>NC_000009.12:110095552-110720552 GCF_000001405.40 Homo sapiens | reverse complement strand
TCTACATCTTCCTGGTTTAATCTAGGAGGGTTGTATACTTCCAGGAGTTTATCCATCTCCTCTAGGTTTTCTAGTTTATGTCCATAAAGGTGTTCATATTAGCCTTGAATAATGTTTCATATTTCTGTGATATCAGTTGTAATACCTTCCATTTCATTTCTAATAAAGCTTATTTGAATTTTCTGTCTTCTTTTCTTGGTTAATCTAGCTAATGGTCTATCGATTTTATTTATCTTTTCAAAGAACCAGCTTTTTGTTTCATTTATCTTTTGTATTTTTTTCCATTTCAATTTCATTTAGTTCTGCTCTCATCTTTTATATTTCTTTTCTTCTTCTGCATTTGTGTTTAGATTGTTCTTGTTTCACCAATTGCATGGAGAATTGGAGGTGTGGCCTTGGATTGTCTATATGTGCTTTTTCAGATAATGCTATGAATTTTCCTCTTAGTACCGTTTTTGCTGTATCCCAGAGGTTTTGATAGGTTGTCTCACTATTTGTTACTATTATCGTTCAGTCCAAATAATTTTTAAATTTCCATCTTGACTTCATTGTTGACCCAACAATCATTCAGGAGCAGGTCATTTAATTTCCATGTATTTTCATGGTTTTGAGGGTTCCTTTTGGAGTTGATTTCCAGTTTTATTTCACTGTGGTGTGAGAGAATATTTGATATAATTTCTATTTTCTCAAATTCACTGAGACTTGTTTTGTGGCCTATCATATGGTCTGTCTTGGAGAATGTTCCATGTGCTGATGATTACAATGTATATTCTGCATTTGTTGGGTAGAATGTTCTGTAAATATCTGTTAGGTCCATTTGTTGTAGGGTATAGTTTAATTCCATTGTTTATTTGTTGACTTTCTGTCCTGATGATCTGTCTAGTGCTATCAGTGTAGTATTAAAGTCCCTCACTGTTAGTGTGTTGCCATCTATCTTATTTTTAAGGTCTAGTAATAATTGTTTTATAAATTTGGGAGCTCCAGTGTTAAGGTGTATATATATTTAGGATTGTGATATTTTCCTGTTGAACTAGTGTTTTTATCATTATATAATCTCCCTCTTTGTCTTTCTTAACTGCTATTGCTCTATAGTTTGTTTTGTCTGATATAAGAATAGCGACTCCTGCTCGCTTTTGGTGTCTGTTTGTATGGAATATGTTTTTCTACCCCTTTACCTTAAGTTTATGTTAGTCCTTATGTGTTAGGTGAGTCTCTTGAAGACAGTAGAAACTTGGTTGGTGAAATTCTTATCCATTCTGCTATTCTGTATCTTTTAAGTGGAGCACTTAGGCCATTTACATTCCACGTTAGTATTGAGATGAGAGGTACTATTCTATTCATTGTGCTATTTGTTGCCTGAATACCTTGTTGTTGTTGTTGTTGTTGTTTTCATTGTGTTACTGTTATATAGGTCCTGTGAGATGTAAACTTTAAAGAGGTTCTATTTTGGTGTATTTCCAGAATCTGTTTCAAGATTTAGAGTTCATTTGAGATTGTAGTGCTGGCTTTGTGGTGGCTAATTCAGCATTTGTCTGGAAAGACTGTATCTTTCCTTCATTTATGAAGCTTAGTTTTACTGGATACAAAATTCTTGGCTGATAATTGCTTTGTTTTAGGAGGCTAAAAATAGGACCCCAATTTCTTCTAGCTTGTAGGGTTTCTGCTGAGAAATCTGCTGTTACTCTGATAGATTTTCCTTTATAAGATGCCTGATGCTTTTGCCTCACAGCTCTCAAGATTCTTTTCTTTGTCTTGATTCTAGATAACCTGATAACTATGTGTCTAGGCAATGATTTTTTTGCAATGAATTTCCCAGGTGTTCTTTGAGCTTCTTGTATTCGGATGTCTAGATCTCTAGCGAGGCCAGGGAAGTTTTCCTTGATTATTTCCTCAAATATGTTTTCCAGACTTTTAGATTTATCTTCTTTCTCTTCTTCCTTCCAACTATTCTTAGGTTTTGACTTTTAACATAGTCCTAAACTTCTTGGAGGCTTTGTCCATTTTTAAAAATTATTTTTTCTTTGTCTTTGATGGATTTGGTTAGTTCAAGCCTTGTCTTCAAGCTCTGAAGTTCTTTCTTCTGCTTGTGTGATTCTGTTACTGAGACTTTCTGGTGCATTTTGCATTGACACTATTGTAGTTTTAAAACCTGTCCACAAATTCTCCCTTGGAAAAGTAGAGTATAGTTCCTCTGCTCTCCTTGGAAGTAGGCTGGACTTAGACTCACTTCTAACAAATAGGATGTGGCAGAAGTGACTGTGTGTGGCTTTTGAAGCTAGACCATGAAAAACATTACTAACTCCTCCTTGTTCTCTATTAGATCATCTACTCTTAGGGAAGGAAGGCACCATAGTGTGGGGACACTCAAGCAGCCTGAGGAGAGACCCACATGGGGACAAAGGGAGGCTCTGCACTGGCCAGCATCAATTTATACCAACTTATGAGTCAACCACATTTGAATTAGATCCTTCAGCCCATTCAAGCTTTCAGATGACTGCAGAAGTGGCCAACATCTTTACTGCAAACATAATCCATACATTGGCCTGGGAAAGTCACTCTGTACTTCCTGAGTTATAGAAACTATGAAGTGATAATCGTTTATTGTTTTAAAACATTGAGTTTCTGTGTAATTCGTTACAGAGAAACAGATAACTAATACAGATTCTATGACAAATTATGGTAAAAGTACTGGTAATCAAAGGTAAAAAGACCAGATAGAAGAACTCTGTTACCTACCAAAGAATTATAGTTACAATGACAGAACACTTCTCATCAATTGATGTAAGAAGACATAGGACAACACTGAGGGAAAATATCTGTCAACTTAGATTTCAATGTTCACCTGAATGATCAGGGTAAAATAGTGGCATTTTCAAACATACAAAGACAAAGACAAAGATATCTGCTCACAGATCTAATTGAATGAACTAATGAATAATATGTTTCAGAAATAAGAAATTGGAAACAGAAGAAAAAAGGCACATGAAAATTGAATGATGAACACAGCAATTGGTGGCATATATTGATAGAACTATTTATGGACCATAAAATAATTCAGTGTTTTAAGATAAATAAAATTTTGGATAATGCCAAGGAAAGTGACAGAGGATGAGGGAAGGTGCTGTTAGATAAGATTTTAAAGAATGATAAGATGCTTGCTTTAGTTAAAGAGACTGGAGAAGATCCTACATGATCTTAAACTGTTAGAATTATAGCATCATATATGTATATTAAAATGTAAAAGTAATCACTGAAATATAACATTGTGATCCACAATTTCAAAATCAGCAAAGTGGTTGTGGTGTGGGTTAAAGTGGAGAATTAAAAAAATATATAATGATCTACCAGAAAACAGAAAAGGAATTAAAAAAAGAAGCAGAGAAAAGAAACAGCATAATACATGATAGAAATCGTCTAAAGAATAATAGAAATAAATTTTCAGAATAAATACAAAGACCTACACTTATCTACTAAAAATAAAGTCTTTTGGATTGAATTACAAAAGTATTTATCTATATTCTGCTTACAAGATTGTGGGGAGGTTGGAAGAAAGGGATAGAAGAATACCAAACAAAGAGCACAGGAAAACACAAAACAAAGGAAAAATGTGGTAATGATATTAATATCAAACAATACAGAATTATGCTAAAAGGTATTATAAAAAAGGGATGAAGAGGAACATCATCCAAAGGTTAAAAATGCAATCTGCAGAGGAGGAATTACAACAATAATTAATGTGTATGCACTTAACAATATAATTTCAAAACATATAAAGCCTAAACTTATAGAATTAAGAGAAGATATAAGAAAAGCTGCTAAGGCAAAACTAAAATTCTCCAAATTAAAGCCTATTGAGAGTTTATCGTGAATGTCCCCTGTGAAGGAGAAGGCCAATTTTAAATTATGAGGGCAGCATTCAAAAGGAAGGTCATTTTTTTCAAATATCAAGAAAGGACAAACATAACAGTTGCCTATGATTCCAAATGCAGTTTGGTATTCTGGTACAATATTAATTTATTGAAATAGAAAATTAAAATATAATGTTTATAAATGCTACAGAGTATTTCTCAAAATGGAAAATTATAAATGCTTCTCAGTTTAAGTTATCCTTGCCTCTAAATTTACTTCTCAAATATTAATTTCCTGAGCTTTCTATTACTTTGTGAGAATTTATTTGGTGACAGCATTAATGTTTAAGATGATTTGTGAAAATTTTAGAAAATAAGAAGTGTGTATCAAAAAGAGATGTAAAAATTATTCCAATTATATAAACCACTCTGTTTTTTGCCTTTTAAAAAAGTAGACTGTTTTCTGAAGATCACTTTATTAGGTTAGTGCAAAAAAAGTAATTGCAGTTTTTGCCATTATTTCTTTTGCACCAAGCTAATATTTTCTTTTTTCTTTTTTTTCCCCCAACTTCTATTTTAAGTTCAGGGGTACAAGTGCAGGATGTGCAGGTTTGTTACATAGGTAAACGTGTGCCACGGTGGTTTGCTGCACAGATCAGCCCATCACTTAGGTAATAAGCCTAGCATCCGTTAGCTACTCTTCCTGAAGCTCTCCTTCCTCCCACTCCCAGCCTCCAACAGGCCCCAGTGTGTATTGTTCCCCCCATGTGTCCATGTGTTCTCATCGTTCAGCTCCCACTTATAAGTGACAACATGTGGTGTTTGGTTTTGTGTTCCTGTGTTAGTTTGCTGAGGATAATGGCTTCCAGCTCCATCTATGTCCCTTCAAAGGGCATGATCTCTTTCCTTTTTATGGCTGCATAGTATTCCATGGCATATATGTACCACATTTTCTTTATCCAGTCTATCATTGATGGGCTTTTAGGTTGGTTCCAAGTCTTTGCTATTGTGAATAGTGCTGCAATTTAATGAAATGGCACTATGAAAATAAAATAATATTTGTTCCTAGATTATTTTATTTTCATAGTGCCATTTCATTAAGTTGTTTATCATTTTCCTTATAGTCAATATCTTGAGAAAATCTCTGACCATTTGGTAAATAAGAACACCATTGCAGGGCTTTTTCAAAGGACAAACTCAGAGGTTGGGAAGTCAAAATCTTAGTAGTAGGATACTTTCCTTACACTCATGTACAATACCCTAACAGCAATCCAGGTGGTAGAATTGGATCCTCACTTCACTCTCACTAGCTGTTTTTTCTGAGTTGCTGTTCAACTTCTCTGAACTTCAGGTTTTTTATCCAGAAAACGTAGTTATTAACTTTCAACTCATAGAATTGTGGAGAAGATTAAATGACATGATTTATATAAAGCAATTAATTAATATAGCAGCTAACTCATAACTGGGAAGTACTAGAGGTAAATTTTGAAGCCAGGTCTTCTAGTTCTTTTTCTTTCTCCAGAGCTTTTTTGATCTCTAGGATATCTTTCTGAGTCATGAAAGCTGTTCCTTTAGCGGACTTCAAAGGGAGAAGGCTTTATTTTATTTTGTAACGTCAATCTGCTTTAGCTGGCTGTATCCTAGATATTGATCATGTTAAGTACCCTTTTCCGGTGTTAAAAAGCATATCCTTAACTCCTTTCATAAACTGAATTATTTGAGACAGAGAAATCACTCTGTAGAGAGAGAAATTCTTTCGACCCTGTTATTAAAACATAGATGCTCATCTATACAGATTATTTGAATCTGCTCTTAAATAGACTATTTGTCTCATCTAGCATCATATTTTAAGAATAACTGAGTTGGAGATGCCTGTTAGAAGGCAAGGACTACAAAGAACAAAATGGGTTAAATTGTTTTTATATTTGACTTAAAAAACACGTGGCCCTGGGTGGTTGAAAAAGTAATCCTATTGAGGCTCTGTGATACTTTGTTTCTGAACAGATACTTCTTTTCTCAAACCCTTATCATTAAAAGAAAACCTAGCAATAATGACAAACCTAAATAAATACCTGGTTTCTCTTTCCTGACTCTTGGTAGCTAAAGCAAAGAAACCCGATCCTGGTGTACTGCCACTGTTTACGTTTCTGTCTGCTTTGAAGCAGGGCAATGCCTGAAGAGGTTTACCCACTGTGGCTCCAACTCTGAAGGAGTCAGAAGGCAAGCTCCTTTAGAAAACATACACATCATCCTCAAATACAGTGACTCTCTTCTCCAGGACAAAATAAGGGCTGCCTGCCTCAATGATGTGGGATTCCCTCCCATGGCTTGGGTTGGGAACATTTCTGTGGCCTTTGAGATGGTAACGTTTTTCTCACTTGTAAATATGGATGGTGAATAGTGGGTACGAGCAAGAAATGTTTACCATGTAAATCAGACAAGAGCTACACAAAGTTTACTTGTTTTTGTTTCAGTCTTAGGTGTATATAAAGCAACCGCACTTTTGTTAAACTGGTTCTGAAAATATATTAGAAGTTTAATCATCAGCCAATAAAATATGTGACTTCATTCCTGATTCACTTTTTTCTTCTTAAAGAAAGTTCATTTTCTGTTTTTGATGGGAGGAGATGCTAAACTGCTTAATTACCAGGACAAAGAAGTATTTCTTAGTTTACCTTTTTAAAACATTTTTATTTTGAAATAATTTTAGATTTACATAAGAGTTGCAAAGATAGTATAGAAGGTTTCCATGTACTGTTCACCCAACTTCCCCTAATGTTAGCATCCTGTATAACCATGGTACGTTTATCAAAATCTTAGTTTACTTTTAAATAACTTTTTTGATCTAAGCTCTGGAAGATGCCTGCACTCTGACATGCGTTAAACGAGCTGAGGTCTATTAAGAATAAGATTTTTGTTTTAGCCAACCGGAAATTTTAGTTGGAAAAATAAATAGAAGCCATAAACTTAATCTTAAATCATACCACAGTATCCCAGTTGCCTAAAGTGGCTTGGGTTGGGAACATTTCTGTAACCTTTTAGATGGAATTCTGGATGCCAGATAAGGCCATATGCCTCCAAACCATAGGTTCCCACATTGTCAGGATGTTAGGTATCTACCCGTTTAAAATTATGTCTAAGAGAGGGCTAGGCATGGTGGCTCACACCTGTAATCCTAGCACTTTGGAAGACTGAGGCAGGTGGATCACTTGAGGCCAGGAGCTTGAGAGCAGACTGGCCAACATGGTGAAGCCCCATCTCCACTAAAAATACAAGAATTAGCTGGGCATGGTGGCACATGCCTGTAATCCTAGCTACTCAGGAGGCTGAAGCATAAGAATCGCTTGAACCTGGGAGGCGGAGGTTGCAGTGAGCAGAGATTGCACCACTGCACTTCAGCCTGAATGACAGAGAGAGACTCTGTCTCAAAAAAAAAAAAAAAGAAAAAAAGGTCCAAGAGAAGATACCAAGAAGATGATCTCCATGTTAGCCTGTGAGTCAAATCATGGTTTATTCTGTTTTTATAGCACCACTAATAGATACTGTCCCAAACTCTCTAATCCTTCTTTTACTCCCTGGTTATGAGTCAGTGTCAGGCTGTGCTTGCATGGTAAATCTGAATTTTTTCCTCTATTTTCTTTTTCCTCCCTCAATGTGATATGATCCTCACCAAGAGCTCCTCACTCTTCATCAATCAAAGCCCTGTTGGCCTTCACCTCTCTGAAGATTTCCCTGACCTTTCCCTATCTCCTCTGTCCTGTGTATATAACCCTACACAAACTTCTATCATTGTAAATATATTGCATTTTACTTGTTTGCATATCCATCTTCCTCACTGAATTTGAACACTTTTCAAGAAATGAACCACATCTCTCTTTCGTCTGTATCCTTAAGAATTACCTCATTGCATAGAACATAGTAGGCATTCCACAAATGGATGAATTTGAAGCTATCCTAACATTGATATCTTACTATTTGCAGATAAGCTTTCTCCTTGAATTGTTTAGATTCATCTGGAATAAAGTCCCTCTAAGTAGAAAACCTGAAGTCAGTGTTTTTCAAAGTGTGGTTCATGGGTCACTGCATTAAGGATCCTTTGGGGTGTTGTTAAAAAGCACTAACATAAACCTATCAAATATGAATAACTGGGGAATGCATCCTGAAGCTGTGTCATTTAGTAAGATCTCCAGATGCTTCTGATGTGCACTGGCATTTGAGAACCACTTGGAGGAGAAGTTCCATGAATCCGTCAACTTAGTTATTTCTTTCTCTTTCCATAGAGATCTTAAGGAAGGTATATTGATATGGCCATAAATTAAATGAATAACAATATATTAGGATCAGGGAGAAAACCTCTGGATGGTTTGGTGTAACAGATACTATGACTAAGCTTCAAATTGGATTCTAAGATACATGCCAGGCCGAGCAAAAAATAAAGTAAAAGAAAATAAAGTACACAGTACTTACTATAGGAATGGATAAAATGTCAGTTTCTCAGCAGAGACCCTTCTCCCCAACCCAGGCACTGATTTTTTTTTTTTTTTTCAGAATAAACATGAGTTAAAGGTTTTATTTAACTCATTCACAAGGAAACCAGTGAAGTGTTGCAACCAGGTGAAAAGAGAATCCCAAGGACAGACCCATTTATAGATCAGGAATATTAAAATGACTGTGCAAACAGAGCCAGATTGGGTTTTTTGGTTGCTTTTCCACTGGACAGAATTCATTTGCAAGTCTATGGAGGAGAACGATTTAGCATTGCTGCCAGTTATCTACAATTTATAAAGCTTTAAAACAGCTCCCACAGAATTGGAATCACACAACACAGGTGTGCTCTAGAATGACAACACACAATTTTCCATTTAAGCACAAATTGTTCCTTATAGTCTCCCCACTTTTGATTAAAAAGAATCTCAAAGATTCTTGACGACAAAGTGAGTATGGCCTTATTAGATTTAGCCTGGTTCTTTACACAGGTGCATCAACAATGTTAACCATATGGGCATCAAGAACGTTAACCATATGGGCCTTCTTTAAGTTTGTTCCACTGGAGGTCTCTATAAGAAATCTCAGCTTGGTCTTCTGCAAGCTTCTATTAATTTGCTGTGCTGAGGCTAAGGATGTAAGTCCAAGGAAATTTCTCCATAAGATTTCGTCTGCAGTATCTATTCATTTTGGCCTAATTCCTTTCTCCTTCAAATTTTCAAAACATCTCAAGGATCTTGGCCTGCCATGAAAGTGACCTCCCTTACAACCTGCAAGGCTGGACCTTGTATAAATCCAGGTCAGTTTTCCTCAGAGACCTTTGCCAGCATTGGCTCCATCAAGTCAACCTTAGTTCACTAAAAGGGACAGATCATGTGCAGGCTATGGCTTCCCCAGGCTGGCAGGAAGCTCCTCTGCAGCCATTGTTCACAGAGCTTCAGCCAGGCACTAAATTTTTTTTATTATTATTATACTTTAAGTTCTAGGGTACCTGTGCACAACGTGCAGGTTTGTTACATATGTATACATGTGCCATGTTGGTGTGCTGCACCCATTAACTCATCATTTACATTAGGTATATCTCCTAATGCTATCTATCCCTCCCCTCTCCCCCGACCCCACAACAGGCTCCGGTGTGTGATGTCCCCCTTCCTGTGTCCAAGTGTTCTCATTGTTCAATTCCCACCTATGAGTGAGAACATGCGGTGTTTGGTTTTTTGTCCTTGCAATAGTTTGCTGAGAATGATGGTTTCCAGCTTCATCTATGTCCCTACAAAGGACATGAACTCATCATTTTTTATGGCACTAAATTTTTAAAGTGATTTCTCACTTGGGATTTACTTGGGAGCAGTGAGTGCTAGAATGGATCAGTATTTTCAACAAGATTTTTGGCAAATATCTATTTCTATAGTGAATAAAATATGATATAAGCTCAGGATACACACGAAGGCCGCCTTCACTTTTATGTTGTTGTACTATTTTTTTTTTTAACAGGTTGACTCCAAATAGCCTCTCTCCTGTTAGCCATTAAAGGCACCTCTTTACACAGCTTCTTAGATAAGCTTCCCTTTATCACTTGTCACGGTGAAGCCACACCAAAGTTATAATCTCTAACAAGTAACAAGAATGCAGGTACAAAGCATTGCTGATTGAAAGTAGATTTATGTTCTTTGGAGACCAGATGAGCAGTTGTTAATGTTGACATTCTATTTATGAAATTCAAGAAGCTTGACTAGTGGTATTCTCTGGATAGATGTCATCCAGCTTTATAACAATGTAAACAACAGACAACAATACCAACAACAGCAAATACTTATCAAAGAGCTACTGCATAGACACTGTGAATATGCTATCTGAGTCCATTTTAAGAACTCTGTGTTCTAGATAATATTACCCCCCATTTCACAAATGAGGAAATAGACTTGCAGAGGTCAAGTAAATTATCCTACCTCACATAACTGGTAAGCAGCACAGTCAGGATTAACACCCAGGTCTGTCTGATACTAAAGCATGTGAACTCTGCAGAGTATTATCTACACAACATAAATATTAAAAAGAGGAAAGAATCGGAATAGGTAGTGGAACATGTCCTAGACTAGGAATAAGACACTCAAGTTCCTTTGCCAACCTGGGCAAAGTCACAATTTGTTTGGTCTCAAGTGTCTTTATCTATAAAATAAAAGATGTTTCCGGTCTCAAATTTATTTTTTTTAAATATTTTTAAATAAATACTTTTTTTAGAGAGGGGGGTCTCACTATGTTTCCCAGGCTGGCCTCGAACTCCTGGCCTCAAGCAATCCTCCTGCCTCAGCCTCCCAAAGGGCTGGGATTACAGGCGTGAGCCACTGCCCCTAGTCTCAAATTTCTTTATCTACAAACTAAGGAATTGAACTATATGACTTTGGGGTCTCCTTGCAGATTTAAAGTTGGTTATTATTCTTTTGCTAGAACCAAAATTAATACAAATAAACTATTAAAAATAAAAATTTAGTTTTTGCCATTGGACTTTATTGCTTGTACCTCAGAGATAAAGATGACACATGGAAAAGGGAGCTATAATTGTCTGCACAAGTGCGTAAATCACTGCTTCTGTTGCACAGAAGTTATATTAGCCCTAGAACTAACATTGATAATTTCTATTTGAGTGTTTACTCTGTGTCAGTCACTCTTGTAAGAGCTATAAATATATCATCTACTTCTACATTCTTCAATTTATGAAGTAGATAGTATTATTAACCTAATTTTACAAGTAGGGAAACTGAAGCACAAAGAGATAAGTAACCTACTGGAAGTTACACATGTGATAGGTGGTAGAACCAGGATTTGGACTCAAGAAGTTTACCTGAGACTCTAGAGCCCATGCAGTTTTCTTGAGATCCTACCACCCATGTTATTAACCACTATATTAAGTCCTCTCCAAAAATAATGCCTTGTATAGTTTGTTGTTCACGGAAATAAATATAACAATTACAGTCTCAGAGTCATGTATTTGATATCTGAAGAAAATAACTGAATATAAAATTACTTGAACTCCTTCTTGCCATAGAATTCTAATAGCTTTCCATGATATCTTTGCATGAATCAAAATAGTCACATTTTGAAATTAAGCCCAGTGGAGGCATGGCCTTCTCTGTCTCATGTCGCACCTGGAACATTGCTCAGTGTGTCTTTGTTGGATGAACTAATGCATTGAATAGAAAGCAATTTTCCTTTACTGTGTATGTATGCTTGAACTTATGCATCTCATTTTAATATCTGAAAACTGATATTAAAAACTCACTCCAATTAGAGTATATGTATTTCAGGTCACGATAACTTTTCATTTCAAATAATATAATGTCAACATTATACTAAACAATTTAATTACTTTAAAGTACATTTTCTTTAACACTGCACTTTAAGAGGGCCTAACTATGTGTTGACTTGAAGCATTATGTATTATCTATTCAGTGCTATCATTATTATACAAGTGACTTTTTCTTAGAGAAATGCAGTGACAACTGTTCAACTAAAGGACCACTTTACCATTCTTCTCTGAAAGCCTTATAGAACTTTTTAGATGAAACCATACCATAATATACCATAATATCCCCTAAAGTCAAAATCAATGGGTCAAGCTCCTCTTTTAGAACATGCATCCTATTAAATCATGCAGATTTAATTTTCCCAATGATAGCCTCCAGGGATATCAGAGGTTTGTGATTTTTTTCTTTGTTTGGTTTTCAAATGCACAATGTACTCATGACAGCAAATCAAACCTGTTAGTGGCATCAAACAATTAGGACTGATGCCGGGAACAGGACCACTGCAAATTTTATTAAAACTGCAATCACTGAGAGCACAGCACACGGTGGGGTTTTAAATACCTCTCTCTGTGGCATTTGTGATATTAAGAGCTGCAGCATAAACAAAGGAAAAAGCAAATCAAATGTGGTATAAACATTACATGATTGCTTCCACTTTTGTAGATGCAACAAGTAAATTTGATCTCTAGGAAAGAAGGCAGCCAGAAGTCTAAAATTTTGAAGACAATGCTGATCTTTTATAGTTATGTCTATTGACATCTGCTTCTGTGACATGATAGATAGATAGATAGATAGATAGATAGATAGATAGATAGATAGATAGGAATTATTTATTTTCATCTTTTGGAATTCTACTTGTCTTACCTATTTCATATGTCTGCAAAAATATCTTCAGATAAAAAGTTTCTGAATAGATTTGTTGGCCTTAAGGGTAGATAGTGCAGCCTTTCAGATTGCAAAGAAACTGGGCTGGCAGCACGCAGGTGTCCTGACAAGTGATGGAGACTCATGCACTGAAGCCACTTAAATTCTCCATATGACTTGCCTTCCCTTGCTACTCCCCAAAATGCCTCTCCACGTTTTGACAAGAGGCTGCTTTTCAAAGCCCTGAGGAAATAAGGAGTTGTTTAAACATGAAGGAGCCCTACAATAACCCTGTACCCAGAAGGACTCTCTTCTTTTTGTTCTGCTTCTAGACCCTCCCTGGCTCTTATTTGCAGTTTTGTATTGGTGCCAAGACACCTCTTCCCACCAGCAATTGCTGACTGACAGCCCTCTCTTGATTCCAGCTTCTGCCCAATATTTTCCTTAATGGCTTAAAGCTTCAAGGGTAAACAAGATAATAATAGAAAATGCAATTAACAAGAGCTTGATACACTCCAGCATCCATCTATTTTAATTTGGGTCTCAAGTACACTACATTCAGCCAGTTTCTATATACAAAGCAGTATTCATCTGAATGTGATATTCACAGAATGTAGTAAGAGCCACATTCAGCCTCAAATAAATAAGTGCATTTTAAAAAATCTTAGTTAAGGCAGAGAATGTGAGGGGAAAAAAGAAAATTAGATATTTATAAATTTTAAATGAGTCTTTTGCAATGTTTAAAAAATCTTATAACAAAGACACCCCCCAGCTATAAAAAACAGTAATTATGTTATCACCTTAAAAGATTTGATTTGTATGGTCTGGTATTTTATTTTTATTTTACTTTATTTTACTTCAGTGTAGAGATGAGGTTTTTGCCATGTCACCCAGGCTTGTCTCGAACTCCTGGATTCAAGAGGTTCACCTACCTTGGCCTTCCAATGTATTGGGATTACAGGCATGAGCCCCTGCACTGGTCAGAGGAGTTAATTCTCTCTCTCTCTCTCTCTTTATTTGTTTCTCTCTCTCTCTCTCTATTTTTTTGAGACAGGGTCTCAATCTGTTGCCCAGGCTGGAGTTCAGTGGCTCCATCTCAGCTCACTGCAACCTCCACCTCCCAGGCTCAAGCAGTTCTCCTGCCTCAGCCTCCTGAGTAGCTGGGATTACAGGTGTGCACCACCATGCCCGGCTAATTTTTGTATTTTTAGTAGAGACGTGGCTTCACCATGTTGCCCAGGCTGGTCTCTAACTCCTGACCTCAAGTGATCCGCCTGCCTCGACCTCCCAAAGTGCCGAGATGACAGGTGTGAGCCACTATGGTTGGCCCTCTGGTCTAGCGTTTTAAAGGGGGCATATGCCACTGGTCAAAACAGGGAAATAAAATCAGAATTTCAAAAGTTGTCCCAAGCAATCATGATAGCAAACCCTCACTGAAAATTCCAGCCCTGCCATTCAAATCAGCATGTTCCACTGCCATATCCCTCTGCCCCTGAGTATCTGTCTTCCTGTCCTTTAGAGGTACTCAGGAGAAAATGGTTTCAGATATATAAGAAAAACAACATAGATCACTCTTTGGCTACACACCATACCTAAAGTAGAATGTGAAGTGGATTAGAGAAGCAGACAAAATTGTCTCTTAAAAGATAATTTCCTCTATATGGCCCTGAAAAGCCACTTAGTCTCTATTTCAACCTAATAAAATGAATAGGCAGCAAATAAAAGGTTTTGAGGGAAAAAGGCTAGGTGGCATCATCTCACTGAAAATAATGCTTTCATTTCTGTGAGGAACAAATGAAATGATCTCAAGCAGAAGGAAAATTTCTAGTTAAAAATAAAGAAAGCTTTATGAGCCAATATGGTTGATTTATTTTTGTTTTATCATTGTATATTCATTCTCATATTTGGGGACAGCTAAGGAACGATCTTAGCTGGAGGGCAGAAGCCACAAACTGGGTGTGAATGCCTTTAGCACCTGTAAGAAAAATCTCAATTTCAGAGATATTAAAATGTGCAACAAAGAAACTAAAATTTATTCAATTGTGATTGTAAGGGATTAATGATGAGATGTAACCCAGATATGCCAAAATATGAAATAATGAGCATCTTAGAATGTATGAAATATGATATGTAGATTTCTCTGGTGACATCAGACAATAAGATGTTCCCTGGTCACATCCTGCCGTGAATCCTCTCCTAGAGCCCTTTGGCACATGGGGGCCTGAGACAGGGCTTAACCTTTCCAGAAGAGCCTCCACAGTTGTGAGACTGAAAACTTTCTTCTGCCTCCCAGATGACTGAGGCTTCCCTGTCAATGTCAAATCAGTATACCTAAATAGTTCTTACCTAGCGGTGCTTCCCTTTCCTATAGGAACTTCCCTTTGTTTTACTTTTCCCTTTATGCTGTAAGTCAGTAACACCCAACAAAGTGTGGAAAATGTTCACTGAGAAATCAGAACCCTAACAAAACTTTTGTGCTGGATCCTGCAAACTATTCCAGACTATAAAATCATAAATTTCAGATTTCCATCTATACATAGAAAAGAAGAGTCAGATGAGTGGAGACTTCAGCAGCAGCTGCTGTTCTCTGACCCCCTTCACTTCCTCCATCTAGGTGACTCTGCCAGCTTCCTCTTGTAGGTCTCAAGCTTAGCAGCTTTATGGATTGATTCCTTCCCTAAAGAAATGGCATGTTCTATGTCCTGTTCATCAGAACCTCCACCTTCAAAATTCTTCAGCCAATATCCAAGAGTTGTGAAAACCTAAGCAACATAGGAATCAATTACCTTTGACAAAACTTTTCCCATCCCTGAGTTTGTCTTGGAGATCAATGGAGCAACAGAACTGCAAAAATATCAAACTAATGAACAGAAAGATTCATGTTACTTTATCAAAAATAGTATAATATTTGGAAGAAGTGTTTTTTTTCCAAAGCATAAATACATGTATTAATTCTTCCTAATTATAAAGTTCTCTTTATAAAGATGCAAAAAGTATAGGCCTACATAAAGTATAAAATAGAAGTTACCCCCCATATAATTTTCTTTCTTTCTTTTTTTTTTTTTTGAGATGGAATCTTGCACTGTTGCCTGGGCTGGAGTGCAGTGGCACAATCTCTGCTCACTGCAACCTCTGCCTCCTGGGTTCAAGTGATTTTCCTGCCTCAGCCTCCTGAGTAGCTAGAATTTCAGGTGCCTGCCACCATGCCCAGATAATTTTTTGTATTTTTAGTAGAGATGGGGTTTCACCATGTTGGCCAGGCTGGTCTCAAACTCCTAACCTCGTGATTCGCCCACCTCGGCCTCCCAAAGTGCTGGGATTATAGGCGTGAGCCATCGTGCCGGGACCCCCCATATAATTCTCTATGCAGAGATGATGACTTAAGAGTTCGATATACATGTACTCTAATATATAATAATAAGATATACTGTTCTTTACTTACTTTTTCACTTATGAACATATTATATTGATAATGAATTAATATTCTAAAGCACTTAGAACAGTACCTTGCACATGGTAAGCACTATACAAGTACTTATTAAATACATGAAATAAATAATAAAACAGCAAATAATTATATAGTACACACTATGTGTCTATAATAACTAATAATCAAGCATCCTAAGAGGTAGGTTCTGCTTTTATCTCTATTTTAGAGAAGAGGAAGCTGAGGCTCAGAGATGGAAAGCAGACCCAAGTCACATATACGGTAGATAATTTTAGAAGTTAATGTATATAAATCCATCTCATTCTTTTTAATGGCTGCATGGAATTACATCACATATTTAGATGGTGTCCTATTGAAGCAAATTTAAGTTCTTTACAACTTTTTACTAAGTAACTTTGTAACAAATAATCTTGAACATACACTTGTGCAAATATTCTTTTAGATAAATTGTCAGAAGTTAAATTGCTGAGACAAATCTATATACATTTTAAAGTTTGATTTTTATTTTTCATAAACCTTCATGCGGCTATACCAAATTGTAAGGATAGATGAAAGTGATAGTTTCCCCACACTCTATTGTTATCCTAATTGTTGTCCCTTATAAATAATCTGTCTTCAATATTTTAAGATAATCTCTTTGTCTTTGATGTTTCCTTATGATTTGACTGGGTGTGAAATGCTTATTTCTCTGCTCTTCATTTTTACCGATTGGGACTTGGTATGCTTCACGTACTTGAAGATTTAAGTCTTTCATCAATGCTGGAAAGTTCTTAGTCATCATGTTTTTGAGTATTGCCTCTCATATTTTCTGTATTTTCTCTTTCTGTAATGTATCTTTTATCATTTCTTAAATTCAATTTCATCTTTTCTATGCTTTCAAAATCTTTCTGCACTGAATTCTAAATTCTGAAGAGCTGATTTCTAATGGCTGAATTATCTCTTTATCTCTAATATACTATTACTCATCCATTGAATTTTAATTTTAATTATATTTTTATGTGTTAAAATTGTGTTTAATTATTTATCAAAACCGCCTGTCTTCCTAATTTATTTATTTATTTAATTTTTTTTTTTAGACAAAGTCTCACTCTGTTGCCCAGGCTGGAGTGTAGTGGTGCAATCTTGGCTCACTGCAACCTCTGCCTCCTGGGTTTAAGAGATCCTTTTGTCTCAGCCTTCTGAGTAGCTGGAACTACAGGCGTGCACCACCACGCCCGGCTAATTTTTGTATAGAGACAGGGTTTCACAATGTTGGCCAGGCTGGTCTTGAACTCCTGACCTCAAGTAATCTGCCTGCCTTGGCCTCCCAAAGTTCTGGGATTACAGGCGTGAGTCACTGTGCCTGGCCCTAATGTATTTTTGTTTTCCTTATTCCTCCTTTTGCATTTTTAATTACTTTAAGCATACTTATTTTATAATTTCTATGATGTTATGTGGTTAACTGAATTTTCTTTGTATATTATGTTGGACAACACTCACTCAAGGTAGGTTGTTTTCTGTAGGTGTGACAATTTTGCATTGTGAACTCATCCTCAGTGTAGGTATATCCATGAAAAGCCTATGTAACTTGGGTAAAGTGCTTCTTCTTTTAGCTTTTTTTTCTTGTTAAATTTTTGGCCTGGAACCAATGTTTTGTGTGTGTGTGGGTTTTTTGGCCTGGAACCAATGTTTTATGTGTATGTAGGTTTTTTATTATTATTTTTTTATTTTGAGACAGGGTCTCACTCTGTTGCCCAGGCTGAAGTGCAGTGGCACAATCTTGGCTTACTGCAGCCTCCACCTCCCAGGTTCAAGCCATCCTCCCACTTCAGGCTCCCAAATAGTTGAGACTAGAGGCATGTACCACCACACCTGGCTAATTTTTATATTTTTTGTAGAGATGGAGTTTTGCCATGTCGCCCAGGTTGGTCTCCAGTGCTCAAGCCATCAGCCTCCCAATGTGCTGGGATTACAGGGGTGAGCCACTGTGCCCAGCCTGAAACCAGTTTGTATGTTCATTTTTCCAGCTGAGAATTCCCAGACTGTGCTGATGGTATTAAGTCAATATCAAGCCTATGGAAGCTATAGTCCTGAGTGTTGAATATTCACTCCTAAGATGACCTGGTTTTTTCTCCCTCACGACTAAAGACAGACAAGCCATTGTGTTGTGTTTTTGTGCCTGAAGATGGAATTTCTGGCCCATCTTTCTACTTTTGTGGTTCTCAGCTTTATACAAGGTTTTGAATGCTAACCTCCATTTCACATGGGCCAAGACCCTGTCTCCTGCCCCTTTAAGGGTCTTAAAACCAATCTCCTAGGTTATGGAGATGAGCACCTGTCCCATTACCTTTAGAACAATAAGAAACCAGCTCATTGAGCTTATGGTTTTTGCAGTTCCTGTCCATTTTGAGCTTCCAGAGATTTATATTTTATTCTTATCAGTTATACAACTAGCCCAGCATTTCCGGGCTAGTTGGAAGATTTTCATATTATCTTGTCTGTTATATTGCTGGAGCTATAGTGTTTAATCCTAGGCTCATATCCGAGGATATTTCATATTTGGATATTAAATCATAGGTATGGCTGGGCATGGTAGCTCATGCCTATAATCCCAACATTTTGGGAGGTCAAGGCTGGAGGATTGCTTGAGGAGTTTGAGACCAGCCTGGGCAACATAGCAAGACCCTGTCTCTATGAAATAAAATAAAATAAAATAAAATAAAATAAAATAAAATAAAATAAAATAAAATAAAATAAAATAAAATAAAATAAAATAAAATAAAATAAAATAAAATAAAATAAAATAAAATAAAATAAAATAAAATAAAATAAAATAAAATAAAATAAAATAAAATAAAATAAAATAAAATAAAATAAAATAAAATAAAATAAAATAAAATAAAATAAAATAAAATAAAATAAAATAAAATAAAGTAAAGTAAAAAAAATAAAATAAAATAAATAAAATAAATAGCTGAGCACAGTAGTGCACACCTGTAGCCCCAGCTAATCAAGAAGCTGAGGTGGGAGAATCACTTAAGCCTAGGAGTTTGAGGCTATAGTAAGCTATGATTGTGCCATTGCACTCCAGCCTGAGCAACAGAGTGAGACTTTGTCACAAAACAAAACAAACAAACAAGAAAGACGGAAAGAAAGAAAAGAAAAGAAAGAGAAATTATAGGTGTATTTGGTACCTAAAGATTCCATGATTCATGCTTCAATCTCTCTTTTGCAATAGTCTCAAATCCTTTGCCCTATTTTCCTTCCTGACAAAACTCCAACATTTATGTCTTGCCTTTGAATTTAGCTTTCTGCTATTTTCTGAACTTACACCTGTACAGCAGAGCAACACTGGAGGGAAAAACCCTGCAACCATGTGGATTGATGCTACTCCATATTCACGGTCCTGCTCTCTACTAAAACTTTAATGCTGCCCTACAATCCTGGTTTACTTTGTGAGTCATCTCTCCCATTCCACAGCTATTTTAGAACTCACTTCATCCTCACCCCCTTCCCTGACCCTTTAACAAAAGTGTTTTCAAAAGATAACCCTAATTTCTCCTTCCTAGAGGAAATAGAGACCATAAGAACAGAATTTTCTCAAATTCCATCCATCATACTTATGAACTGATTTATACTGAAAACTTCCCTCTTCTCTTTTCTTCCTATTACAAGGACATTCTGTCTTCCTGTCTAAGGAGAGTAACCATATAATTTATCGTGGAAGCTTGGATACTTCTGAAAGTAAAAGAGAGACTCTATTAATAATGATTCCAGGACAACAGGTGTAAACCAGAACTGTCCTGGGAAAACCAGAACATGTGGTCACCCTCTGTATACAGTTTATCATTCTACTTGGCCCCCAAATACAACCCTTGTGCATTATCCAGCACCACATTTCATTGAGTATTTTGTTCTCTTATGTATGTTCAAATTTTTCTTCTCTCTGAGCTCAGTGTCATTAATATTTTAACATTTAAATTTTTTTACATTTCAATATTTTTCGAAGAGAAATCTTGCAATGCAACGTGATCTACACACCAAACATAGCTCCAGCTACTGCTTCCTTTTTTGACTCCTCCCTTTTCTCTGAAAAATTTATCAAAAAATTTGTCAATACCTCCTGTCTATTTTTTTTCAGCTCCCATCCTCTCCTTCATTTGCAGAATTCTGGTTTTCCCCTCATTTTCATCTAGATACTTCTCTTGACAATGTCACACAGGACTATCTCATTCTTTAATAGAACAGACAGTATTCAGCCTGACTCAAATTCTTAGACACAGCTATCTGTGCAGCCTTGTGTAAGTTAGCTATCCTCTCTATTCCTCTGTTTCCTAAAATGGCAGAATATAGGGCCCTTGTTACAGACTTTTAGTGAGAATTAAACAAGATAATCCACATAAAACATTTAGCCTCAATGGAACTTTTTAAAATGTTAGCCTTCCCATTGGACATCCTTTCAGAAAGACATCCATGCTGCACCACGCTTGAGTTAGATGGTTCCATCAATAATTATGTATGTCACCGTTTGAACATTTTAAGGCAAGACCAAAGTATAGGATACCTTTACATTTCCATTGCAGAGGTCCAGCAGTCTGAGAATGGCAATCTGGAAAGGGAGCTTTACTTCTGTGTGGTAGGGTGTTTCTTTCACAGTTGTAACAACAAAGATTTAGTTAACACATGGTACCCAATCCATGGCCTGGCATGTTTATCTTTATTAGAGGCTATCAATGACAAAACTCTATCTTTTCCTGTATGCCCATCTGTGTTACATGTAGCCCAGCATCAAATGGCACCATAGAGTTCTGATTCGATATAGTCACTGCATAACTAATTTGCAGAGTTACGACTTGATACATACATATGCTCGTCTGCCCCAACTGACGATGGCCCTGCCTCATCATCTTCAGTCCTCATCATTGCCAAACTAGCAGGCATCTGCATGTACTTTTGAGGTTTTTCCAGTCATTTCTCAGTTGCTTTTTTTTAAAAAAAAACTTGTTCTGAGTTGTAGGTTGAGTTAGCCTTACCTCTAAATAGGTCACGTCTACATTATATCTTATGAAAATACCTCAACTATTTATTCAAGTGGAAGTCAACCTTTCAGAGCTTCCAGAGCCAAAGCAAATTTGTTACAATTTTATGTTTTAATCATAATAAGTATAGTAGATTCCATTTATTAAATGCTTATTATGTACCAGCAATTGTGCTAAGCATGTCACATATTTTGGCTATTTTAATAGGGACTAAGATGAGGGTAGAAATAGGCATGTGTGCTAAATGTGTGCGAAAATCATCTTACCTACAGTTAGAATAACTTTAAATGATATTATGAGCTCTCAGTTCTAGCAAATTTAATACTATCTCTAGCATATATTAACTTTTAAAGCACTAAGCATGACCATTTAAAGGTTACGAGAAAAGAGGCAGTATTCAATGTTACTGACAGGCATGATACAAAATTAAATGGTAACACAAAACCAAACTGTATAATAACTCCAACTAATGGAGTTCGGTGATAATTTTCTCTAGGTCAAAGGTAAAGCAAGTTGTTTTAATATCTATGAAGCTAGTGACCTAAATGATCAGTATTAAATATTATAATACAGAAAGCTTATTTTTAATATCTTAAAGAGAAAAACTCTTTGTGATATTTTATACAAATGGATAGCATTAATTCTGCATCATTCCTTAGACAGAACAAGAAAACACTGGATCTAGGCAGACAGATATTCAGTGAGTCTGAATGTGTGTCTGGGTGGGTTTGTAGGTTTATTTAGTTTTTACTGAATAAATCATATCAACTGGTTGTTGAATACGGAGCTTCAAATAGCACTGATTATTTAGAAGATATTAAATTACAGCAACTTGATGAAAATGTATTTTTATATTCTGACAGCCACTATTCCCACCAACCTCATTATTTTCCATGAGGAATTAATGAAAATTTTATGAGCAATTGGTACAATGACATAATAAAGATGTTACCTCAATTGGAGGCAAACGTGGGAAACGAGATCATTAAAGCTGTGACAGGAATGTCCATCAAGGAAATAAAAATAATCTTAAAGGAGTTAATAGAAAACTATATGAATGAGAAGGAAATATGCAGAAAAAGATAGATTTTGGCCTAAGGAAAGTAGGACAGAATCAAAGTAAAATATGGAGAACTCTTCAAGTCTTTTCCTGATTGAACTGTAATTTGTGCCAGTATGTGATACTCTAACACTTATCAATCAGATAAGAGAAAAGCAGAAAAATAGATGATAATTCTTATAGCCAACATTTATTGAGGGTGCACAAAGGACCAGATGCTCTGCTAAACACTATCAACACCTAACTTCATTAAATAGAGCAAACCCCACTTAACAGGTGAGAAAGCTAGGAGCCAAAAATGTTAATTCTCTGGCATACAACAGGAAGAGCTAGGAAGGGTTTGTACTCAGTTTATTCGCCTAATAGAGGTGTGCTGATAGTTCTTTTTAAGCAAAATGTGGTGCAATTTTAGGTCAAGAAGGACCCGACTAACAAGCAAATAGAACACCTAGACCTATTTGGATTCTGATTTCTCAGTGAAGACCTTTCACACCAAGTTATTGAATTAGCTGATTAAAAAATATTTTCAGAAAGAAAAGAAAAACGATTTTGATAACATAACTCACAGAACTGGGATTATTTTTGGCTTTACGATTTGAGTTAATGTTTTTTTTTTCAAGCTTTGTGATAGAACACTATCTGAAAATAGCTACTTTTTCCTCCTTATCACATCTTTTTAAAGTTGTTCTGTATGATTAAAAAGATTAAAATTATTATGCCCAAGTCTTTAAATGAGGGAAGAATTGTCCAAACCAGGAAGGCATTCTAAAATGGGTTTCTATTATTTTACTGTTACAGTAAATTTAGTCTGTTTTGGTAAAAATTACCAGTGATTGTGAGTAATCAATGGAATATGACCTTTTATACTAGTGAAAATTTCTTTCTTTTTTCAGTTTTCCTTTTCTGTTATCATACGCTTGAACTTATGGCCTAATATCTGGAACAACTGAGGGAAGTGGGCTGCCCACATCTCTTCTCTCCCAAGCCCAGGTGCAGCCTTCACAGTAGACAGTGAGGCCCCTGGTCACACAGTCAGGGGAAGAAATGCAGCTCCTTACCCTCAACTTCCAGCTTCACCACTTTGGAATATGCTGTCCCGAGGCTGTTTTTTGCCACACATCGATACTGTCCTGCATCTTCCTTTTGTACGTTATGAATCCTCAAGCTCCCAGATTCAAGAACTGCAATTCGGGAATTTTCCTGCCAGAGATAGGGACGTGAATTCAAAAATGTTTATGGGTCTATCAAGGATACATTTGCCAAATATCATCAACTTATTGTCATCACTATTATCATCATCAAAGATATCGCTTTGACCTTTATTGGCCACTTATTATGTAAAACATACAATATTAAATGAAATAGTGCAAGAGTACCTAAATTAATCTTCACCAGGGTCCTATGAGGTATAGTTTATTTTTATTTTCTTTCATCCCATGAGTGTGTGTATATATATATTATATATATAATATGTATATGTATAATATATATATGTATATGGGCTTATTTTGCTTCCCCAAAGTCACAGCTAAATCTGATTAAAAGCATTGCTTTTAGAAGGGGGAAATGTTGCAGAGTGGGGTGGTGAGACATACAAAACTATATACTGGGTATAATGTACAGCACTCAGGTAATAGGCACGCTAAAATCTCAGACTTGGCCACTATACAGTTCATCCTTGCAACCAAAAACCACTAGTACCCCAAAAGCTATTGAAATATGAATAAATAAACACATTGCTTTTAACTATCAGGTTTACCTTGCACCCTAGATGGTATCTTTAGAAGAGTACATGTCCTTTGAAATACTAGAAAATTTCACACATAATATTAAAATTACTCTTTGGAGTTTAAATATTACATCTGTCTTTTCTGTTTTGAACCCTAAATTCAGTAACATAAGTACAACCACCCTTGTTTGTCATTGTAGGAAATGCACCAAGATTTATAACAAGAGGAAAGCCAGATAATTAATCATTAAAAATTAGCAATATTTATTTTATTTTAAATAAAGCAAAGCTGAGCAATTTTATACCTTAGTTCAGTTAATTGACATAAAGTGACACCTTTGTATTCCTCTTAAAATATACTATGCATTGTTAAATGAAAAACATAGTCTGTAATCTTTTAGGTGATATAAAGATGGAAAGACAATAATGATGCCTCATAATAATTTATCAATAAATGTGGGGATAAGATACAGAGGCAGTACAAAATAAGCATATGGATAATAACTTTTTTTTTTTTTGAGATGGAGTCTCATTCTGTTGCCCAGGCTGGAGTGCAGTGGTGAGATCTTGGCTCACTTGCAACCTCTGCCTCTCGGGTTCAAGTTATTCTCCTGCCTCAGCCTCCTGAGTAGCTGGGATTATAGGCACACACCACCACACCCAGCTAATTTTTGTATTTTTAGTAGAGACAGGATTTCGCCATGTTGGCCAGGCTGGTCTTGAACTTCTGACCTCAGGCCTTGGCATCCTGAAGTGCTGGAATTACAGGCGTGACTACTCTTCATGACTCAGGAGGGATTTGCCAAGGTATTTGTGTATGAGTCTTGAGTCTTTTCGCCTAACTTCTCTCCAGAGATCTCATTTCTTTTCTTCCGAACCTTGTCTCCCTCCCTCCTTCCAGAAACTGTCAGTTCTAAAGCCTGGGTTTTAGTTTTTCTTTTTCATCCCCTAAGTCTCAGATTCAACATTAAAAAAAAATAAATGATTTAGCCAGCCAACAAATACAAAGGATTCCAGGTTTGCTTTTTCATTGCCTCCTTTTCTATCTTTAACATTATTGGTTCCCATCTCTTTTTTCCCTAGCCAGACCCAAATGAAATGCCATGCAGTTTGCATATATGCAAACAGAAATATTTACATTTGGTTAAAATGTACATGGAAACTACTTTATACTAGAAGTTTGTAAGTGTGTAACTGAGTGTGTAAAGAAATGTTATATTTTAAAATACATTTTATATATGTGTTTTAACATCATAACCACTTACCCTGAGAGGGCTGTCTCCCTTTATCCAAGACACTGATGGTTTGGGATTACCCATTGTAGTACATGGTAGGACTGCTTTTAATCCCTCTATTATTTTCACATTTATGGGAGGACGAGTTATTTTAGGTTCTAAAAAGAAATGAAAATTCAAAATAAATAAGGCAATATGGCTTTATTAAACCTAGAGTTTCTAACTTTCAATTTAATTCTAAACATCTGTTTTGAGAATCATTTGAGGCATGTTACATTACAAAATTCACCAAATGCAAAGACAGTTTTCCTCAGTAGATCTCAAACAGAAATCAGTTTAGAAACACTTGGTTGTCTCTGCTTTATTAGAATCTTACTAGCAAAACACAAATTTATGAAAAATATTAACAGTGTGAAGTTACCATAGCATTCTTCATTTTAAAAGATAGTTAATAAAAGCTGATTAACATAGACTGTCACCATAGCAATTCAACATTATTTAATTCATACTGATAGACATAAAACATTTGAAAAGAAAATTTTGATATAACTATATTCTTACCTAGTTAGAAATTATGACCTATTTTCCCTTTAGCTTCCATCTTAATTTGACTATTAAATTTTATGATTATTAATTAAATACATTCATTCTCTAGAAAGTAAACCAGATATTATTATATTAACAATCAGAAGAAATTCTGTCATACAATTTGGGGGGACTCAAACATGTAATTTACTGTTCAAACACTTTTAATCTTTCAGAAGAAATAGTTTATGCCAGTTAATTTTTATTCTCAAATATGAAACTTTCAAAGAAAGTTATTAAATCTAATATACAAAAGAATTGATAAGTTCAGGATGCCAGTTATTTTAGTACTATTCGTAAAATAGTTAAAACTACATTTATGTCCTTAGGAATTTTACGTTACAGATACAGAGGGGGACTTCGCAAGAGAGACTACTGAGCAATGGACACATTTTATTTCTTGCAGGACATGTGCCGTAACCAATTTGTTATTTTGACAAAGGAACGCATGAAATATGGACTTTGTTTTCTTCTACTTCAATGTGAGGGAGAGGAATGGGGGCTTTGGTGTTGTTGGTGGTAAGAGATACTTGCAAAGCCTTCATGACCTGTTGGGTTTTGTTTTTTTGTTTTTTTTTTTTTTTTTTTTTGAGACGGAGTCTCGCTCTGTCGCCCAGGCTGGAGTGCAGTGGCGCGATCTCGGCCCACTGCAAGTTCCGCCTCCCGGGTTCATGCCATTGTCCTGCCTCAGCTTCCCGAGTAGCTGGGACTACAGGCGCCCACCACCACACCCGGCTAATTTTTTTTTTTTTTTTTTTTTGTATTTTTAGTGGAGACGGGGTTTCACCCTGTTGTCAGGATGATCTTGATCTCCTGACCTCGTGTTCTGCCCGCCTCGGCCTCCCAAAGTGCCGGGATTACAGGCGTGAGACCTGTTGGTTTTTAATCTAAGCATTCACTGTCATTTAGAGTTCCTGCGGCCCTGTGTTATAGCAAAAATACAAGAAAGGCTTTAAAATATAGGAAAATAACAACTTTATTACTTTGCCTGCTATCTATAGCATACAACTCTCCTTCTAATAAACTGTAAATACCTACATGTAAATACAGTACTGGCCAGGTTCCTCAATTGTGAGTTGTATTGTCATACAGTTGCTGGGAAAAACTTAGCTGAGCACTTGATATTCCTATGACAGTCAAATAAAGTGTTATCTATGCCTTCCATAGGTTCCCTGAACAAGATCTCTATGGTAAAGCTGAGGCACAGATAATGTCTTAGGTAAAGACCTTTGCTTAAAGCAAAAATCTCCTATCTTCTCAGTGACTTGATGTCTTGGTCATCTGTTAGGTGAGGGGTGAGGAATTCCCTTTTGGGAAATTGAATGTAAAGTCAACTAGGAATGACTAGGGTATTGACGCATAGCCATGGATCCCCACTGTAAGGGAACATGATTCAGGGTGGAGTCATAAGTACTGACCAATCAGAACTGGTCACCTTAAAGCAGGATGCTGGAAGTATCCCGCTGTGCCAGCATTGAGACTTTAGCTGATGGACCATTAGGAATTTAGGGGAGGGAGCTCTTGGGGGAGGGCTTAAGAGAGCTGGAGTAGTGATAGGGGTTGGGGGATCTCGGGAGCCTTATAAAACGGATCTTTCCAAGAAGTATGGAAGCATTCCAAAATTTTAGCAATTGGAATGGCCACACCGGTGTATATCCACATGAATGGATGAGATCTCCAAAGGAGAGGTTGGAAAAAAGAAGGCAAGAAAAGAAAAGGGGATTTAGTATAGAACCCAAATCAAGAACAATTGGGCCAGAGAGAATATGCAAAAATATTCAAAAGAAAGGTAGTGTCACAAAGTAAGGAAATACTTGAATGTGTTTCATCCTCAGAATGAAGTCTTCATTATTTAGCAAATGAGAGCATTCCAACTTCCTTATTTGATTTCTTACTTCTCTGCATACTGAAGGGAAGCCTGCATATAGGCAGATCCCCACCTACTTACTCACAGTAAGTACCAAATCAGTATTCCATAAAGTCATGCTATTCCCACCAGCTTTTTATCCTAATTAACTGAACACTCCATGTATATTTATTATGATCAAAAAATAAAAGATCAATTTGAGAAAAATTGTAAACATAAAAGGATGGAACCCAAACAAAATCAATTTTTTTTTTTCTGAAGGAAATAAAAGTAATGCAGGGGAAAAAAGAAAATGTCTTTTTAAAAGATGCACTAGTGATATCCTTAGAAGCTTAAGTGAATATTGTATCATACAAGTGAGTTTGTTATGACAACAGAGACATCAAGGAAATTCTTAGAAATTAAAAATATAGTTTTTAAGACCAAAACACTCAGAATGACAGAATAGTCATACTGGAGACCACATTCATAATATGAAGAAAAAGTAAAAGGAATCTTCAAGAGAGTAGAATATTAAGACATGCAGAAAATATGAGAAGAAAAATTTGAAGTCATAGAGAAAGAAAAAAGAAAAAAAATAGAGAAAATGTACCTTTCTAAAAAGCTTTGGTCTTTAGATCAAAAAGGCCCACCTAGGCTGGGTGCAGTGGCTCACTCCTATAATCTCGATACTTTGGAAGGCCAAGGTGGGAGGATCACTTGAGCACAGGACTTCAAGACTCAGTATGTGCAACACACTGAGAACTTATCTCTACCAAAAAAAAGTAAATAAATAAATAAAAGTAGCCTGGTATGGTGGCTCATGCCTGTAGTCCTAGCTACTTGGGAGGCTGAAGCAGGAGGATTGCTTTAGCCCAAGCAGTCAAGGCTGCAGTGAGCCATGGTCACACAACTGCACTACAGCCTGAGTTACAGAGTGAGATCTTGTCTCAAAAAAACCAAAACAAAACAAAAACCAACCAACCAAACAAACAAAAAAACAAGGCCCACCTAAAACTGAGTAGCAATAATTCTTAAAAATACACCTAATATATTCTTGTCAATTTGTGAAATTTATGAACTCTAGAAAAAAAAGAAAAATCCTAAACTTTTTAAGAGAGACATCAGATTTACTTGTAAAGAAATAAGAAAAAGACTTCTCATCTGCAACAGAGGATATCTACTAAAACTAAAGAAAAGGGATTTTAAAACTCTCATTCTGCATGCAGCAAAATTATTATCCAACAATGCGAGCAAAATGAAGACTTCCAATCGTGCACAAATTCAGGAAATATTTTACATCTTCACACTCTGAAAAAAGTACCTAATGATTTCCTCCAGCAAAATAACAAAAGATAAGAAATAATGAGGAAAGACAACAACACAAAAACTAAAAATAAATGTCCCAAGTAGACCTAAATTCCTCTAATTTGTGTGGTGCCCGTATGTATGGTTATAAGCATGTCAGAGAAGAGAAGATGAAGGTTACATCATTGTAAGATTGACAGTTTGCAAGTAGCAGATGCTTACAGGACAGGAGGCCATGAGATTTAAAGATGCTGGTAAGGCAGTGTTTGATGATACATCACCAGGTAGAAGAAAGAACTAAGTATGGAAGGAAATAAAAGCCCCATTGGGGAATCAATGGAAAGGAGAACAGAGACGAATCAAGGTAAGAGAACATGATGATGCTGGTGATGTTGAGGTTGTATAGCAAGAGTAGGAGAATGAGAGAGACTGAGACACTGTTGTTAGCTGAGAAGGAGACAATGGAAGTTTGTGCCCACAAACTCTACTTGGAGGCAAATCATGAGTATGGGAAACTGTTTTGCTCATCTGACAAGGCTGTACCAAAAAATGTCCATGATGAGAGTGACATACTGAAGCTGAAGATTTTAAATGCAGACTACTTCCAGTGGGTGACAAGGCCAAGAGTGAGTCATCGATTGGCTACGCTGATAAAGAGTTAACACAAACAGGCTCATGCCTGTAATCCCAGAACTTTGGGAGGCCAAAGTGGGCAGATTACTCAAGGTTAGGAGTTTGAGACTGGCCTGGCCAACTTGGCGAAACTCTGACTCTACCAAAAATACAAAAATTAGCAGGGTCCGGTGGCACATGCCTGTAATCTCAGCTACTTGGGAGGCTGAGGCAGGAGAATTGCTTGAACTCAGGAGGCAGAGGTTGCAGTGAGCCATGATCATGCCACTGCACTCCAGCCTGAGCGAGACTCCGTCTCAAAAAATATATATATATTTATTTAAATATATATATTTATATATATACTTATATTTATATATATTTATATATATACTTATATTTAAATATATATATTTATATATATACTTATATTTAAATATATATATTTATATATATACTTATATTTAAATATATATATTTATATATATACTTATATTTAAATATATATATTTATATATATACTTATATTTAAATATATATATTTATATATATACTTATATTTAAATATATATATTTATATATATACTTATATTTAAATATATATATTTATATATATACTTATATTTAAATATATATATTTATATATATACTTATATTTAAATATATATTTATATATATACTTATATTTAAATATATATTTATATATATACTTATATTTAAATATATATTTATATATATACTTATATTTAAATATATATTTATATATACTTATATTGAAATATATATTTATATTTAAATATATATATTTATGTATATACTTATATTTAAATATATATATTTATGTATATACTTATATTTAAATATATATATACTTATATTTAAATATATATTTCTATATTTATACTTAAATATATATTTATATATATTTATATATTTGTACTTAAATATATATTTATATATATTTATATATACTTAAATATATATTTATACTTAAATATATATTTATATATATTTATATATACTTAAATATATATTTATATATTTATATATTTATACTTAAATATATATTTCTATATTTATACTTATATAATATATATTTCTATATTTATACTTATATAATATATATTTATATATTTATACTTACATAATATATATTTATATATTTATACTTATATTAATATATAATATATATTATATATTTATAATATATAATATATAATTATAATATTTATAATATAATATATAAATATATATTTATATTTAAATATATATTTATATATTATATTTAAATATGTATTTTTATGTATATTTATATAATTTATATTTAAATATATATTTATATTTAAATATATAGTTATATATAAATATATAGTTACATATTTATATATTTAAATATATAGTTATATATTATATATTAAAAAATATATAAACTATATGTGATATATATAGTTTATATATAATATATAATATTATATATAAACTATATATAACATATATAGTTATATATTTATATATAACTATATATAGTTATATATAATATACTATGTATATTATATGGTATATTACTAATATATACTAATATATAATATATATACTAAAATATATAATATGTTATATATTATGTAGTAAAAAATATATAAATATATATAATATATAAATATATATAACTATATATTTATATATAGTTGTATATATTTATATATAAATATGTATTTTTTACATATTTTTATATTTTTTACATATATATAAATATGTATTTTTTACATATTTTAATATTTTTTACATATATTATATATAAATATGTATTTTTCACATATTTTTATATTTTTTACATATATATAAATATGTATTTATATATATTTATATATTTATATTTAAATATATATTTAATATATATTTAAATATAAATATATAGCTATATATTTATATATAAATATAACTATACAATATATAAATATATAGTTTATATATTTATATATTTATATATTATATATTATATAAAATATGAATATATATATGATATATTTATATAAATATATAGTTTATTTATATTTTATATAAATATATAGTTTATTTATGTAGTTTATATAAATAAATTATAAAACTATATATTTAAATGTAAATATATAACTATATATAACTATAGCTATATATTTATATATTTAAATATATAGTTATACGTATTTATATTTAAATATGTTTTTATATATTTAAGTATATATTTGTATATATTTAAATATATGTATGTATTTATATTTAAATATATGTTTACATATATTTATATATAAATATATATAACAAAAAAACAATAAAACAGTTAACACAAACAACCTAAATGCCCATTAATGATGGACTGGATAAAGAAAATGTGGTACCTAAACACCATGGAATACTACAGAGCCATAAAATGGAATGAAATCATGTCCTTTGCAGGGACATGGATGGAGTTGGAAGCCATTATCCTCAGTAAACTAATGCAGGAACAGATAACCAAACACTGCATGTTCTCACTTAGAAGTGGGAGCTAACGATGGGAACACATGAACACATGGGGGGAAACAGCACACACGGGGCCTGTCGGGGGTGTTGGTGTGGGGAGGGAGAACATCAAGAAGAATAGAATGGATGCTAGGCTTAATACCTAGGTGATGGGATGATCTGTGCAGTATACCACCATGGCACATGTTTACCTATGTAAAACAACTGCACATTCTGCAGATGTACCCCTGAACTCAAAATGAAAGTTAAAAAAATAAAATGAAACTACCTTTCCTCACAGTGGCAGACTTACCTTAACGACTACATACGTGTGTACATAGAGATTAAAAGTATGAGCCTTAAAATTGAAAAAAAAAGACAAACATCACTGGATTTCTGCAGGTCAAGGAATTATGAGAATTAAGTGGCTAGTGGTTCTATTTCATGGCTGTTAAAATTTCTTAGGGTAATTGCAGGAGTAGAGATGGATAGAAAGATAGTAAGCCTGGAATCAAAGTTTTTAATAAATATGGGGAAGTGCCTAGAAGAGCAGATGACATGATGAATACAGTTAGAGAAAAGATAGGTCAGAATGGCATAAGCCCTCATCAGAGGAAAGATTTTGTATAGGAATACAAAATAGAATGGTTTAAAAGCAACACTGAGGGCTGGGAGATTACCTACTAGTGTTTGGCAGTCTTGTAGACATGAAGTGGAGAAAATAGAACAGCTTCCACTGAAGCAGAAAATCACTCAGAAGAATATCAAATTTGAAATAAGGCAAAAGTGTCTGCAAAGAGGTTAGAAATAAAAAGTGTGTTTGGTTGTGTTTCACAGGTGTAGGGTAAATGTTTCAGAGGAAGTTTTCCTGGTGAAAGAATTCAGGGTGGAAGAAGTCAGGAGATGAGTGAAGGTAAGAAAATGGGAGAGGATAGAGAATTGAGAGGCTTGCCTTAGGGTAGTGGTTGATAGCAGGCATAAGAGGTGTGGGATTAATTGGCCTCAGGGTTGTGCTTGAACTTGAACTTGTCTCAGTGCTGAATCACCAGGCCTGAGAAAATCTCTATTTACTGACTGTTTTAAAGTGTACCAAGTCAGCGGGGGCACAGTGGCTCACGCCTGTAATTCCAGCACTTCAGGATGCCAAGGTGGGCGGATCACCAGAGGTCAGGAGTTCGAGACCAGCCTGTCCAACATAGTGAAACCCTGTATATTCTGAAAATAGAAAAATTAGCTGAGCTTGGTGGCACGCACCTGTAGTCCCAGCTACTCAGGAGCCTGAGGCAGGAGAATCACTTGAACCCAGGAGGTGGAGGTTGCAGTGAACCGAGATCATGCCACTGCACTCCAGCCTGAGCAACAGAGTGAGACTCTGTCTCAAAAAAAAAATGTAAAAAATAAATACAAAACTAAGTGTACCAAGTCAACTTTCAAATCAATAGACGAATCTGTTTCCCACTCACTCATCTTCACTTGCAGGGCTCCACAACTCTCCACAGCTCCTCCCACACCATTGTTGGCCGTGCAGCAGTAAATGCCATCATCACTGTCTTCCACACTCAGGATGGTGAGGAGCTGCCCATTCTCCCGGATGCTGTACCGGGTGTCAAAGAGTCTGCAGGTCACAGAAAAAAATGACAGATTAGTGCTTCCTCTGTGATTTTTTTGCCATGATTAATGTATCAAACCGATGACTTGTTAATGAGGAAGTAGAATAAAGGTGAGAGGAAACTTGAGTGACTTCTGAATAATAGAATAACCTTACTTGATAATATAAAGCTAACATTATATTCTCATCTTTCTTAGGCTCCAATAGTCAAAGTACCATAGTCCTTCAAAAATGCTTTCAAAGGGTGATGCCCACTGATAAGACAAAATGTAAAGTTTACTTTATTCAGAAAAGCATATAAAACCAAGACATAGGTGTCTTCTCCCAATAAGTTCTGGGAAGTAGCAGCTATTAATAGATAAAGAACATGCATATGTATAAATACGATGAACAGAAAGGGTTAATTACTTATAGAAGTAACTAATGATTAGTTGAATATTTATTCTTTCATTAAACAATTACTTACTGATTGCTAACAAGTGCCAGGCACACTTCTAGTTACTTGGGATACATAAGGGAGGAAAACAATTTCCAACTATAAAAATATATGCTTTACATATATTACCTATTTAATTATATGCAAACCATTTGTTGAGAAGGGAATTAGGGCAGTAGAAAGAAATAGGAAGAGAAGCAGCAATATAAAAGAGAGTTTCTTTTAACCAAATAAGAGTTTTTTTATGCCAAATGCGTGTGGTAAGCAGAATAACACTCCCACAGAGGTTCTTGTTTTAATCACCAAAATCTGTCAATATGTTACCTTATTTTGCAGATGTTAAGAATCTTAAAATGGAGTGTTCTGGACTATTCGAATGGTCCCTGTGTGATAATAAGTATCCTTAAAAGATGGAAGAGAGAGGCAGATTGATAAAGGGAGGTATGACAATGGAGGCAGAGGTCAGAGTAGTGCCATTGCTAGACTTATAAGTGGAGTAGGGGGCCAAGGAACGCAGGTGGCCTCTAGAAGCTAGGAAAGGCAAGAAATCAGATTCTTCCCTAGAGCCTCCAGAAGGAACTCAGCCCTGCCAACACTTTGATTTTAGCCCAGAGAGATTTATTTCATACGTGTGAACTCCAGAACTGTAACATAGTACGTTTATGTTGTTTTAGGCCACTAAGTTTGTGGTAATTTGTTACAGCAAGGATAATAAATAAATACAGGTTTTGGTACCTGGAAGTGTGGTGCTGCTGCAACAAATACCTAAACATGTGGATGTGGCTTTGCAATTGATGAATAGTTAGAACCGAAAAAAATTTGAAAAGCATGCTAGAAAAAGCCTGTATTTCCTCAAAGAGACTGTTAATAGAAATACGTGTGTTAATGATTCTGCTCCTGAGGAATTGGAAGGAAGAGAGTTCCATGGTAGAGAAAATCTACATCATCTTAAAGAATACCTAAATTATCATGAACAGACTATTCGTAGAAATATGTATGTTCAAAGCACTACTGGTGAGGACTTGAGTGGAAATGAGGAGCATGCTACTGGGAAAAGAAGAAAGGGGGATCCTTGTTATGCAGGACAGAGAACTTAGCTGAATGGTGTCCTGCAGTTATGTGGAAAACAAAGCTTGTGAATGATGAACTCAGATATTTAGCTGAGGAAATTTCTAAGAAATGTGTCGAAGCTGCGGCCTCATTTCTTTTTTCTGGTTATAGTAAAATTCAAGAGGAAAAGATAAGTGGGAAAAACTGCTAAGCAAAAAAGGAACCAGGACTTGATGATTTGGGATTATTGGCCTATCCAGACTGCACAAAATACTAGCAAACCAAATTCAACAATACATTAGAAAGATCATATATCATCACCAAGTGAAACTTATCCCTGGGATACAAGGATAGTTCAACATATGCAAATCAATCAATGTGATACATCATATCAACAGATGAAGGGTAAGAAACATACGATTATTTCAATATATGCTGAAAAAGCATTTGATAAAAATTCAGCATCCCTTTGTGATAAAAACCCTCAAAAAATAGATGGAAAATGCCTCAAAATAATAAAAGCCATATATGACAGACCCACAGCTAGTAGTATCATACTGAATGGGGAAAAACTGAAAGCCTTTCCTCTAGTCTGGAATGCAACAAGGATGCTCACTGTCACCACTGTTAATTCAACACAGTCCTGGAAGTCCTACCTAGAGCAATCAGACAAGAGAAAGATATTAAGGGCCATCCAAATTGGAAGGGAAGAATTATCTTTGTTTACAAATGATATGCTCTTATATTTGGAAAAACTTAAATACTCCACAGAAAACTATTAGAACTGATAAATTCAATGAAGTTGCAGGATACAAAATCAATGTACAAAAATCAGTAACATTTGTATATACCAACAATGAACAATATGAAAAATAAATTTAAAAATAATCCTATTTACAATAGCCACACATAAAATTAAATAGCTAGGAATTAATCAAAGAAGTGAAAGATCTCTATAATGAAAACTGTAAGACATCAATGAAAGAAATTCATGAGGACACCAAAAAAATGGAAAAATATTCCATATTAATGGATTGGAAGAATCAATATTATTAAAATGTTCATACTACCAAAAGCAGTCTATAGATTCCATGCAATTCCTATCAAAATACCGATGACATTCTTCACAGAAATAGAAAAAAAAAATCCTAAAATTTATGTGAAACCACGAAAGGCCCAGAATAGCCAAAAGAAAAAAGAAAAAAACTGGAGGAATCACATTGCCTTACTTCAAATCATACTACAGAGCTAGAGTAACCAAAACAGCACAGTACTTTCATCAAAAGAGACACATAGACCAATGGGAAAAAACAGAGAACCCAGAAATAAATTCATGCACCTGCAGTGAACTCATTTCATTTTTGACAGAGGTACCAAGAACATACACTGGGAAAAAGACAGTCTCTTCAGTAAATGATGTGTGGAAAACTGGATATCCATGTACAGAAGAATAAAACTAGACCCCTATCTCTCTCCATATACAAAAATCAAATCAAAATGGATTAAAGATTTAAATCTAAGACTTCAATCTATGAAACTACTCCAAGAAAACATTGGGGAAACTCTCCAGGACATTGGTCTGGGGAAAAATTTCTTGAGAGATACCCACAGGCATAGGCAACCAAAACAAAAATGGACAAATGGGATCACATCAAGTTAAAAGGCCTTCTGCACAGCAAAGGATACAATAAACAAAGTGAAGAGACAACAAATAGAATGGGAGGAAATATTTGCAAACTACCCATCTGACAAAGGATTAATAACCAGAATATATATGGAGCTCAAACAACTCTATAGTAAAAAATATATTAATCCAATCAAAAATAGGCAAAAAAGTTTGAACAATTTCTCGAAAGAAGACATGCAGATGGCAAACAGGCATATGAAAAAGTGCTCAACATCACTGATCATCAGAGAAATGCAAATAAAAACTACAATAAGATATCATCTCACCTCAGTGAAAATGGCTTAGAGCCAAAAGACAGGCAATAACAAATGCTCGCAAGGATGTGTAGATAAGGGAATCCTTGTACACTGTTGATGTGGGAATGTAAATTGGTACAACCACTATGGAGAATAGTTTGAAGTTTCCTCAAAAAACTAAAAATTGAGCTACCATATGATCCAGCAACCCCACTGCTGCATATATAAGCAAATGAAAGGAAATCAGTATATCAAAGAGATATCTATACTCCTATGTTTGTTGCAGCACTGTTTTCAGTAACTAAGATTTGAAAGCAACCTATGTGTTCATTAACAGATGAATGGATAAAGAAAATGTGGTACATATACACAATGGAGTACTATTCAGCCATAAAAAGAATGAGATCCAGTCATTTGCAAAGACATGGATGGAACTGGAGATCATTATGTTAAATGAAATTAGCCAGGCACAGAAAGACAAACATTGCATGTTCTCACTTATTTGTGGGATCTAAACATCAAAACAATTGAACTCATGGACATGGAGCGTAAAAGGATGGTTACCAGAGGCTGGAAAGGGTAGTACAGGGATCGGGGGGAGTAGGGGATGTTTAGTGGGTGCAAAAAAAATAGAAAGAATGAAAAAGTCCTACTATTTGATAAGACAACAGAGTGACTATAGTCAACAATAACTTAGTTGTACATTTTAAAATAACTTAAAGTGTGTAATTGGATTGTTTGTAATTCAAATGATTAATGCTTGAGGGGATGGATACCCCATTCTCCATGAGGTACTTATTTTACATTGCATGCCTGTATCAAAACATCTCATCTACTTCATAAATATATACATATATATACACCTACTATATACCCACAAAAATTTAAAAAAATTAAAATGTGGAATACTTACTTAATGAGAATTTTATTTCTAGTCCAGGAAATCTCAGGCTGGGGGTAGGATTCCACTGCACACATGAAAGTAGCCACTTCTTCAACTAAGGCATCCACTGTTTCAAGAGGAGTGGTGATGACAGGAGCTGAAAGGAAAGGAGAAATCAAAAGAGAACATTCTAGAATTTTGTTTACTAACCCTTCCTTAAGCAGTCAGAAGCCATTACATACCTGAATGAGAATTCTGTTTCCCCAGAGTAGAAATTTGCCAAAAGAAAGGAAGAGCTTATGTAAAGAATGTTGTTTCTACTTCCAAACTAGGCATTTGAAAATCAAAAGAGAAGTCTCTCAGGAGAGCAGGGCTTAGAGTTTATGATATACGAGGAGAGGCAGATCCAAGTTTTATGGGGCCCAAGTTTGTGCAATTTGTACTTTTTAAAGAAAAAATATAAAATTATGAATACAAAATTTCTGTGTCCACCCCAATATCATCAGCATAAAGGGAAGTGAGTCTGAAGGGAAGTCAGGGTGGAAAAGGATAATAATTTAAAAAATTGTTTTTTAAGAACAATTTTCCCCTAATTTTATAAAAATAGACACTCATAAAAGCACATTGCTAAAGCCCACTGAGGGTCTTAGAAAGGGCTCCTGCAAATGAGAGAATCTGAAGCTTAAGCTTCATCAGATTCATAGAGAATTCACTTGGGCATACAACTAGAAAATGAAGAGACACCACTTTGTGAATTGTACACTTTAATGGGTAAAGCGCACGGTATGTGAATTAGATCTCAAAGCTGTTTTGTTCTATTTTATTTTTTTTAAGACAACAGGAGGAAAGGCTATAGACATCGTCCTTTCTTTTTTCTCACTCCTCTGTGAAATGAGGGCTACCTGCATTTATACAGTAAATTATATGGTCCCTTCAGTTAAAGGGCAAGGTATACATCAAAGCCAAATAAGTAGTATGATTGACATTTAGAAGTGAAATAGTCAGTGACAGACTTATAGAGCATCTAGAACAGACTGGCACGTTGTTTGGCCATAAAAGATACATCCACTTTCTGAATAAACCTTATTATTATTATTATTTTTTGGTAAAGTCAAAGGCAAGCTCATCTGCTGAGAGTGAAAAAAAATGGTGAGTGGGAGCGTTTTACTTGCCCCATATCTCCCTTGCTAATGTTATTTTGTCTTTTACGATTCAGTTTAAGCATCCATCTCCTTCCACTTCCCCTGACATGCTAGGCAGACCCAAATGCCTCTTTCCTTAACCTTATGTTATCCTGAAATGTCATTCTTATAATGCCACTTGTCACACAGATACTATTAAAATGATCTGTTTACGTCTTTGACCCACACTCAATTATTAAAACCTTGAGCTTTAGGTCAGGGATCATGTTTTAGACATCATTTAATTCCCAGGGTGAGCACAGTGACTGATGTACTGTTTAAATGAACAAAACTGTATTTATAAGGCCTTCACAAAAGGAGTAAATAAAAAAGTTGAAACATAGTAGTTGAAATAAGAAAGCAGAATTTTTATGTAAAATGACATCTTATACACAGTCATCAGGGCCACTTTCTTCCCAGCTTTTCAACAGAATAATCATTATAATATATATTATAAGGATTGTTATAATATATATTATAATAATTTTTATAATATATATTATAACGATCCTTATAATATATATAATATATATTATATATAATATATATTATATAATATATATTATATAATATATATAATATTATATATATAATATATAATATATATTATATAATATATAATATATAATATATATTATATATAATATAATATATTATAAGGATCATTATATATATCATATATATGATATATATATCATAAGGATCATTATAATATACAGAACATAATACAAAGAAATACAGACATGGACACTATTAAAGAATAGTTAGGAGATATAAAGTATACAGTGACAGGCACTAATACACCTCTGATAGGAGTTTGAGAAAAATAAAAGAGGGGAGCAGCCTAGAAGCAATATATAAAGAGATAAATGGCTGATAATTTTTCAAAACTGAAAAACAAACCCTGGAATATTAAGGTCGAAAGTACCCACCAAATGACAAGACAGATTTAAAAAAGAAATACAGCTGGGCATGGTGGCTCACACCTGTCATCCCAGCACTTTGGGAGGCCGAGGAGGGCAGATCACTTGAGCTCAGGAGTTCAAGACCAGCCTGGCTAACATGGTGAAACCCTGTCTCTACTAAAAATACAAAAAATTTAGCTGGACATGGTGGTGCACACCTGTAGTCCCAGCTATGTGGGAGGCTGAAGTACTATAATCGCTTGAACCCAGGAGGTGGAGGCTGCAGTGAGCTGAGATCGCACCACTGCACTCCAGCCTGAGTGATAGAGGGAGACTCTGTCTCAGAAGAAAAAAAAAAAAAGAAAAAAAGAAAGAAATTCATACTTGGACACATTGAATTAAAACTGTAAAAATTAAAGATAAATAAAATCTTAAACTCTACCAGAAAGAAAAAGTTTAATTCCTTAATAGGAATGCCAATTTTGGGTAACCTGAGATTATTCAGCAACAACAATTGATACCAAAAGGCAATAGGCTAATACCTTTACATGACTGCGTAAAAATAACTGTTAGCTTAGAATTACACAGCTAGCTTAGGTAATAATTTTAAACTCAGAACACTTATAAACAAATATTGAGAGTGTTTACCACTCACAGACTTTCTCTGAAATAGTTACTAGAGTAAATAAACTCACTAAGGAATAATTTATACCAGAAAGAAAGGGGTGAGTTATAAAAAACAATAGCATAAATGGTGGTGAAATACCATTGCAATTTTAACACACTATGGAATATTAAAAAATCACAAATTTTTGTGTTTAAAAAGAGTGGAATTAAATTCTAGACAAACAACTATAAGATCAAAGTTCAGGAAAGAAGTTTAAAATGCTAAGTAATTAAAAAATGCTAAGCTCTTTGCCATAAACAAGAGGACAGAAATATTGAATAACTTCAAACAGAAAGAAGCATCTATGGTTAAATGATTATGTTAAAACCTTATTAATGGTTACTACTAAAAAATAAATAAAATTCAAAAATTCCAAAACAACAGAGAAAAAAAGAGGTACCAGAAAGGCTTTATCAATCAAAAACAAAAGCAAAAACAAACAGGAAGAAGAGGAGGAATAAATAAGCCAAGAAAAAGCATGGTTAACAGAAGACATAAAATAATATGGAAGAAACAAGTCCAAATATACCAGAAATCACAGTAAGTGCCAATGGTATAAGCTGACCTATGAAATGACAGATGCTATCAAACACAAAAGACACACTTAAATAAAATAAAACAGAAATGTTAAAAATAAAGGGGAGGGAAAATATGTATAAAGCAAACGATATCCCAAAGAAAGTGACATAGCAATAGTAATATAAGAAAAATGTAATATAGGGGCATATGCATTTATAAGAAAAAAAGAAACATTGCTTAATGATAAAAGGAACAAGCCCTAAAAAGATATGACAATCATGAAACTTAATTATTTAAAAATATGGACTCAAACCCAAAAGTAAAATTATCACAAGAGTACATGGAGAAATGTTTTAACATAGTGTAACCCTTTAAGAGATCTCCTTCAGACACTAATATATCAAACAGAACTACAGTAAAGATATAGAAGATATAAACATCAAAATTAACACTAGATATAATGTACATTTATAAAACAATGAAACAATTACAGAATACATTTTGTAAATGATGCATAGATGAAACATTCAAACATAAAGAAAATATACCAAGCTACATAGGAGATTTTAACCCAGCTCAAAGAATTGATTTTATATAGTCTATATTTTCTAACCATAATAAAATCTGTAAGAAATAGACAATAAAAAGATAGCAAAAAAACAAAAAATCCCAATCCTGTTTATAGATCAAAAGACAAAAATATAATTATATATGTAGTAAAACAGAATAGCAGAATTAGTAAAATTAATTAAACAGATATGCACATCAACTGTAAGCCCTGATAGATGACACATATTTTCAAATGCCCATGAAAATTAAAGCTTAAATAAATTTTAAAAACAGATTATATGTCACATTCTTGGACCACAATTCAACAGAGCTAAACAGTAATGAATATTTAAAGATGAAAATCTAAAGAATTAAGAATTTTAAAAACAAAATTGTTCACATGTAGTAAAGGGTGGGGTAAAATCATCAACAATACTCACAGAAGAAAAAGATTAGATTAGCAAAGAACACTTCTGAAAAAAATATAATGCCCCAAAGTTTTTCAGATAAGTTTTAAAAAACTCTTAAGAAAGAATTAAGTCTCCAGTTACATAAAAGCTACAAGGAGCCAGGTGCAGTGGCTCATACCTGTAATCTCAACACTTTGGGAGGCTGAGGCAGGATGATCCATTGAGCCCAGAAGGATCCACTGAAGGATCCAGGTGTTTTGAGACCAGCCTGGGCAACATGGCAAGACTGCATCTCTACAAAAAATACAAAAATAAAAAAATTAGCCGGGTACAGGTGGCACACATCTGTAGTCCCAGCTACTTGGGAGCCTGAGGCAGGAGGATCACTTGAGCCCAGGAGGTCAAGGCTGCAGTGAGCTGTGATTGCACCACTGCACTCCAGCCTGGGTGACAGAGAAAGACCTTGTCTCAAAAACAAACAAACAAAAGCTATAGGGAATATAAAGTATAGAAAGCTTCTCAAATCAATCTTTGGAATAAAACAATGCTAATGTAAGTCAAGCAGGATGTAAAGCCCTAAAGTAAAATTTTAAAAAGCAAATTAAATTAAATCATAAATTTCAAAATTATTACTATGCATTTAGGCAGAAAAAAAATCCTTGCAAAAATATAAGGATAATTTAATAGAAAAGTCCTTTAAACAGGATTTACTATAGTCATAGTTTAAAAGATACCTATCACAGTCAAAAAGGCAGTAACAGAGTTAACTATCCATTCCCTACTTGAAAACCATTAGTAGAGTCGGAATATAATAGTATTTCTTTAACATGATAAATAATGTTTCTCAACCACTGAACTTGATAAAACTAGGAATAAAAAAAAACTACACAATACATTCACACACATTCACAGGATGATTCAAATTTGGCTTGGTGCAGTGGAGAGAGAAGAGTGTTCCAGGCAGAGGAAACGGTACCCGTGAAAGCCTGAAGACGGAGGGAGGCTGGTGCCCTAAGCCAATTAGAAGAAAACACAAACATTTATAAAAGATGGGTGGGAGAATGAAGAGTTTAGAAAAGAGACTGAGAGGAAGAAATCAGAGTTGTAAGCAAAGCCAGTGGAGGCTATTGGCAGAGCCCAAGAGTAGCACACGTTTCACAAAAGAGGGAGAATCAAATGCTGCCGAGACGTTAAGTTAAATAAGGACCTAAAAGTGCCCACTGAGTTTCCTGATGAGGAGGTCATGTTGATTTTGGTGCTTGCAGATTTGGCGGAAGCCAGATTGCAGTGGTGGGGGTTAGGTTGTGATAAGGAAGTGGAAACTAAGAGGAGAGGGAAGACATCTTTTTGCAGCAGAGTTTAACAATAAAAGGGAAGAAAGGGGCTGCATGGTGCTGGAGGTGAGTATGGTGACAAGAGTGGGTTTAAATGCTGACTGGAAGCACCTAGTAGAAGCAAAAATGTAGGACATTGGAGAAAGACAGGAGATAATTGAGGGAAATAGGTCCCTGAGAAAGCAGATTTATGTGGGGCTCAGAGGAAGAAAGACGGGTTAACCACGGATAGGAAGAGAAAGTCCTCTTAAAGCACAGTGAGGGAGAAGGAGGACAAGATGGATGCAGAGAGGTAGGTTTTTCCCCTTTGCTGGTAGGCAGCTGAAGAGAGAGCTTCTTATTTAAATGCTTCTCTTTCCTCAATGAAATAACAGCCTCTGAAATTTGTAAAGATACATGCACACCTATGTTCACTGCAGCACTATTCACAATAGCAAAGACATGGAAGCAACCCAAGTGACCATCAATGATAGACTGGATAAAGAAAATGTGATACATATACACCATGGAATACTATGCAGCCATAAAAAGGAATGAGATTATGTCCTTTGCAGGGACATGGATAGAGCTGGAAGCCATTCTCTTCAGCAAACTAATGCAGGAACAGAAAAGCAAACACCACGTTTTCACTTATAAGTGGGAACTGAACAATGAGAACACATGGACACAGGGAAGGGAACAACACACACTGGGGCCTGTCAGCAGGTGGGATTGGGGGAGGGAGAGCATTATGAAAAATAGCTAATACATGCTGAGCCCAGTTATTTAGGTGATGGGTGACAGGTGCAGCAAACCACCATGGCACACGTTTACCTATGTAACAAAACTGCACATCCTGCACTTGTACCCCGGAACTTAAAATTTACAAAATAAAATTACATACACATACACACACATATATAATATATAATATATAATATATGTGTGTGTATGTGTATATATACAACATATATACACTTACATATACACACACACATATATGAGAGAAAGAGACTGAAAGAATGAATAGCAAAATGCTAAGAGCACTTATCCCTTGCTATGAGCATTATGTGTAATTTTATATTTTTGTTTTTCTGTATCTTACAGGATTTTTTAAAAAAATGAATACATATTGCTTTCATAATAGAAAAAAATTGTAGCAGATAGAATGCCAAAGAAGTGTTAATTTTCAAAATGCAATGGAGGCAAACTTATAATTCATAAAGTTTGAGAAAGTCAATCTCAATAAAAAGTTATTTTCTAAACAACGAATGAATGAAATAAGCAATTAATAGTATAATCATCTAGATATTGAGAGATAAAGAACAAAAACAATATTTTATTAAGCTTGTGGAGTGTGGTTAACAATGAGCCCAAAGGTTAATTGATGATGTTGAATGCTTTTACTGTTTAAAAAGAAAGACTAGGCCAGGTGCGGTGGCTCACGCCTGTAATCCGAGCACTTTGGGAGGCCGAGGCGGGGAGGACCACGAGTTCAAGAGATTCCTGGCCAACATGGTGAAATCCCATCTCTACTAAAAATACAAAAATTAGCTGGGTGTGGTGGTGCAGGCCTGTAATCCCAGCTACTCGGGAGGCTGAGGCAGGAGAATCACTTGAACCCAGGAGGTGGAGATTGCAGTGAGCCGAGACCGCACCGCTGCACTCCAGCCTGGGCAACAGAGTGAGACTCAGTCCCAAAAAAAAAAAAAAAAAAAAAAAAAGGGAAGACTATTGAGCAACTACACATTAAGAGGCAATGTAGCGGCCAGGCACGGTGGCTCACGCCTGTAATCCTAGCACTTTGAGAGGCCGAGGCGGGCGGATCACGAGGTCAGGAGATCGAGACCATCCTGGCTAACAGGGTGAAACCCCATCTCTACTAAAAATACAAAAAATTAGCCGGGCGTGGTGGCGGGTGCCTGTAGTCCCAGCAACTCGGGAGGCTGAGGCAGGAGAATGGCGTGAACCAGGGAGGCGGAGCTTGTAATGAGCTGAGATCGCGACACTGCACTCCAGCCTGGGCGACAGTGCAAGACTCTGTCTCAAAAAAAAAAAAAAAAAAAAAAAAGAGGCAATGTGGCACAGGACTTGAATTCACATCCCAGCTCCATCACTTACCGACTCTGCAAGTCACTTAACCACACTTAACCTCAGTGTCTCAGCTATAGACGGAGATAATGTATAGCCTCCACATAACTTGTCACAAGGAATAAATAAATGGAAACCATTTAAAATTGTCCTTGGTCCACATGGAGCACTGTGCAAATGTTACTTGATTCTATAATTTAGAAAAAGAAACCCAGGCTGTTTGATTGTTTTCCTTGTCTTTATTACATTCAAATGTATTATACCGTTAATATTTTATCTCAGGCTGGGTGTGGTTGGTGGCTCATGTCTGTAATCCCAGCACTTTTGAGGCCGAGGTGGGAGGATCACTTGAGCCTAGGAGTTTGAGACCAGGCTGGGCAGCACAGAGAAACCACATCTCTACAAAAAATTTAAAAATTAGCCGGCATGGTGGCACACACTTTGTAATCCCAGCTACTTGGGAAGAAGCTGAGGTGGGAGGATCAACTGAGCCTAGGAGTTCAAAGTTTCAGTGAGCTGTGATTGCACCTCTGTACTCCAGCCTGTGTGACAGAGCAAGACTCTATCTCTAAAATAATAATAATATCATCATCATCATCATCATCATCTCTGGGAATCTATCCTAAGGAAATAATCTCACATATAGAAAGGCATATAGGTGACTTTTACTGCAGAAAACAGATCAATTGTACTAAATTCTATTAATCGTAGTCAAGTGGGAGAAGATTGAGGCACACAAGTTTTGTCTTCCGCAGGTTTGCAAGAGCCACTTGGTAATTTTTTAGGAATTTTGAGAGGTGATTGTTATATACAATCATTATTAAAAACTAAGTTGTATACATTTATAATCAAATATATTAAAAACAAAGTATTAATACTTGAAATTCCCAATGATTTAACTACATTTTATTATTATATAAGTTCTTGAGGTTATCTGTAATGTGTCTGTGTGGTAGAAATAATATATGAAGGATGCTACTACACATGCTATTTCCCAACTCAGTGCTCATTATTTGATAGTAGCTTGAGACTGGCCACAGACACAATAGAGTTTTTTACTATAGAGTATTTTACTGCAGAAATAAACAAGAGCAACAAATCCACGTCTTTTTTTTTCTCAGTGAGGTGAATATTAAACATATACTAGCACACTGTTATCTAAACAGAATATTATTTAGTCACCACACATGACGTTTGGAAGATTACTAATAATATAGAATATGCTCATGCTTTAGTGCTAAGTAAAAATAGCAGGCAGCACAATGTTAATAAGGACTTTAAAAATATGTAGAAAAAAATGGAAGAAAATATGCCAATGTGTTAATAGTCCTGGAAGTATGGATGACTTCTTCTGTCTTAAACTTTATGTATTTTGCATTTTCAAAATCAATCTTAAATACCATGTGCTACTTTTATAAGAGAGAAACTTTATGCACTAGTGTTATTTTCACTCAATACACAGATGCAGAAGTGGCAGAGGTAATAGACTTACTATTAATGTTATCTTTCCAATGAGGTGACACACTGGAGATGTCACATGAACTGTTGAGATCAGTTAAGATCAAAGAAGTGAGTCTTAGAATGTCTTGGAAAATAGACATGGAGAAATATGGAAGGTGTTACTAAGAACTTTATTAAGTTAACACCTTCCCATAAGATTCAGTGACATAACAGTCTTGTGTGAAGTTTGACTGTTTTTACTAATATTAGCATCTAAAAGTGATTAAGAATCTGGTATGTGCCATGCATTATACTTTTTATTCATTATCTTTTTATTTAACACAAAAAAGGTAGATACTATTAATATTTCCACTTGCAGACCAGAAATGGGGACTAAAAATGGTTGCACAACTTGTCTACATATCACAAAAATAGGAAGTGATAGAGCTGAACTAGCTGAACTTCAGGGTTAAAGTTGGTTTATACTTCCTTTCTCTAAGACATACTGCATCTTCAAGATCATACTGATTATGCACAGATGGATAAGAGAAGATGTACATCAATATCAGTTTCTACACACAGAATGCCAAGTCCACATTGTCCATATTTCCAGTTATCCAAATCTGCTTTCCGGTTTTCACTGACACAATCACATGGATCAGTTGTATTTAATGATATTTGTTGACTCAGCACACTGTCTCTTGTTTACTTTCATTCTACTATCCAGCTTTCATCTCAGCCAGAGCTCGTTTAAACTAGGGCACTATTTCTTCTCTCAATCCAAGGACTACATGAATAACAAATACATGAAAATGAACACAATCCTTTTCTGGACCCGAAGAAAAGCTTGACTTGGATATCAACTGCTTGATGAGAAGGACATGACATTACCTTTCCTTTGTATTTTATGGGCTCTCGCATATGACTATTGACTTACCAACTTTTGATTGATTATTTTTGGATTGACATGACCCAATGATTGGGTACATAAAGAAACAAGGTGTATTTGCTCCTTTCTATTTTAGTAAAATTAGGGCTCTGACTTGGAAAATATTCATGTTTCTCTAACATTATGAATGCAGTATTTTTTTTTTAGTACAACAAAACACTTTGGGGTTGGTTTAAACTTTTTAACCTTCTCTTCCAAGCATTAAATATCCTTGTTTTACTTTCTTCCTGATCCAATCTGTATCTCATGGTACGCTGCCATATAACTCCAACTCCTTTACTCTCTAGTTCTTTAGCTGTACTGACCCTGGAAAGTGCCAATCCTGAATTAATCCAGCCATCTGTCCTCCCTACCCTATGTTCACATAGCACTGCTGGGTATAGTGCAGTAAATGTTCAGGTCAGGGGCACTATAAAGAAAGCTGCAGTTCCTAGCCCCAGCTGGGTCTTCAGCATGGCCCATGTGATCCTCTCATCTTCCTGAATAGAGCCACTCCTTTCAGGCCCTCTTTCCACCCCTCACTTGTTACTCTCCTTCAACGACATCAGGTTTTATTTCACTGAGAAGCTGCCTACTTCATTTACCTTTGGAAATAAGGTAGAGTTTAAAGAGATCTTGAAATTTCTGCTCCTTCCTTCTTTTCTTTAAGGTCAATAATATTTGAAGCAACTCTGTTTACTCAAACATGCAATGAGTAACTCTTTCAATGCATGTCAATATAAAATATTCATCCAGGACTGTGTGTCCTGGATTTCAATGACAGCTGTGTCAGTCATGACTTAGTCATATGTCAAATCTGTGAATCCTATCCTTATATACATACAATTTAAAAGAGGAGGTTATTCAAATCTATCTAAAGATAAAATCACGTACGCTCAAACACTTCAACGTATTGTAGTAAGTCGGGTGTTTTGAAAGTGAGACTTTTGATAGTTCTTTGTGCATATTAAGCAAATCCAGAGCTGCTTACATGAACTCTTATGCTCCTGCAGAATCTAACATTGCACCATACATTTAATACTCCCTAATAAAGCATTAAATGTTATTGATGTATGTAGTTAAGCCAATTATCCAGTGGAACATTGGCTACTTTCATAAATGACAGTTTGTGAAATTCTACTACTTGGGTTATGGCACTGAATTCATCATTGAAAATATCACTAGTTGAAATGATTCAGAAAGACAATGATTCTTCCCCTTATCATTGGGCATTAGTAGCCTTAATTAAACTAAAATGAAAACTATGAACAATTAATTCTACAAAGTTGGATATTAATTTTTATCAAAAAATGATGTGCAGAAAGTCAGAAAATAATCCACTGAATACTTTTGTGTTATTTTAAATATGTCAATTTATTAGCTAATACATATTGTACAATTTCCTTTATGCATTCATGATAAAGGACTTAGGAAGAAGTATATTATCTAAAAAACTCTTTTTGTTATTACCGTCTGCCAAGAATAGGGAAAACAGTAGTTTTCTAGAAATAGTAGAAATAGTTTGGGTGGGCCATTTTTATTAGTTTCAGTAGTATAATGGCTGGCGCAGTGGCTCATGCCTGTAATCCCAGCACTTTGGGAGGCCGAGGCAGGCAGATCACGAGGTCAAGAGATGGAGACCATCTTGGCCAACATGGTGAAACCCTGTCTCTACTAAAAATATAAAAATTAGCCGAGTGTGGTGGCTTGCACCTGTAGTCCCAGGTATTTGCGAGTCTGAGGCAGGAGTATAGCTTGAACCTGGGAGGAGGAGGTTGCAGTGAGCTGAGATCACACCACTGCACTGCAGCCTGGCAACAGAACGAGACTCTGTCTCAAATAATAATAATAATAATGAAAATAATAAAATTTTATTGTGGTTCTTTTCTACCAATGTATTCCTCACCCTTCAACATTTAAAATTTTAAGGATTATGCTTTCATGATATTAGTTATTCTCAGAACTGCTGTATGTAGTAAATAAATGTTTGTTCTCCTAGACATGGTATTTTGGCTAAGAGTGATGTTAAACTCATACTAATTTAGATTTTACAGTACAATAGACTGAGAAAAAATTGCTTAAATTTTTTGATTTTAAAACCTAATTCTAGTAGTAAATAAATTATAAGAAATGAAATTGGGTGAATGATCTGGTTAGTTTATTTAAAAGTCAGGGTGTTTGGCTTTGTTATCTCTATGCCACTATATTTCAATATTTTCAAAATAGAGATAGTGTGCATTTGAATTAAGGGCTTTATTTGTAAAGTTTGGAAATGAAAATCAATTCTTTCTAGAATATAAATTAAGACTTATTCAGATAGAGAGATTTTGGGGGTTTTGTGTGTGTGTACAACAAATCCTTATTTGAATCATCAAAATCAATTGTCCTGCTCTTTATAAGACTGTATTTTAGTATTTAACCCTATCATTTTTATGTAACTGCGTGGTTTAGAAATATACAAATAATACTTAAGACAACCCATACGTTCAAACATCCAGGTGGGGCCTTACCGGACATCCGTTGTTTGATCAGGAAGTATTAAAATAATCTGAAGCCAATGTTAAGTCTTTCTGACTATTATTAGCTGTTTGAAAAGATCTAGAGTCTCTTTTATCTGTAGATGCCTTAAAGTATTCATTAGAAATTAAATGTTTAAATACATTTGAAGATACCATTATACTCAAGTAAAATGGAAAAAGAGAAGCAACAAAATGAAACAAAAAAATCTGTGAAATCAGATTGTTTGTGAAGAAACCCGCATCTTATTTGCATGTGAACTTTGACCTTATGGCTCCAGAATTTTTAGTGAACCAGAAAATCTAAAGATACATTTTGCATCTATATACAGATACCACCTTCATTTATCTACACAATACAAACTGTTTCAGTGCTTTGATTAATATAAAGGGAAAATGATTAATTTGAACATGTCCTGAAGCAAAAATCTCTTTTTACTCTATGGTATAACATTAAATTTGAAAACTCTTGTATTGATACCACTCGATCTGCTTTCTCATGTCTTTTTAAAAAAAGATTTCAGTGATACCCTTAGTCACTTTGCAAATCACAGACTTTCCAGTCTTTCTGATTTCAAATACGCTAGTCCCAGTTTCATAATACACTGGCCAGAAACTATATCACTGGACATTCTTGCTACTGCAACAGGTGTTTGTCAGTTTCTTAAGTTGCTTTCCTTTCCCCTGAGGTGGTGTTATTTCCGGTACATTCCAAAGGCTCTGAAAAAAACTTTTGCAGTCTCTTGCCAAGCCAAATCATGACTCCAGCCTCAAAGTTATTTAAAATCCATTGTCTTCCGGGTTTGTTACACAGGCAAATTGTGTACGTCTTTCTGTATTTCCAATTTTTAGCAACTAAAATATTTATTAAGAGTTTGGCAAAGCTAAAACTGAAAATAAAAGTGATTTTTATTCAGAAGCAAATGCTCTGGATGTCTGAGAATGGGGTTGATTCTATTCCTGGCAAACCTGATGCGAAAAGGTTGTCATCATCCACTTAGACCACCCTGAAATTTGACATTCGCATAAACAAAATAGACCTTGATAACTTGCAGTGTACATGCTTATGTTTTGCCCTAGAAGTCAGAGCTCTGCATGCACTATGTGGCTAAGCCTTTTATTGCAGAACTTCGGAGTAAAATATTGGTAGAGAGACCATCAACCAATTGCTTATGTATATAATTTCCTCCCTCATCATACATTTCACCCTTACTTCTTCAAGTAAAACCCAAGCCCACCATACTATAAATCAGTCTTGGTCATATCTCATATACACACACTTTACAACCATGACAAGACAACAAGAAGACACGATTGCTCAAACCAACCTTTTGGAAGTTTCTCAGTTCCGCTGAAGGCAACCAGAGTAAGAATATGTACCAGTGGAATGTTGACGAGCTCTCTCATGATTAATCCAGGCTCACGCAGGACGAAGTTCCTTCTGGACAACGCAAGGAAAATGGCTCCACAGTTTACATTTTAAAGCATACTTTGTTGCAAAAGGGTTGTCTGCTAATGACTGTTTGTGTCAGCAGCTCCACAGGCTCTAAGTATAATCAGGAATTCTCAGACTTGGCTGCAATGATGGACACAGCCAGCTGGTGAGCATCCACGTAGGCCAGTAATGCAAGTGTAGGGCTGGAGGAACAAGGGCAAGAAAATCCCTTTAGAATCCCTTTTAAGACAGTGGCAGAAGGACAATACCAGATGCCTTTTGCAACCATCGCTGTATTCCCAGAGGTATAGGTGTCCTGACCTTCGAATTCAGCACCCCACCTCTCCCGGACTCAAACCAGAAATCTGGGTCTATTCAGTCTTCAGTCCTCCCCATCTCTCACCCCACCCCCACTCCCACATTCAGCCCATTCCAATTCCTACAGATTTTATCAACCAAATAGTCCTTGTACCTTCTCTCTGTCTTGGGTCTTAACCATTCTATATCTTTTTTCAGATAGTCCCTCCTGCTCAAAAGCCTTTAGGGGCTCATCATCACATAAAAATATATTTAAACCTGCCTAATCTGCCTAATATGACAGGCTTTACTGGAATCTGCATGCTTTGTTGTATGTTAGTATTGTCTTTTACGATCCTGTTTTTGTTTTTTGTTTTTTTTTTTTTTCAGAGTCAGGGTCTTGCTCTGTTGCCCAGGCTGGAGTGCAATGGGGTAATCATAGCTCACTGCAACCTCAGCCTCCTGGACTCAAGTGATCCTTTCAGAGTAGCTAGGACTACAGGCACTGCCACTACAGCAGGCTAATTTATTTTTATTTTTTGGAGAGATGTGGTCAGGCTATGTTACCCAGGCTGGTCTCAAACTGCTGGCCTCAAATGATGATTCCACCTCGGCCTCTCAAAGTGCTGGGAATGCAGGCGTGAGCTACTGTGCCCAGCCTCATTCAGCTTCCTTTATTCAACAACCTGCTGATGGTTCCCTGTATACAGCTTTCCTACCTCCATGAATTGCTCATACTGTTTGCTTCTCTTGGAATACTACTCCCCTCCTTTCCACTCAGTTCACACATCTCTCAGCTTGATCATCCTCTCCTCCTGGGAGAAAAATTCCATATCTTCCCAAAGCTGTGTTACGTTTGTCTTCTCTGGGTTTCCATAATATACTGTGCATATCTCTACCATTGCAATGACCATATTGTTTTGATTTTTTCCCCTTTGTGTTGGTGTCTTCTTCATTCTTTGGCCTCGTGAGTTCATTTATAGAACTTTAGAGTCAGGTAGTGTGATGCCGCCAGCTTTGTTCTTTTTGCTTAGGATTGCCTTGGCTATATGGGCTCTTTTTTGGTTCCATATGAAATTTAAAGTAGTTTTTTCTAATTCTGTGAAGAAAGTCAATGGTAGCTTGATGGGGATAGCATTGAATCTATAAATTACCTTGGGCAGTACAGCCATTTTCACAATATTGATTCTTCCTATCATGAGCATGGAATGTTTTTCCATTTATTTGTGTCCTCTTTTATTCCCTTGAGCAGTGGTTTGTAGTTCTCCTTGAAGAGGTCCTTCATATCCCTTGTAAGTTGGATTCCTAGGTATTTTATTCTCTTTGTAGCAATTGTGAATGGGAGTTCACTCATGATTTGGCTCTCTGTTTGTCTGTTATTGGTATATAGGAATCTTGTGATCTTTGCACATTGATTTTGTATCCTGGGACTTTGCTGAAGTTGCTTATCAGCTTAAGGAGATTTGGGGCTGAGATGATGGGGTTTTCTAAATATACAATCATGTCATCTGCAAACAGAGACAATTTGACTTTCTCTCTTCCTATTTGAATACGCTTTATTTCTTTCTCTTGCCTGATTGCCCTGGCCAGAACTTCCAATAGTAGGTTGAATACGAGTGGTGAGAGAGGGCATCCTTGTCTCGTGCCAGTTTTCAAAGGGAATACTTCCAGCTTTTTCTCATTCAGTGTGACATTGGCTGTGGGTTTGTCATAAATAGCTCATTTTTTTTCGATGGGTTCCATCAATACCTAGTTTATTGAGAGTTTTTAGCATAAAGGGGTGTTAAATTTTATTGAAAGCCTTTTCTGCATCTATTGAGATAATCATGTGGTTTTTGTCACTGGTTCTGTTTATGTGATGGATTACATTTATTGATTTGCATATGTTTAACCAGCCTTGCATCCCAGGGATGAAGCCAACTTGATCGTGGTGGGTAAGCTTTTTGATGTGCTGTTGGATTCAGTTTGCCAGTATTTTATTGAGAATTTTCACATCAATATTCATCAGGGATATTGGCCTGAAATTTTCTGTTTTTGGTTGTGCCTCTGCCAGGTTTTGGTATCAGGATGATGCTGGACTCATAAAATTAGTTAGAGAGGATTCCCTCTTTTTCTATTGATTGGAATAGTTTCAGAAGGAATGGTACCAGCTCCTCTTTGTACCTCTGGTAGAATTCGGCTGTGAATCCGTCTGGTCCTGGATTTTTTTTTTTTTTTTTTTTTTTTTGCTCGGTAGGCTATTAATTACTGCCTCAATTTCAGAACTTCTTATTGGTATATTCAGGGATTCAGCTTCTTCCTGGTTTGCCAAAACAGCATGGTACTGGTACCAAAACAGATATATAGACCAATGGAACAGAACAGAGGCCTAAGAAATAATGCCACACATCTACAACCATCTGATCTTTGACAAACCTGACAAAAACAAGCAGTAGGGAAAGGATTCCCTATTTAATAAATGGTGTTGGGAAAACTGGCTAGCCATATGCGGAAAACTGGAACTGGACCCCTTCCTTATATCTCATACAAAAATTAACTCAAGATGGATTAAATACTTAAATGTAAAACCTAAAACCATAAAAACCCTAGAAGAAAACCTAGGCAATACCATTCAGGACATAGGCATGGGCAAAGACTTCATGACTAAAACCCCAAAAGCAATGGCAACAAAAGTCAAAATTGACAAATGGGACCTAATTAAACTAAAGACCATCTGCTCAGCAAAAGGAACTATCATTAGAGTGAGCAGGCAACCTACAGAGTGGGAGAAAATTTTTGCAATCTATCCATCTGACAAAGGGCTAATATCCAGAATCTACAAAGAACTTAAACAAATTTACAAGAAAAAAACAAACAACCCCATCAAAAAGTGGGCGAAGGATATGAACAGACACTTCTCAAAATAAGACATTTATGCAGCCAACAAACATATGAAATAAAGCTCATCATTATTGGTCATTAGAGAAATGCAAATCAAAACCACAATGAGATACCATCTCATGCCTGTTAGAGTGGCAATCATTAAAAAGTCAGGAAGCAACCGATGCTGGAGAGAATGTGGAAAAATAGGAATGCTTTTACACTGTTTGTGGGAGTGTAAATTAGTTCAACCATTGTGGGAGACAGTGTGGCAATTCTTCAAGGATTAGAACCAGAAATACCATTTGACCCAGCAATCTCATTACTGGGTATATACCCAAAGGACTATAAATCATTCTACTATAAAGACACATGCACATATATGTTTATTTCAGCACTATTCACAATGGCAAAGACTTGGAACCAACCCAAATGCCAATCAATGATAGACTAGATAAAGAAAATGTGGCACATATACACTACGGAATACTATGCAGCCATAAAAAACAATGAGTTTATATCCTTTGCAGGGACATGGATGAAGCTGGAAACCATCATTCTCAGCAAACTAATACAGGAACAGAAAACCAAACACCACATGTTCTCACTCATAAGTGGGAGCTAACAATGAGAACACATGGACACAGGGAGGGGAGAATCACATACTGGGGCCTGTCAAGGGGTGGGGGGCTAGGGGAGGGATAGCATTAGGAGAAATGCCTAATGTAGATGATGGGTTGATGGATACAGCAAACCACCATGGCACATGTATACCTGTGTAACAAACCTACACGTTTTGCACATGTATCCCAGAACTTAAAGTATAATAAAAAAATTAAATAAATAAATCAGGTTCTTCTAAAAAAAAGAATAAATATTAATATTGCTGTGTTCTTAATGATTTTCTTTTTGAATAAAAAAGCACATACAATTATGTAGAGTACATAATAGTTGATAATGATAATAAATGACCATGTTGCTGGTTTTTTTAATGTACTATATTTTTATTATTATTTTACTGTGTATACCCTGTACTTATTTAAAAACATAAAAAATAAAAATAAATAAAAAATTGATTGTAAAACAGCCTCAGGCAGGTATTCTAGAAGAATACATTGTTACCATAGGAGATGGCAGCTCCATGTGTGTTATTGCCCCTGAGGACCTTCCAGTAGGACAAGCTGTTGAAAGGCAGTGATGTTTTGATCCTGACCCTGTGTAGGCCAAGGCTATTGTGTGTTTTTGTCTTAGTGTTTAACAAAAAAAGTTTAGAAAGTAAAAAATAAAAATAAAATTTTAAGATAGAAAAGAGCTTAAGGATATGAAGAAAAACTATTTTTGTATAACTGTACAATATATTTGTGTTTCAAACAGAGTATTATTACAAAAGAGTCAAAAAGATTACAAATTTTAAAAGTTTATAAAATAAAATAGTTGTGGTAAGCTAAGGTTAATTTATTATTAAAGAAAGAAAAATATTTTAAAAATAAATTTAGCGTAGTCTAAGTGTACAGTATTTATAAAGTTTACAGCAGTGTACAGTAATGTCCTAGGCCTTCACATTCACACATCACTCACTCACTGACTTACCCAGAGCAAACTTCAGTGCTGAAATCTTCGTTCATGGTAAGTGCCCAATGCAGGTGTACCATTTTTATCTTTTATACTGTATTTTTACTGTATGTTTTCTATGTTTAGATACACAAATACGTACCATTGTGCTACAATTGCCTACAGTATTCAGTGTAGTAACATGCTGACAGGTTTGTAGCCTACGGGCAATAGGCTATCCATACAGCCTAGGTGTGCAGTGGGCTATACCATCAAGGTTTCTGTAAGTATACTCTATGATGTTCACACAATAACAAAATGAACTATGGATGCATTTCTCAGAACATATCCCTGATGTTAAGTGATAAATGACTGTATAATATAAAGCTATAGTACTGGCATAGAAACACACATATAGACTAATGGAACAGAATACAGAAACTAGAAATAAATCTCTGCCTTTATGATCAAGTGATTTTTAATAACAATGCCAAGAATACACAAAAATAGTCTCTTCAATAAATTGTTTTGGGACAACTGGATAGCCACATGCAGAAGAATAAAATTAGGCCCTTATTTTATGTAAAAATCAACTCAAAGTGGATTCGAGACTTAAATGTAAGAATGGAAACTAAAACTGCTAGAATATATAGGGAAAAAGCTTTATGACATTGGTCTGGGCAATGATTTTTTGGATGTGACCCCAAAAGCACAGGCAATAAAAAGCAAAAATAGACCAATGAGATTACATTAAACAGAAGAGCCTCTGCACAGCAAAGGAAACAATCAACAGAGTAAAGGCACTATCTACAGAATGGGAGAAAATATTTGCAAACCATACACCTGATGAGGTTAATATCCAAAATATATAAGGAATTCAGACAATTCAATAGCAAAAAAAAAAAAAAAGACAAATAACCCAATTTTAAAATGGGCAAAGAAGTCAAGCACAGTGGCACACCCCTTTAGTCCCAGCTACTCGGGATGCTGAGCCTAGGCGTTCAAGGCCAGCATGGGCAACATAGCAAGACCTCATTCACTTAAAGAAAAGTGGGAAAAGGATTTGAATAGACATTTCTTAAAAGACATACAAATGGCCAACAGGTATATGAAAACATGCTTAAAATCATTAATTATCAGGGAAATACAAATCAAAACCACAATGAAATATTATCTCACTCCAGTTAGAATGGCTATTTTCAAAAAGATGAAAGGTAACAGGTGTTGGTGAGGATGTGGACAGAAGGGAACCCTGTATACTGTTAGTGGGAATGTAAATTAGTACAGCCATTATGGAAAGCAGTGGGGAGGTTTACCAGAAATCTAAAAAGAAAACTACCATATAATAGAGCAATCCCACTACTGGATATATATTCAAAGGAAATGTAATCAGTATGAATCAGTATGTCAAAGAGATATCTGTATTCCCATGTTCACTACAGCATTATTCACAATAACCAAAGTATGGAATCAACCTACATATTCATGACTAGATAAATAAATAACAAAAATGTGGTACTATATATATATATATATATATATATATACACACATATATATGTGTGTGTGTATATATATACACAATGGGATACTATTCAGCCTTTAAAAAGAAGAAAATCCTGTGATTTGGGATAATATAAATGAACCTAGAGGACATTATGTTATGTGAAATAGCCAAACACAGAAAGACAAACACCACATGGTCTCACTTGTCTGTGGAATCTGAAAAAGTTGAAATCATAGAAGTAGAGAGAATGGTGATTACAAGGGACTGGGGGAGGGGAAATGGGTATTGGGGAGATGTTGGTGAAAGGATGCAAAATTGCAGTTAGGAGGAATAAAAAATAATGATTATGAATTTTTGGGCACCTAATTATCCTGGTGTTTCAGGGCCTAAGATATTGGGCAAGTAAGTTTGGGGTTTTGTTTCTTTCTTAACAAAAAGGAGACTACACTTCCCTCTCCACCGGAACCTCGATTTCACATCTACCCTATACACAGCCTTAGTTCATGCCATCTTTCTTAGAGCTGGAGATCTAGATAGTGAAGGGGAGCTACTGGTAGTGGGTTTTCATTTACAACTCAGTTTCTCCAACCTGCTCCTAGTGCAGTTTGCGAAGGAGAAAAATAGCAAACCATAGTTTTATCAGAACTGTTGTCTCCTGAGATAGTGTAGCCTATACACTTAAGGTAATCTTAATACAATTCCAATCGTATTTTGGAAACTAGGAAGCTGATTTTAGAACATATATACAGAAACAAAGTAAGCAAAAATAATCAGGGAAAATGTGGGAAAAAAAGCTTTTTCCATTTATATTCTAGTAGTTTCAGTTTCCATTCTTACGTTTAAGTCTCAAATCCATTTTGAGTTGATTTTTATATAAAATAAGGGCCTAATTTTATTCTCTGCATGTGGCTATCCAGTTGTCCCAACACAATTTTATTGAAGAGACTATTTTTGTGTATTCTTGGCATCGTTATAAAAATAAGGAATCACTTGCCTACCAAGTGTTAAAATGTATTGTAAAGGTTTAATAATAGCTTAATGTAATGACATTAAAATCCTGTGGTATGAGGCTATAAGTAGAAGGTCAGTGCACACTGAATGAATGATAAAGACGGCATTTTAAATTAGTGAGGAAAGATGACTTATTAGGTGAATTTGGTAGCCATTTTAAAAAATCAATTACATCTGTACCTCATATATTACGCCAAAATAAAATTTGGGATTTTAAAAGTACCAGAAAAAACATGTGTATGAGAGAGAAGGAATATATCTATTAGATCTATAGCTTTACATATATTTTCCCAAACATATGAAAATACTGGCCAATTATTTTCACTTAAAAGCCATTTTTCACTTGGCTTTTTAAATCGGGCTCTTTCCTGTTTTTCTTGTTATTTTTTGTTTTCTCTTTCATGAAATCCTTTTTCTTCCATGGAGAAAATAAATGTTAGTTTTCTCCAAGCTTAAGTCATTGGCATTTTTTTTTCAGTGTCCACACTTACAGCATTAGTTAACAGGTATATGCATGTGAATTCTACACCTGTATCTCTGAATTAAATCTCTGTCTTGGGAAACACTGGTATATCTGGTCACCTACATGCCCGTCTCACAAGAAACCAAAACTCAACTTTTGAGATATATTAAATTAATCTTTAAATGGTTTAATATTCAATTAGAACTAACAGTGAGATAAAAGAGGACCGCTCACTTTTAAACTTTGCTTTCTCTTCCCATCACTGTGAGAGACTTTAAAACAAAATGCCATTTTACAGGCCATATCTCCATAATGGGTGCTCACTGTCCTCATTGAGCTAAAATACTTTTGTAAACCAACACTCATCCAGATATTGGACTCTGTTCAAAATCCTTATACATGAAGGCACGGGGAAAAAGTTGGGGAATATGTGTTTCCTTCTATTGGTGAGTTTAATAGTCTCTTCAATAAATTGTGTTGGGATAACTGGATAGCCACGTGCAGAAGAATGTAATATGTTTGATAAACTATGGATTGTATATAAATTCAGAATTGTTTTTAAAAAATTAGCAGGTCTGTAAATTGACCTGAAAAAACATGAATTCTAAAAGTCAAAGTGCTGTTAAAGTTAAGATAGTATCACGCAAATAGCTAATCCTAGACAGCTAACTTATCTTCAAATAAAATGCTATCCATTTTTGTTCGCCTCCTTGCCCTCTATGCAAGGGAGAAGTCATTATGGGGAGTTCTGGGAGACAGTTTGGAAAGATATTATACTTTTAGAGCTGATAAAATCTGTTTCAAAAGCTTTTTTCCATCTTGCTCAAGATCTGAGATAGAAATTTCTACTGACCAAAGAGTCTGTCTTAATTAAATTTATCCAAGATAGTACGTGCCCTAAGTACCAGGGGGAATTAAGCCAGTATGCTTAATACTAAACTCATCAACTTCCCTGAAACCTGGGAATTCTTTCATCTCTGATCTCAGTGAATATCACCATCTTCTACTCAGCTTCCCAAGCAATCAAGCTGTGAATCATCCCTGACATCTGGTTTCCTGAACCTCATGTTTAATGAGTCCTATCAGTTTGACATTGTGAAGCCTCTCTAGTTCAACCCTTCCTCACCACACTCTCTGCCTCAGTTAAAGGCCTCATTAATTTACTGTCTGTTTACTAAAGCAGATCCCTCCCTAATGGGCCTCTCTGCCAGTCATTTCTCTGCACCAGTGTCAGAGAGCTCCTTCTAATACATAAATCTGGCTGCATTGTTGTCCTGTTTGAAATGTTTTGACTCTCCATGGTTTTTTAAAAGAAACTCCACACTGCATAGCCTGTCAAACCTCTGTTCACCTCTCCCCTCTCTTCCCTCGTCTTCCCTTCTTCACACACTTTGCTCTTGGGCATAACTGTAGGTCCTTAAAATAACCATGCTCTTTCTTTTTTTTTCTTTTATATATATATATATATATATATATATATAGTTTTTTTATTATACTTTAAGTTCTAGGGTACATGTGCACAATATGCAGGTTTGTTACATATGTATACATGTGCCATGTTGGTGTGCTGCACCCATTAACTCATCATTTACATCAGGTATATCTCCTAATGCTATCCCTCCCCCCTCCCCGCATCCCATGACAGGACCCGGTGTGTGATGTCCCCCTTCCTGTGTCCAAGTGTTCTCATTGTTCAATTCCCATCTGTGAGTAAGAACATGCGATGTTTGGTTTTTTGTCCTTGCGTTAGTTTGCTGAGAATGATGGTTTCCAGCTTCATCCATGTCCCTACAAAGGACATGAACTCATCCTTTTTATGGCTGCATAGTATTCCATGATGTATATGTGCCACATTTTCTTAATCCAGTCTATCATTGTTGGACACTTGGGTTGGTTCCTAGTCTTTGCTATTGTGAATAGTGCCTTAATAAACATACGTGTGCATGTGTCTTTATAGCAGCATGATTTATAATCCTTTGGGCATATACCCAGTAATGGGATAGCTGGGTCATATAGTATTTCTAGTTCTAGATCCCTGAGGAATCATCACACTGTCTTCCACAATGGTTGAACCAGTTTACAGTCCCACCAACAGTGTAAAAGTGTTCCTGTTTCTCCACATCCTCTCCAGCACCTGTTGTTTCCTGACTTTTTAATGATTGCCATTCTAACTGGTGTCAGATGGTATCTCATTGTGGTTTTGATTTGCATTTCTCTGATGGCCAGTGATGATGAGCATTTTTTCATTACCATGCTCTTTCTAGCCTCTGTGCCTTTTAATGTCTTCCCTTCCACGGGAATTTCCCCTTCCTTTTTATCTTTAGCTAATTACCTCTGTCTTTCAAGACTACACCTGGTTCTTACTTTTCCTGAGAGGTGCCTTTTGATGCCTCAGTCCAAGTGGGATTTCCTCTTCTTTGCTCTAATGGAGAGCTCCCACACCTTGCTCACTGCACCTAACTCACAACACACTCTACAAAAGAATCTTTACCTGTTCCTGCATCTCTCTCTTTGCAAGAATGTGAACTTAGTGAAGACTGATTTTTATGTCTTTTATCTGTGCATTTCCTATGCTTAGCAGAGTTCCTGATGTACTGCAGCACTAGTTTATGATGAAAGAGGGAATAAATGAAATCATATCCCTAGGAATTTTAGGCCTTGGAGATGAATTCTTCAAGAGGGGAATGAAATCATTACAAGTGATTTCCTTGCTCATTCTCTTAGGTCTTATTTTTTCTCTTCCTCTTAGAGCCATGCTAAGCCATAGAGAACTGTGTTCTAAGTGATACAGAATTGCATTTTACAACTCAGGGAAATGATTGTTTGGAGGTGCACTCAACACTGGAGCCAAAGGACTGAAATTGCATAGTGCTGGATACTTAAAGTCTATGCTTTTGGTAGGGCAAAATGGATCTATGCTATTTATTCAGCTCATTAGAGAAAATATGGCGGGCAGGAATTCTGGGCATATTCTGTGTACAGGAAAAGAGTGAATTTTATTTGGGCCTTCCCTGGCCTTTATCATTTGGTGTCTTGAAGGAGGTGGTAAGCAATTTCTTTCCTTGGTTCCTCTTATAATACAACTGGTAGCTGAGTGTCCTGAAAGCCTCCCTTCTGCATCCTCATCTCTTCTGCCTCCCTCAATTTTAGACTTCATCTAGAATTTCCAAAGGTATTATAGAAAGACACAGAGTAGCTTGAAAACTATCATCTGAGCCCTTACCAGGGTGACAAACTCATCCCCATTTCTCTCTGCCTGTCCTCTTCCTCCTTCTTTATTATAATAACTGGAGTGTTCCAGATCCTACTGTATATTACACAAAAATGCTAGATCTGTTTTTGGTACACTGTGGAAAAAATAGGAAAACAGTGAACTAGATCACCTCCAAAGGAAACATCCCATTGTATGAGTTTTATTTCTCCGTTTAGTCCCAGCCATTAGTACTGTTTATATGTTCTTACCATGGCTTAGAGTGCTATATTTCAATCCAGTTCAGCAGATCATTGCTAGGGCCATGCCAGACACTAGAATCCAAAAGAAACATTGACAACTGCATCCACCAGGCCATGTGGCTATGTGAGGAGAGAAGTGCTTGGCAAGGCTTGGAGCACTGCAGAAGGATGACAGGCAGTCCCCGTCAAGCTGCCCTAATGGTGGACTGGACTTGAGGACTCATGTCTAATGAATAGAATACAGAAGAAGTATTGATGTGTTGCTACTGAGATTAAGTTATAAAAAGACTGCTGCTTCCATCTGGGATGTTAGAAGGTTGGGATTAGTTGAGATGGAAAGAGGAATTAAAATGATGCCCAGATTTTTGGACTAAATAACAATCAGTGTGGTGTGATCTAACAGGCAGAAAATTGGAAAAGAAAAAGCTTAAAGAGGAAAAGTTTCTTAATCATGATTTTGAATTTAGACGTTAAGTTTGGAATACCTCTGTGATATCTGAATCAAAATGTCTAGTAAGCAGGTCAGGTTTACATCTGGACCTCAGAAAAGAAGTTTGGGCTTGAATATAAATTTGGGAGTTTACAGCAGGTTGATGTTTAACCATGGGGTAGCATGTGGTCATGAAATAGGTGGAGCAAAAATAAGGGCCCAGGATTTTACCTTAGTAATACCAACCCATAGAGGCTGTATTGAGGAAGAAGAGCAAGTTAGTAAAACAAAAGAGAGTAAGAAACTATCGCCAGAGAAGTTGGAGGAATCCAGGTGTGTGCATTCTTGTGAGAAGAAGGGGAAGGAAGTTCCCAAAGAGAGAGAGATCAAATTGGTTAAATGCTGCTGAGAGGGTGAGGGGGTCTAGATATGGGAAGTATCCATCTGATTTGGCCAGATAGTGACCTTAACAGCAGTAATTCGTATTGCAGACTTAAGGGTTGATATGAGCACAAAAAAAAAGGGTTATAGACAACATTTCACATGACAAGTCCTTAGGAGAGCTCTGCATCTATTAATTTCAGTTTGATTTAATTTCACTTACAGAATCCCTATTTCAGAAAATGAAAGCATAATGTATTCAAACTACTAACGCTATATTTAAAGTAGCTTTGCAAATTTCTTCCCAAAATTTCTATTCCTCTTTCTTGCCAGGTTATTGAAAGATAAGAAAATGAATACAATCAACTCTCCCTACTCCTTAACTAGCAACAATTACTAGTGGCACATGCAGTATGAAAATGGTTCTGTGTGTGATTGAATACAATAACGGAATCTTCTAGCATCATCTATAAATAGTGCAGTACAGTTGTAGTGACGATACTGGCTAAATAAAGGCTCAGAAATGTGTAATGCTAATGTCATGGCTACCTGGAAAATAATTTTCCCCTTTTGCAAAATATATCACCTCAGGAAAGAGAATCCTTCAGGGTAGTCCCCCAGAAGCTCAGCAGCACCAAATTATGCTAGGAAAACTATGCTGCACGACTGAATCAGTATGACGTGTCAATTTATTCATAGCCTATTTTTAAAACAATCACTTAGAGCTGATGCAAGATTAATAAATATGGTCTATGCATAACTCTGATGCTCTCAGGAGATTTAATTTAATAAAAATATACACCCAGAGATAAAACTTATTTTTATAACGTCCTGGTCATCACCAGGATTAGGAAAGCAAACCAGCTATGTTTCTGGCCCTTTCTCAAAGCCTGGGTGTGTGGCTTACGGACCAGACTAGAGGTTCCTCTAAGTTAGCCCAGGGCAGTGGCTGGATTGAACTGTGTTGACTAGGGAAAGTCCTGGTAATTTTGAGCTGTGATTTACACAGGCTTTTATGTGTTATTACAATATGTACCCAGGAAGAAATTTTCTGTGGTTTTCTGTCTTCATCAGTGAAGTAACTTTTAGATGTTTCTTTGGCAATAGCCTAATGAAACAGTTGTTGGTTGTATCTTTCCAGATTAGGAAATACTTGGGGACTGCAATAAACTGATATGATTTTTAGGCACTATTTGTTCCCTCACATTTTCTTTTTAAAAAATATTTTTCTGATTACAGTTGTTTATTGTAAAATAATAAGAAGAAAAGAACCATAAAAGGTTAAGAACAACAAAAACAAAAACAACGATCATTTCTCAGTAGTGCCAAGACTTAGGAAACAAATATTATTACCATGTTTGTGCATTTATTTCTCATCTTCTTTCATATTACATATATACATAGAAAATGTGTTAAATGGGATTTTATGTACATTGCACATTTTTATACATTTTACTATAATTGGTTATTATACATTTTCTTCCAATATATAGGTATACTCTAATCTGTGTAATCACCTACTTTAGTTACTTCCAATTTCTAATCATTAGGAAGAAAATGTCAACATCTCATCCATTCTTTTCATATGCAATCCTCAAACTATGGCATTCAGGTGAAAATAGAAATGGAGTTACTGAATCAAAGTCTGTGAATATTTATGAGTTTCTTGATCTGTGTTTCCAAATTTCCTTTCAGATATTTTCAACAATGTACATTATATCATGACATTGTTATTTTTGAACTATGATAAATTGACAGGAAAAAAATTATCTTGTGTTATTTTGTGTTAGTGTCAGATTTAACCTTTTGTAGTATGCATATTCACCATTAATACTTCTTTTTCAAATTGTGTGATTTTGTTCTTAGTCATTTTTCACCTAGAATAGCTTTTTCTTATTTAATTTATAAAATCACTATATATTAAGAACTTTTAGTATTACATACACTGCCTACCTTTTCCTCATTTGTTCCATTTGCTTTTTATGATTGAAAGAAGGAAGATTTTAACTTTTATGAAGCCTAATTTACCAGAGATTTTCTGTATGCCCTCTCGCTAGCCTCTGCTTATATGTTCATAAAAGGTCTCTGGATCTCAAGAAAAGATAATCACCTATATCTTCTTCTAGACCATCTAAAAGTTTGTTATATCTACATTAATTGTTTCAATTGATTTTTTAGCATATGATGAAAGTTTGAAACATGACATCATTTTTTAAAAGTATCAATTGTTCCAATACCATGTATTGAGTAATATTTTATAATGTTCATCCCCATTGATGGGATATTCAAATCCCACCTTTTTAGTACATTCTATTTTTCAAGAAAATAAGGTGGGGCAAGGAAAGGCAAACAGGAATTACCTTGAGTGACAACTAAGATGATTGCACAGGGCACTGTGTTAAAACATATTCTGGAACAACTTTAGGATCAAAATGGAGTGCTGTGATTAATTACTGATGTCTCTCATGAGCACATAAGTGGGAGTGGAATAATAAATATGCTTTATACATATACATTGTGTTTCATTAATGTCTATTCTTGACCTGCTATCATATATTGTAGGTATGTGTACCTAATAATATAGTCATTATAAAATATAAAGAAAAGTTTATAAAATTACTATGAGAAAATGGCAAATCTATAACCATTGTGGAAGATTTTTAACACATCTCTCTATAATTGATAATTCAAGTATACAAATTATAGTTTTTATAAGTCCTTTTTGTTTGATAAGGAGAAAGTGAATAACAGATGAGTAATTGTACAAGATATTTGAGTTTGATTCAATTCTGAGGACAGTGCACTAGTTTAATCTGTGGGATATTCATGTGGACACAGGATATAACCTTGTCTTAGGGACTGAAAACAGCAGAGCCCCTATGTGAGAAAATAAAAGGATGGAGATTCCAACAAGTGAGAAGGTGAACAAATTAAGGCTCAAATATAGAAAGCCACTTCCTAAAGTCCCGATTTAGGATTAAGTATTATAATGTCCTCAAAGGAAAGAAAAGAAGATGTTTTGAAATGAATATTTTAATTCCAGGTAAAAGATGCTCAATTGTGAATGAAAATAAGCTCTTTGAGTAGCAGCTACAGCTAATGACCAGAGGGTGCACTACAGGTATATACAGGATAAGAAAATTTGAAAAGGGTGGTTGCCCTTACTTTGGTCATTTTAGCAATGCATTTTCATATATTATTGTTGTCAGTATTTTGTCATTGAAAATAACAGACGTAATACATAAAAAATAATTGATAAAAGTTGTGATGATCAAAATACCAATTTATCAAAAAACAGAATCTTGTTTGTACCATGCTTTAGTGCAAATCCAAAATGTCATAAACCAGCCCTATTAGCCACTCAATAAATGTTGAATGAATGAGCCAGAGAGTAAGACTCTTAACAACTATACAGCCAACTTAACAACCAAGATTTGCCTTACAACATAATAATATATAATTGTTAAATAAGGTGTTTTGCCCCATAGTAAAGCCCTTACAACAATATAAAACAAATACAATAATGACCACCTCTTTTTTATAAAATAAAAAAGTTATTATATAGTTATATGTTATAGAACATATATATAGTTATTATGTTCTTATTTTTTCCTTTCTAAATTTTATGATTTCCACCTGTAATATTGTTGTTCATAGTTCACTGTTACAGAGATGTCCCTCCCAACAACTTGGAAATAAGAACACAGTTGCCATCAGAGTTAAGTTCTGAAATCTATGCATAATAGATCAGTACACATCAGTACATTCAAAACATTGTGAAAATAAGATAAAATATATTTCATGTGAAAACTAACACAAGAACAGAAAAGCAAACACCGCATGTTCTCACTCATAAGTGGGAGTTGAACAATGAGAACACATGGACACAGGGAGGGGAACATCACACACGAGGCCTGTCAAGGGTTGAGGGGCTAGGGGATGGATAGTATTAGGAGAAATACCTAATGTAGTTGACGGGTTGATGAGTGCAGCAAACCACCATGACATGTGTATACCTATGTAACAAACCTGCACATTCTGTACATGTATCCCAGAACTTAAAGTATAATAAAAAAATTATTTCATGCTGAAAGGGCTTTGGTATAATCTGTTTTAATAGTCACTTATTTAATTTAAGAATTTTATAATAAAAAAGGTGGTTCTATTAAACCTTGGAAACATAAATAAATATCTCCAGAGGTTAGTATTGATAGTACTATTCCAGTAACGTCCCAAGAAAGCTGAGTTTTAGAAATTAGGCTTTCGACTTTTCTTAGAATTATTCTTTGTAAGATGATATTAACAGCTAACTCTGCTTGAGTGCTTACTCTGTGCCAATCACTGACTGTTCCAAGTATTTTGTATCTATTATTTAATCCTCATTGGAATTTAATCCTCATTAGATGGTATAATACCTATGAGGTAGGTATTATACTATCATTTTCTCATTTTACAGATAAGGAAACTAATTTTGTAATTTGCAGCCTCACGTGGTTATTAAGAAGCAGAGAGATGATTTCAATTAAGGAAGCCTGAATCCAGCACCTGTGCTCTCAGCCGCTACCTTGTACATTCATGTATTCATTCAACAAATGTGTACTGAATGCTCCTAGCTATGCCAGGCACTGTGCTAGATGCTGAGAATAGTAGAGCTCAAAACAAATACGCGTGCTCTCCTGGAGCTTACAATCTAGAGGCAGACAAAACTTAAAACAACAAATAAATGTAGAGCTACAGATTGAGACAAGTGTTACAAAAGAAAATTACAGAGTGCTCTGGAGTATACATCAGGGCCCCTTCTTAGATAAGAAGACTAGGAATGGTTTCTCTAAGAAAGTGATAATTAAGCTAAGATTAAATGGATTACTAAAAGTAAGCAGAGAATGGGGGTGGGAGAATGTGCCAGGCTTTGGTAAGAGCATGGCAAAGTGTTTCTAATCCCTTTGACAAGATCTCATAGGGAGATAAATATATCTCTCTTAGGCCAGTGCCATTAAAATAAATTTCTCTGTGTACCCTTATTCTGACTTCATATTTAATAAAATCTTATCAGTTGGCTTCATGTATAGTTTGACAATAAGAGGAGAATGCACTTATTATGTAGACTTTTAGTATACTGATTATTATGAGTCCTCTCCCCTTATAAATTAATAAATGTGCATTTATACCTATCTCCAGTACCTTCTCTTCTTGTTACCAAGCTTATAAGCAACTTCAGATCCTGAGCCTTCAAAGCAGAAGACCAGATCCTTAAATGGAATGACCTGGATTCCAGATTGAGCTCCCACCCAGCTCCAAGCTGCCTTTCCTTTAAATGCTTGTATTGGATCTCTCTTATTGGTGAAGTTTTATAAATATGCAATATTTGGTAAAGTGGGAAAAAAGACGAATTATTTTATATTAAAAAAAGAATAATAGATTTAGTGAGCACACAATCCATGATTATTCTGGTTAGTTTTACTGAAAAGAAAGTCTATCTGGGACAGAGTCTGAATGAAATAATGTTTTGAATATTTAGGGAATAAAACAGACACCATTCTTGTCTTAGCAGTCATGTGCTGAGTGAGTAATGCTGGTATTGTTTTACGAGATTGTTTTAGTATAAAACCGTAGTAAACTGTGCTGGAAAGTATTTCCCCACTACAAGCATGGAAACGAGACTTACTCATAATATTTATTTCTTCTCCAGAGTGCCTTTGCAGACCTGAAACATCTGAACTAACAAAAGGCCTCCAATTTATAATATAACACAGCTGCTCCGAGGATTGCGTGCGGGCATATGTGTGTGCATGATGGGAGGGGATTTCCTTGTATGTATTCATTTATGTGCCCTCTGGAGAAGGGGCAAGTTCAGTCCAACTGGAATTCTAAGTGCCTCTTACTGGGCATTTGTTATATGTAAAAAGCTGGCTCATGTCTAAAGTATCTTCCAGGCAGCGTGCAGCTGAGAGCCATATAAGAGAAGACTGTATATTGTTTAGGAACAGTGATGCTAATGGGTAGCATTTTCACAGCGAACAATTAGTTTTTCTACCACTGAAGAACAGTGTATTTATTATAAAGAAATGGGAATTATACAGAAACTGTCATCAGAAGATATGTTTCTATCATTATTTTCTATTATTAGTTATTCACAATCAGTAAGTTCACTTCCAACACATGTACTATACTTTTAACAGAGCAGAAACAATAAGGCTATCAGTATCACAGTTTAGTTCTTTCTTTATTCTTCACTTTTGTTCTTCCAAACTGTCAAAGCATGATTAATCTTGAATGTTACCAATTTAGAAAAAAATCTAGATATTCTAATAAATTGTTTTCTTCTTTTCTTTCCCATCTCTTTTCCAAACCTATTTATTCATTTAACTAACTGAACTTGACGCCAGGAATGCGGTGACAGGTGGATTAGTCTCTACCAGAGAACTCACAGTCTGGCTAGGGAGATGGGTGACTATATCAACAACTATGAGAGAGTGCAATAAGTGTTAGGCATGTTTAGAGCTCTTGGGAGAACAGAGTATGGGCACTTACAGGAGTTAGGCAATCATGGGGGCAGTCTGAGATGACCACCCCGCCCCACAAAGAGAGGACAGTGCTTGAACTAAGCAGTTGTTAACTGGGTAGATGTGAAGGCAGGGAGAGCAGCAGAGCTCACAGAAAACAGCCTACAAGATGTCAGGATCTGAGAGATACATGCCATGTCTTTTCTGGCCTAGTCTGTTTTTCCCTTGTACCTTTCCCTGAATGCCAAGTGCAAGTCATGAGACAAGGATTCAAAGAGGTGAAATAAAATCAGAGAACAAATTGGTATCGGTTTGCGTTCTGGAGGAAAGTGGCCAGTTGACAACAGACAGATATTTTACATGTTCTCCCCCAGTAACTAGTGAAATCACCCAGAAAATGGTGAAATGACTACATTCACATCAGAAACTAGGGAACCATCCAAATGCTAGAATTTCTGTTACTTACAGGGCAGAGGAGACATGTATGAAGAAGGCTGAGCAGGACTGGCTTGCAAATCACTTACCTTAGAAAGCAGAACCTTTCAAAAATTAACAAGAGATTTTGAACGTCATAGATACCATTATTTATCTAGTCTAGGACTTGGATAAGTAATGGACCACCCAATCAGAGGAAAATCTCGTTCTTTGAGGGCCTTTGGCAGAGGCTGCCTGCTCACCAGATTTCAGTGCTGTAGCTGCCTAGGGAGAGTGTAACGGGATTCAGGAGTAGCTATCCCATGAGGTCTGGGCCATAGATGGCTTTATCAAGTCACTGGCTGCTGGCAAGGGTGACATTGGAAAACTTTTGTCAAGGTCTAGGTCACTAACTGTTCAGAATGCTAAAACTGGGGGTTGATGAAGGCAGGTGAGGAACGATCTCCTGCAGGAGGCACATTTTCATTCGGTTCTCATAGTTTTTCATATACTGCACCAGGAATGGGGTACAGCCATAAATGATTTCGCACCGTTAGGTAAGTGTTGAGAGACACAGATGAAAAACTCTCCTGAAATGAGATGTACCTGCCAGGACTACCTACGGCCCCAGATCACTATGCACTCAATCTGGGCTACTGGATGAAGGAGTTAGAGATTAGGCTTCATTATGAAGACTCAAGTGAAGTATGGGAAAATATAAGGGGAATCCAGGCATCCTACTTATAGGGAGATGTATTAGGCCTTTAACAAAAGAATGAATGAACAGAAGAGACTCTTTCATCAAAAGTGGAAAAAATAGACCTTAAGAAAAATAAAAGTAAATTATTATAAAAAAAAGAAACAAAATTTTATTACGTGAGTAATAAGTATTCAAAATGTTAAAATTTCAGTTATAGTATATATATGTTTGTGTGCGTATGCTTGTGTGTGTGTACTTTTTGCTACTTAACATCCAGAACTTCTCCCCTCCCACACTTGGGGACTTGAGAAGAAGTCAAAATCCAGCCTTACATTAAAGAAGCTGACGGTTCCAGATCTCTTCCCCTTGCAGGCAAAGCCAGGTGGGCACGTGACCAGGATCAGCCAATGGGATGCTCCTGACCATGGCATTGACTCTTGAGTAAGTCAAGCCAAAGCAAAAAGGCACTGGAGAATACATTCACTGTCATGGTGCACAGCAGCAGCCGAGTCTGGAGCAGCAGTATTGGTGACAAGATGTCACCAGAGCCCATCTGCTCCTAGGCATGACTTTGACTAAACTGTTGTGCCTCCCACCTAGCTTTCCTTGGCTTTTACCCATTTTTTCAAGTTTTATTCTCTAGCCTTCCTGTTGATACTATAAACTTCACAACAGTCTTCTAGTAATTCCTTTTCAGCCTAAGTTAGGCAGAGCTGATATTAATTGGCAACACCTAATACAACACATACAGAAATGTTTTGTTTTTGTTTTTTGAGTCAGTGCCTCCCTCTCTTGCCCAGGCTGGTGCAGTGGCACAATCATAGCTCACTCTAGCCTCGAACTCCTGGGCTCAAGTGATCCTTCTGCCTCAGCCTCCAGAGTAGCTGGGACTACAGGAGCACACCACTATGCCCAGCTAATTTTTTTTTTAAATGTATAGATGTGGGTTTTGCTGTGTTGTCCAGGCTGGTCTTGAACTCCTGGGCTCTAGTGATCCTCCCACCTTGGCCTCCCAAAGTGCTGGGATTACAGGCATGAGCCACAGTGCCTGGCCTGGAATTTTTTTTTTTCCCCAAAAGTTTTGCTTAATGAAAAAGTGCATTTCTACTGTCTCCTGGGCATTTAGAGTTTTCACAGACATAAGCATGTAAAATTTTCTTGTCATAACTGATGAAGATTCAGTGCTGGGATCCCGCCAAAGTGATGTCCTAGTAGTTGGCACTCAGCTTCCCTGTGTTGTTGCCTGTTCTGATTGGCGTCTTGCTCCCCGTAAACAGAGGTCATTGATCACAACTACTCTTCGAACATACTCATTAGTATCAACCACCTTCTGCATTTGTACCTGATGCTCTCTACATTTCTCTTACCTGGTTGAAAACCCTAGTTCCAACCTTTTCCATCACCATGACTTACATGCTAGGCCCTGTGCTATCTCACAGCTGAATCGGGTTAAAAATGTGACCTAATTAATCGTGTGGTACACACAGGCCTAAATCCTATTTTGAATACAAGCCAATTGTATTTCTTTCAAATGGGTGTCATAAAAGCTTTAGCAAGAACTTCTCATAGCTCAAAGAGAGACATGCCTGATTTATGATTTCTTGATAGCACTTAACATTTTATTTGGATTTAGAGATAACTCTAGATACATCAATCAAACAAGCTGTTTTCAAATCCTTCTGCTCAGCTGTTCCCGGTGCCAGATTGTCTAACAAATAGAAGCATAAACAGATGTAATTTGTGACTTGTGGAGACCATTCTCTGTCATGCAATAGGCCAGCTGGTGGCACGAGCCATAGTACAGTCCACAGCCTGACTCACAGGCATCAGGCTTCTCACTCCTCATACACGTGAGCAATGTTTAAAGATCACAGTTACATAAAAGTTTATTCTGGAAAATTCATTTAAATATTTGCTTACAAACTTGATTGTTGAAAGATGGTATTTTATCATAACATGTATCCTCATAATCAGACCTTGCAAAGTAGAACTTTTGTTACCTGATTTAAAAAAATGTAGCTATGGTAATTTGTAAAATAAAACTTTGGCAAAAGAACCAACAGCATGTATGATTGATAGCCCAGAAAAATGACATATACTAATATGTATGCACACACTTACATGCATATATACACATATATCTGTGTGTACATGTATGTATATATATATATGTCTATATATGTCATGTACCATTATGTATGTGTTGTGTGTGCGTGTATATACAACATATACATACATATTTGGTATATGATAAAGTTATCACAATTTTGTGAATAGAAAGGATTATTTGGAAAAGTTGCACCAGGATCTTTTCTTTTTTTTTTTTTCAAAACAGGATACAAGATCTATATACAAAAATCAAGTGATTTAATTTCTATATAATGGCTATTAAAAATCTTTATTATTATACTTTAAGTTTTAGGGTACATGCGCACAACGTGCAGGTTTGTTACATATGTATACATACACCATGTTGGTGTGCTACACCCATTAACTCATCATTTACATTAGGTATATCTCCTAATGCTTTCCCTCCCCCCTCCACCCTCCCCTCACCCCATGACAGGCCCTGGTGTGTGATGTTCCCCTTCCTGTGTCCAAGTGTTCTCATTGTTCAGTTCCCACCTATGAGCGAGAACATGTGGTGTTTGGTTTTTTGTCCTTGCGATAGTTTGCTGAGAATGATGGTTTCCAGCTTCATCTATGTCCCTACCAAGGGCATGAGCTCATCCTTTTTTATGGCTGCATAGTATTCCATGGTGTATATGTGCCACATTTTCTTAATCCAGTCTATCATTGATGGACATTTGGGTTGGTTCCAAGTCTTTGCTATTGGGAAAAGTGCCATAATAAACATATGTGTACATGTGTCTTTATAGCAGCATGATTTATAATCCTTTGGGTATATACCCAGTAATGGGATGGCTGGGTCAAATGGTATTTCTAGTTCTAGATCCTGTCTTCCACAATGGTTGAACTAGTTTACAGTCCCACCAACAGTGTAAAAGTGTTCCTATTTCTCCACATTCTCTCCAGCATCTGTTGTTTCCTGACTTTTTAATGATCGCCATTCTAACTGGTGTGAGATGGTATCTCATTGTGGTTTTGATTTGCATTCTCTGATGGCCAGTGATGATGAGCATTTTTTCATGTGTCTGTTGGCTGCATAAATGTCTTATTTTGAGAAGTGTCTGTTCATATCCTTTGCCCACTTTGTGATGGTGTTGTTTTTTTCTTGTAAATTTGTTTGAGTTCTTTGTAGATTCTGGATATTAGCCCTTTGTCAGATGAGAAGATTGCAAAAATTTTCTCCCATTCTGTAGGTTGTCTGTTTGCTCTGATGGTAGTTTCTTTTGCTGTGCAGAAGCTTTTTAGTTTAATTAGATCCCATTTGTCAATTTTGGCTTTTGTTGCCATTGCTTTTGGTGTTTTAGACATGAAGTCCTTGCCCATGCCTATGTCCTGAATGGTATTGCCTAGGTTTTCTTCTAGGGTTTTTATGGTTTTAGTTCTAACATTTAAGTCTTTAATCCATCTTGAATTAATTTTTGTATAAGGTGTAAGGAAGGGATCCAGTTTCAGCTTTCTACATATGGCTAGCCAGTTTTCCCAGCACCATTTGTTAAACAGGGAATCCTTTCCCCATTTCTTGTTTTTGTCAGGTTTGTCAAAGAGCAGATGGTTGTAGATGTGTGGTATTATTTCTGAGGGCTCTGTTCTGTTCCATTGGTCTATATCTCTGTTTTGGTACCAGTACCATGCTGTTTTGGTTACTATAGCCTTGTGGTATAGTTTGAAGTCAGGTAGCATGATGCCTCCAGCTTTGTTCTTTTGGCTTAGGATTATCTTGGCAATGCGGGCCCTTTTTTGGTTCCATATGAGCTTTAAAGTAGTTTTTTTCCAATTCTGTGAAGAAGGTCATTGGTAACTTGATGGGGATGGCACTGAATCTATAAATTACTTTGGGCAGTATGGCCATTTTCACGATATCGATTCTGCTTCTCCATGGGCATGGAATGTTCTTCCATTTGTTTGTGTCCTCTTTTATTTCATTGAGCAGTAGTTTGTAGTTCTCCTTGAAGAGCTCCCTCACATCCCTTGTAAGTTGGATTCCTAGGTATTTTACTCTCTTTGAAGCAATAGTGAATGGGAGTTCACTCATGATTTGGCTCTCTGTTTGTCTGTTATTGGTGCATAAGAATGCTTGTGATTTTTGCAAAATTGATTTTGTATCCTGAGACTTTGCTGAAGTTGCTTATCAGCTTAAGGAGATTTTGGGCTGAGACAATGGGGTTTTCTAGATATATAATCATGAATCATGTCATCTGCAAACAGGGACAATTTGACTTCCTCTTTTCCTAATTGAATACCCTTTATTTATTTCTCCTGCCTGATTGCAGGATGCTTTCTTAACTATTCAGAAAAGAAATCCTCACATCATGTACAAAAACTGATTCCACATGGATTTGAACAACAAAAACCAAACTACGCAATAGGTGGATAAAAATATAGATAAATCTGAATGATCTTGACTTGGGGAAATATTTTTTAAGAATAAAATCAATGTGAGGAATAAAAGAAAGCATCAAGAGATTTGACTTTACAAATATTAAGATATTTTGTATTATAAAAACATCGTTAAGAAGCAAACAACAAATAATTGGAATTCAGGGGCTCAATAAATAAGACACCTCTACTCTGGTCAACTTCTGAACCAAATGAACAATAAAGAAGATGAGTCAATAGGATAGAGGCCAAAATATCATCTTTATCATTATTAAACTGAGGTTGTAGAATGTTGCTGGACAGTGGTGGGCAGGTGAATTTACTAACATGGGTCCCCTAAGTTAGGCAGATATATCCATCCATGCACAGGCAGTCTTAGAGTGACTCAGGCCTTCCCTTATGGTGTCTGCCTCTGATGAACTTACAGTGTAAAAGAGCAAAAAACAACTTATGCCTCTTGTCTCACTGTGGGGAAGTTTGCTGCCAAAGAAAAAACTTGAAAAGGGGGTCAGGCTATATATGCCCAAGATTGTGCTCCCAAACTCATCAATTGGATTACAATGCTTCTTCTCCCTTTGAAAGAAATGGGTTAAAAAATAACCAGGAATCTTACACAAATAGAGTTCACACATAAACATGAGAAATAAGGTAGAACTATTATTTGCCAAACAGAATTTAAGGGTACGTATTGGTTAGGGATTTGAACTGGCTACTACATATAGTGCACAAGAGCTTATATAAGGGGAAAAAAAGAGAAATTCCAATAGGAAATAGAGCAAAGGATACAAAAATTCACAGAATTACAAATACCTAATAAAATATGAACATTCTGAAATTCATCTATTCAAAGAAATACAAATAATAAACATCAGTGTTTTATATATATGAAGTTTCTTACAGTTATTTATTCCACCTTGAGAGATGAAGAGAAAAAAGCAGGAACAATTTGCTAATATACAGCTAGTATTGTGATAAGTCAAAGTAACTGTGTACTGATCAGCTCCTGATGACTATAAGAGTGTCTTAATTTCTAATGTTATTAAGCTTTACTTTATCAAGGAAGTTAAATCAAATGTACTAACCATTAAGAATTTGCTCTGTTTCAAGTTAGCAAATAGTAAGAGAATGTTAGTCAATGAAGAGCAGTGAATATACCATGCCTCTAACCCAAGCTCTAACTTACTTTGTTCCAGTCTATGTGGTAGGTAGATGGTGTAAGAATATGACAGTTGCTCAGAACTAGAAAGACAGACAATATAGGGGCACAGTAGTGTGCAGGGGCGATAGACAGTGGGGATGGTATGGTTGAGGGGTTGGTGCCATTAAGATGTAGACATAGTCTATTCAGATACTGTAGTTAAATAGAACATGACTCCTTGCCTCCTTCACTAGCCACATTTATTCCAGGGAGAAAGCCCTGACTTGAATTTCTGTGGATGACACAGGTGCTAAATGGAATAAAATATAATGTCTTTAAAATGGAAAAGTTATATTTTTTGAGGATAAGTATTGCTATTGATGACATAGTGAGACTGGTACTCTCATTCACAGATGAAGATTGTGCAAATTAGTTAAAAATTTTTATCAAAAGCTTCATAAAGACAATACCTTTACACCAACTAGTCCCACATTCAGTACTCTATCCAACACAGAACTGTAAAAGAGATTTACATCTATGTTAGACATCACAGCCAAAAAAAAAAAAGCTGAAATAATCATGTTTTTTGAATTTAAGAATATAAATTTTGATCCATTTTATTATTATTATTATTGTTATTATTTTGAGACAGGGTCTCACTCTGTCGCCAAGGCTGGACTGCAGTGGCGTGATCTCCGCTCACTGCAACCTCCACCTCCCAGGTTCAAGCAATTCTCATGCCTCAGCCTCCCAAGTAGCTAGGACTACAGGAGCACACCACCACGCCCAGCTAATCTGTATATTTTTTAGTAGAGACAGGGTTTCACCATGTTGGACAGGCTGATCTCGAACTCCTGACCTCAAAGTGATCAGCCTTCCTTGGCCTCCCAAAGTGCCATTATTGTTTTTAAAGTATAAGAATAAAATGTGCCTATATAGTATGGTTTGTACACATGCATATATGTAGAGAGAGAATACACTGAAATCTTTAGAATTTTCTCTCAGAGGTAGAAGAGCAGATAAATTTTAAATATTTTAGTATTTTAATTTTATATTTATATAAAAAGTTTCTACATTTTATATAAAATATATTTTTATATTCTTATTTTGTAATTGAATTTTCTGATTCCCCAAATTATTCACTATGATTATGCATTACTTTCAACTATACACATACATATATATAAAATTTATAAATAAACATTTACAGACAGTTTTTACATCTGTGCCCAGTTTTGCAGTTATGCTTACAACACTTTAGTCAACTTTACACATTATTCCTGCACTCATCAGTTCTTACATGTCACAAAACTATCTTGACTCGCGAATATTTTTTTTGAGATGGAGTCTCGCTCCATCGCCCAGGCTGGAGTGCAGAGGCGCCATCTGGGCTCACTACAACCTCTGCCTCCCGGGTTCAAGCAATTCTTCTGCCTCAGCTTCCCAGATAGCTGGGATTACAGGTGCCCATCACCACGCCCGGGTAATTTTTTGTATTTTTAGTAGAGACAGGGTTTCACCATGTTGGCCAGGCTGGTCTCAAACTCCTGACCTCAAGTGATCTACCCACCTCAGCCTCTCAAAGTGCTGGGATTACAGGCATGAGCCACTGTACCTGGCCTTGACTTGTAAATTTTGATTCATTTTTCTATTGAGTAAAATATTTTTCTTTCTTTTTCAGAAAGGGTACGTAGTAGCTGTTTTCTAAGGCTTTGTGTACGAAAAATTGTCTCCTAAAGACTCCACTTGTAAAAGGCAATAGATCGAATATAGTCTTTTCGTACTATTGACGGACATTCAATATTGCATGAGTTTGAAGCAAATCTAATTTTTGTACTATTGAAAGTCACCTTTTTAATTTTGTTTTTGCCTGGTTACTCCTACAGTGTTTCATTATCAAAATCGGAAAAACTTTGGTTCCATTTCTCACCAATTTTAGCCATTAAGACAGAGGCTTGTTTTAATTTGAAGGTCAGTGTCACCTGGAATAAGGGAATTCTGTGGTCACCCCTGGTGACTGCACCAAGGCTATGTATGCTGTCCCTCAGATCACACAAAGCTCAGGGTACTTGGCAGAGCTAGGGCTGTGACTCTGCAAGTAAAATTATAGATATTTGCTCTGACTAATTTAGTAATCATCCATGAAAAACGATGATGTGTAACCCATGAGTGGATCTTTCTAAATCCTACATTAGCTTTTCTCTGAGCCCCGTTAAGTTTTCATCATTTGAAGTTTGGCTTCAGTCAAAGGACCAACTGACTCAAAATAAGGATAACTGGATTTCAGCTATCATAGAGCATTGCAGCCCAGGAATGAATTATGGCTGTGCAAATCAATCCCTTGATGTCATGAAGGTAATTCTTGCCAAATTACATCAACTTTGCCCCCTCGACACAGCTTCTCTGTCTTGGTAGAGGAATACTGTCTATTCTCTAGACCATACCAGAGGCAAAAGTAGGACTATTTGTCAAGGAATATGCAAAATTTTCTGCTTTCAACTCCATCACTCCATGTAGCGTCAGGCATTCTGCACAGTCTATCATATACATTGCAAGTCTCCAGGGTAAGTGAGTGGGTTGGGGGTTGCACTTGAATTCACAACTGAATCTCTTCTCCTACCCCCACAGCTGCTGTTATCTTACTTTCTTGCAACAGCCTCTTCAATGAGACATCCTGTCAAACCTCAGCTGTAAGAGCCTCTCATCACTGTCACTTCTTCTATTGTTCTCTGTAATAATGTCACCAGGCCTGCCAAAAGGACTGTCTTCTAATACTCCTGAAGCTGTCAAAACAACTTCCACTGCAGATGTCTAGGTACTCCCACTGGGCACCCAGCCACAGGTGACAATCAATGCTATGTTAAGTCATTTTACAGAGTTCTAGGTAAAATCAGCACTTGAAGTTTTTATTTGCAGGCCTCTCTCTCTCTCTAACATAGTTGTGGAAATAAAACCACAAGCTGTAAGATGTTTTTACTGTGTGGGTTTGAAGCCTGGCTATATTACCTTGGGAAAGTAATTTAATCTCTTTCCTCCTTTCTAAAATGTTATAATAATAATAATACGTACCTCGTGTAGATGTTTTGATGAGTGAGTACACCTATCCCTTGCTTAAAGAGTTTAAATTATTCCAAAAACTTTGTCATTAATCGAATGGCCAAAATTTTTGAAAATCCACCAATTTAAATTGGAACTATTCTAGTCCAGTTAGGCAGCTTCCTAAATACTGAGCACATAAAGATATTCCGCATTCTTCTTTACAACATTTATACTATGGAATTCAGATCTCATTAATTCATCATATGTAATGCTGTCACAGACTGTGGTTAGGCTACAGTTTGAAGGAAGCCATTGAAAAACGGTAAGAAATATTTTTAGGAAAACTTTTAATGCTACTGAAAAGATCAAATGTTTCAATCACTTTAGAAGCATATATCAATTGATATACTAATAAATATATCAGTTGTACTCAGTTGTCAATGAGTACATTGACAAACTAATTAGAAAGTATACTAAGTATAATTTGAGTTAAGAAAAGTAAAACTTAAAATGAGGCAAAGGGCTTTTTAAAATCAAAATGAAAAAATCACACTAAAATATGAGTTATAAGCTTTAATTCATTGAATAATATAATGGTAAAATATGTAAAGAAAAAGCAAATGTTAATGAAAAGAAATACAATTGTCAGAGATTTTGATATCTCTTCTCCATGAGAAATCAAGTGGTTAAAAAAATATGTAACATTGGCTGGGTGCCGTGGCTCATGCCTGTAATCCCAGCACTTTGGGAGGCCAAAGTGGGTGCATCACCTCAGGTCAGGAGTTTGAGACCAGCCTGACCAACATGGTGAAACCCCGTCTCTACTAAAAATACAAAAAATAGCCAGGCGTGGTGGCACATGCCTGTAATCCCAGTAATCCCAGCTACTTGGGAAGCGGAGGCACGAGAACCGCTTGAACCCAGGAGGCGGCGGTTGCAGTGAGCTGAGATCATGCCACTGTACCCCACCCTGGCTAACAGAGTGAGACTCCATCTCAAAAAAAAAGAAAAACAACAACAACAAAAAGCACATAACATTATATAGAGAATCTGAGAAATATAAGAAAGTTATAATATTTGAATTCTATATCATACAAATATAGACTAATCCTTTTCATGGTCCCTGAGAAACAGTTATTAAAATTTATCATAAAAAAACACTCAAAGAAAAATTCAATAAACTTAAAAAAAGACATATTTTTTTCTAAAGTAAAATAACACTCTCCTAAATAACACTTGGGTTAGCAACATTAGCTTATTTAGAATAGCCTTAATTGCAATGATGACTTTAATATATAGAGTATTCACAAAATAAGTAGAGAAATTATGAATTATTCTATTTTTAAAAGGGTTAAAAGACATGAAAATGAAATTCACAAATATCAAGTGGATCATAAACTTACAAAATATTTGAAAACATTTAATCAAAGGCATAATTTTAAATAAAGTTATATTTTGTACCTATTTTGAGACAAATGATTTTTAATGTAACATTCAATGTGTATAAATTTTAAAAATGAGTGCGAATTATTATACCCTTTCTTGGGTCCAATTTGAATATAATATTTTAAAAATATATTCTAATACAGCAGTTCTACTTTTGGGAATTTATCCTGTGGAGACAATTAAATATGTGACCTATAATTCAGGAATTAGACACAAGGATGTTCATAACAGTGTTATTTATGAGAATAAGAAATTGGAAATAAACTAAATTTCCTACTACAAGTCATTGGTTAACTAAAGTACGGTGTATTTATATACCATAAAAAATAATGTTGCAGAGAAAGATTTAATGACATGGCAATTTGATATAATACATTTTTTATTTTCAAAATTCAGTTAGTAGGCTCTTGTAGGATAGATTCCATTTATGTGAATATAAAACTTGGCCATGTACTAAAATGTTAATCGTTATTTTATATACAATTGTGGATCATTTTAAATTTCTTCCACCTGTTTAACGTTGTTTTCTCACTATTCTGTAATACATCATAGTAACTGTTAACAGCTTTAAAAATGTCATCAATTTTTAATATATCTAAGAATTGGTTTTTCAAGTTAGCAGTGCCATCTGCTGATCATCTTGGAGTGTTCCTTCAGAATAACAATAAAATTTTTCGGAACTTAGGGAAGTCAGTAATTATCATAATTAAATATTATAAAATATTTAAGAAGAAAAGTGGAATATATAAGAAGAAATATTGTGAAATTTACTTAGTTTAACTCTTACATATGGTGTTCAGAATCTGAACACTGAGTCTACCATTCTTTTATTCCTACATTTTGCATTACAGTTTTATCATCTTCAATTTACAGTAATTCCTTGTCATAGAAGTGACCAAAGAGAGACTTAGCCAAGTTTAGAATGCTAGTGAAGTGTAGATGCTAGCCAGAAAATTATAATAAGTAATAGTTCCAAGGCTCAAGATAAAGTGAAATACCTTAATAAATAAATAATGAATGGGAAAATAAATCAGGGTAATGAATGAGGAACAACTGTTTAGGACATGGGAGTGGAAAAGAATGTGTTAATGGACTTCTTTTATATGGTGGGGTGAGTATCTGACACAGATATGTCTAATCATTATAGGAAATAATAGGAATCAGATGATACTATAATACAGCCTATATTTTCCATTTGTCCACAGGGATGTAATAAAAGATTTGTCAAATGTCTTCTCAATTCCAGATACATCATATTTACAGTAATCCCCCAAACCTATCCATCCTATCAAAGAAAGTAGTCCAGCTAACATGATAGTGCTTCTTCACAATGGACTTCTCTTCAACTAGTGCTTCACCTTAGTAATTCCAAACTACCTTTTTAATAACCATTCTGTGACCCAGCTTAGGCTCATTGTTATAATTGTCTTACATAACTCATCTTTCACTTTGTGGAAATGTGAACACTATTTACCCACATGCAATCTCCTCGCAGCTGTCTCATGCCCCTTCATATCTCTGAGGATCAATAGCAGTGGTTCTGGTAGCTCAATAGCAAGTTCTCTTCAAGCACAGCCTGAAGACTTAAACACATTTATCTTGGTGTTCTCTTTAATTCCATGCTCATTGCCCATCTAGGGCTCCAGTCATCTTCTAAGAGAGATGTTTTTCTAGAATTTTCAGTCCCATATTTATTTCCTTTAAAGAGAAGACAAAAGTTAACTTGTACCAGAGTAGCTCTATATTTTTTCCTCATTCATTCATATTTCATGACGGTATCAAAATCTAATCCATGTCCGTGTGCTATAATCCAGATTTACTGAGAAGCATCTTGTGCTGCTGTGTGGGATTGTTTTAAAAATACACATTGTTTTCAAAAGTACTTTTAATCAAGTTGATAATATATTACAATTTGCCTCCTGAGAATAAATCAGGGGAATTTAGGGGAAGCCAAAACAATGGCAGTGGTGAATATTCAAACCTCCCAGCATAACTTTTAAAGAAAGAAGTCAGAACAACAAAAAGAACCAATATAACCATGCAAAATACCTGCTTTCGTGAGTTTTATTAGTAGAGAATGCCCAAACTTCATATAACCTGTGAAGTAAGAGAAATAAAAACAAAATACTACTGAATTACTCATGACAAATGCATTCATGGAAAATAAAACAGTCAAGTAAAAACTGAATAAAAGAGAAAAGAGGGGAACTAGCAGTGTGCCTAGGATTAACCAAAAAAAAAAAACACTTCCAGAGGAAGAAAATCAACCATAGGTATAAAAATACTGAAGAAAGGCCAGGTGCAGTGGCTCACACTTGTAATACCAGCACTTTGGGAGGTGGAGGCAGCGGATCACCTGAGATCAGGAGTTTGAGACCAGCCTGGCCAACATGGTGAAACCCTGTTTCTACTAAAAACAAAAAACAAACAACAACAACAACAACAACAACAAAACCACAAAAGTTAGCTAGATGTGGTGGTGTGTGCATGTAATCTCAGCTACTTAGAAGGCTGAGGCAGGAGAATTGCTTGAACACAAGAGGCCAAGGTTGCAGTGAGCCAATATGTCACCACTGCACTCCAGCCTGGGCAACAGAGTGAGACTCTGTCTCAAGAAGAAAAAGAAAAATACTGAAAAAGAGTACTGATCTCATGGAAAAGACTTAAAAGTATACCTAAGATATGAGGAGGCAATTATTTTTTAAAAAAGTAAATATTTGGAGGCAATAATGGTTGAAAGGATAGAAGAGGTACCTTTTGGAAAATTCACAGTGAATGAGAAAAAGAAGCAAGAGATAGAAATTTAAGATCTTGGAACACAAAAGGAAGTAAAAATATCAAAGAACACACAATTATTCTCCCAAACCCCTACAGAAAGCAAAGCTATCTAGAAACGAGGTCTACTTTGCTATATTGATAGAAGGAGGCAATTTTGAATTAGGATTCTTATATACTACACCAAGCAGGGACATAGTCTTTGTACAAATTACTGTTAAAGGAAAACAAATTAAAATAAAAACAGTTTATCTGAGGAACTTTTTCTCCAAGCAGGAGACTAGCAAAGCAAAACAAAACTATTACAGTTTTTAAAACTGAATTAAGTATCCTCAAACAAGCATTTTGATATATGAAACAATAACAACAGCAAAAGACCTTGCATCTGAAATTGAAAAGTCAAGAATTGGAAGAAATGAAATGAGAGCTGACTGAATTCAGGGGCAAAAATTACATAAGAAATGAAGACTAAGGCACCTAGAGCACCCAAGGAAGAAAAGGTGTGAATGATCACTTAATAAAGGGCAATAAGTAGAAGTGGAAAAACAACTAATACATGAAAAAATAAGAAAAAGCCTTTTTTAAAAGGTCAAATAAAATTGGTTGAAATGGTATTCAGGCAAAGGACCAATTTATGTATAATTGGAGTTTCAAAAGAAAAACAATAGAATAGAACTAATATTTTTAAAAATTATAGTAAACTTTCTAGAAATAAAGAAGATCTGTGTTTACATATGGAAAGGACCCACCAGGTACTGGAGGAAACTGACCCACAATGATCAACTCTGTGACAAACTCTAGTAAAACTATCAAACCTTAAAATGAAGAAAAAGATTTATCAGGGCCACTAGTTTTTTAAAAAACAAATAAATTACGAGGACAAGATTAGACTAGGATCAAATTTCCCAGATAATAAGGAAAAAACACACATACAAAGCAAAGCATCAATTGGGCAGCATTTTCAAAAGATTCAAGGAAAGAATATGTGAACCAAACATTTTATAAAGCCAAGTTGTCTTTAAAATGTCAATGTTTCAAATATGGAAGAAATCAGGAAATTCTATCCTTGGCAGCCCATTTTGAGAAATACATTAGAGAATGGGCTTCTTTGAACCAAGATATGATGAGTGAAACTTCTGGAAAAAAGACTAATGGTGAGCATTTAGTATGTTCAATTTGTAGATACAAGTGAGATCAGACAAAAGTGAGGATAACAGCGATAGAATAACATGTTACATAGCATATATTATATATCATATTATGTGTCTTATCTTTGACAAATGTAAATGATGTGACTAAGAATGAGAGAAGAAAAATTGAAAGAGGAAAATAAAATAAGCACATTAATTTTTTTAATATAGGGAACAAGTGAAAGCTAATGGATACCAGTAAAAACTAACAAAGTGGTAAGTAAAAGGTTAAATATGGAAACAGAGAACTAATGATATTTAAAAATCTATAAAGATGGATTCCACACATAAGTGAGATCATGATGTATTGTGACTATAGTTAATAACAATATATTGTATTCTTGAAAAATGCTAACAGAGTATATTTTAAATGTTCTCACCACAAAAAGGATAACTTTGTGAGTTAGTGCATATGTTAATTATCTAGATTTAACCATTCTGCAATGTTTATATATTTCAAAACATCACGTTGTACATAATAAACACATACAATTTTATCTATCAATTTCATTAAAAAGGCATTAAGATAAAGATGATCACTAGAACTTTCTAAATAGCCAAAGAAATTGTAAAGGTAAAACAGCAAAAAAAATATAGTAAAGGAAAAACTCAGCAATTATAACATAAAATGCATAATTATGACAAATAATATGTAGTTGTGAGACTAGACAATCACACTTACTAATAAACGTGAATGGACTTGACCCATATATTAATAGGAAAAGACTTCCAATTTGACTCACAAAACAAGAACCAACTATACGGACACACAAGAGACGTCTCTAAAATAAGTGACTCAAAGGATAAAAATAAAGAGATAGACAAAGGCATACCAGGCAAATGGAATCTGTCAGGGAGGCAGGTGTAGCAATTCTGACATTAGACAAAGAAAAATTCAATTTTATAAGCATTAAAGGTATAAAAATGACACTTCTTTATGTTAGAATGAACCATAATTCACTTCTTAATGCTAGAATGAACCATAATTCACAATAAAGTTATATTTATGAATATCTATGCACTAAATAACAGAATTCCCTCACTGAAGCAAAAACTACAACAATGCAAGAAGACATAAGTGGAAATACACTCATTATAACTTTAGCTCAGTATTCTCCACATAAGACAGATTAAGTTGACAAAAAATAAATAAGATAAAAGACCTAAACAACATAATAAATGGGGTAGATTTTAAGGCTATACAAAACTTTAAACTCTGTTAATGGAGAGTGCACCTACTGAAGTGTAAATGGAAGTCACAAAAATTGACTTTGAGATCATGTTACACATACAAAAAGTCAGTAACATGAACTAGAAATATTACATATTCTCTTATCACAAAGCCAAGAACTAAAAATTATTAGCAACAAATAAAGGTTCAACTGGGAATTTAAAAGCCTTACATTAAATGATTTTTGCAGAATGGGCAAAAGGGAAATACAAAAGGTTGGTGCAAAAATAATCACAGTTTTGGATTATGAATTTTAAATCATTATAACTAGGCACAAACACATATTTATTAATCAAAACAGGAACCATTACAATCAACACATTTTTGCCAACGAGAAATAAATTTGTTTATACCTATAACATAAAAATTCATGTTTCAGGATTCGATGAACTCTTGGAAAGGAATTTCTGCATCCTGCTGGTTGTGGAAGTGTTTTCCCTGCAAAAAGTTGTCAAGGTGCTTGAAAAAGGGTAGTCGGTTGGTGAGAGGTAAAGTGAATAGTGGATGAGGCAAAACTTCGAAGTGTTGGTTATGCGATAAATGGTTGGGCATTGTTGTGGAGAATTGAGCCCTTTCTGTTGACCAATGCTGGCTGCCCGTGTTTGGTGCATCTCATCGATTTGCTGAGCATACTTCTCAGATGTAATGGTTTTGCCAGCATTCAGAAAGCTGTAGTGAATCAGACCCGCAGCAGACCACCAACAGGGCCCATGACCTTTTTTTCGGTGCAAGTTTGGCTTTGGGAAGTGCTTTGGAACTTCTTTTCAGCCCATCCACTGAACTGGTCGTCACCAATTGTGATATAAAATCCATTTTTCATTGCATGTCACGATTTGATTGAAAAATGGTTCATTGTTGTGATGTAGAATGAGAAGAGTACACTTCAAAAATGAGGGTTTTTAAAAATTTTTCGCTCAGCTCATGAGGTACCCACTTACTGAGCTTTTTCACCTTTCCAATTTGCTGCAAATGCTGAGCAACCACAGAATGGTCGACGTTGAGTTCTTCAGCAACCTCTTGTGTATTGGTAAGAGGATAAGCTTCGATAATTGCTCTCAATTGGTTTTTGTCAACTTTTGATGGTTAGCCACTATGCTCCTCATCTTCAAGCCTCTTGTCTTTTTTGCAAAACGTCTTGAACCACCACTGCACTGTAGGTTTGTTAGCAGTTCCTGGGCCAAATGCATTGTTGACGTTGCGAGTTGTTTCGGCTGCTTAAACATTTTGAACTCAATTAAGAAAATCGATCAAATTTGTTTTTTGTCTGACATCATTTCCATAGTCTAAAATACATATAAAATAAACAGCAAGTAGTAAGTCATTAGCAAAAAACATAAAGTGAGAAATGTGCGTTAAAATGATGTCTAACATAATCAAATTTAAGAATGTATTCCAGTATCAAACAGCAAATTTCAACAATGCAAAAATCGCAATTACTTTTGTACCACCTAATACATTTGCAAAAAGCCTTTACAAGTAAAGTCACATTCACAGGCGCTGAAGTTTAGGACTTGAACGTATCTTTTTTTATGGACCTGGGGACAGGGTGGGAGGGACACGATTCTACCTACGCAGAAATACAGGTTACAAAAATTACCTATGAGACATACAAAGCTTAAACAGATTAATTTCCATGAAGAAATAGAAAAAGTGATAAAGACAGAACCAATAAACAATTGCCAGAAAGTTCTACCAGATTTTCATAGACCAGCCTCTATATGTTTTCCATTGCCTAAACCTGATACCTAAATCTAGTAAAGAAAGTATGAAATTAAAGATACTAATATTATTTATCAATATTGATGCAAAGTTTCTAAATAAAATATTAATAAACAGAATCAAACACATTAAGAAAACAATATGCTACAATCAAGTAGATTTTTTTCCAAGGATGCAAGATTGATTCAATATTAAGAAATTTATTCAAATAACACTTGTAATAATAAGCCTTGATTATATTCATAGATAATGAAAAAAGTCTTAGATAAAAACAAATATTTGTCTGATGAAAACACTCAAGAAAATAAGAACTGATGAATACTTTTTAAAGTATATATATTCTCCATCTCTGTATATATAAATCTACATATATGTATTAGAATATGTGTTCTAAAGAATAAAGATGTGTGTTTGTGTATGTGTATGTATATATGTATTTTAAAACCCTGTTCACAATAGCAACAAAAGTAAAATACTTAGAAATATAGTTAATAGGAAATGTGTAAAATTTATATGAGGAACACTTCAAAACACTTGTGTTTAAAACACAAAAGGAGATTTGAACAATTGGAAAAATATTCTTTGTTCTTGGAATGATTCAACATCATAAATACATCAGCTTTCTCTAAGTTAATGGATAAATTTAGTGCACTCTCAATACAAACAGCAGCAAGCTTTTAAATGAAGCTAGACAAGTTAATACTGAAATTCATTTGGAAAAATAAACATGTAAGAATATCCAGGAAATGGATGTTGAAACACATTATAGAACCTCTCTAATAAAAACAGTTTGGTACTGGCACACAAACAAGCAGACAGGCCAATGAAATTAAATAAAAAATTCAAAGATACCCAAGTACATATGGAAATTTAATATATGATAAATGTTGCAAAAATCACTGGGACAAAGTCAGACATTTTAATAAATGGTGCTAAGTAGCCAATTCAAAAAAGTTAAAATTAGATCCATACCTTATACCAGGGATAAAGATAAACTCCAATGATCCAGAAATCTGAATATAGACTATAAAAACCATACAAGTGGTAGAAGAAAATATGGGTGAATTCGTCTTTAACTTCAGTGAGGAGAAAAGGTTTTCTAAGTAGGACTAGAAATTGAGATGGTATAATTCATTTGACTATAAAGGAATAAAAATAAATACTTCTGCATAGCAAAAAAAGAAAAACAACAGAGTTTAGAAAAAACTGAGAGAAAATATTTGCAATAATTCACTCACACACACACATGCACACACATACATGTAGAAGGAACTTAAACATATGGAAAAATGTTCAACTTTGCTTATCATGAGAGAAATGCAAAATAAAACTGCATTGAGGACCCATTTCTCATCCATCAGAGTGACAAAATTTTTAAAATATAACAACACACACTCAACTGGTGTGGCTGTGGTGAAAAAGGCGTATGTCCATATCGGTGGCAGGAATACAAGTTGTTACAACACTTATGGAGTATTTAACAAAACTACCTTTAACCCAGCGTTCCCACTGGCTAGAAATATACACTAAAATTTCCTCTAGCAATACAAACTACATATGTACAAGTCATTAATTAAAGATTGTTTGTACTGACAAAGTCTTGGAAACACTGTATGTTTGTATATATGGAGGTAGTTGAATAAAGTATGTTACACTACACAAAGGAGTACTTCACAGCTGTAGAATTCATCTCATTAAACTAGAAAATGTCTCACCCTGAATAACCAGAAACCAAATAAAGTGCATGAAAAAACTGTTTTTAGACATTGGACAAGGGACAGCTAGAAGAGTGGTCCCTGAGAGTAGGAAAACAAATGAGGTGAGCCCTGTGGTTGCCAAGCTTACCATCGATGGAGAGTCTCCAGGCTGCAAAGCATAAAGAGAACATCCAAAAGCATCCAGCAGCCACTCTGAGTTCCAAGTCGAGGTACACTAAGTGGCTAGAATTTGCTGGGGAAAATATGCCAGAGGAGAAAGACCTACACAGAAAGAGACCTGACCACTGCAAAGGAGTCTCCTTGACTCTTTATAACCAAGTAATGACCTAATATGAGTGTGAGTAAGCTACTCAATGCCAGGGAAAGAACTGATAGAATGAAGGGGAACCATTTCTAAAATTCACAAAGAGTTGGGAATAGTTCTTCGTCCCACCAGCCAGGGTAGAAAGACCTCTTAATACATGGGTTTGGGGTAGAATCATTTAAAAAATACTGAGGCCAAATTATTTTAGGACTAACGTATGTTTTAGACACACACTAACAAAGCTTAAAGGCAAGAATCAGAAGGACAAATTAATTCCAAGTAACTTGACTGCATCCCAGAACAAAACCCCAAAAATATTTAAAGGAATACAACAAAATCAAGCACCTAACAGTGTTCAGCATCCAATTAAATATTATCAGGAATGCAAAGAAGCAGGAAAATATGAATATAACTCAAGAGGAAAATATGAATATAACTCAAGAGAAAAATATAAGCATAACTCATATGAGAAAAATCAAGCTAGGGGAACAGATCCATAAGTTATTATAAATATGTTTCATATATTCAAGAAGATAGAGGAAGGCATGGGTGTGAGGGCAGAGGAATAGAAGATGATAGATTTTTCAAAGTATCAGGATTATGGATATATTTATTGAGACGTGTTCTTTACATTTAAATCCCAATCAAAATAGTTTTTGAAAAACAATATTTATTATCTTATATAATAAGGCCTTCTATGAGTGATCAATTCAGTAGCTCAGCAATGTCAACAAAGACACAGATTCTTTTTATCTCTTCCGTTTATCATCATCTGTGGGTGCTAATTTCCCTCACAGGGATAAAATAACTGCAGCAGCTTCAGGCCTCATATCATTACAAACCAACATCTAGATATAAAACAAACAAACAAACAAAACTTGAAAAGACAGTCTCTTGTTTATGCCTCTTTTCAAGATCCCAGAATTCTTTCCAGAAATCTAGGTAATTATCTGTCATATCTCATTGACCTAAAATGTTCACATTTCGGCTTATCACTGGCTTAAACTAATCAAGATTTAATTGATGAGACTGGAAATGAGTCTATTTTCCTCTTAAGCACTTAGATACACAAAAGTGCATGGATAAAAAACAAGGTCAGGGTTCTATTAATAAGAAAAAAAGAAAAAATAATGTCTATGTGAGAAAACATTATTTGTAAGAAGGGTTAAAATCATTCAATTTAGATAACAAAAATACTATAATAATAGACATCACATATAGTTTAACCCTGTGCCAGGCTTTACACTTAGATTCTAATTGTTTTACATTTATTAATTCATTTAAGACTCACCAAATTATTATTTCCATTTTAGACATGGAGGACATGGAGTCAGGTCACTTGTCCAAGGTCAGTTTAATAAATAACAGAAAAATAAATGGTGATACCCAGACAGAAAACTTAATCATACAACTCATCTGAATTTATTTTTAAAATATGATTTAATGTGCATATATATACATACATATATAACATATACATAACTGCAACATGTTTGAACTCAAACTATATTAAAGACATCATTCAATGTTTGTACACATAGTTCTAACCCATTTTAAGTGGAAACATTGCATTGCAGCATACTAGTAATAAGCACATATTATAATTTATTTCATCCTTTATATTGATTACAATTTGACTGCTACACAAATATTTCTACAGGGAACAATTTCATACATAAATATTTTTATCCTGTTTGCTTATGTGTATATATGTGTGCATTATAGTTTTAGAGATTAAATTCCTTGAAGTGAAATTGCTGTCTTAGCTTTTCACATTTTAAATATTTTTAGAGGGTGTAACACTGCCTTCCCAAAGGCTCTGTTAATTTGCCTCTCAGTAACAACAGATGAGAATGCCTCTGTGCTTACACCACTGCTAAACTGATGGAGTAAAAGAGAATTTCATTTTTGTTTTAGTGTGCATTTCTAGGGTTCCCAGAGAAGATGATTTACTTTTTGTGTTCCTACACCATTTGCATTACTCCTATGAATTGCCTGCTCCATCCTTTGTTCACTTTTCAGTCAAGTTTTGCCTTTCCTTATTGATTTGAAAGATTTAAGACATTAATTCATGATTCATGTGTTGCAACATTTTCCTCTATTATTTGCCTTTTTAATCTTGTTTATGAACCATCATTATCCCGAAAGAGTATTTAAGTAATTATATAGTTAAAATCTGTCAACATTTTTCATTATGGCTACTGGGTTTCTCAGGCCACTGAAAGAATGAGCTTTTGCCACTTTCTAGTCTTCATTTTCTCCAATCAGAAATGCTGATGGGAAGAACAGGTGAGACAATGTGGCTATCACCATCAAAGACACTGGGACAAACACAGTTGTGTGATACCCAGAGGCTCTTCAGAACAAAGGCTTAATTTTATCATTCATTTATATCACTCAAATTATTTTCTCATAACTTTATTTTTGGCCTGCAACAAAAATCTCTCAATTCCTCTTCAGATCTTTCCTTAAAGTGGAACTAAGTAGAACACATGTGACTCAGATTTTAATTATTGCTTATCTTATTTGGATATGTTTTATCCTCATTAAAATGTAATTATTATAGAAATGACAGCCCCATTGCCAGGAAAATTGGGAGTGTTATATGCTCTGTTCAGCTTTTGGTAAAATTTTAATTCTATCAGGTCAAATTATTATTGTGTTATTTGTCTACTTTTGTTGCAACAGGAATGGAAGGCATTCCACAGATTGGTCAATTTGTTTGCCTTTTGTTGTGTGTCTCTCCATAAATCTCAATGACAAATGTCTTTTTAATTTATCTATTTATCTTGTTTTATTTTTTGTCTATTAACCAAACTTGATGTATTTTTCTTCTAAAGGGGTTCAGAACACGTCACCCCCAAATTTATTGTTTTGCATATTGATTATTTTGAGCTGGAGACACTTGAGAATCAGCAGATACAGAAAATACGCTTTGAACACCTTTTATCTAAAAGCAGGCCATAAAATTTCCCGTGAAAAAGATGCCCTTCTTGTACCAGGAAGAGAAGACCATCTTTATCACTGGAGACTTGGAGTTGACACCAAAATCAATCGTACAAACAAATCTATTATAATAGTCCTTATCTTCCACTAGTCTCTCCCATATATTTCCTAGTCACTGTCCCACATTTACTGCCTTTGGCCCAAGCCTCTTTGTTGTCACATCCTCACAATTTATTGTTGTTTGTTTAAAAAGATATATAACTATTGAGGCCTAATAACTTCTTCAGGTCTTAATTTTCCTTATGAAGACTCCCGTGTACATATGAAAAAAATTAAACTTGTATGTTTTTCTCTTGTTAATATGTCTTCTGTTACTTTAATTCTCAGACCCAGCCACAGAACCTAAGAGGTCTGAAGAAAACTCTCTGTACTTCTCCAATGCAGTGTGTTATGATTTCTATTGTTATCATTTCTGTCTGCTTTGTTTTTGTGATCTCTCTCTTGAGAGTCGCCATAAGCCGAGATAGACACTCCCTAGGAGAGCCCTGATAGGGGGAAAGTTAGCCTCAAGTATGTCAGCCAAGTGAGACTCAGTGAGGTTGTGAAACCAAAATGCATAAAACAGAAGCAATTTATTACTCACCGGTTCCAGAGAGGTTGGGGGTGCCAATGTGAGGCCTATGGGGAAATCTGTAGGTGGTAGCAGGAAGCTCAACCAGTGGGTGGGCAATGAGATGGGGAGGAGGGGAACCTGTGGGGCTATGTCTTTAGGAAGGACCAAAGCCACGGGCACTATCCCTTAGTTTTTCCTGCGGAAGTTGTGGATTGGCTAGTGTAAAGAAAACATGTGTGAATGAGGAACTTATTTTTAGAGCTCTGGTGTTGACCATTAGGTGTTATTGTGCTTGGCAATGGTGGGATGCATTGGGTTTTGGATCAGTGGTATGAGGCATAAGCATGTTATTTTGCAAACAACCTCGCAGGAAGGGGGAGTTTTAACTAGGCCAAAGGTGACGGGGTATGACTGGGATTCAAACAACTTATGTCAGTCCTAAGTGGTTATGGGATTCCTAACAACTTATGAATGCTGAGGCTGCAACTATAATAAACAAACGTGTGACACAGTGCATTTCCACTTTGGAATTTCCCCCGATTCAGTAATGTCCATTGGTCAATAGAATTATCTTACTGTTCTGATCTCAAATTTATTCCACTAAGAACTGATAGGAGATGATAGAATAAAGATGGCATTATAATGTGTTAGATTTTATTGCACTACAATACATTTATGAGAGTGTTTAGGAAACTGAAAGTATATGCTAGAGTTTTTTTTTTTTTCATTTCAGCTGTTTATTTTAATTTATTTTTTTTTATACTTTTAAGTTTTAGGGTACATGTGCACAACGTGCAGGTTAGTTACATATATATACATGTGCCATGTTGGTGTGCTGCACCTATTAACTCGTCATTTAACATTAGGTATATCTCCTAATGCTATCCCTCCGCTCTCCCCGCACCCCACAACAGGCCCCAGTGTGTGATGTTCCCCTTCCTGTGTCCATGTGTTCTCATCGTTCAATTCCCACCTATGAGTGAGAACATGAGGTGTTTGGTTTTTTGTCCTTGTGATAGTTGGCTGAGAATGATGGTTTCCAGCTTCATCCATGTCCCTACAAAGGACATGAACTCATCCTTTTTTATGTCTGCATAGTATTATTCCATGGTGTATATGTGCCACATTTTCTTAATCCAGTCTATCATTGTTGGACATTTGGGTTGGTTCCAAGTCTTTGCTACTGTGAATAGTTCTGCAATAAACATACGTGTGCATGTGTCTTTATAGCAGCATGATTTATAGTCCTTTGATATACCCAGTAATGGGATTGCTGGGTCAAATGGTATTTCTAGTTCTAGATCCCTGAGGAATCGCCACACTGACTTCCATAACGGTTGAACTAGTTTACAGTCCCACCAACAGCATAAAAGTAGTATATGCTAGAGTTTAAGGAACTATTCGATTAGATTAAGGGCTTCATGAAGGATAATGGAGTTAAGATTTTTTTTATTTTAGATTTAAATAATGACAACCACACCAAAGATAAAATCACTATTAGTAACTCATATCCTTTTAGGCATTTTTGTGTGCATATACATAACATATAAACATACATACAATATACACATGCATATCCATTTCTAAAAAAATGGGAAAAATCTTGTATATACTTCTCACCTTTTAAAATTTTTTTAACTTACAAAATATAACTTTAACTTCTACTTGGTATGTTATAGACTTTTCACAAGCCAATGAACATTTAAATAAAATATAATTTTAATTACTGAGTAATATTACATTTTTGATGGTACTGAATTTATATAATACATCTCCACTTGTTGGACATTTAGTTAACTTATTTTTTCTACTGCTTTATTGTTATAAAATATGCTTTGGTGAGACACTTTATCTTAGGATTAGTTCTAAAATGCATTTTATGTACACTATTCTCAACATATTATTAATTGAAAACAAGTTGCAAAATTACTATGACATAGAACGTTGGAAAATGGTACAATTGTTAAATCCAAGCATTCATGAGAACACCAATAAAATATACGTAAAATTCCAGTAATCTACCTGAGAATAAAAAACACAGACATTCATTATTATGAAGGACAAATGAGACATACTACAGAAAAGGAAGAAATTGCTTAAGTAGTGAGAGACTATAATCCAAAAAGACAGGCTGCAAATGAGCAAAAAGATGGAAATAATTGTACCACCTAGAGGCACAGTAGCAAACTTTTGAAGAAATTGAGAGATTTCCTTGGCTAAAACCAAAAGAATATTCCAGAACCACAATAACAGGGAAAGGTAAAATATTTTAAGAATTCATCTAGACAAGAACTCAATTAGAGATCACTATCTGAAACCCCCGAGGTTTCAGCTTTCAGGGGTGTGAGGTCTGAGGTCTGAGTCCTAGGAGATCTGGGAACAGGTGATAGTCAATGTCAAAAACCCCATTTTCTTAGATACAAAAAGGTTTTCTCCTATGCCTACACAAGATACCAAATGAATTCAGAATGTAATTCTCATAGTCCAGGGCAATAAAAAATATATAATTCTAATGGTTACCAGATTGCAGAAGATATTTATTGATGATGTTTGCTGCTAAGCTAACATCTTTCTACAGCACCACATTGTAAGTTTTAGACTATAAGCTGTTCATAGGGTTTTCATACCTAAAGATAACACTGACACCATCACCCACTTTGTAAAGGGAATCAGAGAAATTTCTAATAAACGAGATGCAATTGCTATCACCACTATTTCTTACTAGGAGTTTTCTGTGATAACACAATTGAAAAGTCTCTATAAACTGTCCACGAACAAATGCTAGTATTTATTGGCACCATTTATGGCAGTTGCTCCAGCTTACCCTTCTGCAGGTGGGAGGAGATGGGTAATGCATTTAGTCTTGGGAATTTGGTCTTGATATACCAAGGTAATATCTAATAGGACAAATACAAAACTGTCCAGGAAAAATCCCAAGCTCACACACCTGAGCATTCATACTCACCACAAATAAGGATCTGGGAATAGATGGCACTTGATTTTCTCTTTTGAAGTTCTTCAGAGTTAAGCCACTGGAGGGCAGCAGAGACAGGATTTTAATACACAAACTTCAGTTTCTATTCATTGACCAGTTCATGGATTCATTAGATACGTAAGTGCCCATGAGGTGAAAGGCATTCACCTTTTATGACAGTCATATTGTATGCTTTTTCATTAATTATCTATTAAGAAAGAATATTTGACAGATATTTCTATTTGAATCTCTACTGGATTGAAATCTATATATTTTTTGACAGTACAATTGAGAACTCATAAAATTAGTTTTAAAGCTAGCAAGAAACTTATGGAACACCCATATCTACTATTTCTCTCTTGAACAATGTCATTATCTTTTCTGCTCTATCTCATATATAAAAATGTTAATTGGTTTTCTTTTCTATGTGCTCATTCTCAAAGTTTGGAAAAATATAGAAAAGTAAAAAAATGAAAATAAAATTCAACCCTTAATACTATCATTAGTGTTTCAATACAATGCTTCCTAGTTGAATATGCATAGATGTATGTTTATTTCATTTACATATTTGATCTTAGAATCTATAGAGGTTAAAGTCATAGTATACTAGATTGCCATATCATTATCAATAAATATTTAAAGAAATGTTATTTATGAATAAAGTTGTTTTAGAAATACAGCTGTATACATGTGATACTGAGCAAGCCAAAATATTTTACCCAAGCAAATGCAATTATCTCTCTACTGAACATATTTATTTCTCTAGATTAGTTAATTTGTTATTATTATTCTGCTTCCAAAACAAGAAAAATATATTTAAGTTGATCTTGGAATTGTTTTGTATTTCAGTCCATCATAATGCACTAAAGTAAACAAGAAGAGTAAGTCACACACTCTTCTCCATAAGAAAAATTAAGGCATTACTGATTTAAGTTGGAAATATTTTAATAGTAAATTAGAATTTAAATGTAGTGTTTAAAAAAGAGTATGATTAAGTATGTGCATTTACCATCAAATATTCCAACCCATGTAGTCAAGTGGCAAGGCAAATGAATGCCTCCCTCGTCTTTACACCCTTGCCATTTTGAATGACCTCACTCAGAGAGACAGGAAGAATGCATGGCTCACTCTTCCACTTCCTCATTCAGCCTTTTTTTTACCAAGGTATGCCAAAGTGCTATTTCACATAACGAGGTTTCCAGGGCAAGCAAAGTATATTTCCTGTCCTCAAGGGGTTTACAGTCCAGTAGAAGAGGCAAGGAAATAAATAACTGGCTGTGTTATGTGCTGCAAGGTGGAAAGCATAGGTCACTATGGTCATCTGACTTGGCATTGTTCCTTAGGGAAGGTTTCACTGATAAGATGTTTATGTCAGAAACTAAAGGGTAAAGAAAAGAAGTCAGGTAAAGAGGCCGGGAACGGTGGCTCACGCCTGTAATCCCAGTACTTTGGGAGGCCTCAGGCAGATCACTTGAGGTCAGGAGTTTGAGACCAGCCTGGCCAACATGGTGAAACCCCGTCTCTACTAAAACTACAAAAATTAGCCAGGCATGGTGGTGCATGCCTGTAATCCCAGCTACTTGGGAGGGTGAGGCAGGAGGATCGCTTGAACCTGGAAGGCAGAGGTTGCAGTGAGCCCGAGATTGCACCCCTGCACTCCCACCTGGGTGATAGAGAGAGACTCTGTCTCAAAATAAATAAATAAATAAATAAAAGTTTTTAAAAAAGAAGCCAGGTAAGGAGAGGAGAAAAAAAAATATTTTTGGTGGAGGAAAGAGCATGCAAAGAACTAAGTCTCGAGTGACAGCGAAGTAATTCAGTATGGCTAGACAGTAAGTGTAGAAAGGCAGAGACTAAGAGGGTAAGTAAAAGTGAGACTTTTGTAAAGGGCATTGTAAACCACATTAAGGAGTTAGACCTTTATCCTACAATACAATTGTAACTTTACAAAATTTACTCTGGCTATTATGTGAAAAACGGGTTAGAGTAGAAATTGCTGGATGAAGGGGACCAAGTTGCATCTCTAAGATGATAGATAAATATTATTTTAAAATGACAAGGAAATTATTGATTCATTGCAGAAACTAACATGAAATCTAGACATAGTAGGTGTTTGATATATGCTGAATAAGTGACTAAAAGGATGAATATATTTGTAAACAATGCAACACCTATATTTAGGCTTCCCTGAGGAGGCCATTAGTCCATTGCTATTTCTCCTACCACAGTTTCAGCATCACTTAATACCTCTTATTTATACTTCTGTATCAGTTTCAACGACTTGGAGTCATACACATTGAAAAAATGAGCCACTTAATTTTCCATTACCGCTGTCAAAAACTGGAAGTCTAATTTTTTCTAAATGTATGGTTAAATTTCGTAGAAGGAGAATCTATTTAGTTTATTGGATTATTTTTACTGATATTACTTGCTTAGTCTCCAACTTCCCTTGGAGTGTTTGGGTAATCTAGTCATTTATTAAATGCTGGCTTATCCATGAAACATACACTTCATGGAAATTCATTACATTTTAGAATTCAGATTATAAAACCAGATCTGCATATTAAAAAATTGTTGCATAAACTGTGCACATAGCATATAAAATACTGTTTCCTCAGGCATAATATAGCCACAGGGTCAGAGGGAAAATCAGAAGGGAAATGTCTGATTATAACAAAACATTTATATAGCTCTGTGTTTCTTGAGTACTTCGTCTGCTGTTTATTAAGAAACAAGCTGGGAGGAATGGAAATTCTTCCAACTTATTTTCTTTAAGAAATGTCCATGGAAGTATTTCAAAACTGCCGAGTCTGGAAATGAAATTTTTAAGCATGCCAAAGTGTTATAGGAGCAGATGGTGCTACAGGATTTTTTAAGGATGGAAGGAAATCACATCAAAACAAAAGACAGTAAGACGAGGAAATATTTGAGTCATCTACAGCTAATAATATTTTACTTTGATCATTTTGTATCTGTGATGTTCATTTTAAACTGCTAAAATATGTCTTGTCAATTTTTCTTTTGAATTTAAAGTTGTATTATGTTGTCAAAAAATAGATAGGAATAACAAGTTTAATAAATAGCATTCCTCAAGTAATTTTTAAAGATGCAAATAATAATTTTCACATACAATTATCAAGCACACACAGCATCTCCAGAGCCAGATGGGTTGAGTAAAAATATTAACATTTTCTAAGCCAGAAGTAAACAGTTTATGAAGTTGGAATATTTTGCATTTTATACTTGAATTCATTTGAAATATCTCCATCATTTTAATCACACAAAAATATATTTGAAAAGGCTTTAAAGTAATTGCAAAACCCCTGCTGGGATAGGTGGATGTTGTTGTTCCTGTTTACATATGCAGACGATGGTGATTAATGAGTGAAAATATCACATGGATAAATGAATGTAAGTAATTCTGAATTGCACATGGATTAATTAATGCAGGTCATTATTATGGGTTGGTTAGTGAGAAACATCAGTAGTTAATTCTTTATGGGTGAGAGATGGGAGGGAGATGAATGGGACAGGAGCTAGGAGGATTATCAGGGATGATAACTTCATTTTGGATGTGTTGATTTTGAGATGCCCATGGAAATCTGGATGAATAATCTGTGTTGCAAGTGACTAAACAAACCAAGAGTTTGGAGGGAGGTCTGGGCTGGAAATGAAGATTTATTTGGCATGAATACTTGAAAGTGAATGTGGTCATCTAAAGAGAATGTTTGGAGAATGAAAATCTGAGACCAAAACCAGAAATATCCATAAAAGGAGCTTTAAAATGGTGGAAGGCTTCATCCAGAACCTGGAAGAAGACAAAAAAAGAAAGCAGATTATTATAGTATGAGCCATTTACATTACCTGTCAACATTAGTGGCAAACATTTGCCAAATAAATTTGGTCATGATAGTCTTTACCATCAGTTAAATATAGTCTTTACTAAAACCCTGTTCTTTTCTTCATAATCTTTCAATTAACACTTTAAAGTAGGAATTTTATAGCTACTTTCATGTTTAGCATGAAATCAGGTTGAATGAAGCAGAAACAAGCTATGGAGCTATAGAACATAAAATAAGGTTCAGTTTATAATATAGGTAGCATGCTCTTGGAAAAGCCAAAGATAATGAGGAAACCAAATGACAATGTTGAAACTATACCATGGAAATTCAAGTCACCATGCTGAAGAGAAGAGTGAGAATAGCTTCTAGCTAGCTATCCATACTTATCCTGTGCAGAGTCCTTACTAAAATATCAGTGAAAGCCAGATTATACATCAACACAAAGCAACAAATTATTATTAACAAATGCTTGCTGGAATCTGTAGGAATTTTTCAGCAATTATTTTGCCAATGAAGGTGGTTATAAAAAATAGTTTGTGTTCTATACATTCTTCACTTCATGAAACAAAGTTGTTCCCTACACATGACAGTCTTTGGGACCATTACGAGTTACTCTAAGTCTCAACTTCTTTATTAGAGAAACCTACTTATTGGGATTTGTTTGGATTAAATGAGCTAATCCAGGTAAATTGATTATCAGCGTGCTTGGTATAAAGTAAATAACAAGTAGTCAGGAGTTCCTAAATGGACTATTCCATATTGCCAAAACTGCCAATTAAAAACAAAAGAATGAGCATTAAAAATAATAAACACTGATAATGAATGTTAACAAGCAGCCTGTTTCCAGGCTCTGGAAACATATTTTCTGTAATCATTAAAAACTCCATTTATAAAAACAAGTATTTTTTTTCTCATTCTTCACTCCATGAAACAAAGCTATTAATTCTCATCATCACAAACATTTATAACTTACTACATGTCAAGTACTGCATGAACCCTAGCTACTGTTAACCTGGGTTCTAGGAGTCCTCAACTACTGGTGTTCTTCAGGGAATCTGCAATCTATGAAAATTACATGCAAAATTCTGAATATTTCCGGAGACTCCATAGCTTTCATAAACTTCTGAGAGCATTTTGTGATCCTCGCCTCCAAGGTATTTAAGAAACAGTGTCTAGAATCTTCTCATTTTGCAGACAGCCCAGATGGACTTTCATCCATTTTCACCCATGTTCACTTGCATTGGTTATCTGCCGCCTCTATACTTTCAGACATGAACTCTGAGGCTGGTGAGGATTATCCTAATTAGAAAGAGAGAAATACACATATTACTGATCTGCTAAACACTGTATTCCTAATTAGGTTTTGGAAGATGGACTTATTCCCATATTGTAAATTACCAAAATCAAGAGAAAAAATACATAGACATAAATATCACAATCAGAATCTCCATGCGTTCCTCTTAAGTTTCAGAACTGTGAGAGCCACATTTGATACTGTTCTTAGTATACTTAAAAGCAGAAATGTGAGTTACTGGTTTACTTCTACATTCTTGGTTAGAATTGATTATTTACACTTAAAAATAAACCAATAGATGGAACAGCTGAATATTAATTTTTAAATATCACCAGAAAAATATCCATATATAATGTTGATGGGATTATATCATGGAAAAGCAAGTGTTACGATAAATGAAGGAACAAAAGACTGCGTATTGTGTGATCCCATTTATATGATATGTCCGGAATAGGCAACTTATGGAGGCAGAAAGCAGCTTAGTTACTGCCTAGGACTCAGATAGTAGAAAAATGGGGAGTGATGAACAATGAGTTTTCTTTTGTGATGATGAAAAGATACTGAAAACCATAAAATTGTACACTTCAAATGAGTAAATTATATCTCAATAAAGCTGTTAAAATATGTAATCATTCAATGATTTGGGGGGCATTCTTGAATATTGACACCTTTACCTTAAAAAAAGAGAGTAATTTTGAATTCCTCATGATACAACATTTCCAAAATATTTTGTTAATTTCTCAAAGATCATGGAATTTTAAAAAATCATGTATCCATGTAATAATATGGAAATTAAGGAATAAAATATCCTTTAAATTGGTGCTTTGGTGCTAATTTTTTTCTCAATATTTTTACAAAATAAAATTTATTTACTGTATTCTCTAATTATAATTGTTAACCTCTGTACTCTAATCTTTTGCTGTTTAAAGTGTGATCCATGGATCAGCAGCACTGGCATAACTTAAGAGCTTATTAGAAATGCAGAATTTCAGGTCCAGTTCCATATCTACTGAATCAAAACTGCCTTTTAACAGAATCCTCAGGTGATTCATTTGCATATTAAAGTGCTCTAAAGCAGTGATTCTCAAGATATAGTCTCCAGAAAAATAGCATCAGTTTTAGCCAAAAATTTGCTAGAACTTGAAATTCTCTGGTCTCACCCAAATGTACTGAATCAAAAACTCTAGCAATCTATTTTATCAAACTCCCCTGGTGATTCTGATCATGCTAACAAGTTTGCAGTAAAAGAGTCACTTCGTAGCACAATAGAATCACCTAGGGAACTTTAAAAAATCTTGATGCTCAGGTTGCAATTCATACCATTTAAATCAGGGTCCTTGTGTGGGATCCAGGTGTCGGTGTTTTTTTAAATTCCTCGGGTGATTCCAGTGTGCATTCAAGTTTGAAAATCAGTGTCCTAAAGAAGACAGACTATGCAAATTCATTTTACTGGCTATAGTTCTCAGAATTACTATAAATTATTGGATGACATTACATTTATCAGAAACAATAATTGACTGCCATTTTTGCCTTATCTTTTATAAGAGAGTTTGTCACACTTCATTCCCCTCCCACTCTGTTTCTTCCTTTACTTAATCTAGTAGAAACCCTCAGGTGACATTATTACCACAAACGTGGAAAACATTTCAAAGTGAAATTCAAGCCCTATGTTTAATAATCCTAGGGACTTACAAGAGGAAACAAGAGAACAAAAAGGGAAGTATTTGTTTTGAGAAGAGCAAAGCCTAAAGAAAAGGCTAATTCTATGAAAGGGTATAGCTGGCAGCCACTGCTACCTGGGTGAGCTTTATGGTAAATAAATTTAATCTCAATAATGCTGTTAAAAATATGTAATCATTTCATGATTTGCGGTGAAAGTGCAGGCATCTGCAGAAAGGTAGAAAGAGTGGAGTGGGAGTGAAATTTTCATGGAGAAGCAATGTTAGCACAGACCACAGATTCTGGTTATGGGGAAAAAAGGAAGAGGAAGGTCTCAGCTAAAAAATATACTGGTGGCAGCATTCAAGTGTTTCTGGAAAGATGAGGATCATTTTAATAAGTCAGTCATAGTCCACTTGTAACTAAGAGGAGTCCAGTTTGGGAGACACCACAAGGACCATGTCTTTCTGCTCTTAAAGTCATAGGGAAGATCTTGGATGAAAGTCAGAACTCCCACAGAGTATGGGAGAAATGAGGCCCAGCTCTGGTGGTTTAAAGAAATTCATATTAAATATGGAGGTGGCCCTTGGGAGGTTCAAACATTATAACTTTTTGGCTTAACCAGTGAATCCATTGCACACTCTGTTGCTGTTGTACTCAAAATATTGCTAGCAAGAAGACACTCTTATGATTATCAAGCTACTAGCAAAATGTTGCCTAAGAGTATATATTTTTCCCTCACAGGCGGTATTAGCTTGGGGATACCACTCCCAAATAAGAAGAAATTGATAAAAACTGCTTAAGCACTTTGAGACAGAGCTAAGAACTACGTCTTTGAAATATGTATTTTCTACCATATAAATTAACAGAAACTAATTGGAAAGCTGGAAAGAAAGGAGGGACTCTGGATGTGAACCCATAAACCAGAATTTACAGGCCTAAGATGTATGAGAAAACAAGGCGTATAGATGTCCTTCAGTGTCTTAGCCTTGCCAAAATTATTTGGGCAAGGAACTTGGTTCCTCTGAGGACTGTTCATCCTTTAAAGCAGGAAATAAAGCTTATGAGACAAGCTACATGCTACTGAAAATTGGTGGATTTGGGGGATAGTGTTGTAAGACCCATAGAATGCAAACGCTGTACTGTAACTATGGCCACACCACAGAAAGTTTTGCCAGAATGGTTAAGTTCTGAGTCAGAAAAGGGAACAAAAACCTGGAGGAGATGGCTCCCCTGGAGATAGCCCAAAGCCTCAAATCCATCTGTAATGATGCTGGAAGCAGAAAGGCCCTTGACTGAGGGTGTGGCCATGCAAAGAGTAGCAGACAAGTGCTTTGAACCTTCCTGAATATGCACTAATACAAAGTATACACATCGCCGCTGAGGGGTTTGGCAGAGGGGAATGGGAATCGGGTTTCTAGAAAGATAGGCTAGTCTGATATGCTTCAAAATGTTTCTGCAGATGCCTAAGGTTTCTGAGGTTCCTGAAGGTTATGTCAATTATCACTCACAATAAATAAAGTCTTGGAAAGGAGGAGGGATGGTATTCAAAGTTAATAGAAAAAAAAGTAAGAGGAATAAATCAAACATTGGTAAAGATTCAAGACTAAGCTTGATGGAAGCAGGCAATGGCTTTGAATAAAGTCTGGAGAGTCCACTGAGATAAATGCCTCCAGTCACTAAAAATTCAGTTTGGGGTGACTTTTGGCATTTATAATTTCCAAGGAATTTGTCCATCTCATCTAAACTGTTGAATTTGTATGCATAAAATTGTTTATTGTATTCCCTTATTAGCCTTTTTAATGTCTGTAGGGTCTGCAGTGATATCTCCCTTTCAGTCCTGGTACTGGTCATTTGTATCTTCTTCCTCTTCCCACTCTCCCATGTTAGATATGAGTTCTAAATTTCTTTTCAAAGAATCAATATGTCAGTATGTTCAATTCTTTGCCTTCTACTTTTAAACTTAACTTCCTCATAAAGCAACCTTTTTCGATTACCTGCTCCACTCTGACTCATTTCAATCACCTGCTCCACCCTGACTCATTCTGATTACCTGCTCCACCATGACTGATTCCGATTACCTACTCCACCCTCACTCATTCCGATTAACTGCTCTGTCATAACCATTTTTCCTCCCAAACCACTCACCCTGTCACTCTCTTTAAAGTAGCCAATCAGAATTAGTTTAGCCTGTGCGGTCTAACCCTAGCCAATAGGGGAACGACACAGCATCAGAGGCCATGTGTGTCGGGGTAAGAACCCCTTTCCCTCCCTTGTCCAGGTGTGCACTCACCATTGCTCCGTCTGTAAGGGCGCACCCTTCTATAGAAGTACCTTGCCTTGCTGATAATTAAAAAGAAAATTTTATATTCGAGTGCTATTTCTTTTGCGGTACCGAAACTTTATTTATAATACCCACCACCCATAGAATGTCTGCATAGAGTTTTACTTAGAGAACCACCTTTTGGTTTCATTGATTTTTCTCTACTATTTTTCTGTTTTCCACTTCATTTATTTCTGTTTTTATATATATCATTTCTACCCTTCTGCTTGTTTGGGGTTTAATTTGATTTTTTTTTTTTTTTTACTAGTTTCTTAAGAGGCTAACAAATTTGAGACCTTCCTTCTTTTTTAATATGAGCATTTAATGATCTTTTCATGTATTTCATAAATTATGATATGTTGTATTTTCATTTTTAGTTAGTTCAAAATATTTTCTAATATCCCTTGAGGTTTTCTCTTTGGCTCATGGATTTTTTAATTTCCACATATTTTGGGATTTTCCAGATGTATTTCTGTTATTGATTTCTATTTAATTCCTTAAAGGTTAGAGCACATACTTTGCATGATTCCAATTATTGTAAATCAATTAAGGCTTGTGTTATGGCCCAGCATATGGTCTTTCTTGATGAATATTCCATGAACAGTTGAAAATATTGTGTATTATGCTAATGTTGGGTGGTGTATTCTATAAATGTCAACTAGTGTTGTTTTAGTCTTCTATATCTTTATTGATTTTTCTGTCTAGTTCTTCTAATTCCTGAGTGTAGATATCTTCAAATAGATTTGTTAATTTTCCTATTTCTTCTTTCAGTTCTCTCAGTTTTTGCTTCACATAGTTTGATGCCTGTTGTCAGGAGCATACACATTTAGGATTATTACATATTCTCGGACAATTCACCCCTTCCTCAGTATTTAATGTCTTTTCTTATCCCTGATAATATTTTTAATTCTGAAGTCTATTCTATCTGATATTAATAAAGCAACTCCAGTATTCTTTTGATTGGTGTTTTCATGATGTATCTTTTATCTTTCTCTTATTTTATCTATCTATATATCTATATTTAAATGTGTTTCCTGTAGTCACATAATTGTCTTTTTAAAAATTGAATTTGATAGTCTGTTTTTTAATTAGAACATATAGAAATGTAGAAATCTTACCTGGTCCCTTTATGCTCTCTTCTTTATGTAGTGAATATATATAATATATATAATATAATACTTATATATAATATTATATTATTAGTTATGTTAATATAATATTAGGGTTAGGCTTAGGATTACTATCCCTGTTGTATAAATGAAAACACCAATACTCAGAGAGGTGAGGCAACTTGCCTATGGCCATATAATTATATTACATAATATAATAATAATGATATAATATCTGTGCATATTATATATATAATATATATTCATTTACTCACATGGAAACCCCCACCAGACAATATTATAATTTTGGCTTTTGATAATTCTACTTACTTAAAGAACTTAAAAGTAGAAAAATAGGCTTTTAGAGTTGACCTTTGAACAATACATGTTTGAACTGTGTGGGTCCACTTATACACAGACTTTTTTCAACCAGATGTGAATCGAAAATACAGTACTGAAGATCTAAACCCTGCAAATCATGAGGGCCAACTTTTTGTATACGTGGATTCTACCGGGCCAAATGCCGGACTTGAGTATACGCAAATTTTGGTATATGTAGTGGTTTGGAACCAATCACCTGTATGTATTGAGGGATGATTGTATGTTTACCTTAATATCTACATTTCTGTTTTTCTAAAGCGCTTCCTTCTACATTTATTTTAAAGCAGGTCTGCTGCCTACCAATTCTTCAAGCTTTCGATCAGCTGAAAATGTCTCTAGTTTGCTATCATTCCTGAAGGTCTTTTCATTGAATATAGGCTTAGGAGCTGGCAATTTTTTTTCCCTTTTAGCACTTGAAGGTTGGTATTTCCCTATCTCTAGCCTCCACAGCTTTTGATAAGAAAATTGTTGTTCCCCTGAATGTAATGTGTTATTTGTCACTGACCACTCTCTCTATATATAAATATTTAAATCTTTGGTTAAGTAGTTAATTATGTGTATTAGCATGGTTTTCTCTGAGTTTATTCTATGTGGGGTTCTCAGAACTTCTTGAATCTGTAAATTTGTGTCTTAAATTCATAAAACTTACAAAGTGTTCACCTATATTTCTTCAAAAAATACTTGGCAGTAATCTATTTCTCCTCTTTTTCTAGGATTTGAATGACGCAAATATCTTTGATATTCTTCTACAGGTACCAGAGACTCTGTTCTTTTTTTAAAAATCTTTTCTGTCATTTTGTTTTTCTGATTTGATAATTTATATTTTCCTACTTTCAAATTCAATGCTATTTCCTCTGTCATTTCCCCTATGCCATTAAGCCCATCCAGTAATTAAAAAAAATTTTATATTCTATTTTTCAGTTTTTAAATTTCCATTTCATTGATGTTCATAGTTTTTCTGCTCAAAACTTTCACTTTGCTGCTCATTTAAAAGTGTTCACCTTTACCTTATGGAGCATTTTATAACAACGGCTTTAACATTTTTGTCTGATAATTCAAATATCTAGGCCATCTCAGGGTTTGCACTTGTTGATTATCTTTTTCCTTGAAAAGTGATCAGATTTTTCTATCTTTTTAAAGTAATTTTGGGTTGTATGCTGAAAACTTTGATGATTATATTGTGAGATTCGTGGGCATGTGAAAACCTGTTGGAGATGTCAATTTGTTTTTGTTTTTGCCCAGTTAGGTTTAGACCATGAGCTCTGTCTCTCCTTTTATGGGTGGCAGTTATAGTTTTCAAAGCCTTTTCTATGCTGCTTGGGTTCGCTCCGTGCGTGTACCTCATTGGGTTAGTCTGAGATATAGCTGGTGGTTTATACTGTAGTTCACTTTTCAAAGCTATGCTTCTTTGCGTCTGTTCCATGCATTTGCAGGTCATAGTGAGAACTTATGTTAGTGCATACATAGAATTAGGGGATATCTTTCTCCAGCTCTCCCCTACCTGGCATTTCCTATCACACTCTCTGGCTCTTATGGTTCCTTTTCTTATGGTCCCTTTTCCATAGGGACCATAAGATCTGTTGAGCACATTTCTCTAACCAGAAAGCCATGGTATCTGAGTTTTAGCCCCTTACTCTGTGTGTAGTCTGTGCAGCTGAGATGCTCCTCATGATGAAGTAGCAAGAAAGAGAGAGAGAGAGAGAAAGAGAGACAGAGAGAACAATGATGATCCCCTCCATACTCTTTGGACCATAGGTGTCCCTTTTCTTTGTTCATCTAGTCAGAGAAATGAGCTCTCTCTCTGGGCTTTGCTGCTGCCCAGATTGCTGCTTCCATGACAAATTATCCTAAAACTTAGTAGCTTAACACAAACATTTAGTATGTGACATTTTCTGTGGTTCAGGATTCCTGGTGTCACTTAACTGGGTTTTCTGGCTGAAGGCATCTCATAAGGCTGCAGTCAATCAGGGTACCACCCAGGGCTGCAGTCATCTCAAGGCTTGACAGGGAGAGGACCGGCTTCCAAGGCCACTCATACGGCTGTAAACAGGTTTCAGAAGCTCCACTTCCAAGCTCACTACGTGGCTGCTTACATGCTACAGGTCCTTGTTGGCTGTTGGTCAGAGACATCAGTTCCTTGCCATATGGGCCTTTCCTTAGGACATCTCACAACATGGCAACTGGCCTTCCTCAGAGTGAGAGAGAGATAGAGTGAAAGAGAGTGAGAAAAAAGCAAAACAGAGTCTTTTTTTGTAACGTAATCTTGAAAGTGACATCCCAACATTTTAACCATATTTTATTTGTTGGAAGTGAATCATTAAGGCCAGCCCCTCATTCAAAGGGAAGGAATTATACAGCACAATGAATATCAGGAAGCGGAGCTAATTTGGGGCCATTTTGGAAGTTGCCTGCCACACTGTCTTAAACCACTGCCTTGTGTGTATAATTTTTAAGCACATATTATATCTTCATATCTTTTCCATGTAAATGAAAGAATATAAAATACTGTTACAGGTTTTGTTTTCTTTCCTGGTAAACATAGATTCCATCTGGATTCAAAAGAGATTAAGTATGTTGAAAACTGCAAGGTAGATCTAGAAAGAGCCAAGGATATGGAAAGTAAGTGTGGGTATGTTTAGTGCATCATTTTAATGCAGAATGGTTTCCTAGTCTGAATATTATTAGGCAAATTAATTATAAGAAACATCTGGCTGGAGGAAAACAAGGCACAATTAGGGTGAACAGAAGTTAGTGGAGTATGTTACTTCATTTTAAACTGTTGAAATTTGTGAGTCTGAGATCAAATCACACTTCTGCAAAGGATAAATTAAGCTACTTCAAATTGGTCCTTTATCAAGTGGAGAAGTAAGAGACATTCCTATTTTTTTAGACTTTATATCAGCTTAAGATCCACTGAGCACATTAAAGCTCTTTGAAGGAATAGAATACTTGGGTATCGGGCTGGCAAATTGAAAAAAAGAAGGAGATCTCTAAAAGAGACAAATTTCCTTCTAATAATGAGTGGCAGAGAGTATTTTACAAAGTGGTCCATGATAATATTTTCCATTCCACCTGCTCTTCTGCAGTGTGACCTGGCTACTCTCTTATCAAGAGGTGGAGTCCATTTTTCTACCTCTTTCTTGGATTGGCCTTATATCGGCTTTGGCCATTAGAATATGGTGGAAGTGATGGCATGTCAGTACCAGCCATCACTCTTAATAGATCCAGCAGTTTCTGCTTCCTGTCTTTGGAGCTTTGAGCAACCGTAGAAAAAGTCCAAGCTATTCTCTTGGAGAATCCTGGACATCTGGACATCTTGCTCATTTTAGCCTTTAGATCACTCCAGACCCAGCCGCTGTCTAAATGCCATCACATGAGAAATCCCAAGTGAGAACCACTCAACTGATTCCAGTCAACACATAGAATCAAGGATGATAGTAAGACATTATCACTTTACGTCATTAAGTTTAGGACGGTCTGTCACATAAAGCCAAAATTTGAAAAACTCCTTTATGTTAAATATGGACATTTCAGGAGGTTTACGATATTACATTATTTAGCTATAGGACACAACTGATGGACATTTTATAATATCTATCTGCATATAGATACAAATTTATAATCTGTAGCTTAATTACTTTCTATAGTTTAAAATATAACAAATAAGTGACAATCAATAACTATTGTTCTACCTTAAGATAAATGTCATCACATACTTGTATGTTTCTTCTCATCTTTTCTATGTGCACGTTAAAAAAATTGCACAACTGTGTATCAATTTAACAGTACGTATTTAGCATTTTTAACATTAGTTTTGAAAACATAAGCATAACTATGTATTTTTCTTTATATTTAATATACTTCAACCATTCTCTTATTATTATATATAAAAGTTGTTTCCAAGATTTCCAACATTTCACTTTTGTAATTGTACTGTAAATTCTATCATATATGAATGCATGTGCTCATCTCTGACTATTTCCTTAGAAAAGATTTCTAGCTAAAGGATATGGCCATTATCATAGCTTTAAAAAAAAGATCATATTATTGAATCAGACTGTCAAGGACTAACCATGTAGAAGAGCTCCACTTTCTTCAAACCCTGGGAAGGGCAATTAGATTTCATCTAGAGTACCATCATTGATTAAATATCAATGTTGACCTGGTACTCCTTTTTGAGAATGACTGCAAGACCACATCTGAATATGGCAGCAAAGAATGCTAAGATAAATTAGTGATGCTTAACCTCAATGAAGGATGGAAGCATGGAAGCACATGTGTTTTGTGTCTGCCAAATCAGCCTTAGCCAGTTCTGGGGATGAATATACATATATTCATTAATTTTTGCCAACATGAAATACAAAAGAAAGTTTCTTGCTTTTGTTATAAAGCATATTTCCATAATTACAATTGTGGTTGAATAGTTTTTCATATGTTTGATGTCCATCTGAACTTATTCTTTTGTAAATTATTTTCCATTATCCTTTGTCCATATTTCCAGTTGTCTTGCTAATATGGACTTATAAGAGTGATTTATATATAAGGATAATTCAATTTTTTTCCTACTATTTTCTAATTTGTTATTTTTATTTTTTATTTTATGTGTGAGTTTTTGATGAATAAAAGTGGTAATTGCTATATGATCAAATAATTTAACATTTTCTTTGTGGTTTCTTCCTTTGTGTTCAGCCTTAAAATATTCCTTCCTACCCTACAATCTTATAAATGTTTATCTATATATTCTTTGGACTTATTTATGATTTAATCTCTTTATATTTATCTCTTAAATCCATCAGAAATCTAAGTTTATATTTTTTTCATAAGTAAGCTATTATCCTAGCATGTATATTTATCTCTTAAATCCATCAGAAATCTAAGTTTATATTTTTTCATAAGTAAGCTATTATCCTAGCATGTTTATTAAACAATCCTTCTTTTTCCACTGATGTGAAATGCAATCTTTATTATGCACTAAATTCTTAACTATTCTGGTGTTTGTTTCAGAAATTTCTGTGCCATTTCATTGATCTATTTCCTTAAATTTGCAACTGAGACATAGTATCCTTTGTCTTTATGTATTAATTTATCTATTTACTTATTTATCTATGTGCCATAGCAGTGAGCATTTTTGGCCTACAGCCTATCAAATCTAATGACTTTCAAATTTATTACTTTTTGTTGTACTAACACAGAAAATTCAAAAAGTAATATCAAACACAGAATTTCCCGTTAGCTTATTAGTTTGTGGGAGATAATTCTTAGGCTTGAGAGGCTTGAGTGGAAATATTGATTATCCTTCTAATTACTATGTTGCAATGAGCAAAATCATCCAAAAGAGACCGAAAAGCAAAAAGTTCATTCTGAGTTGTCTGTACAACACATTCTCTGGATTTAAACTATAAGATCAGAACATAATTTAAAAGGAGAGAAAGAATTTTTATGTAAACTATTATGTGTCTCCTCATTTACATATATGTGGAAAGAAGGCAACCAGATATAGAATAGATAGAGGGGGAACGAAAACATTGCAGAGATGCAGAAGCTGTTGGGCGTGTAGATGTTATCGAAGTTTATTGATTACTTCTAGGAAGGCTGCTTTGCATAATTTTTCTAAAAGAACGTCTCCAACGAAATCCTTAGTAGTTTAGATAAATATACTTTTTTGGAAAGGAGAAACTCATTTTTGCTAAGGAGAAGGTCCCAAAGATTATATGCCCCATCTGGAGCATCAACACAGAATTCTTGCATTTAGAATCCCAAGAGGCTCATGCTCATGAAATTCATTTAGGGTCATGTTCAACAAATAAGAACAATCATTCAACTTCTCCTGAAAGAAGGAACAGCAAACTTTTGATAAAAATAGAAACAATGGGCTGGGTGCGGTGGCTCACGCCTGTAATCCCGGCACTTTGGGAGGCCAAGAAGGGCAGATCACCTGAGGTCAGGAGTTCAAGACCAGCCTGGCCAACATGGTGAAACCCCATCTCTATTAAAAATACAAAAAATTAGCTGGGGATGGTGGTGCACACCTGTAATCCCATCTACTTGGGAGGCTGAGGCAGGAGAATCACTAGAACTCAGGAGGCAGAGGCTGCACTGAGCTGAGATCGTGCCACTGCACTCCAGCCTGGGTGACAGAGCAAGCCTCCATCTCAAAGACAAAAAAGAAAGAAAGGAAGAAAGAAATAATGAAATGTTTGAAATTAAGTAATTAGGAATGCATGCTTAAAGTTTTAATTTTTATCTTTTTCTTAAGAATATTTGCAATAAAGTTTATGGAGTTATTTCCCCTTTTCCTTTCATTAAGAAGTCAGCACATTTACTCTCCTAACTTCTTCAGAATAGCTATGCTTCATTTTCAATAAAGTTAGAATGGATAAAAGCCATGTTAGTACCATGAAATAATTTTTCTGTACTTCCAGTGGCTAAAACAACATTTCCTAATTATCATATGTAATTTACACATATGTACATAATTCATGTATGGGGTGTGTTTGTGAATACTCACTCTTTAATATTCTGGTATTCAGGTAGTACATTTGTAGGACGCATTCTCTTACCTCTGATGGAGGATTACAGAGATGTATGGGGAACTCGAAGTTACCCATCTCCTTCCACTTCAAGACGGAAGAGTTTCATAATATATGGCTCAGGAGAAAATAAAATAGATTTCTTAGGGGACAACTTTGGTCTGTCATACCAAGGCAATGATTCTCAACTATGACTGCATATTAGAATCACCTGAGGAATTTAAAAACAAAACAAAACACTCCAGAGATTCTTACTTACGTGGTTCAGGATAAGAATTTTTTTTTTTTTTTTTTTTTTTTGAGACCGGGTCTTGCACTGTCGCCTGGGCTGGAGTGCAGTGACGTGATCTCAGCTCACTGCAACCTCCGCCTCTCAGGTTCAAGCGATTCTGCTGCCTGAGCCTCCCAAGTAGCTGGGATTACAGGTTCCTACCACCACACCCAGCTAAATTTTTGTATTTTTCACAGAGAAGAGGTTTCACTATGTTGGCAAGGCTGGTCTCAAACTCCCGCCTGGCCAACATAGCAATCCGCCCGCCTCGGCCACCCAAAGTGCTGGGATTATAGGCGTGAGCCACCACGCCTGGCCCAGGATAGGCATTTTTTAAGAGTACCCTAGGTACTCTTAAAAATCTAAGGTATAGCCAAGGTTGAAAACCTTTATTCTTAGGGCTGGAGGACAAAGTTGTGGTCTATGAATAGATGACTTACCTCAACTCCTTTCTAGGTCTTGGGAAGTGCTCTCTTTCCTTTGGCGTGTTTTTCGTGATTCATCTCTGGTGTCTCTCTTGCAAGCATATGAACACATGGAAGGAATCACACTGCTTTTTCCTTGCCTCCTGAGGACACGGGCTTGGAAGATGCTGATGAAAGAAACCCCCCATGCTCCAGATGCGTTGGAGAAGTATGTGGAAAAGATCAGAAGGGATGAGATTATGAGAAATATAAGGCCATGAAATTAACTTATTTGCTTTTTATGTGACAGAAAGCACAAGCATAACTGAATTTTGCGGTGGCAGGAAACCAGGGCCTCAGAATAAATTTAAAGGAGAACTGAGGTTTTAAATTTTTAAGGGTACCCTAAAGTACAAAAGAGGATATCAAAAAGGTGTTGGAAACTGGAGGTATCACTACTGGTAACTTCCTTTGAGGGAGGCAAAACATTTTATTTATTATTATTATTTTTTATTTTTTATTTTTTTGAGATGGAGTCTCGCTCTGTTGCCCAGGCTGGAGTGCAGTGGCACGATCTCGGCTCATTGCAAGCTCCACCTTCCGGGTTCACGCCATTCTCCTGTCTCAGCCTCCCAAGTAGCTGGGACTACAGGTGCCCACCACCACACCTGGCTAATTTTTGTATTTTTTTTTTTTTTTAGTAGAGATGGAGTTTCACCATGTTAGCCAGGATGGTCTTGATCTCCTGACCTCATGATCTGCCCACCTTGGCCTCCCAAAGTGCTGGGATTTCAGGCGTGACCCACCGACAAAACATTTTAAATGCCAGCATCTGCATGGGGCAGGTAACCAGCATTGAGGATGAATTTTGTACCCCAGGATGTGGGAAACCTGATGTTTCTAGTAAAAGCTCGACAGGTGATGGATTCTGGGATATTGGCACAGGTTGTCTGGCATCTTGCCAAAGCTAAAGAGATGAGAATGTTCTCTTTTTTCACTCCATTAGGTTTAGCTTATTCTGGATTTCCCTTCTGAATCTCTGGACTAAATTAAGCCTCTGTCTTGGTGCAGGGCTAGAAAAAGTGCAGTACAGCGCTCTGGTGGTCACTTGTGTTCCGGGGATTCTTCTGCATTTTCTGTGTTTTCAGCAGGGACCTGTACTGTGGTATGTCCATGTGCCTTGGATCTGGGAAAAAAGCACGGAAGTCTCTGTGAGAAGGGTCATGAGCCTCTGCTTCAAACCCTGATTCTTTAATAGACCAAACTGATAAGGTAAAAACAAAGCAAAATGAAACACTTCCTGTTGAATTCCCCAATTGGCTTCACCCTTACATTCTCTTGTCTCCACTTCAACTAACTGTCTGTAAAGAGGAGTATATAAGTAAAACAGGAAATAAGATGACCTACGTCAGTGAGGGCTCTTCAGCTTCTCTTTTTCTCGGAGGAGCACAGCTCCTGGGTTTCTCAGATTGGTCACTCTGGTGAGGTGCAAGGAAGAACAGCAGAATGTAAAACAGCAGCTGAGGCACAGGAAGCCTTCTCTGCATTTATCCAGACAAATCCACTCACTCTGAACATCTGGGGTGGGGGAAGGGAAGAGGATGGCGGTGAATACAAGTTTCACGAATATAGCGCAATTCAAAAGCATGGGCACTGGGAGGATGACTCACTCCTTCCTGGATGGTCTTCCCATTGCTAAAGTGGCCTAACATTGGCAGAATCACACATTTCACAAAGTAGAATACACATGCTTTAAGTGGTTTGATAAATAATTTTGCAGATAGCTACAGAATTTCATAAGCAGCTGACTCTGGTATAAAGAGGGAATTATGACCGGGCGCGGTGGCTCATGCCTGTAATCCCAGCACTTTGGGAGGACGAGGCGGGTGGATCACGAGGTCAGGAGATCGAGACCATCCTGGCTAACAGGGTGAAACCCCGCCTCTACTAAAAACACACACAAAAAATTAGCCGGGCGTGGTGGCGGGCGCATGTAGTCCCAGCTACTCGGGAAGCTGAGGCAGGAGAATGGCGTGAACCCAGGAGGCGGAGCTTGCAGTGAGCTGAGATCGTGCCACTGCATTCCAGCCTAGGCGACAGAGCGAGATTCCATCTCAAGAAAAAAAAAAAAAAGGGAATTATGGTTGCATTTTGAAATTCTGAAAGGAAAGAGAGAGGGCCAGTACATGAAACCAAACCCTGAGCCAGCTACCTGGAGGCTTTCTCTTATGCTCCAGCATAAAAATGCAGCCCATTCTCTACAAAATCGGAAAAGATGAGGCCCGTGAGAAACTTTAGGCTGGGTAACAATATAGAAGCGCTGACATACAGTAGTGCTGGGGCAGGATGGCCCAGGTTACACCTGCTGAAGAAAGGATCCAGACCCCCCTGTGTCCTGACAGGCTTCTCCTCTGGCTGAGAGTGATTGAATAGGAAGAAATGGGACAGAAAAGAGTTTTTGTTTTTGTATTTATTTTGGTGCATAGGTTCCTCTGTGGGTATTTGCAATTAAAATGGTTAAAGAGTTACATGATTTAAACATTTTAGAGCTGTTCAGAAATAATGTGGCATTTTTAACTCGCTACACATCATTTAGTATTCTTTCTGATTGACAAACATTAATTGATTTATTTCAAATGGAAAATAATGTAAAGGCATGGCATATAGATGTATATATTTCTGATGTTTTTATGCATATGTGAGTATAGGAGAACAGTATATGAAATCTTAACTTGTAGGAGACTTTAACAACTAAAGGGACATTCTATTTTTCTCCTCTAGAACACCCCTGTATTCCCACTGAGAGATAAAAACCGTGTTAGCTGGCCAGGTCAAAAGCTCCTTTACCTCTGCATGAAATAGAGATTTTGGAAGATGTGGTCTGGGAGTACAGATTATTTTTCTGGCCCCTCCCTTTTTTAGATAGGACTAATGGGTTGGATGAAAAGAGGATGGATTGATGGGACTAGCAGGGCACCATCCTGACCTTCAAAGACAGGGTAAATTAATTTAAGAGTAGCTGATTATTTGCCTGTACTATCCAGATTTTTAATATAAAGTATCCCCAGGAATGGGTCGCACATCGCTAGGTGAGATAGAGTGACACAAGGAGGCTGAAGAACATGGTAAGAGAATGCCCATTGAATGGCTACAGTGAGGGTGGAACAAGTGAAGGGTAAGTCATGCAAGTGCACGGCAGATCCTTTTGTTAATTAAAACTGTGATATTTTGTTAATCATTTGTTTGCATTCATTCTGCTATTTTAAAAATATTGCGTTAGGATGTCATTTATCTTGATTACTAAAGTTGTTGGCACCTCATTAAGTTTTGTGCTCAAGGCAAGTGACTCACTGACCTCACCCCAGCTGTGTCCCATTGGCTGCCTGGAACAGAGGCTGTGCAAAATACCCAACCAAAGGCTGTACCAGGGACTGTGTGGGTGAGGGGTAGAAGGCTGAGTGACAGACATCCAAGCCAGGGATTGGATGCACGGCATGACTCATCCTCAAGGGAATTTCCTTTCCCTAAAAGCTGCTCAAGGGACCAGGTGTCTGCCCATAGGGACCTCACCTAATGTTCCAAAACACACCAGATCTGAAATCACAGTGGAGAAAAGAATAAAGACAAAAGGACACTTCTCAAATGAGAAATCTAGGGCCAAGAAGCAAGTACACCCTTCTACTTCCTAAAAGCAGCCAACGATTCAGGAACCGGTCCCTAGGTCTCTCCATATAGAAAGACAAAGGTCACACTGAACAGAGGAGAAAAAGTCTACATAGCATTTATGATTAAGGCTATGGATAAGAAATGTCCTATTTAATAAGAAATAAAAGATTTCACCTGATCATTTTGAAAGTCAACACAATAAATGTCCTAGAGTTGGCTCTGTGAGTTACCAGTGTTATGCTAGCTTTTTTTTTTTAGTTGGCTCAGCAAACTATCGCGAGAACAAAAAACCAAACACCGCATGTTCTCACTCATAGGTGGGAATTGAACTATGCTAGCTTTTCATTCCGAGCCCTTTCACCTCAGGTCACAAGCAGACTGTGACAGCTCAGGGCATTATATTCTCACATGGCCCCCCAAAAGGCAGAAACTAGGGTGTTTGTATTAAAGGGACTGGAGAGAACCATTGAGGAAAAGGTCTCATTGAACTCCCTGTCTTTCTCAGGGATGAAAAACCTTTCCAAGAAGCATCCAACTGACTTCCCCTTATGTCTCTTTGGTCAAATTGGATCACATGACCATGTCCTGCAAGTGGAGGTTCTGAGAAAATAAGATTCTGTTTTCTTCAGCCACTGTAGTAGTGAGAACCTGTCAAGGGTAAAGGGGATGGGTATGATTACTGGGGACTCAACTAACAGTGTTTGCCACAACATCCAAGTTCATGGTTATACAATTTGTCTGTTATCTATATTCACATAGAGATGAATACACACATACATCTACGCATACACAAATGAGATAACAACAACAAAACCCCACAAATGTTAGTATGTGCGATCATAAGCACACACTGGCTGGGCTTAGTGGAGTGGCTCAGCTTGGAGGAGTGGCTCTACTCATCTCAGCTGGGGGCCCTCCTGCACCTGGCTATTATGGGCTGGGCTACGGAGACTTGGCTCTGCATTCCTTATCTCCCTGCTGTCTCCTGGGACCAATGGGCTAATACAGGCATGTTTTTTCTTATGGCAAGAACAGAGGTTCAAGAGAGAGCTCACTGTGCTAATACATTTCAAGCCCAAGCTTGTGCGATTCTGTGAACATCTTGTTTGTTAAAGCAAGTCACAAGGCTGAGCCCCAAATTAAGGGGTGTTGAAGCAATGCCTCCCATGGAACTGAGGAGTAGAGTCCAATCTACCCTGCAAAGAAAATGGAAGGGAACAAAGGAAGGCGGCAAACATGCATTAAAAACAAAGAACCTGGAATAAAGTGACAGGAAACTAAATGTTTTAGTTAAAATAATTCGTGAAAATGGGTTAATATCCTAATGCATCTCAAAGAGACAAAGACTAAAAAAGAAGGTAAAAAGAAAGAGTAAAGAAATATCCAAGCAAATCGGAAATAGTAATGATGGTGATGACAATAATAATAATAATAATAGTAATATTATAATAAAAGCTGAAGTGCCATCCAGCTGTTTCAGACACAGATCTGTGGTGGCAGATTCCCTGATCTCTGCTGGTGATGTCCCTGACTCTCACTCCTACAGTTCTCCCAACTACCATATAAAGTCTACATCCTACATTAAACTCTTCATTCCTGGAAAAAAAAAAAAAGAGCTGCAGTGTCATCCAGACATAGATAGAATTCAAGGTAAATATATTAGATGAATAAAGACTGGTTTTATGCTATTAAAGTTATGAAGTTACATTGTTAATAAATGAATGTTTATTCACAGTAATATGTAAATATGAGCATTTATGCATAAAATTTAAAACATCATAAAAATATAAAGCAAACCCTGGAAAAATACAAATATAAATGGTCAAAAACTGTACTAGATTTTAACAGACTTTCAGCCTCAAACAGATGGAATAGATTAAAGTGACTAAGGATATAGAGTAGTTGGATAATGTATGTAATAAAGTTGATTTATAAGATAAATTATACATATCTTACAACCAAAAGTGTTTATTTTTCTCAAAATCTAATGGTATGTTTTACTGCATGTCATATAGTAGGCCACAAGAAATTTCAATAAGATCAGAGGATGTACACGCCTGTTTTTAACTCCAGTGAAATAAAGTCAGGAATTAATTTAAAATAGGTCAAAAAAAACATACAAATAAACACTTGAAGTTAAAAAAACAACATAAAAATAAAACACACCATTACTTCAATAATTTCTGGGCAAAAGAGGAAAATAAACTCCAATTATAGATTGTTTAGAAAATAATAATGATACTACACATAGATTTAGTTAATGGAAAATTTTATCTGTAAAAGCTCTATTTAAAAAAGCAGAATAAGGGGTAAGTAAATACAGCACCTTCAACTGAAATATCTGGGATCTTGCACTGGGACTGACTAGGCAATCAATTTGACCCACAAAGAAATAAGAAAAGCAGGGTGGAGCGATGGCCCACCCGGGAGTGGCACAGAGACAAGGGAACCCTCCACCCCCAGCCAAGGGAAGCCGTGAGTGATTGTGCAACCATGCCTGAGAAACCAGGCCTCTTTCACGGATGTTTGCAACCCCTGCATCAGGAGATCCCCTTGTGAGCACACACCACCAGGGCCTTGGGTCTGACACACAGAGCTATGCGGAATCTCGGCAGAGCAGCTGCTCAGGCATGCACAGAGACCCAGGAGCTTTACATATTCGGCCCTAGGATCCTCAGCAAGGCAGGAGGTCGGTACATACCCCTAGGAAGGAGGCTGAATCCAGGGAGCCAAGCAGCGTCGGTCTGTGGGCTTCACTTCCAGAGCACTTCACAAGATAAGACCTACTGGCTTGGAATTCCAGCCAGCCAATGGCAACAGCGTGGAGCCCGCCTGAGATGGAGCTCCCAGTGGGAGGGGCAGCTGCCATCTCTGTGGTTTGGTAGACTCAGCCTTCCAGCCCACCGGCTTTGGAGAGTTCAAATGGTCCAGAAGAGGAAGGGTCCTCCAGTGCAGCACGGCTGCTTTGCCAGATCATGGCCAGACTGCTTCATTAAGCAGGACCCCAGTCCACTTCTCTTCAACGGGCAGGACCTCCCTGTTGGGGCTACAGCACCCCCAGCAAGTTTTGTATGGACGGAGCTCTGATCTCTCCCTGGAATGGAGCTCCTGTGGGGAGGGGCTGCCACAATCTCTGTGATTTGGTCGACTCAGCTATTCCAGCTCAGTGGCTTTGGAGACTCCAAATGGTCCAGATGAGAAACAGTATCTGGAGTGCAGCACAGCTACTTTGCCAGATCGTGGCCAGACTGCTTCTTTAAGTGGGATCCCCGATCCACTCCTGCTCATGGGGCAGGTCCTCCCAGCTGGGACATCAACCCACTCCCCGCTCATGTTCTAAGGCTAACAAAGCTCTAACTTCCTCCTGGGATGGAGTGCCTGGGGGGCAGGGCAGGCTGCCATCTTGGCTATTCGAGTTTCTCAGTCAATCCAGGCTGCCAGCCCTGAAGAGCCCACAGCGATCTGGGACTGAAGGGATCCCCAACACACAGCACACCTGCTCTACCCAAAAGTGCTAGAGTGATTCTTTAAATGGTTCCTTGATCCTGTTCCTCCTATGTGAAAACTCCCAACAGAGGTCTCCAACCACCTGCTACAGGCATGTCCAGGCCCACAACAGGCAGATACCCATCTGAGATGGAGTTTCCAGAGGAAGGAGCAGGCTGCCATTTGACAGTATTAGACAGATCACTAAGACAGAAAATTAACAAAGATATTCAGGACCTGAACTCAGCTCTGGATCAAGTGAACCTGGTAGACATCTACAGAACTCTCTGCCCCAAAACAACAGAATATACATTCTTCTCATCGCCACATGGCACTTACTCTAAAATTGATCACATAATCGGAAGTAAAACATTCCTCAGCAAATACAAAAGAATTGAAATCATAACAATCTCTCAGACCATAGTGCAATCAAATTAGAACTCAAGACCAAGAAATTCACTCAAAACCATACAACTACATGGAACTTGAACAACTTGCTCCTGAATGACTATTGGGTAAATAATGAAATTAAGGCAGAAATCATTTGTGTCCACACCCAAATCTCATCTCAAAATGTAATCCCCAGGTGTTGAGGGAGGGACCTGGTGGGAGGTGATTAGGTCATGGGGGTGGTTCCCCCGTAATGTTCTCGTGATAGTGAGGAAGTTCTCTTGAGATCTGATGGTTTTAGAAGGGGCTCTTCACTTCCTACCCATGCTCCCTCTCACCTGCCACCATGTAAGACATGCCTGCTTTCCCTTCCACCATGATTGTAAGGTTCCTGAGGCCTCCCCAGTCGTGTGGAACTGTGAGTCAATTAAACCTCTTTCCTTTTGAAGTTACCCAGTCTCAGGTATGTCTTTGTAGCAGTGTGAAATGGACTAATACAGTAAATTTGTACTGGTAGAGGGAGTACTGCTATAAAGATACCCAAAAATGTGGAAGCAACTTTACTTTGGAATTGGGTAACAGGCAGAGGTTGGGACAGTTTGGAGGGCTCAGAAGAAGATAGGAAGATGTGGGAAAGTTTAGAACTTCCTAGAGATTTGTTGAATGGTTTTGATCAAAGTGCTGATAATGATGTGGACAGTGAAGTCCAGACTGAGGTGGTCTCAGATGGAGATGAGAAACTTCTTGGGAACTGGAGCAAAGGTCACTCTTGCTATGCTTTAGCAAAGTGACTGGCAGGCATTTTGTCCCTGCCCTAGAGATCTGTGGAACTTTAAACCTGAAAGAGATAATCGGAAATTGGAACTTATGTTTAAAAAGGAAACAGAACATAGAAGTTTGGAAAATTTGCAGCCTAATGATGTGATAGACAAGAAAAACCAATTTTCTGGGGAGAAATTCAAGCTGGCTGCAGAAATTTGCATAAGTAATTAGGAGGCAAATGTTAATCGCCAAGACACTGGTGAAGATGTCTCCCAGGGCATACCAGAGATCTTGATGGCAGCCCCTCCCATCACAGACCCACAGGACTAGGACGGAAATATGGTTTCATGAGCTGGGCCCAGGGTTCCCCCTGCTCTGTGCAGTCTAGGGACTTGGTACCCTGTGTCCCAGCTACTCCAGCTCTAGCCATGGCTAAAAGGGGCCAAGGTACAGCTCAGGCCATTGCTTCAGAGGGTGCAGGCCCTAAGCCTTGGTGGCCTCCACATGGTGTTGGGCCTATGGGTGCACAGAAGTCAAGAACTGAGGTTTGGGAACCTCTACCTACATTTCAGAGGACATATGGAAATGTCTAGATGTCCAGCCAGAATTCTGCTGCAGAGGCAAAGCCCTCATGGAGAACCTCCACTAGGGCAGTGCAAAGGGGAAATGTGGGGTTGAAACACTCACACAGAGTCCCCACTGGAGCACTTCCTAGTGGAGATATAAAAAGAGGGCCACCATCCTCCAGACCCCAGGATGCTAGATCCACTGACAGCTTACACCACATGCCTGGAAAAGCCAGCAGTGAAAGCAGCTGGGGAAGGGGACGCTACCCTGAAAGGCCATAGGGGCAGGGCTGTCCAAGGCCATGGGAGCCCACCCTTTGCATCAATGTGCCATGGATGTGAGACATGGAGTTAAAGGAGATTCTCTTGGAGCTTTAAGATTTAATAATTGCTCTGCTGGATTTCAGACTTGCATGGGGCCTGTAGCCCCTTTGTTTTGGCCAATTTCTCCCACTTGGAATGGGAGCATTTATCAAATGCCTATACCCCCATTCTATCTGGAAGTAACTAACTTGCTATTTACAGGCTCCTAGGTGGAAGGGACTTGCCTGGTCTCAGATGAGACTTTGGACTTGGACTTTTGGGTTAATGCTGGAATGAGTTGACTTTGGGAGAACTTTTGGGAAGACATGATTGGTTTTGAAATGTGTAAAGACATGGGTTTCGGAGGGGCAAAGAGCAGAATAATATGGTTTGGTTTTGTGTGCTCACCCAAATCTTATCTCAAAAATGTAATCCCCAGGTGTTAAGGAAAAGACCTGGTTGGAGGTGACTGGATCATGGGATTTGTTTCCCTCATGCTTTCCTCATGTTAGTGAGTGAGTTCTCCTGAGATCTGATGGTTTTATAAGGGGCTCTTTCCCCTTCACTTCTTTCACATGCTCTCTCTCACCTGCCACCACATAAGACATGCCTGCTTCCCCTTCCACCATGATTGTAAATTTCCTGAGGACTCCCCAGTCATATGGAACTGTGAGTCAATTAAATCTCTTTTCTTTATAAATTACCTAGTCTCTGGTATGTCTTTGCAGCAGGGTGAAAATGAACTAATATGACCATTGATGCAAAAATTTGCAAAAAAATACTGGCAAACCAAATCCATCAGCACATCAAAAAGCTTATTCACCGCAACCAACTTGGCTTCATCCCCAGGATGCAAAGTTGATTCAACATACACAAATCAATAAATGTGATTTATCACATAAACAGAACTAAAGACAAAAGCCATATGATTATCTCAATAGATACAGAAAAGACTTTTGATGAAATTCAACATTCCTTCATGTTAAAAACTCTCAATAAACTAGTTGTTGGAGGAATATACCTCAAAATAATAAGAACCATTTATGACAAACCCCAAACCAACATCATACTGATTAGGGAAAAGCTGGAAGCATTCTCCTTAAAAACTGGCACAAGACAAGGATACCCTCTCTCACCATTCTTATTCCACATAGTATTGGAAGTCCCAGCCAGAGTAATTGGGCAAGAGAAAGAAATAGAGGGCATCCAAATAGGAAGAGAGGAAATCAAATTATCACTGTTTTCAGATAACACGATTCTATATCTAGAAAACCCTAGAGTCTTGGCCTCAAACTCCTTCAGCTGATAAACAACTTCAGCAAAGTTTCAGGAAACAATGCCAACATACAAAAATCACTAGCATTTCTATACACCAACAATAGCCAAGCTGAGAGACAAATCAGGAACGCAATCTCATTCACAACTGCCACAAATAAAATAAAATAAAATAAAATACTTAGGAATACAGCTAACCAGGGAGGTGAAAGAGCTCTACAATGAGAATTATAAAACACTTCTCAAAGAAATCAGAGATGACACAAACAAATGGAAAAACATGCCATCCTCATGGATAGGGAGAATTAATATCGTGAAAATTGCCATACTGCCTAAAACAATTTATAGATTCAATGCTATTCCCATTAAACTACCATTGACACTCTTCACAATTCAGAAAAAAAAAACTTTTAAAATTCACATGGAACCAAAAAAGAGCCTTAATAGCCAAGACAATCCTAAGCAAAAAGAACAAAGCTAGAGGCATTACGCTACCCAACTTCAAACTATACTACAAGGCTACAGTAACCAAAAACAGCATGATACTGGTACAAGAACAGACACATAGACCAATGGAACAAGATAGGGAACCTAGAAATAAGACTGCACACATACAATCATCTGATCTTCGACAAATCTCACAAAATCAAGCAATGGGGAAAGGATTCCCTGTTTATCAAATGGTGCTGGGAGAACTGGCTAGCCATATGCAGAAAATTGAAACTAGGCACCTTCGTTACACTGTATACAAAAATCAACTCAAGATGGATTAAAGACTTAAATGTAAACCCCAAACTATAAAAATCCTAGAAGAAAATCTAGGCAATATTATTCAGGACATAGGCATGGCAAAAATTTTGTGAAGAAAACACCAAAAGCAGTTGCAACAAGTGCAAAAAGTTACAAATGGGATCAAATAAAACTAAAATGCTTCTTCACAGCAAAAGAAACTATCATCAGAGTGAACAAAGAATGTACAGAATGGGAGAAAAGTTTTGCAATCTATCCTTCTACAAAGGTCTAATATCCAGAGTCTATAAGGAACTTAAACAAATTTACAAGAAAAAAAAACAGATAACCCCATTAAAAAGTAGGCAAAGGACATGAACAGACACTTCTCTAAAGAAGACATACATGTGGCCAACAAATATATGAAAAGAAGCTCATATCACTGATCATTGGAGAAATACAAATCAAAACCACAATGAGATACCATCTCAGCCAGTCAGAATGTCTACTATTAAATAGTAAAAAACCAACAGATGTTGTCGAGGTTGTGGAGAAAAAGGAATGCTTATATGCTGTTGGTGGAAGTGTAAATTAGCTTAACCATTGTGGGAGACAGTGTAGCAATTCCTTAAAGACATAAAAACAGAAATACCATTGGACCCAGCAATCCCATTACTGGGTATATACCCAAAGGAATACATATCATTCTATTATAAACATACATACAAACCTATGTTCATTGCAGCACTGCAATGGCAAAGGCATGGAATCAACCTAAATGCCCATCAATGATAGACTGGATAAAGGAAATGTGGTGCATATACACCATGGAATACATGCTGCCACAAAAAGGAATGAGATCATGTCCTTTGCAGGAACATGGATGGAGTTGGAAGCCATTATCCTCAGCAAACTAATGCAGCAACAGAAAACCAAACACCCCATGTTCTCACTTGTAAGTGGGAGCTGAACGATGAGAACACATGGTCACATGTCAGGAAGCAACACACTCTGGGGCCCGTGGGAGGGTGGGGGGGTGGGAGGAGGGAGTGCCTTAGGAAGAATAGCTAATAGGTGGTGGGCTTAATACCTAGTTGATGGGATAATCTGTGCAGCAAACCATCATGGCACATGTTTACCTGTGTAACAAACCTCCACATCCTGCACGTGTACCCTGGAACTTCAAATAAAAGTTAATTCAGAATAAATGGATTTAAGTCAAGGAACTACAAAAGACATTGTTCAGAATAAAAGCATAATTTAATGTATCAGAAAACGAGTCTAAGCATTTGTTCTCTAAAAAGCATAACAACATAGATAAACATTTACAGGTGCAATTAAGAAAAAAACAGTAAAATTACCAATACGCAATATTGGGAAGAAACTAACACCACAGGTATGAAGGAGGATACAATAAATCAAAGCACATGCTACTCAAATTTTCTGGTTAATACATTTTAAGATGTGCTAATTTAAGGACAATTTCCTAAGAAAATATGAATTACTAAAACTTACTTAAGAAGTATCGAACTTTGAATGAACAGGTGACTTTTAAAGAGTAATTGAGGGCCAGATGCAGTGGCTCACACCTGTAATCCCAACACTTTGGGAGATGGAGGCAGGAGGATCAGTTGAGTCCAGGAGTTCAAGACCAGCCTGGGCAACATAGTGAGAACCTTTCTCTATTTAAAAATAATAATAATAATAATTGAGGAACAAAATACAATTGTTATTCAAAACATAAAGTAATGAATCTAGTTCTGAGTAAAATGGAGTAAGCACACTCCACCCTGACTTAAATCCATTTATTCTGAATTAACTTTTATTTTAAGTTCCAAGGTACATGTGCAGGATGTGGAGGTTTGTTACATAGGTAAACGTGTGCCGTGAAGGTTGGGTGCACAGATTATCCCGTCAACTAGGTATTAAGCCCAGCCCATCCCACTGAATGCAGCTGAAACTGCCATTGCACAATTGTAACTGAGACAGTGAAAGAGATCTGACTTAACCAACTCCATCTTTCTTCTAACCTCCAAGCTGTCCTTGTTCATTCCTGGGCATTAGGCTGAACTAACTTCAGAGAAACTTAGTTTATAGTTTAAAGCAAATATGATAACAGCCCTTTCCCAAACAAACATCTTTCTTGCCTGGGGACTAGAATGCTTTTGCAGGACTAACAAAGTAGCCACAAGATTAGAAATTAGGGTTTAGGAGTAATACAGCTGGAGACTACAAGATTCTGACCCTCTCTAAACTGTTCCCAAGATCAGTGATTGAGATATTTTGCAGATCCCATACTTGATCGATCAGCTGGTATCACCCAGATCAATAAACTGGCTCATCTGATCTTGTGGCTCCCACCCAGGAACTGACTCAGCACAAGAGGGCAGCTTCAATTCCCTATGATTTCATCTCCGACCCAACCAATCAGCATTCCCGACTCACTGGCCTTCCCCCACCCACAAAATTGTCCCTGAAAACTGTGATCTCTGAATGCTTACAGGAGACTGATTTGAGTAATAATACAGCTCTGGTCTCCTGCACAGCTAGCTCTGCATGAATTACTCTTTCCGAATTGCAATTCCCCTGTCTTGATGAATCTGCTCTGTCTAGGCAGTGGGAAAGGTGAACCCACTGAGCAGTTACACAACTATAAAATCTGCACAGAGTGCATGGAGCCATAATTTGAGGGCACTGAAAAGTTAATAGTAGCAGGTGGTTTTGGGCAGAAGGTTAGAATTTAAAGTGCCATGGAAGCAGTAGTGAGTTTTTTTTACCAGTTTTATTCCCCTCTAGGATCCCCTGGTGTTAATTCAATACAGCCTGAAACCCCAAGTAAGCATGGATGCAGACAGAGAGAGCTCCAGAAGTGGCATTCAAATTCTACCTTAGAGAGTGGGAAAGAGAGAGAGAGAAATTCCATTTGTCTTTCTTCTCTCTGTTTTCTTACTTCCCCACCCTTAGGCAATCTCTTGACAGTGGCAGCCACGGTAGAGTTTGTAATGCAACAGGAATCTGCAGGAGCCAAACCTTGGAGGAAAAAGAACCTTCTTATCTTAATGGAGGACTTGTAAATCTAGGAGGATGGGGGCAAAACCTCTTTGTCCTCCTGTCATTTTGATGCCAGAAAAAGAGGTCCCAATTCCAGATCCCAAGAGAGGGTTCTTGGATCTCACACAGGAAGGAATTCAAAATTCAAGACACGTCACAGAGTGCAGTGAGAAGAGATAGTTTATTGAAAGTTACTCAGATGCACAATAGGGTGTCTTCAGAAAGTAAGAGGAGGAATGTGCCATCTGTTTTAAACCCTTCTCATATAGGGGTCTTATATATGAAAAAGCTGAGCTAATTATGTCTACATGCGGGTGTGTGGTCATGATAAAATTTAGTACTTTGTTGAGTTGATTGAAAGACAGTTATTCTTAGCATTTTAGTGCATAAGTACATCAAACCATGACTATAACTAACTTAAAAGCATATATTGTTATGCAGTATCAGGACATCTGGACATTCTGCTGTTGTAAGAGTTTGTCCTTGCAGGGATTACTGAACTGGTTCCTTAATGTAAACATGACAAAATTTAGTACTTTGTTGAGTTGACTGAAAGATAGTTGTTCTTAGCATTTTAGTGCATACGTGCATCAAAGCATGGCTTTTAACTATCTTAAAAGCATATATTGTTATGCAATATCAGGACATCTGGACATTCTACTCTTGTAAGAATTTGTCCTTGCAGGCATTACTGAACTGCTTCCTTACTGTAAACATCTTATGACTACTGATGGTGACTGACAAGGAATGTCCTTGCTAGTTTTAAGATGGAACTGATTTTAAAATAGTTTCACCTTGACTTTCCTATGCTTCTGTTTTCCTAGTTGACCTAGATGCAAGGACACTCACAGAAGTGTATAGGAGAGCAGGATAATTCAAGTCCCAGCTTCAGGGGCAGAGGTCTAAAAAAGGGAGCCCCAGAAAACCAGAATGTAATGGGGGACATGTGGGGAGCAAAGGGCTTAGGAACTTCTGGGCTCACTCCTGAGCTGCTCACCCATGAATCTGAACTTCATTAGTAAGGATATCTCAGATAGAATACTACCCATATCCCAGATTGACCAGTGAGGAGCTCACACACAGGAAAAACTGTAATAGTATTGCAGAAACTTTGAAACTTGAATTAACATTGGAATCAATACCCACGGAAGGTTGGTTACATCTTGTTATCTGAGCCTCCCCAGGTTAACTGTAAACTAAAACAAAATATCAGCACTTTCAATAGGATTTAAAGGAGACCCAGAATCTCATAACATAATATTAAAATATTCAGGATATGATTAAATATTACTTGTCCTACCAAAAAAAGGGGAACTACTTGTATGGGAAAATATCGGGGAACCTGCCCTGATAGTCACGTAGGTTCTTTTCTATTTTCCCTAAGCATCGGCCGGCTTGAGAAATAAAGGGACAGAGTACGAAAGACAGAAATTTTAAAGCTGGTATCCGGGGAAGACATCACATGTCAGTAGGTTCCATGATGCCCCCCAAGCCACAAAACCAGCAAGTTTTTATAGGGATTTTCAAATGGGGAGGGAGTGTGCGAATAGGTTTGGGTCACAGACATCAAGTACTTCACAAGGTAATAGAATATCACAAGGCAAGTGGAGGCAAGGCGAGATCATGGGACCACAGGACCGGGGCGAAATTAAAATTGCTAATGAAGTTTCAGGCACCACTGTCATTGATAACATATCAGGAGACAGGGTTTTGAGAGCAACTGGTCTGACCAAAAATTTATTAGGCAGGAATTTCCTCTTCCTAATAAGCCTGGGAGTGCTATGGGAGACTGGGGTCTATTTCACCCCTACAGTCTACAGACCATAAAAGACAACCACACTTAGGGGGGCCATTTATAGACCTATACCCCCAGGTGTGTATTCTCTTTCCCAGGGAGGTTCCTTGCTGAGAAAAAGAATTCAGCGATATTTCTCCCATTTGCTTTTGAAAGAAGAGAAATATGGCTCTGTTCTGCCCGGCTCACCGGCAGTCAGAGTTTAAGGTTATCGCTCTTATTCCCTGAACAATTGCTGTTATCCTGTTCTTTTTTCAAGGTGCCCAGATTTCATATCGCTCAAACACACATGCTGTACAATTTGTGCAGTTAATGCAATTATTACAGGGTCCTGAGGTGACATACATCCTCCTCAGCTGACAGGATTAAGAGATTAAAGTAAAGACAGGCATAGGAAATCACAAGGGTATTGATTGGGGAAGTGATAAGTGTCCATGAAATCTTCACAATTTATGTTTAGAGATTGCAGTAAAGACAGGCATAAGAAATTATTAAAGTATTAATTTGGGGAACTAATAAATGTCCATGAAATCTTCACAATCCACGTTCTTCTGCCATGGCTTCAGTCAGGCCCTCCGTTTAGGGTCCCTGACTTCCCTCAACAGGAAAAGATGGCCCCAGATGAAAGATCTTAGAATTATATCATAAAAACTTTAGAAGAGCTATCATATGAAGACCCAACAAGCAATCATAAACACTCTTGAAACAAATGGAAAAATACAAAGTTTCATGCAAAAAATAGAAGCAATGAAGAAGGAAGTGAAAAACTTTAAACTGAAAGATATAATAACTGAAAACAAAAACTTACTGAATGGGGCAAATAGTAGATTTGAGATAACAAAGAAAAGGGGAATATTATCAATTCAGAATTATATATCCAGCAAAAATATCCTTCAGGAACTTAAATGGAATAAATACATTTTCAGATGAAAGAAAACTATGAGGATTTGTTGCTAGTAGATTTGCTCTACAAATATTTACTAAGCAAGTAGAGGGAAACTTGGAAATTCAGGAGTTGAAGGTTAATATCAATGTCAATATCATTAGCCATTTGGGAAATGCAAATTAAAACCATGATGAGAGACCACTGCACACCTATTTGAATGGTTATATGTGGGTGTATACATATACATCTATGTATGTGTTTTTATAAATATATATATAAAAACACATACATAGATGTATGTATACATATACATCTATATATATGTATATATGTCTACATATATATACACATATGTATACATATACATATATACATATGTATACATATATATGTGTATATCTGTATATATGTATACACACACACACACACACACACACACGCCCACACAGAATACCAAACACTGAATGGAATGCAGAGCAACTAGAACTCTCATACATTCCTACTGTGAATGAGACATGGTGCCTGCACCACTCAGGAAAACACTGTGGCAATTTCTTAGAATGAAACCATACTTTCAGCAAATAACCTAGTAATTTCACCTCTGGGTATTTACCCTAAGTAATTGAAAACATAAGTTCACACAAAGGCCTGTACACAAACACTTAGATGAGGTTATTATGCTGAGTGGAAAGCATCAGTCTCCAAAAATTACATACTGTTTAATTTCATTTACATTGTCATTCTTGACAAGATAAAACTATAATGTTGAAGGAAAGATCAGTGGTTGCTAGGGATTAGGGGTGAGGTGAGGTGTAACTATAAAGGCAGTTTTTTAATCAGTGAAACTGTTCTGTATTCTGATTACAAAACAATTGGATCTGTGGTTATATAACCACAATCACAAATAGGATACAGAACAGTTCCTGATTTCATGTACCTCTACAAACAAAAAACTCAATTTTACTGTATGATAATTTACAAATGAAATTTGGCATGGTGGTTCACACCTGTAATCCCAGCACTTTGGGAGGCTAAGGTGGGCAGATCACCTGAGGTCAGGAGTTCGAGACCAGCCTGGCCAACATGGCAAAACCCTGTCTCTACTAAAAATACAAAAAAAAAAAAAAAATTAGCTGGGCATTGTGGTGGGTGCCTGTTATCCCTGCTACTCGGGAGGCTGAGGCAGGAGAATCACATGAACCTGGAAAGTGGAGGTTGCAGTGAGCCGAGATGATACCACTGCACTCCAGTGTGGGTGACAGAGTGAAACTCTGTCTCAAAATAAATAAATAAATAAATAAATAAATAAATAAATAAAATAAAGTATAAATCTCACAGGACCTATAAAACAAAAATACAATTTAAAAATACCCAAAAAACCAAGGTATATGGGCAACAAATAGCATAATGAATGAAATAGTATCTCACGTCTCAATACTAACATTGAATGTAAATGGCCTAAATGCTCCACTTAAAAGATACAGAACTGCAGAATGGATAAGAAGTCACCAACCAACTATCTGCTGCCTTCAAGAGACTCACCTAACACATAAGGACTCACATAAACTTAAGGTAAAGGAGTAGAAAAAGACATCCCATGCAAATGAACATCAAAAGCAAGCAGGAGTAGCTATTCTTATTTCAGACAAAACAAACTTTAAAGCAACAACAGTTAAAAAGACAAAGAGGGACATTATATAATGACAAAAACCTTTTCCAACAGAAAAATATCACAATCTTAAATATATATACACCTAACACTGGAGCTCCCAAATTTATAAAACAATTACTAGTAGACATAAGAAATGAGATAGACTGCAATACGTTTTAGTGGGGTACTTCAATACTCCACTGACAGCACTAGATAGGTCATCAAGACAGAAAGTCAACAAAGAAACAATGAACTTATACTATACCCTGGAATAAATGGGCCTAACAGATATTTACTGAACATTCTACCCAATAACCACAGAATATACATTATATTCATCAGCACATAGAATTTTCTCCAAGATGATAGCCCACAAGACAAGTATCAATAAATTTAAGAAAACTGAAATTACATCAAGTACTCTCTTAGATCACAGTGGAATAAAACTGGAAATCAACTCCAAAAGGAACCTTCATAACCATGCAAATACATGGAAACTAAATAACCTGCTCCTGAGTGATCATTGGCTCAACAATGTAATCAAGATGGAAATTAAAAAATTCTTCAAACTGAATGATAATGGTGACACAACCTATAAAAACCTCTGAGATACAGTAAAGGTAGTGTAAGAGGAAAGTTCATAGCCCTAAATGCGTACATCAAAAAGTCTGAAAGAGTAAAGACAATATAAGGTCACACCTCAAGGAACCAGAGAAACAAGAACACACCAAACCCAAACCCAGCAGAGGAAAGAAAATAGCCAAGATCAAAACAGAACTAAATGAAATGGAAACAAACAAACAAAAAATACTAAAGATAAATGAAAGAAAAAGCTGTTTTTTTGAAGATAAATAAAATTGATATACCATTAGCAAGATTAACCAAAAAAACGAGAGAAAATCCAAATACGCTCAATTAGAAATAGAATGGGAGATGTTACAACTGACACTACAGAAATACAAAAGATCATTCAAGGCTACTATGAACACCTTTACATGCATAAACTAGAAAACCTAGAGGAGACAGATAAATTCCTGGAAAGATACAACCCTCCCAGATTAAATCAGGAAGAATTAGATACCATGAAGAGACCAATAACAAGCAGCAAGACTGAAATGATAATAAAAAAATTACCAACAAAAAATGTCCAGGACCAGATGGATTCACAGTTGAATTCTACCAGACATTCAAAGAAGAATTGGTACCAACTGTATTGACAATTGGTATCAATTGTAGAGACAGAGGGAATCCTCCATAAATCATTCTATGAAGCCAGTATCACCCTAATACCCAAACCAGGAAAGTACATAACAAAAAAGAAAACTACAGACCAATATCCCTAATGAACATAGATGTGAAAATCCTTATCAAAGTACTGGTTAACTGAATCCAACAACATAACAAGAATATAATCCACCATGATCAAGTGGGTTTCATATCAAGGATATAGGGATGGTTTAACATACACAAGTCAATAAATGTGATACACCACAGAAACAGAACTAAAAAATCACATTATCATCTCAATAGATGCCGAAAAATCATTTGACAAAATCCAGCATTGCCTTTATGATTAAAACCCTCAGCAAAATCAGCGTACAAGGGATATACCTCAATGTAATATAAGCCATCTGTGACAAACACACAGCCAACATAATACTGAATGGGGAAAAGTTGAAAGCATTCCCTCTGAGAACTAGAACAAGACAATGATGCCCACTCTCACCACTTCTATTCAACGTATTACTGGATGTCCTAGCCAGAGCAATTAGACAAGAGAAAGAAATGAAGGGCATCCAAATCAGTAAAGAGGAAGTCAAAATGTTGCTGTTTGCTGATGATATGATCCTATACCTAGAAAACCCTAAAGATTTCTCCAAAAAGCTCCTAGAACTGATAAATGAATTCAGCAAAGCTTCAGGATACAAAATTAATGTACACAAGTGAGTAACTCTCCTATATATCAACAGCAAACAAGATGAGAATCAAATCAAGAACTCAACTCCTTTTACAATAGCTGCAAAAACAAATAAACAAACAAAAAAACTGAGGAATATACCTAACCAAGGAGGTGAAAGACCCCTACAAGGAAAACTACAAAATACTGCTGAGAGAAATCATAAACACAAACAAATGGAAATGGAAACACATCCCTTGCTCATGGATGGGTAGAATCAATATTGTGAAAATGACCACACTGCCAAAGCAATCTACAAATTCAATGCAATTCCCATCAAAATACCACCATCATCCTTCACAGAATTAGAAAAAAAAAATTCTAAAATTCATATGTAACCAAAAAAGAGCCTGCATAACCAAAGCAAGTCTAAGCAAAAAGAACACATCTGTAGGCATCACATTACCTGATTTCAAACTTACTACAAAGCCATAGTCACCAAAACAGCATGGTGCTGGTATAAAAAATACACATAGACCAATGGAACAGAATAGTGAACCGAAAAATAAACCCAAATACTTACAGCCAACTGATCTTTGACAAAGGAAACAAAAAACTAAAGTGGGGAAAGGACACCCTATTCAACAAATGGTGCTGGGATAATTGGCTAGCCACATGTAGGAGAATGAAACTGGATCCTAATCTCTCACCTTATGCAAAAATCAACTCAAGATGGATTAAGGACTTAAATCTAAGACCAAAAACCATAAAAATTCTAGAAGATAACATTGGAAAAACCCTTCTACACATTGGTTTAGGCAAGAATTTCATGACCAAGAACCCAAAAGCAAATGCAACAAATACAAATACAAATAAATATTAATACAAATAAATAGCTGGGACTTAATTGAACTAAAGATCTGTTGCATGGCAAAATAAACAGCACGGTAAACAGACAACCCACAGAGCAGGAGAAAATCTTCACAATCTATACATCTGACATAGGACTAATATCTACAATGACCTCAAACAAATTCACAAGAAAAAAAAATCCCATAAAAAATGGGCTAAGGATATGAATAGACAATTCTCAAAAGAAGATATGCAAATGGCCAATGAACATATAAAAAAAATGCTCAACATCACTAATGATCAGGGAAATGCAATCAAAACCACAATGAGATACCACCTTACTCCGGTAAGAATAGTCATAATCAAAAAATAATAGATGTTGAGGTGGATGCGGTGAACAGGGAACACTTCTACGCTGCTAGTGGGACTGTAAACTAGTACAACTACTATGGAAAACAGTGTGGAGATTCCATAAAGAACTAAAAGTAGAACTACCATTTGATCCAGCAATCCCACTACTAGGTATCTACCCAGAGGAAAAGAAAGAGATACTTGCACAGGTATGTTTATAGCAGCACAATTTGCAATTGCAAAAAAGTGGAACCAGCCCAAATGCCCATCAATCAATCAGTGGATAAGAAACTGTGAACGATGAAATACTACTCAGACATAAAAAGGAATAAACTAATGGCATTCGCAGCAACCTGGATGGGATTGGAGACTATTATTCTAAGTGAAGTAACTCAGGAATGGAAAAACCAAACATCGTATGTTCTCACTCATAAGCAGGAGCTAAGCTATGAGGATGTAAAGGCATAAGAATGACACAATGGACTTTGGGGACTCAGGGGGAAAGGGTGCGAAGGGGGTGGGGGATTAAAGACTACAAATTGGGTTCAGTGTATACTGCTCAGATGATGGGTGCACCAAAATCTCACACATCATCACTAAAGAACTTACTCATCTGTTCCCCAAAAAACTGATGGGAATTTTTTTTAAAAAGAAACATATAGAGTGGCAGATGTTCCCAACCTCTGTATGTGAGAGAATGTCTTTGTTAAATTCACGGCAGAAAGATATTCTTATAAATACAGTCATAATGCAGTCACAAGGTGGCATCTTCCTCCTATCTCCACTGCCTGCCGCTGTGATTCACTGACACTGTGTTATAGTTTTGTTTTTAAAACAAAACATGACAACTAGCATGCGTGGAAACAGACATTTTTCCTGCCTCTGCTCCCATGACTGGACTTGATGCTTGGAATCTCAGGAGGATCTTTACCAGCACCACTCTGCTCTCTTCCTCAGTCCCTCTTCCATCTTTCCCCATATGCACGTTGCAACTTATCTGTTCACAGTATCAGCTTCAATGTAGAAAGATGGGTGCTGTGAAGGGAGGGTGTAGTTGGTGTCCTCGACTCAAGCAGAGGTCCCAGCGGGTAGACAGGATTGAGGTTCCATTCCTGATTGAACAAAATGTGGGACTCTGAATCACAGTTTAGGTGGTGAGAATTATATAATGCATGCCTCTTGCCCTAGCCCACCAACACACTTTTTTTTTTTCCAGAAGTCTTTATTTCATGAGATGAAGTCAGGAAGTCAGGGTAGGTTTTTTTTACACTTCAGCTCCATGTTGTCATTTCTATACCTTTAAGTTGCTTTTTCTTTTCCTCTTTTTTCTTTTTTTTTTTTGAGTCAGAGTTTCACTCTGTTGCCCAGGCTGGAGTGCAGTAGTGCGATCTAGGCTCACTGCAACCTCTGCCCCCTCAGTTCAATGGATCATCCTGCCTCAGCCTCCCGACTAGCTGGGACTTCAGGCATGTGTCACCATGCCCAGCTATTTTTTTTTTTTTTTTTTTTTGTATTTTTAGTAGAGACAGGGGTTCACCACGTTGGTCAGGCTGGTGTCGAACTGCTGACCTCAAATGATCCACCCGCCTCGGCCTCCTGAAGTGTTGGGATTACAGGCATGAGCCACTGTGCCCAGCCTTTCTAATCTTAATGTTTAGTCTAACAAGTTTTTGTCATCTTCTGCATCTATTACTGTGGTATAGGCCAGAGTTTCTCAACCTCACCACTATTGTCATTTGGGGCTAGATGATTCTTTGTTGTGGTGGCTGCCAGTGCATTGTAGGAGGTTTTGTTGCACCCCTTACTCCTATACACTAGATGCCAGTAGCACTGCCCCATCCCCCAAATGTCTCCAGACATTGCCTAAGGTTCCTGGGAGTGAGACATGCAAATCTCTCCCGCTGGGAACCACTGCTTTAGATTAGAGAGCAGAAGGGACTACAGGGCTCTGGGGAGCGGTGGCAAGACTTGGAGCAGCAGTCTTAATAACACTCAGGCAGGACTTCTCTGACTGATGTGTCCCCACTCTCTTACCATGAGGACAAGTAACATAGGCCTGACTGTTCATCCCGTTGGAGGTACACAATGCCAGAGTGCTGTTCTTAGGCGTTCACCCTTGGGGCATGTGTTAGAATTATCCAGAGAGCTTTGAATGTGTCTAGGCCTATGGCAGACATCTCAAAATATTATTAACTTGAGTTGGTGGGGTAAAAGTCTTTCTCAGGTTATAAATCCGAAGAAGAGACTAAATGTGGCATCCAAAAAGAAGCCAAACTGAGAGAAAAATTAAAGACCTAAGTAGTTTTTAATTTCCTTTTCCAAGCCTTTTTGAGACCAGCTGTACCCTCTGCCCTTTCCCTAGTTTAGTTATACTAACCAAAAAATCCCTTTTTGTTTAAATGAGGAGACATTAGGTGCCACTTACTTGCAGCAAGAGTTCTAAAGCAATTGAGTACCTCCTTGGTTTGTGTGGGGAACACAGGAGATGGCACACATTGCAGATGCCACGGTGCTTTGCACATAAAGGGCTTCATGATGTGTTTTAAATAACACAGAGTAGATGATATTTGGAAAAACTTTTTTTTTTTTAAAAAAGTCCCAGCTCAAATGAAGTCTTACTCATTCCCCAGGAAGAACGAGATCTTTCTCCTCCTTGCTCTTTCTTCTCTGCTTTTGCAGTCACCCTACTGCTTTGTAATTGTTTGCAAATCTATGTTCTTTTCTAATGTTCTTTGAACTTCTGGAGGACTGGAACTCAGTCTTATTCACCTTTAAATCCTCCGTATCTAACATGCCAGCACATAGCAGGTGGTCAATAAGTATTGTTAGGAAAATAATTTGAAGAACATTCATGATTAAAGGTGGCAATAAGAGCAACCAGCCAGCATTTATTGAGTACACGCTATGCTCCAAGCATTGTCCTAAGAATTTTACTTTTTTATGACTTAATCCTTATGACAGCCCTTAATATGTTATCGTTATTACTCCATTTTACAAATGAACAAACTGAGTCAAGGCTGTACAACTAATAAATGGCAGAGTCATGATTTCGTCCAGGAAAACTGATGCCAGAGCCCTAACATGTTACACAATACATTGTGATACTTGTCACTGAAAGTATTTTGTTAAATACAGACGGAGTTAAATCATTCACTATTAGAAACAGAGGAAACTGAGATCACTGAATTCCATCATGAAATAGATACTGATGCTGAGCCAAGGATTGGAAGTGACTCAGTTCAGGTGGTTTACATAACCGTAGGCTTACCTACACGGTGTTCCTGACTCCCAGCTGGAATCTTTTAACCAAAGGCCCCACCCTCATGCAAAGTGCACCTTTTCTTTACACGTGCGCTCTCCCCTTTGGAGGTCTTGCTTTGGAAAAACCACCCCAGGTAGCAACTTGTTTCAAAGCAGATATATGCCAGGTACCACTTAAAGCCAGGTGGATCTTATCTGTTGAAATAGATCAAGAACACATGAAAGGGGACTGGGGACCCCCTACTTACACTTCAGACTTCAGCACAAACTTTCTGTCCTCAGAGAAGGCTTCTCTGGCCTCTCCAAGGTCAAGTCTGTCTACCTAAGCTCTCCTTTATTTAGCATGGTCACTTGTAATTACATATATTTTGTATGTTAATATCTGGTTAATGGTCACCTCACTTGTTACCCTTTAAGTTCATTGAGGATAGAATCCCTGTCAATTTTTGTTCCTTATATTTGCAGTGCCTCACATAGTTCCTGGCACACAATGGGTATTCAAAAAATATTTGTTAAAATCAGGAAAGAATGAACAAACAGATGAATGAATAAATGCACGACTGAAGTACCATGACAAATCATTCCTGTGGAACGCATAAGGTTAGATGCAACTCCTTTATGGTGTGATCTGAGGGGGCCCTTAAGGGCTTAATCTGCACGCTCACACACACCACTGATTAGAAATCCCCATCAGGAAAATTGTACAATCATCTATTTGGCGAGGGCTTTGGGACACTGAATGGGGGAAAAGAAACACAAAAGGTGAGCAAGCAGTTTTCAAAGGATGCTTTCAACTCCCTGGCCAGTCCGCGTGTATGTTTTCGTCTACAAAGTGTTTCCAATTACTGTGGCACTCTCGGTATCTGGATCCATCTCCAGTGAATTCCTCTGCAGCTCCTGCCAGACATATGGGATCAATCAGGGCTTCGGCGCTGGTGCGCTTGCTGCGGGAATGTTGACAGCCTGACAGACGCGGGGTTCTGGTGTCATGGAATCTCCGAGCCTTTGGCTTGATCCCGGGAGGAGAATGAGAGGGGGAGGAGGGAGATAGAGTCACAGATACAGAAAGTAGACAGGAGCGGGGAGAGGGAGAGAGGGAGAGAAGGAGGGAAGCGGGAGATTTTTCTTGACTGCCCCCTTTCCTTCAAACATTTTATAGGCTTCAGGGAGAGAGAGGAGGAGGAGAGAGGGAAGAAAAAAAGAGGAGAGCGAGAGGGGTAGAGAGCGCGCGCCGTTCCCTCCGGAGTTCCCGAGCTGCTGAGGAGTCTGGATTGTGTCTGTCCCCAGTGTCAGATGAAAGGGCGCTGAGGCTCTTGGCCGCTGCCCCGCGCCCAGCTCCGCGCACGCCCCTCTGCGAGTCCGGCCGCCCAGCGCCTCTTCCCGCCCGAGCCGCCGCCTGCGCTCCGGGGCAGCCGCTCTGTCTCCAGCGCGATGTGGCCTCGCCTGGCCTTTTGTTGCTGGGGTCTGGCGCTCGTTTCGGGCTGGGCGACCTTTCAGCAGATGTCCCCGTCGCGCAATTTCAGCTTCCGCCTCTTCCCCGAGACCGCGCCCGGGGCCCCCGGGAGTATCCCCGCGCCGCCCGCTCCTGGCGACGAAGCGGCGGGGAGCAGAGTGGAGCGGCTGGGCCAGGCGTTCCGGCGACGCGTGCGGCTGCTGCGGGAGCTCAGCGAGCGCCTGGAGCTTGTCTTCCTGGTGGATGATTCGTCCAGCGTGGGCGAAGTCAACTTCCGCAGCGAGCTCATGTTCGTCCGCAAGCTGCTGTCCGACTTCCCCGTGGTGCCCACGGCCACGCGCGTGGCCATCGTGACCTTCTCGTCCAAGAACTACGTGGTGCCGCGCGTCGATTACATCTCCACCCGCCGCGCGCGCCAGCACAAGTGCGCGCTGCTCCTCCAAGAGATCCCTGCCATCTCCTACCGAGGTGGCGGCACCTACACCAAGGGCGCCTTCCAGCAAGCCGCGGTAAGGCGCCCGCCCCTCCCGACCCGGGCCCTAGTCCCCGGGCCCTTCGACCCACCGCTGCCTGCCCGTCTCTATCCCGGGGTTCAGTCCTGGGCAAGGCATAACCACCCCAAGTCAAGCGTCCCCATCCACAAAACCAGAGTCATCGCTACCCGCCTATTATTGTTGTGGAGGTTCCAATGGGATAATGGATTTTAAAACGCTTAGAGGGATGTCAGGCTCCTTAGATAGTCGGCTTCGAGGACCCTGTTAGGAAGGGATCCTTGAAACGCTAATCACATTCACGTTTGTAGGAGCAGACGGTATCCAAGCTGAAACAGGTGAGCATGGTTTACAAAGTGTTTCTAAAGGTAGGACATGGAGTGATATAAACCTAACCCCAATTCTTTTTAAAGTTATGTTATGCTTTCAATGTAAGATTCGTGCCCTTCCTATTTTTGCTCCAATCCTTTATTAGATTTTTAATATCTGGAAGAGGAAGTCAGTTTGGGATGTCGGACTTTTGTAAAGTGTGTCTGTTTTTCTGATTACAAATTAATCCATATTCAGTGGGGGAAAAAGAAACATATAGAAATATCTAACACATAATAGCAAGCCAGTGTTTGTGGACTGAATTAAACAAAAAGTAGGGAGAGGAAAAAAAAACCCTAAAATTTCATCACTTTAAAAAAGCCACTGTTTGCAGGTTGTTGAACAGTTGCCCAGTATGTACATCCATTCATACTTTTAATATCTTGCTGTTTTGTAGCCTACATTTTTCGTTTGTTATATCCTAATTAAAATGTTCTACATTAGCTGCATACTATTCCATTGCGTGCAACAATCACTTATTGTTGGACACTTAGGATTTTTCCTTACTAAGTTATCGTGAACATAAATATTTGTGGACTCCTCTGTTTACATCTTTAGGAAGAATTTCTATAAAAGTTCCTGAACTAAAGGTTATGAACATTTGTAACTTCTTGATACTATTGTCCATTTCTCCCTTGGAGGGTTGTATAAATTTATATTCTCATCAGCAGAGTATCTCAGCAGTAAATTTGCCACATATTCACCAATATCATACTATTCTTTTTAATATCTTTGTCAATTTAAGAGGTGATGGAGGCATCATTTTAGCAAATACACATTTTTGATTTTTGAGGATGAACATTTTCCAGTACATCTACTGGACATTTGTATTTTTTCCTCTGATATTTATAGTTTTTGCCCATTTTGCCATTATAGTGCTTGTTTGTTTTTTCTTAACACATTGGCTTGTTTTTTTTTCTTAATGATTTGCAAAAGTTCTTTATATAGTGAGGCCAGTAATTCTTTTGTGTATATGTTGCAAATGTTTTTCCAGTTCACTGCCTTTTATTTTTGTTTATGGAAATGTTGTTAGATGAATGGTTTACATTTTTATACACTCAAATCTATCAAACATTTTCCTTAAGATCCTATATTTGTTCATAGTTTTAGAATAGCTCTCTCATTTCCCAAATCAGAGAAATAGTTTTCCATGTAGCAGCTTAATCCATCTGGAATTTATTTTTGTGTATGATATGACAAAGAGGTCTAACTTGATTTTAAAAAATAAATAGTTAACCAGTTGTCCCAGCACTACTTGCTTAATAGCCATCTGTCCTTTTCCAATTTAATTGAATGTCATGTTTATCATGTGCTAAATGCTTATGGGTATTTGATCTCTTCCTGGCTTTCTATTTCATCCCATTCTCTATCTCATTTGTATCATTGCCAAAATGTTTTAACTATTGTAACTTTACAACATATTTAAATATCTGGTAGTGCAAATTCTCCTTTTAAAAAATCTATTCTTTTTCTAGTTAATTCTTACCCACTTATTATTTAATATGAATTTTAAATTCATTTTTACATATTACCAATGAAGTCAGTAAGGATTTTGATTTCAATATAGAAAATATTGAATTAACTTGGGGATTATATGTATTTTATAGTAATAATTCTTCCATTTCAAAAGTGTAAGACCTTATATTTTCTCAAAGTCTTAGAATAGCCTTCTCATTTCCCAAATCAGAGAAATAGTTTTCTATTTAGCAGTTTAATCCATCTGGAACTTACTTTTGTGCATAGTGTGACAAAGATGTCTAATTTTATTTTTTAAATGAATAAGCAGTTGTCCCAGCACTATTTGGTTCATATAATTTGCTTAATAGCATTTATGCATATTCTTTATACACATACATTTATACATCTTTAACAAAGTTGTAGATTTTTAGAAGTTAAGTCCTGTATATATTTTTCAAGTTTACATCTAAATATATTCTGTTCAATATTACTGTCATGAATAGCATCTTTTAAAATTAAATTTCAAACAACTTTTCTTGACGTATAGAAACACTGATTTTTAAAAATATGCCTTCTATATTTGGATTCTTGTTGAAGTCTCTTTGATTCTTTTTTTCTCTTTTTATATATATTTTATTTTACTGATAATAAATATTTATTGCAGAAAATAAAATAATCAGGAAAACTATTTCCTGAAAATATACCGTCATAGTTTGGTACATAGCTTCCTTGACTTTATTCAGTTGTCTAGGTAATAGGCATGTTTTCATACATATATTATGCCTAAATTATGTTTACCCAGGAAAAAGGATTCAATTGTACATCCTCTTGTAATTTGACTTTGTATTCCCACCATATATTTCAGTCTTCTTTCCAAAATAAGGAACATATTTCTACTATCATTATTTTTCAGGGTCACAGTTTTCCACTGTAGAATGTGCTTTTGTGTGTGAGTGTGTGTGTGTGTGTGTGTGTGAGACTACCTATTACTATGTATTTAGGCTGTTACAAACATTGTGTAACTAAATCTTTGTCCATATCTCTAATCATTTCCTTAAGGCAAATTCTTGAAGTGCCATTATTGCATCAAAGAATATTCATGTTTTTTTAAGACATTTAATACATGTGTCAAGTTGCTCTGCAGAAAATGGTGCCAACCTGCCCTCCACATGCAGCCCCAGTGTCAGGACCTGGGGTTCAGACCAGCCAGTGCTGGCTAATATCATTTGAAGATTCCATCCCCCACCCCCTAACTTTCTAAGTGAGAAATGGAGTCCCATTTTAAATTGCATTTCCCTATTAGTGAGGCTGAATATTTTAAAAACATGTTATTGTCCATATATAGCTCCTTTTTTTGAATACCCACTAAGATATTTGAGGATTATTATCCAGTTTTTAACTGGGGGTGGCTCTCTTATTGATTTGCAAATGCTCTTTAAATCTTAATGGTATTAACCCTCAGCTGTCAGTGACCCAAGTGTGTGGCAAATATTTTTTCTCAGCGCTTTAATTTTGTTTAAGGTGATGGCAACAAATGTTTTGTTAGTCTACTGGATCTATTTTTTTTTCATTTGTACTGTTTTCATTGCTTATGAAGGTTTAAAGGCTTTTGCCTTTAAGAGATAAATAGCTACCCTAAAAATGCTCTCTGTGTGTTGAAGCAGTCGCGCCAGGCAGGGTATAGTTTTGCAGCTGTAGTTCCCTGTTGGACCTGGTCTCCGCTCTAAATACTCATGAGGTCCTGATGGCTGGCCTTATTCCTAATGCCATGGTCTACTCCATCCAGGAAGAACCCTGCTGCATCAGGGAAAAACCTGCCATGTGCCAGCTCCTCTGTTTGGCTTGGCCAGACTTGCCCGGGGCCTCTGAGAATGTTGATCCAAAACAGTAAAATGGGTAATGAGTCGAGTACACAGTGCTCCCCTCAAGACCTACTCTGTCTTCAGCTTTCCCCTTCCAACTACTACATCCTGTCTTGAACAGAGGAATTGCCTACAAGGTTCCCAGTGCTGCTCTTCAGCCTGGATCCATTTGTAATCTAACAAGCAGGGATTTCTCAAAAGTTTGTATTAGCTGATCTTCCCTTTGACTTTTTTATTTTTATTTTTTCTCATTTTGGTTGGGCTATGAGAAGGTACAAAAGAAGGTCAGCTGGACTCGGCCAGGCGCGGTGGCTCAGGCCTGTAATCCCAGGACTTTGGGAGGCCAAGGCGGGTGGATCACGAGGTCAGGAGATCTAGACCGTCCTGGCTAACACGGTGAAACTCCGTCTCTACTAAAAACACAAAAAATTAGCCGGGCGTGGTGGTGGGTGCCTGTAGTCCCAGCTACTCGGGAGGCTGAGGCAGGAGAATGGCGTGAACCCGGGAGGCGGAGCTTGCCGTGAGCCGAGGCCACACCACTGCATTCCAGCCTGGGTGACAGAGTGAGACTCCTCAAAAAAAAAAAAAAAAAAAAAAAGAAGGTCGACTGGACTCAGTCCCTGTCTAAACTGGAAGCCTACATGTCTGCATTGTAACTTTTCCAAGCCTCTGATGAGCATTCTTAGGTATAACTAAAATATAAGATTTAGAGAAAATTGGTAGAAGATGACCAACATTTAGAAATGGTGTTGGTTGAGGCTTGAATTTTTGCATAGGGATCAGGCAGAAGCATTTAGCTGCAAAGTTAGTTTGAAAATGGTAAGCTATCTTGAATGGGTTTTGACCTGAAACTTTGTACGTTTCATCATGGAAATGAGATCGTTTGTCAGATTCCCACGTGTGTGCAGAGTGGTATTATTATAACTGATTGTGACCTAGCCTTTGTGTGAAATTGAAAATCACAGGGACATTTCTGAGATTATTAATTACTCCCTGGAAAAATCAGTTTTTCAAACCTTTTCTGTTTGAAACTGAATGCTCACACAACTGTTCACAGACACAATCACAGGCAAACACATAAACATGTATGGTGCATAGGCACACTGTGCAAGCGCACAGTTACCCCTCAGTCAGACATCTTATTCCTCTTGTATAAAAACCGCGAGATGTAGAAATTTTCTTTAACAACATGAAATTTGCTGTTATTTCTCAGCAGATGGGACTGACCAAACAAAAAGGATTAACAGTGTTGCTTCTCTTTTTAAATGATTATTATTTGGTGTCAGAATTGGACAACTCGAGGGGTAGTATATGAGTGGGTACTCACCATTATCACACCTGATTTGAATGGATAAAGTGCAGTGTAGACATAGTCTCTTCAGAACCACCCCCTAGCACTCTTCAAAGAGTGCAAGGACTAAAGCAGTGAATTCTGTAATTAGTACACAGTCAATAGCCTGGGGGAAAGTTTAGCACCTTGAACTTAATTACATGAAATCCTTTTACAGAATTAATGAAAAGCTCTTCAGCTGTTTGTTCTGGGTGAGTAATTATCTCATAACGACCTTTTTCTTGGTTTTTCTTCCTGCCATGTGTTTGTAAGTTACCTTTCCTAAAGTGAATATGTTTAAATTGGTCCCACTGTGAATGCCAGGCTCTTCTCAATCCTACGTATTTCACATCAAAATAAAACCAGAGCCCCTCATTTCCACTTCGCTTTTGCTAAATATCCGTTAAACAAACATCGCATGAAGCTTCCTTTGAAAAAAAAAAAATCTGCTTTCCTCATTGTTCCTGAATTCCAGAAATGTGATCCTCTGGTGGGGGATGCGCTGTCTCGCCAAACATCCAAGCTTTAGATGGTCAGAGGACTGGGAATGTGTGGGCAGAAGTGCTTCCTAGCTCAGGGAAAGAGCATCTTCCATGATGTGTCCACACTAGTAGATATTCACACCTTTACCTGGAGAGTAATCTTCTCTCCCAGGCTTATGGGAAGAAAGTGTCTCTTTTTATGTTTTCTAACAAACCCTGAAGATCTGTGAGATGCCACTAGGATTTGTTCATACAAAGGCTGATAATAGCCTTTGTATGTTTTGCAGTGGTCTCTCTGATGGCCCCAGTGCTGAAATAATAAGGAAAGTTTGGGTTCTTTTTTTTTTTATAGGAAGGGGTGGGGGTACTTATGTAATCTGCAGTGGACTCAGTTGTTCCACACTCAGAGGGTAGTTTTAACATCAACAATCGCTCACTGTTGCATCAGCTAAGTTCTTTATGCTGAAAAGATATATTTCCAAATTTACGTCTGGAAATGCTCTCTCTTTTGTGCTTCTTAAGCTTTTGAAGAATTCTCAAATCATCCCTAGTATTATATAGGAATCTCTTTTTCAACCTTATCAGAACTTTAGAAGTATAAGTGGAATGGAATAGAATGGAATGGAATGAATGAATAATGAAGAAATAAATCCTCAGTACGTACAACAATTCCAGACCTCACATATATTTCCCAGGCAAAAAAGTAGTACTCATTTTTTTTTTTTTTTTTTTTTTTTTTTGTGAGAGAGAGAGAGGGTCACCCTCTGTCACCCAGGCTGGAGTGCAGTGACGCCATCTCGGCGTCACACCTGACTAAATTTTGTATTTTTAGTAGAGACAAGGTTTCGCCATGTTGGCCGAGCTGGTCTCGAACTCCTGGGCTCAAGTGACCAGCCCACCTCGACCTCCCAAAGTGCTGGGATTACAGGTGTGCGTCACTGTGCCTGGCCTAAAATTTTTAATTTGAAGAGAGAGTGAATAATTCTTAAATGTCGAATTCAAATTTCTTCTTAATCTAGCACTACATGTATTTTATTTATTAGTTTTGTTATTTCCTGCATATAGGACACTGGTATGTAATAAGAATGTGTACCTACTGCTACTGTTAAAGGCACTTATTATTATTGGCTGCCAGTGTTATATTCTGTTTGGTTGAAATACATCATGAAAATGCTTGGTCAAAGACTGTGAATGCTTAGACACATGGAGAGAGCCAACTGCTTTGTCCTCCCTCACAGCTGTGGCCAAAGGGTAGGAAAATTCTCCACCAATGACCTAATGATACAAATGTGCATAGAGAGGGTTTCTCTTAACAATGACCATAATTACACACAAATCACATAGCTAAGTAAATGCCAAAGACAGTCTATCCAGTCTTCTGATTTATCACCTGGTCTTTTTGTGCCCCTCTTTTCCTATATCTTACTATATTACCTTTGGAGGTAGGTATCAAAAGCTAAGGAGAAGTAGGGGATTCCATGTCCAGTGTTGCTAAACTGTTACACAAGATGTAAAGCCAAACAGTGTAACCCAGAGAATGTAAACGATGGCTGTAAAATATTCATTCCAAGGGTGCATTTCACTTGGTGTGTGTATGTGTGTGTATAATTTAATCACACATTTTAAAATCAGGAGATAGCATGTTTTCAAAAATCTGGCTTTTTGGCTTACTCTTAGCAAATTGTAGCAATTCTGGGTGTGTATTCTTTCAGCCCACTGGAGTCCCCGCCTGGCACTTGGAATTTCATACTGTGGTCCTTGAGTGCTATTTCATGGCCTGACATGGAACAATCAATGGCAGAGGCTGAGATGGTGTTAACCCCCTAGATGATGTAAACTAGAATGAATGAAGTGGCTAGGAGTAGCTTAGCTGGATCTAATAGAAAATCTGAGGTACCACTAGCTTAAACATGATGGACATTTATTTCTTTCTCAAATTAAGCCTTGAGTAGAAAATTCAGAGGGAAAATGACAGGTCTGAAATGTCTTCTGGGATCTAGTTCCCTCTTTTCAGCTCTGCTCCATCATCTTCAGGTCACCTCATGGTCTCAGTTGGCTACTGGAGCTCCTACCATCAGGGATTCTTTCCAAATGCCAAGAAGGAGAAAAGGACAGAGACAGTCACGCTCTTAAGGAGACTCTGTGGCAGTCCACACAGTACTTCCACATAGATCTCATTGGGGAACACTTGGTTTCATGCTTACCCTTAGTTTTATGGAGCTTTATTGCTGAAAAAGAAGGAAAATGTGGATGCTAAGCTTGGCTAGGCATGGTGGCTCACGCCTGTAATCCCAGCACTTTGGGAGGCTGAGGCAGGTGGATCACCTGAGGTCAAGACCAGCCTGGCCAACATGGTGAAACCCCATTTCTACTAAAAATACAAAAATTAGCCATCTGTGGTGGCACATGCCAGTAATCCCAGCTACTCAGCAGGCTGAGGCAGGAAAATCGCTTGAACCTGGGAGGCCGAGGTTGCAGTGAGTTGAGATCGCGTCATTGAACTCCAGCCCAGGCGACAGTGCAAGACCTGTCTCAAAAAAAAAAAAAAAAAAAAAAAAAGGAGCCATCTGGAAGAGTATATGTCTAACCAGGGAGATGACGTCAAGAAATCCTATTCCATTTCTTCCTCAAATGCCACTGGCCTGGCCAGGATCAAGATAAAAGAGTCTGGCCTTGACTGAAAATACCTTAGTCCTTAGGGCAGATGATGCTTCTTTTAGTAAAAATTATCAGAGTTCCTAAGCAACTCATTTAAATATTGTGGTTCATGCCTATAATCCCAGCACTTTGGGAGGCCAAAGCAGGCAGATCACCTGAGGTCAGGAGTTCAAGACCAGCCTGGCCAACATAGTGAAACCCCGTCTCTACTAAAACTACAAAATTTAGATGGGAGTGGTGGTGCACACCTGTAATCCCAGCTACTTGGGAGACGGAGGCAGGAGAATTGCTTGAATCCAGGAGGCAGAGGTTGCAGTGAACTGAGATTGCGCCACTGCACTCCAGCCTGCACAACAGAGCAAGACTCTGTCTACACACACACACACACACACACACACACACACGCAACAGAAACTTTTTGTCTTAGTTTCCCAGAAGTCAGAAGCTTCTAAATAATATGAAATTCACTCACAAATAAAAGATGATACTGATAGAGACAGGGAAAATTGTATACCACAAAATAAAATTAATACTTTAGTGTTAATTTGATAAATACAAGTGAACATTTCTCAGGAAAACATGGTTCTTCATCTTTTCTCTAGTAAGCTGCCAGGTGAAGACATGTCTACATTGAAAGGAATTTCCTGTTATGTATTGTCTCTGCATTTCCCATAGATTTTAAAGACTGTTCTCTAAATCTCTCCAGACCATATGAAGACTGGATTGCCGGCATAGAGTCAGAGTCCGCTTCCATACAGTAACCTGCTCTGGTTTGGAGGTCAGCCGTGGATAGGAAAAACTCTGTGAGAGTTGTTGTTTAGCATGAATGTTGTTACAATGCTTCACTTGAAATGAAAGATAGCACTCAGAAAATGCAATATGTGAATCATCAGTAGATGCATTTTCCCCTATCCATCTTTATGAAAAGATTTTTAAAGTATTCATCTTCTCTGCTGTATGTCTTTCTCATAGAGTCATTCAAGAAATTAATAGTTTATTTCTGTAAAGGGTGAAGCAATAAAGATTTTTCAAGTTCAGAGCATATAGTTATTTCATAGATGTACTAAATGTGTAAGCTGTAAGCTTGAAGATAGATTCTAATTACTATGTCTATTGAAATAGTGATAGCTACCTTGTTTTATGTGAATAAATGTAATTTGAAACTAATTAAGGAAAAATTTAATTCCACAAGATAAATAGAGAAAAAAATAATTTAAGGGAAGTTCTTAGTAGGACTTATTACATGATTGAGTCGTTTACTAAGAAAAAGTAATAACACCAAGTTAAATATTTTCCCAGTTGTAAGCTACTGCCAGAGTATATAAACTATATTTTGAGGACATGAGTTTGATGAACTCTTTTCTTAATTTCTCTGAAACAGCCCCAATAGCCTCAAATTTTTTTTTTTTTTTTTTGAGACTGAGTTTCACTCTTGTTGCCCAGGCTGGAATGCAATGGCGCAATCTCGGCTCACCACAACCTCCACCTCCCGGGTTCAAGTGATCCTTCTGCCTCAGCCTCCCAAGTAGCTGGGATTACAGGCATGCACCACCATGCTCAGCTAATTTTGTATTTTTAGTAGAGACGGGGTTTCTCCTTGTTGGTCAGGGTGGTCTCAAACTCCCGACCTCAGGTGATCTGCCCACCTCGGCCTCCCAAAGCCTCAATTTTTTAAATTGCCCATCCTATAGCACTAGCAGATAGGATGTACCAGTTGCTAATGCCAAGTATGTTTGTTTGTTTTCTAATTTAATTTAATTTTTATTTATTTATTTTTTTGAGACAGGGTCTCACTCTGTCTCCCAGGCTGGAATGCAATGGCATGATCATGTCTCACTGCAGCCTCAACCTCTTGGGGTATCCCCCTACCTCAGCCTCCTAAGTAGCAGGGACTACAGGGTCACAAATTATGCCTGGCTAATTTTTGTATTTTTTGTAGTGACAGGGTTTTGCCATGTTGCCCAGGCTGGTCTTGAACTCCTGGGCTCAAGCGATCCTCCCACCTCGGCCTCCCAAAGTGCTGGGATTATAGGCATGAGCCATCACTCCTGGCCTGTCTTTCTAATTTCAAAGTTGGTGTTTAAAATGTATATTTGTGTATCTACATGGTTAAAATACCAACACTTCTAATTTTATTCGATATAAACTCTTAAATTTTCAGTAGTTCAACCCATAAACTTGTGCATTTGTAATCATCCTTATTTTCTTACATTTGTCAGAGTAAGGGTCCCTTCCCTCAGCAAGGTAGAACTTTCACCAAGCATTTTCCCTTCTTTCTTGTGCATTCGAGATCTTCCTCTTCACAGGCCTTTTTCTCTGAACATAGAGCATTCACAATTTATCTACATATTTAAGAAACTGGCATCATATTTCCAGAGCAATATGGTAAATTGTCAGTATGTTTGCAATAAAAGTATAAATCCTAAAACGAAATATTTACCAATCAAGGAATTTCCCATGAGAAAATAATCTGAGATAAAATTCCCTATAAAAGAATGTTCATCGCACACTCTGTGTGTGTTTACCATGAGTATATAAAACTCTCTAAATAATGTAAGTTCAATTTCATAAACTATGTGCACTCTTAGAACTTGAGCGGGAGCCTTGATTTGCCCCTGTGCCTACTTATGGAAGAAGAAGTGAGCTGGAGACACATCTGATGTTTCCATCTAGGCTCTGCCAGAAGCACAACCTAAGATGAAGTTTGTAGTGTAAGTAGCTTATCTGGGAGGTGGTCCTAGTAAATATTGATGTGAGAGTGGGGAAATGAGACAAGGAAAGGAAGCTAGCCAACAGCACCATAAAACAGTTGTTGTTCTTAATTCCACTAGGGAACACTGGGAGCCAGTGTAGAATTCAGGCCTTAGAAGTATCGCAGCTTAAGGGTGATAGGTCTCAGGTATTTAGAGACTACCTCATGTCAGTCACTGCCAAGGATTGGTCCCTGGAGGGCAATAATTCTCTGTCACTTTTCTGTCCCCTGCAAATAGGCAGAGTCATCTCCAGGAACCCAAGAAAGCCCTCAGGCGGAGATGCAGATGCTGGCAGGGGATGTCTAGGAAGTCTGGGTGGGCCATCAGCAGGGTCCTCTGTGGCAGCTTGAAAGGGAGGCTAAGAGGACCAGCCTGCACTATCAACTTTTGGCCAAGCAAGGGTATGTGACATTTCCACAGGTGAAGAACTATGGAAAATAACTCAACTGAAATCACTTTATTGCCTGCTAAGCAGACAACTCCAGCAGTAAGAAATTACTAGGTGCAGTACTGGAAGTGGGATCTGAGAAAATGTGGAGTGTTCTTCAAAGAACTCACACATGGGCCAGCATTTGAGAGTCCACAAACACAGAAAGGACCAATGCCTTTTTCTTTATTTCCTTTCACTTTTTCTCTTTCAATATTTCCTCTTTCTCCTATTCTTTCATGGAATGAGACCGAGTATCAAAATTTAGTAGGCAAAGGTGGCTGAAGTCACAGCAGTATTGTTCTTGTGGGAATTTTTCAGAGTTAATTTGTATTCACCAATTTGATATTTTGCCAAAATGTGGGGAAATACTGTAGGGAGATATTAGATAAGGAAATTACAGAGATGTATATACATGGTTTATAACTCTCTTGTGGTGTTTGTTGTCTTCCCTCTGCTTGCTTACGACAAAGATCACATCTTAGTTGACTTTGTACCTCCTACAAGACCTAGAAAATGATATTCATTAGAACTTTAGAATTCTTGAAAGGATATATCTTTAGTGCATTTCATTTTAGTGTATCAAGCATTATATTGTGTTTTCCTGAATGTTTCTGTTGCAAATAACTGAAACAAAATAGTTGTAACATCTCAAAGGACTATTCAGTGGATGCTTGACTTTTGAAATGATAGGATAATTTTAGCAAATTCATCCTTCAGATCACTTTCCCGAGAGAGCAATATAAAGTGTTTGGAAGGATCTCAGACAGATGTGGACTCCTACCTGTTTTCCCACAAATTGTGATCAAAGAGGTAAACTTTACAGCACCTCTGGAGAGAGAAGCTCATCCAGTGAGTTCTGAAGAGAATCTGTAGGCTCTGGGCTTTTAAATTCATGTCCTCTCTCCATATCGCTGTCACAACTGCCCTTTAACCACTCCTGTAATGTTCTCCTCAATATTGCACAGATTCAGATAGTTCTTTTTCTGCTCTTCTGCCAAAAGCATTACCACCTACTTTTTGGCTCAGGTGGAGTTGTGTGGTTATTGGTTATAGAGTCACAGTTTTCCCTAATCCCATGTCCTACCAGTGATAAGCATGATTACTGGTTTTCATTCACTGTTCTGCATAAAATGTTGGTTGCATTGTAATTGGTTTATCTACTTGACAGATGTATTCTACTAACATGTTAAAAGTTCCTTGGATGAATCATGGTATATGATAATGAATGATTACTACTTGTCAGGCACCACTGTAAGCACTTTACCCATATGAATTTATTAAATCTTCACAATAGCAAGCTTTCTTACTTAGGTTATTATTTATTTATTTATTTATTTATTTATTTATTTATTTATTTATTTATTATGGAGACAGGATCTTGCTCTGTTGCCCAGGCTGGCATGCAGTGGCACTATCACGACTCACTGCAGCCTCAACTTCCCAGGTTCAAGTGATTCTCCCACATCAGCCTCCAGAATAGCTGGGAATACAGGTGTGAGCCACCACACCTGGCTAATTCTTTTTGTATTTTTTTGTAGAGATGTGGTTTTGCCATGTTGCCCAGGCTGGTCTCAAACTCCTGGCTCAAGCAACCTACCTGCCTCAACCTCCCAAAGTGCTAGGATTACAAGTGTCAGCCACTGGACCTGGCCGGTTAGGTTATTATTATTATTACCAAAATGCAGATGAAGAAACTGAACCATGGAGAATGTAAGTAACTTGACCAGGTGATACTACTGGTTAGGTTGAAGAACTAGGATTCAAATCCAGGCAGTCTGGGCCAAAGTCTAAATTCTTAACCACCATGCAGAACTACCTCTATGTCATGTTGTCAGATCTAGTAGATGCAAGACACACTGATACATACTCACCAGTGAAGTTCATTGCAAAGTCAGGAGGCAGAAACGGCAGCCATGAAAGGGACTTGGGTATGTCCATGACCAAGCGGAAGGCAGGTTGGAGCAGATACAGGACTAAGAGAAGGGGATGTTTGGAGATTGTCATTTGAATGGGCACTCTCTAAGTTGCCTGATAATCCCAGCTGACCACCCTTATCTCACACCCACTTCACTCTCTCTCAGATGCCATTCTTACATGATATAATCATATCAGCTAGCATCTCCTGCCTCATATACTTTAACAGATATTTCTACCAGTCCTTGCAGAGACCAAGCCACTGAGGCAGTAGGAGATCATATCTTTTAGCTGCAAGATATCTGCCTCTTTCCTTTGTATTTATCTAGCTTTCTGAAGTCTTAGGTTCCTTTAATCCAAGGTCAACACTCCACCTCACACCCTTTATTGAAATAAAATGTAACCCAAGCAAAAATCAAATTTTCTTTTAGTCCTAAGTGACCTTAAGTATTACTCTCAAATAATCATTCAGCCTACACTTAAGTTTGTAAATGTATATGCAGAACCTCAGTACAAGACTTGGTCTTCCAGCTAAATTCAATTTATCCTAATCTGAGTTACTCAGCGTTCCCCTGCATCATAACATTCCTATTCTTTTCATACACTGCCCATTTCACAAAAGAAAACAAAAACCCAATTCCTTTTGACTATTTTAGTACTTTCTTCAGGTAAAAAACAAAACAAAACAAAACCCCAAAACCTTGCTATAGCAGTTAGCTCCATGATCATCAGTGCTTACTAAAATCTTTCTTCAAGTATGGTAGGTAATAAACTAGATTCATTTATATGTCCAGTGCATATTTAAAGAACACTGCCCCTATTGTAAGAGGAAGCATGTAACTGAATTGTAAGGATTGTTTAATCCACCAGAGACTACATTTTATTCAAAATAATTTTAAAAGTCAACACATTTGAAAGATAATGTATATAAATATGACTACTGTCATTGATTGATAATTTAAATACAGATAATTAATCTTCTGATCTATGAATCAAAGTCAACCCTGAATCATTTGGGTTTTAATTTCAGTTTCTTAAAGATAAGAAACAGAATATTTTGCTCCATCCTGGTTTATTTATGTGGTCATATGGTCAATCATACAAACAAATAAAAAAAATGAAACAAACTTCCAAATGTCGTTTATTTGGAATGCTAATAAATGTTACAAATTAAATGTGTTTTTTTATGAATTTAAGATAACTATAACAAAGAAAGTACACAGTAAGTTCACGAACTTAAAAAATCTCTCTTCAACCTCCACTCCTTTGCACCCCTCTTGTGTCAGATTTGATTTGAAATATATTTGGCTTTTTCAAGCGTTCCAGAGTTGGCTTGTTGCTGAAGCCTAAGTATTTGCAAGGTAATGGTTAGATTTTCCATGTCTTTCATGTGTTCTAAATTCCTGCTAAACTTTTTCTTTATGGTAAGTATTAAAATACCTGGTAAGAAGACATTATTTCTTTTCTAACAGCTTTGAATCATAAATCACATTTTTCTTCTTTCTCAGTAATATTTTTACACTTGAATTCTCCCAATCTCTATGCATGCATCCTGGCATTTGGTGCCCTTTTGGAAGAACAGTTTGACCTGATACATTTCCGAAATACTTGTTCTACTGGCTAAGCCTAAGCATAGCATTAAATTATTTCTTCTCTTCGTAGCTCGTATTTTTTGCAGTCCAGTCAATCAACAGCCACTTTCACTGAGGACCATGCCCCCACTCTTCAGTCCACTGCCTACCCATGAGGGTTGTCCCTTTCTGTTTGGATTGCAGGTGGCAATCCAGAGATTGAGATAGTTCATTTATATTCTTTTTCCTGGGAATTTGAATTAGGGCACAAAGAACCCTGAGAGAGTAGGTGTTTTTTTGGTTTTATTACCAGTAGACAGGTACTACAGAGTTAAGACTGCACAGAGAACCATAGAAATCTCATCAATGTAAGGAAGAGAGAATGAAGAAGATATACAAAGAGAAGTGGAGACACCATACTGTGTAACTCCAGAGGAAATAAATGTAATGTTGGAGGAAGTAGCCACCATGGCTTCTACTGGCTTGCTTGTTCCTGGTTTCAATCCCTCTTGAGAACTAGCTCTTCTCCCTACTTTCGGGTTAGAAAAAAATATTCCTATATACATCCAGTAAATCTTTGTTTAAGCTAATTAAGTGATTATCCAACCACACAACAGAGTGTGGTTGCCCTCATTCTTTGTGAATTTGGCAAATAAATTTGCAAAGGCCCTATAAATTGCAAAATTTATTTACACACTTGTGAATAAATTTAATTCAAGGGTAACCATTAAAAGTCTTTACTAACTTTCTTCTTCTATTTGCATGTTTCTCTAAAATAATTTTTGCTTATTTTCCTTATTATGGAAATAATATACAAATTAATAGCTTAGATAAAGCAGGAAAACATAATAATAATTACAGTTTTTGTCTCTCACTCTTTTTATGTATGTGTGGGCATATGTAATTATATGTCATATGTAGTAAAAGCACATGCTGTAATTTTTGTTTTTAAAGTTGCGTAATGAAAATTTTTCCATATAATAGATTCCTCTAAAATTACCTTTCAAGTATATTTTTTCATGTAGATATACCACAATTGAATTTTAGAAATCTCCTATTGCTGGTCAGTTACCACAAAATTTTGCAGTTGAAATAGTTATTCTTGTATATAAATTTTTCTCAATACCTCTCAGTATTATCTTTCAATTTATTCTCTTTCATCTGAAACATGATTAAGTTCTTTTACACTTATTTATATTTCTTGCCTTGTTACAACAGCTAAACTTCTCACATAAAAGTGATGAGGCACTTTCAGAGACTGAAGCAGTTGGATCACCTGAGGTCAGGAGTTCAAGACCAGCGTGGCCTACATGATGAAACCCCATCTCTACTAAAAATACAAAAAAATTGGCCGGGTGCGGTGGCAGGCACCTGTAATCCCAACTACTTGGGAGGCTGAGTTAGTGAGAATCATTTGAACCTGGGACACAGAGGATGCAGTGAGCCAAGATTGCGCCACTGTACTCCAGCCTAGGCAACAAGAGCAAAACTCCATCTCAAAAATAATAATAATAATAAAAAAGTGATGAGGCATTCTTGCCTTGTTCTTGAATTTAATAAGAATGCTTCAGGCATGATTTTGGTCATTGGTTTATGATAGCTCTCTTGGTCATATTATGTAAGTACCTCTCTGTTCTTTCCCTAATTTGTTTGTAGAATCATACACTGATGTCCAAATACCATATGTAATACTTGGGCCATTTGAGATTATCTTACTTTCTCCTTTGACCTCTTGACATTAGCATGTGAATAATTTCTCTAATATCTTTGATTTTTTGGGCTAAGTGCTACTTGATCATATTGTATAGGAATTTAACATGTCAACTGAAATGATAGAGTTACTCATAACAATATTGATAATAAAATTAAATTTGATTTTTTATCCTGTAATAAATTAGCATTTGTTTAAGAATGATAGGTCATTTAGCCTCCAATTTTCATTTGGATTCTGATGACTTTTTTTTTGTTTTTGCTATTCATATTTTCTTTATTCCCTATGTGCTTTTATTCCAAATGGTGGAATTTGTCATTATTAGAAATTTGTTTGGTCTTCTGCATGTTTTTTTTAAACCATTTTAATTAAGTCTGCTACTCATCAACTCCTGTGCGTACCATTTCCCAATTTGATGTACTGTCCCTATGGGTCCATTTCAAAATGATTTGTATCCATGTTTAATAACTAAAATATGTATGTGGGTGGAAAACCTCGTAACCATAAATTTGAGACTTAGTTCTTCTTTGACCCTCTGGTTCTTCTGTGATTAGGCTAGACTATAATAAATAGCCTAAATGTTATAGGGCCAACCAACCTTTTTCTTTCTTTCTAGACTCTCAGTCTATGAAGCCCAAGTAAATACTTAAAATAAATGAAGCATACTAACAGTGATTGACTTAAAATTACAGTATAAATAGGAAAGCTCAATTACTGCAGAATACTGTTTCCAGTTTATGCTTTTGTCATTGTTTTATCTATTTGTTTACTTATTTTGTTTGTTTTTAGTTAATGGTTGTGTCATCAAATAATACAATTGGTAAATCCCTAGTACAGTGCCTGGTATATGATAGATGCTCAATATGGATCTGGTAAAATAAGTTTACATATAATATTTATATGAATTTTCATTTCATGATTGCAGGATAGAATTTACTAAAAACGTTTTGGCCTAGAATGTATTAGTTTATTCTGCATGGTGGACATATAGCTAGTACAAATTAAGGCAATTGCTTTCATTCTCTTACTTCATAGTTAATCTTTGTTATCAATAGAGTGAGAATATAAGATTCAATTCCTGCCATAGAGTATCTTGCCATCCGACTTGGGATGTAGTCAGACCTACAAGAATTTATTACGATGGGGTTAATATAATGGAATGTGAGTGGGGGTACTGATTTTATGCATAGCAGAAGAATTTGGGAAAGTTTAAAAAGAGGAAACTTTGATCTAAAGTTGGAAGAACTAGTAAAAATCAGAGGTGGATGTATTGGGAGGTGGAAAGAGTTGTTAAGAATTTCCAAGCAGAGCAAACATCAAGAACGCATGGTGTATTTCAGAACCTCCAAATGGATTGGTGTAGCTAAAATCGAGTGCAAAAGTGGGGTTGGGGAGAGGGTAGACAGGAGGCAAGGGTGTGGTAAGGGTTGTGGTTGGAAGCATTATTTAGCACTAGATAGTAAAAGGACATGTAAAGAAGTTTAGATTTTATTTTGTAGATGGAGGGAAAACATTGGAAGTTTAAAGACAATCAGATCAGTATTTCAGAAAGATAACTTTGATGGCAGGTCAGAAAATGGATTCGAAAGAAGAACAGCTTCAGCTACAGATGTTTAAAACAACTCTTGATTTTCAAGAAGCCAGACTGAAATTCCTGAACCATGGCTGGGGCGATTAGATTGTGATTTAGATAGATAACTTGGAAATGTACGCATCTGGATGGTTACTAAATGTGATAGGTCAGAAAGAAGGCACCATAGATTACTCCCAGATTTCAGACTTGAAAGATATTTGATATATCTTGAAAACAGGAGGAGGGAACCCCTATTTGTGTGTGGAGAGGGTATGTTGAGTTTGAGGAGCCTCATGGTGCATTCAGACAGAGGTGTATACTGGGCCACTGGAACTTCACGTTGGAAGTTGAAGAGTTTGACATTGATTTAGGAGCCATTAGACTGTAAGTGAGACTCAAAGTTCTGAGTTCACATGATACTGCCCAAAGGAAGCATGAAAGAGAAAATTTGGAAATGGCAAACAACAACAAACTATAACATAGAAGTAAATGAAAAACCCTAAAGACACTACTAGGAGACAGTCAACATTTTGATGTACAGTCATGCATTGCTTAACAATGGGGATACCTTCTGAGAAAAGCATCATTAGGCAATTTTGTTATTGTGTGAATATCACAGACTGTATTTACAAAAACCTGGGTGGTATAGCCTACTAATCACCTAGGCTATATGGAATAGCCTATTGCTTTTAGGCTATAAGCCCTTACAGTATGTTACAGTACTGAATACTGTGGACAATTGTAACAGTATGTTAAATATTTGTGTATTTCAACATAGCTATAGAAAAGGCAGAGCAAAAATATGGCATTATAATCTTATGAGATCACGGTTGTATATGTGGTCTGTCATTGACCAAAACATCATTATGTGGTACATGAGTGTATACATGACTATATACTGTATGAGTCAGTCACACTCATACATACACAAACAGACATACAGTACATTTCCACATACATGCACACTAATGTCATGTACATATAGGTAATGAAATCATTGTGTTTGGTTGCCTACTTCTTAAATTTAATAGTGTTCAATAATATCATTGTAATAATATTATGTGATTACCCTATAATTTATTTAACTAGTGTGCTTGTCCTGTTGTTGGAACTTTATATTGTTTCTAATTTTTTATTATTGCAAATTATTCTGGGATACACATACATCCTTTTGATCATTTTGTGTGTGTATCCATTGTTATTTCCTTAACATATTCTTAGCTGTAGAATTTCAGTTCAAATCATGTGAAAATTTTAAGGCTTTGATCACTTTGTCAAACCGTCCTCCAAATATTACCAGGACAGGTGGTATTCCCAACAAAAATATCTGTTTTCCTATGTATTTTGCAATTTTGAAATTTAAAGAAAACCTTGGCCATTTGAGAAGTTAAAAAAAAACAGTGTTACTATTTTTAAACTTATGCTATTTTGGTATTAATGAAGTTAAACATTTTTCATATTTTCTGGCAAATACAATTTCTTTTTTTGGTCTTTGTTTTGTTTGGTCAAAAATGCTCAACTGTATTTCTGTTATTTTTTCTCTTTTCTCCTCCTTAGACAGCTATAAAAATTATTTATATTTTAAAGACATTAATACTATATTTGATAAGCATAATACATATATTTTCCAGTTTGTTGTTTTCTTTCTAATTCTGATTTTTTTAGAGGGAGCAGAAGCTTTAAGAAGTATAACACTTTCTATGGTTCTGTGTCTTATTATGTTAGCTAGGAAGTTCAAAAGGATTTTAAATAATAATGAAAATACTTAATACTACTGATTTATTTCTTACCTACTTGGGAAATCTGCTGTTTTTCTAATAGTTGAACATGGTTTCCATTATTGTTTTGAGATAGATAATCTATCATACTAATGAGGTATATTTTTATTCCTAATTTTTATTGATAAGCAAAGCAAAAATTAATTTTATTGAATGTCTTTTCAGCATATTGGATTATTACTTCCTTTTAATTGGGGTAATAATTGTGTTGCATTGGAGCCAAAGACTTTCCAATTTTAATATATATTTATATTTGAGGAATAAGCCTTATCACATAAACGAGAAAGTTTCTTTTAATATTTGAATTCAGTTTGGTAGTATTTATATAAAATTTTGTGGCTATGTGAGATTAGTCAGCAGCTTTCTACACTAAAATTTGTACTAAACTTTATCAATTTGAATTTCTGGCATTTTTATCTCACTATGAGCAATGTGGATCTCTGTCTTTCATTATTTTGAGTTTTCATGCATTAGTTTCTTATCAAATTCCTCTCTTACACATCTCTCTTTTCATTTTAGCCTATTCTCTTTCTATGGCTTTCAGTTCTTGTTTTTTATGGAGGTTTTGACTTTCTAAATCCTAGTAATACAAGCACCATTTTATTATGCTTTTTTTTTTTTTTTTTTTGAGACAGGGTCTCATTCTGTCACCCAGGCTGGAGTGCAGTGGCACCATCATGACTTACTGCAACATTCACCTCCTGGGCCCAAGTAGTTCTCCCACCTCAGCCACCCAAGTAGCTGGGACTACAGGTGTGCACCACCATAACCAGCCTATTTTTTGCAATTTTTTTTTTTTTTTTTTTTTGTAGAGACAGGGTTTCTCCATGTTGCCCAGCCTGGTCTTGAACTCCTGGGCTCAATCAATCTGCCTGCCTCAGTGCTGGGATTACAGGTGTGAGCCACAGCACCGGGCCAATTATTCTTATTTTCTTATTTTAGTATTAAATTACATACTCTTCCAAATGCTTCAGTTGATTTTGTATATCTTGGATTTACAGAATATTTTCATAGGCCTTCTCTAGATGTTTTGTGTTTTTTCATCCTGGGATGAGGATATATCTATCTTGGTTTACACTGTCCCATATTATAGCCACTAGCCACATGTGTCTACTTAAATTTAAGTTAATTAAAATTAAACAAAGTTACTAATTCAATTTCTCAGTTGCAATAGTCTCATTTCAAGTGCTCAATAGCCATATGTGGCTACTGTATGTAACAGAACAAATGATAATGTCAAGCATTATAGAAAGTTCTATTGGGGATTGGTGATCTAGGCCATCCATTTTCAGACACAGGCTGTGGCTTATTTGTTACAAATAAGAGGGTTAACCTCTTCACTGATCATTTGGGTGGGTTATCAGCTTGCTTTAATAATATTAATAATAATAGATAGCAAAATTTACAACCATAAATTCCAACACTCATTTTACTTTTACCCAGTTAGTTGTTCATTGTTTGTTGGAAACACTATGACTGAATATATGTCTTCATTCATGGATGGTGAAAAAGCAGAATAAAAATCCACAACTCTATCTGGCTTCTTTGAAAATTTTCTGCTAAATAAAATAAAGGTAGAATGTAAGATATAAAGTATAAGAATTCCGTATGAAAGAAAGAAAGAAAGGGAGAGAGAGAGAGGGAGGGAGGGAGGGAGGCAGGAAGGGAGGGAAGGGGTTACATGTGCTTAACATGAATTAATAAAACTTTGAAATGGAGATGAGAAAAGAGAAGATAAACAACAGATTAAAATTCAAACAAAACTGGCTGAGAAGCTGAAAAGAATAAAGTGAGAACTGTATAAAAGACAGAAATATTGTAATAAGGAAAATAAATGCAATGCCGGGATTCAATCTCAATTAGAAGTAGAGAAGAGAATGACACTGCATATACCCAAAACAGTGGTGTAGAAGAAAAGCTTGGAAGTAGGATGAGATAAAAATGAAAACATACTAGAATATATGAAGTCCAGAAAACAATGAACAGAATAGATTCTTTTCCCATAAATAATGTTAAATATAAAACCATTAACAGCCTTTGAACTGAAGAACACCTGAGATTCAAATTAGAAATATTAACTAACAGACAAGGCGTGGTGAAATTTTAGAATTTGAAGGGTCAAGTATTACAAGTAGCTTATGGTGTGTTGTTTGGACTAAATGTTTCTTAACACAGAAACAATATATGTGGAAAACAGATTGAAACACTGACATAATTTACTAATTTTCTGCCCCTTGGAGAATAGCTGTCATATAGTCATTGTAGGTATTAGTTCATTGTATTTATTTATTTATTTATATTTCCTTCTATTGGCTCATCAAGATTGATCAAGTTCTTTAAAAGATAACGTTATGGCCAAGTGTGGTGGCTCACACTTGTAATCCCAGCACTTTGGGAGGCTGAGCTGGGTGGATCACCTGAGGTCAGGAGTTCAAGACCAGCCTGAGCAACATGGCCAAACCCCAACTCAATACAAAAAATTAGCTGGGCGTGGTGGCACGTGCCTGTAATCCCAGCTACTTGGGAGGCTGAGGCAGGAGAATTGCTTGAACCCATGAGGCGGAGGTTGCAGTGAGCCAAGATCACACCACTGCACTCCAGCCTGGGTGACAGAGTGAGACTTTGTCTCAAAAAAACAGAACAAAACAACAACAAAAAAAGACTTTATTAGCGTCTCTAGTTAGTATTTTCAGTGAAGGCTGGTCACAATGGGTAATTGCAATTAAGGTTGTGTTGCAGTTGGTATGATATCGGCACGTAGTTTAATTAATGCAGCCCAAGAGCAAACACTGTCCCCATGCCAGATCTGCTGTGACCTCTCTTTTTCTTTCAAGACCATTTTTCAAAACAGTTCTCTTGCAGCCTGACATGGAGTGGGGGTGCCGTCTTGTGTAATGGTGATGGATCTCGGGTGTTAGAACAATATTACACAACCCTGCATTTTTGTCATTCTAATGACTGTTGCTGGACAAGGGAAGCTTACTTTCCTGCCAGATATTTATACAAGCTAATCGGAGGCTTGATACAATACAGATGGTGATAACCTTTTGCCATACAAAGTCCATGTTGAGTTTTTCTTTGGCAGCAGAGGGTTTGTCTCATTCAGTATTCTGGACCAAAAAATTCTGTTTCTTAAATGTCTCACAAAGGCTAGCAGATGATGTAAACTATTTCAGGAACATTGAAAAGAGAATCAAGTGCTGGCCTTCTAATACATTCCACAAACATTACCACAGATCTATTTACTTCTTAAATCTGGGGTATAAAAACGTTTTGATTGAATTAATGTTTTTATTCAAGTACGATGAAGCACAAAGATTGGGGCGAGGGGTAAATTATTTTCAGTAAATCCCCCACCCCTCCTCTATCCTTAAAGTGCATTCCAAACCCAGATCTTGTGTAATTCTTTGCTTGGACTACTAGTCCTGCTATTCTTGCTATTTTAAGCTTAATATATTGTCTTGCCAACAGATGTAATGTTTCCTGTAAATATTCACCAGTTCTCTGTAAAAAGAGAAGAAAAATAGAATCATGGCTTGAAGTGTTTTGTGTGTAATGAGTAGTACAGCAAGAAATCACTGCTAAATCCTAATGTGGATGTTAAAGAATGTTATTGACAGGAGCTACATTAATATTAAAAATAGCATTCATTTGTTTCAGAAGGACAATAAAGGCGCACATAATTTTATCTTTGGTGTACAAAACTATACAAAACATACACACGTGCATGTACCCAGACACACTAACTACTCACTCAAGACCAACTCATTCAAGTAACTCTGCTCCAGACTATCCTGTAGTTTATCCACTGCACTCATTCATTCATTCATTCATTGAAGAAATAGTTATGAACATGTACTCTGTGCCCGGCACTATTGAGAATATCACACTGAAGAGACAATTTCCTTTTTTTTTTTTTTCCCCACTTCTCCTCCTTTCTAGGAAAATTCTCACGTTTTTAATGTCTTGCTTACAGTTAACTGCTGTGACCTTGTAGAAGAAGCAGTAATCAAAATGAGCACAAGCTTAGGGTGGGTGTCCGTGGAGGTGAGACTGTGACTTCAGAGGGGAACAACTCAGACAGAAAGCAAGTTTATTACTTGGTAAAGAGCAAGGATGGTGTAAACACAACTTTCCACCTCTTGGCATACTACAACTAGGAGTTACCCTTCGAATATGGAAAAGTATAATTTTAAAGACAAATAATGTCTCATTTCATCTCAATCATAACAGATAATTGGACTTTTCCTCAAAGGTGGTTCTGAACAACAACAACAAAAATGTGTGTGTATTTGTGTATGCATATTTCACTTTGTTCCAAGTATTATTTATGTCAATAACACTTTTCCCCTGGAATGTGTACTAACTGAAAATGTAAATACATACATACACACACACACACACACACACACACGCACATCTATACATACACATAAATGTCTATATTATACTTGATACATTTAAATCCATTTCAATTATTTTTATTGATACTCAAAATGACCTTTATTTTGCCAGAAGGAGCCTCTTCAGGCTGGCTCCTGATTCTTCTGGGCATGTTTTTAGGGCTCTTGAACAGCATCTTTGTTTTCTGACATGAGAGGATGTTGCAAACTCATTTTGAACATTCCATGCCATAGACCTAAAATCAACCATTTCTTCACCAATTCCTGGTTCCTTTTAGTGGGTAATAGTATTTGGAGACCACAGTAGGGGGCTTTAGAGATGCCCATTTCTACTGGGGCTGGTCCTTGGTCTGTCCATTTTTGTGTATCTGCCAGTGTATCTTTGGGATAGATTCCTAGAGGTGGGATTACTGGATCAAATGATGAGATAGAAACATTTTAGTGAAGAATTTCATAAGCAGACTCTCAAGCTCTATTGGAAAAGAAAAAATCAAAGTTAACCACAAACATTTTAATAGAGAGAAAAAAAGGTGGTAGACTTTCCTTACCAGATACAAAAAAAAATAGTATAAAGCTATAGCAGCCGAGACGGGTGGTGTAGGCCAAGAATAAGCAAGTAGAGCAAGTAACCTGGATGCAGAGATTATACCCAGGGAAAGAACAGTTTAATCAGTAAATAATTTGCAGGAAAATTGCTTATCCTGTTTAATAAAAGTAAAAGTAGTCTCTATGTCACAGCAAAGACAAAAGATATCTATTTGGACTTAAGAAATATTTTAAAAATATAAGCATTAAGGAAAAGTATGTGAGAATATTTAATAGGCTTGCGGTGGGGAAACTTTTTAAAGCAAGATACAGGAAGACACAGGAGATAAGGATGATTCCAAGGTTTTTGCTCGAGCAACTGGAAGAATTGCTGCACGATGGGCCACTCCTTAGTGACAAATATTTATTAAGCGCGTATCATTTGTCAAGCACTGTTCTAGTCTCTGGGTTTTTATGACTTTAAAAAATACACAAAAATACCTGCCTTCAAGGAAGTTACAGTTAGGGAGAAGACTGGGCTTCTGTTTGAAGCCATCCTTGGCCTTGAAATACCTGGGCCTGTCTCCCCTGGATATCTTTGAACTGTGTCGCAGAGGGGTTAAAGTGACCTCCTTCTCTCCCAGCCTTGGCCTTCATCTCTAGCCCTTGCCTCTCCTTCTAAATAGGTGGTGATGGCAGGATTCCAAAAAGTTTTCTCTATTTACTTTCCAAGATATCACAGGGTTTCATCAGGAAGAGAAACTGTGTTTGTAAAAGATAAACAAATTCACTATCTGCTGATTAAAATTTTTTAATCTCTATTTCCCCAATACTAAATTTAATTTACATTTTGTGACCCCAGTTCTCCTGATGACAGAAACCTCACGTAGGCACATCTAAGCAAACTCAAAATCAGAAGGCTCTCAAGCACTGCACTTTTGAAAACAAAGTCACGTTGAGAAATATTACCTCTTCCCTTCCTCCCTGTAGTTGACGTGAAGCTCTGGGGCTTGGGCAAAGTTACAGCAAAGGAAGAGATACTTACCTCTCAGCTCTGACATGTCCTGTGCTGCCATCCTCTGAGATGCCCAGTTGTCTCATCAATAGTCATGATGGTCTTTGTTGGTCATCCGCATGTCTGTTGGTTAGTTTCATAACCTTTAATGCAGCTATCTCCTGCGGCTTCCAGGATCTCTTCCCATGGATATTGCCCAAGAGAGACACATCTCTTCTTGGCTCACAAGGTCTGTGGTGTCATCTACTGCCATACCTTTATTATTGCAAGACTCCTTCAGGTGTCTTAAAATTGCATTGATTCTTTCTCTGCTATACCTCTCTGGAATACATAAGCTTCTTCAGGTGCCCTCTCCTTTACCACCCAATGGAGTAGTTTTACTCTACTGCAGGGGGCCCCAGTACCCAGGCCGTGGACTGATGCTGATCCATGGCCTGTTAGGAACTGGGCCACACAACAGGAAGTGAGCAGTGGGCAAGTGAGCATTACCACCTGAGCTCTGCCTTCGGTCAGATCAGCGGCAGCATTAGATTCTCATAGGAGCGTGAACACTATTGTGAACTGTATGCGAGGGATCTAAGTTGTGCACTCTGTCCCTGTCTCCCATCACTCCCAGATGGGACCATCTAGTTGCAGGAAAACAAGTTGAGTGCTCCCACTGATTCTACATTATAGTGAGTTGTATAATTATTTTATTCTATATTATAGTGTAAAAATAATAGAAATAAAGTGCACAATAAATATAATGTGCTTGAATCATCCTGAAACTGTCCTCCAGCCCCATTCCACTCCATGGAAAAATTGTCTTCCAGGAAACTGGTCCCAGGTGCCAAAAAGTTTGGGGACTGGCCAGACGTGGTGGCTCATGTGGCAGGGCGTGGTGGCTCACGCCTGTAATCCCAGCACTTTGGGAGGCTGAGGCAGGTGGATCACGAGGTCAGGAGATCAAGACCATCCTGGCCAACATGATGAAACCCTGTTTCTACTACAAATACAAAAATTAGCTGGGCATGGTGGTATGTGCCTGTAGTCCCAGCTACTCGGGAGGCTGAGGCAGGAGAATCGCTTGAACCTGGGAGGCGGAGGTTGCAGTGAGCCGAGATCGCACCACTGCACTCCAGCCTGGGTGACAGAGTGAGACTCTGACTCAAAAAAAAAAAAAAAAAAAAAAAAAGGTTGGGTACCACTGCTCTATTGTCCGCTGTCATTATGACCAAGGGCACTTCTTTGGGATGTACCACCATCCCAGATATCCAGATGGAAAGAGGACCTGGGGACCTCTATGCCTAAAGGGAGGCTTGTCAATCATCTCTTCTGTGACAGAGTTAGGGGTGTGGAGAGAGTGTGGAGAGTTCAGGGTCTCACAGCAACATCTCACATTTCTCATTCTCCCCTAACTCTTTCCCTCTTCCTCTCCTCAGAGGTTTTTTCTTCTCTGGAGTGTGGAAAAATTTCACACTTACCAAGCATTCATTCCAAATCTTCCTGTCATTCATCAAGAGGGCAGCTTTTTAAACTTTAAGAGCCAAGAATTTTGAGAGTGTTGATTGGGCTTCTTGGTGTGTTTATTTGGGGAATGTCTCCAGTAACGTCCCGAATGCTACTCCGTCGCAGAAGCCACCCTCTGTGCCTGTCTTTGGTGTGGTCCCATCTGTACGATTTTCCTTGATCTCATTTGATTTTTGAGAAAGAGTGTGGTGAAATGTTTGAATACCTCTTCTCAAACTGCTGGCTTTCCAGATATTTCTGGAGGCATTGTTAGTTTCATTTAATTTTCCTTAAATTCAGGTTTAGCAGCTTTAGCTTTGCCTCACAAACACTAACTAAATTTAGGTAAGAATTATTGAATTGTAATGAATACCCACTGATTATATACTAATGAAGATTGCTTTCTACGGACATGAATCTCATAGTCTGAGAGAATCTGGATCTCATAGTCTGAGAGAATCTGGATCTTATAGTGAGTCTGCACCCTAAAGTGAATTGTATCAAACATTTTAAAAATCACAATATCTCCTTTTCACTTTAACACAACATAGGATGCAGTTGTCACTCTTCCTGCCTACCTTCTGAAAAACATGTAGTGTTTCTTGAATTCTTGCGGAATAAACATGAAGTTCTTTTTTAAAAATTAATTTATTTTTTAATAGGAATTTCTTCTAAGAACTTACCAGAAAATATACCCTGGTGCTTCTTTATCTTTTCTACTCATCTGTAGTGAAAAGCAACAACAGCAAATTGAATTAAATGCCAGATTCACCACTGGAGTTCTTGTGCCTTTATAGTCTGGTGTTACAAAGCATCAATGGCAATATATAAATGTCTTTTTAAAAGGTTTCATTTTTTAAAATTCTATCTGTAGAGAAGGAAGAGCATATATCATTGTAAAACAGAATTCACTTGTCCTAAAATAATAAAGTCCCAGTGTCAGATTTAGTGAATCAGTATTTCTGGATACCACCAAAACTAGCTATTTTTATGCTAGTACCGGGTGGTCCAAAAAGATGAAGTATTGAATCAATTCTACATTTTTTGGAGGAGCAAGTGGAAAAACAAATATAGGAAGCAGGTCAGCCATTATTGACTCTGGAAAAGACATGTTCTGTTAAATTTCCTTCCCATTAGGATTTTGGTGTATGACCATGCAGTGGTTTGGATAGAGATGATAGACAGATAGATAGATAGATAGATAGATAGATAGATAGATAGATAGATAGATAATTTGTGGAATTTGGATTCAGATTTTGTTCATATTTTGAGAGCCTGAGAATCAATAAAAATAATATAATAATAAGTGATAATATTGATTAAAAATTCATTCCATAAGTGTTTGTTGTACTTCATTAGCAAGCTCCATCAGCAATGTTGATGAGGATGATAGTTTTTAAATGCTTTTGAGGTTTATTGTGGCTCTGTGAGAAGATCATTGTAGGCTCTCATCTGTGCCTATTTCTGTTTTACTCTGACTAGGGCTTCCATCCCTCATGCCTGTGAAATACTAATGATCTTTGCAAGTACTGCCTTACGTAAGAAGAGAAGCACACAGTAGGCAAGACAGTACACACTCATATTAACTTTCCCCATTTCATTACAGCAAATTCTTCTTCATGCTAGAGAAAACTCAACAAAAGTTGTATTTCTCATCACTGATGGATATTCCAATGGGGGAGACCCTAGACCAATTGCAGCGTCACTGCGAGATTCAGGAGTGGAGATCTTCACTTTTGGCATATGGCAAGGGAACATTCGAGAGCTGAATGACATGGCTTCCACCCCAAAGGAGGAGCACTGTTACCTGCTACACAGTTTTGAAGAATTTGAGGCTTTAGCTCGCCGGGCATTGCATGAAGGTAATGGAAACCTAATGGCATCACAAAGGTACTTTTAAATGAGGCTTCCTTGCCTCTCACTGCTTGAAACCCATGGGAGGGTAATATCAAACTCTCACAAGGTCTTTGCTGAATATGATGCCCATGTGTCCTTTGGGCATCATGAAATGTGCTGAACTTCACAGAGATGACATTCTGACCTTGCAACAAGAGTTCCTTTTGTTTTTTTTCTTAGCAGCTGTTATGTGTTTTCACTAAAATATCCATATGCTCCCACCTTAGAATCAGTGGAATGAATTTAGGTGTGTTTTGAGGCCACACACAGAGTGGGAAGCCTTGACTTAGATCTCTTTACAGTTATCTGGACAGAGGAAGTAAACATTCAGAGACATGCTCAGTGAAACTTACCAGAATGTTTCCAGAAATACACATGAAGATACAGGAACAATAAATACTTAACACATACTTCTTGCCCTGACCATTTGAAGATAGATATGCTTATGTAAAAGCTTAAGAGCATTAACCCTAAAAGGGAAGGAAATCAGCAAATGTATCATTATTAGAGCTTTCTGTGCATCACTTATAATTTAATTATAAATTATAATTTAAAAATTAAATCATAATTATACATTATAATAAGTTAGCTGTGTAATATAAATTAAACTTCCTATCAGAATATAGGTTTATGTCTTAGTGAGCTAGGAGAAGAAAATACAGACTAGGAAGAAATCACAGGAAATCTAGCCTCAGATTAAAGTGATATGGCAAATTAGGCTTGATCCTTGCAGATATCCATGTGAAAGATTCAGTTTGAGGGGAAAACCATGGCAACATGAGTTCTAAGAAATTAGTGATGTTCATAATAAGTGGGTTAGCTCTACTGGAGTTTCTTTTTAAAAAAAATAAATAAATAAAGATGGTGTCTCGCTATGTTGCTCAGGCTGGTCTCAAACTCCTGGGCTCAAGCATTTCTCCCACCTGGGCCTCCCAAAGTGCTAGAATTACAGACATGAGCCACCATGCATAAAGCAAAAAAGATTTATCTCTCTGAGGGATGATGCTGGCCAAAGTTTTTGGAGGCTGGGATTTTAGTGAAGTGAGCAAGGACTTAGGACAGGGCTTAGAAGCAGCAAGAAACTGAGTATGGGAAATAAAGTATGGATTTGCGTTTAAACAGGTTTGGATCTAAGTTCCAGGCCTGCAACTTAATGAAATCTAATTTTTAAGAGCTAAGCCTTAAAAATCCAGAATGTCTGGATTTAAATCCCGATTTTGTTACCTACTAGCTGACGTTTTCTGTTTTTTTGTTTGTTTGTTTTGTTTTTACATATCATTCATCTTTTATATTCCTTAGGTTTCTTGTAAATAGAATAGGAAATGAGAATAGTACCTACTTCATAAAATTGTTACAAGGATTAAATGGGTTAATACATATAAAGGGATGAGAAAGTTCCTGATGGCTTGTTATACTCAGCACTCAATAACTGTCTACTATTACTGATATTTATTATTTATTAACAAATTATCATTATTAATTCCCCTAGGCAATTTATTTAACAACTATGAACCTCAGTTTTCTCTCCTTTAAAAATGGAAACTATTATTATATGTATCACAGAGGTTTTCAGGAGGATTAAATAAGATATTTAAAACATCACCAATATAGTATGTAGCACATGGAAGAAGTTCAGCAACTGGCTACCTTTATTTCTCCTTTTCTCCAAGGAAAGTGATATGTTAAGAGGGAAAACAGGGTGGTTGCAGTTGGAGATACTGGGTGTTGCCAGATGGGATTATGAAATTATGAGTGCTATCAACAAATTTCAGCTCCTGTCATCCCTCTGTCTTCTAGGAGTGGAGACTTCTGTCCTGATGGAAGTTGACCCAGAAACTAGAGTCAACAAGGAAAGGGTTTTGGTTATCATAATGCAATAGGGTTTTAGGAGACACCACATTTATTACACTAAACTAATATCTAAAATGTGTAATACTTTAGTTGAGTTTCTAGGTTTAGTAAGTAAAACCCTGTTTTTACTGGAAAGACATGATCAGATCAAAGGAAATGAGCCTCATTTCCCCTGCCTCTGTGTTCTCTGCAGCTACTTTCAATTTAGATGGATCCACTTTGGGTTTCACTGCTGTTCATGTTTCTGGCCATTCTCGATAGACATAGGTTACAGAATAATAGCTTTCCCCATTTGTACCTCCTCCACTTATCTCTCTTCCAGACCTGAATGCTGGTACACTAGTCTTGACAGCTATGTTTGTCTTTTCTTTTCTTCTCACCCTTTTTGATACAGGGTCTCATTCTGTCACACAGGCTATATAGTGCAGTGGTGTGATCACACCTCGCTGCAGCCTCCACCTCCCAGGCTCAAGTGATCCTCCCACCTCAGTCTTCCAAGTATCTGGGACAACAGGCATGTACCACCATGCCCAGCTAATTTTTTTAAAAATTGTTATTGTTTTTGTAGAGACAGGGTCTCACTGCATTACCCAGGCTGGACAAGTAGGTTTTCCTTGCTCCCTAACTTGCTTTACTGCCAAATAAACCTGTGGTCCAGTGTCTCAGAGCTGAGTCCTAAGGGCCTGTGTTACAGATCTTTTACCCACACCACAGTCTATTGGAAGGAGCTTACCAGGGTACCTGGTTGCACTGGTTTCTTTCCCTTGGGGCTGGAATCTTCCCTTTGCTTTGCCCCTATCTAGATGCATGGAGATGGATGTTCTATATTTGAGTCTACCACCAATCTCCTTCCAAGGTGTCCAATTGCAGCCCGTGTGTCTTGCTGGAACTCACCCACTTGAATTCCTACTATAAGCCCATCACAATATCTGGGCTTAGAGCCCCATGGACCTAGTATTGGAATTTAGTCTAAAACTTTCAAACTTCTTGAAAAGAATAAAGGACTTACTGTTTGTGTGATTCTAGGCCATCCATTCTGGGTCAATCATATTCAACCTTACCCACCCTGTCAAGTCACTTTCTAAACAGGTCTGCCTGAGTTATTGCATTCCCAGCATGCCTCACTTCAGAGCATGGCTCAAGTAATAAGAATGGTCTTTATTTACCTACTCAAATACCATAGAAGTGACAGTGTTTATTCCAAAGTTGGTGGCTCACAATTAACATCTCTGTGCAGTGATCAGGATGGTGGCTTTGTTTCTCATTGGAACAAGGATCTGGGGACTCGTTGCTGGGGCCTGACCTCACCCAGAGGCAGTGGAATGCTGCTGCTTTGGAAGCCAGGGGAATGACCTGCAGAACTGACTGCACTGTTTCCTGCAGCATCTGGAGATTCCTCACTACACTACTTAATTTCTGCCTGACCCTGAATGGCCTTGAGAACTTATGATGAGGTCCCAGACTGGAATAACTTAACTGGCTTCAACGAATTCCCAGAGCGCGCTAGTACAAATAACACACATTCGTATTTGGGTGGGAGCAGGAAGCAGTTGGGAATTAGAGGGATATGGAAAGATATTTTCTCCAGCTTGCACTTAAATTTTAATGACCAGAGAATGTAACATTGAACTGTGACTCATTTTTATCGCCCTCTGTCATATGTTATTTGTAGATCTACCTTCTGGGAGTTTTATTCAAGATGATATGGTCCACTGCTCATATCTTTGTGATGAAGGCAAGGACTGCTGTGACCGAATGGGAAGCTGCAAATGTGGGACACACACAGGCCATTTTGAGTGCATCTGTGAAAAGGGGTATTACGGGAAAGGTCTGCAGTATGAATGCACAGGTGAGTCTCCAATCTGTGTATATCAGTTGTCTGTTGCTGTGTAACAAATGATTCTAAAATGCAATGGCTATAAGGAATACATGCTTGTTATTGCTCATTAGTGTGTGGGGTCAGTGGCACATCTCTTTGGGGCTTCAGCTGTGCTGACTCATTTATTTGCCATCAGCGGTGAGTTGAGTAGGCTGCTGGCTGATCTCAGCTGGATTCTCTTATGTGTTTGGGTGTCTGACAATAGTCTGACCTAAAATGGCTTTGTCTAGGACAACAAGGCTGTCCTTTATGTGGCCTCTCATACTCCATCAGGCTAGCCCAGGCTTGTTCAGGTGGGGACGGCAGGGTTCCAAGAAGAAGAATGGAAGCTTGTAAGGCCCCTTGAAGCCTAGGTTCAGAACTGGGAGGAGAAAGATTTGGGGTCTTTGTAATTAGTCTAATAAAACAGCCAAATCTGTCCTCTAGGCATGTAAACCAAAATGTGCCTCAATCTCTCTATGAGATTGAAGCCAGTGGAATTCTTGTCCCCAGGCCACATGTAACTGGTAAGATTTACACATAAAAAAATGCATCCTTCACTTGATGGCTTTTTAAACTCTTCAGGAGCCTCCACAAAAGTGCATTGAAAAGTTCTAAAACTGCCATCACTTCGAAATGGAATTGGAATGACTACTATCAAAAAGACAAAAAATTACAAATGATGGCAAGGATGGAGAGAAAGAGGCACTCTTAAACACTGTTGGTGGGAATGTGAATTAGCATAGCCATTATGGAAAACAGTATGGAGGTTCCTCAAAAAACTAAAAAGAGAACTACCATATGATCCAGCAATCCCACTACTGGGCAGATATTCAAAGGAAAGGAATTCAGTATGTCAAAGAGATATTTGCATATGCATGTTTCTTGTACCACCATTCATAATAGCCAAGATATGGAATCAACCTCAGGGTCTATTCAATGGAAGAACAGATAAAGAAAATGTGGTCTATATACACAATGGAAGACTACTCAGCCATAAAAAAAGAATGAAATCCTATCATTCGTGGCAACGTGGGTGAGCCTGGAGTTGTTAAGTGAAACAAGTCAGGCACAGAAAGACAAACACCACATGTTCTCACTCATATGTGGAAATTTTTAAGATTTGATCTCGTAGAATTAGAAAGGAGAAGAGTGCTTCCTAGAGGCTGGGAAGGGTAGAAGGTATGGGGGATGAAGAGAAGTTGGGTAACAGATATAAATTACTACTAGATAGGAGGAATAAGTTTTAATGTTCCATAACACTGTAGGGTGACTATAGTTAACAAATAATTTATTGTACATCTTCAAATAGCTAGAAGAGAGGATTCGAATGTTCCCAACACGAATAAATGATAATTGAGGTGACAGATATGGTAATTGTCATAATGTGATCATTACACATTATATACATGTTTTTAAAATATCTTACTGTGCCCCATGCGTGTGAATAGTTGTTACACGTCAATTAAAAAATAATAATGAATGGGATTTATTTCATTGACATTTGTAATTTTTCCGTCTCTAGGTTTTCTTATAAGAAGATCTTTATATTTTTATATCTTATTAGAGAGGCAAGAAAGGAAACTTAGGAATCTTGTGCTCTACATTATATTTTAAGAAAATCGAATATTTTAAAGTAGTACATAGTTTTTCTGTATTGGATAGCATTTGTTGGATTTGTTTTTTACCTAAAGAGCAACTTTTTTTTTTATAGCTTGCAGCTCTTTCATGATTAGCTGTTTTGGAAAACTGTATCCCCATGGAAATTAACACCCACAAGGAAAATTTGGGAGCACTGGGTTTGCTTTATTTAGTACCATGTGGTCATTCATTGCTTGTTTCGTGTGAACATTATTTTATTCTGGCATTTTGTAGATGGGTCTGCTCTCCACATAGAAATGTGGTTCTCTTGTCTGTCTGAAAGTTTCTCTCTTCTTTTCTCCTTTCTTTTTTCCTTCTTCTTTCCTTCTCTTGGGACATTTCCTCTTGCATCTTTCTTTTACTCCTCTCATCTCCTTTCCCTTAATTTTTCCTGCTTCCTCTGGCCTTGATCCCAGCTGGCAGAAACCCCCTTCCTGGGTCCAACCATCCATGCTCACCCAGCAGAATCACTCCTTTCTTGGCCCTGCTCCCACCCCACCCAGCAGGATTTCTCACTTAAGCAGAAAAAAGGTGGGGGGTTGGGAGCAGATCAGCTCAACTGCCTCTGAGTTGGCAAAGTGCCTCCCCTTGTTTTTCCTTCCCTTTGAATCTTCCCACACTCTCATCAACAGCCCAGCTTGGCACTCTCTCCAACCCCTATTCCTTACTCCCCCATCCTAGCCCACCAAACCCAGGCAGAAGAGCTCATTTTCTTTGCTGGATGCTGTAGTCAGCATGTCTGCTTTCCGTGTGGTCCTAGACTGAACTGCTCCCTGCCAAACAGCCAGTGGCCTGTGGCTGCCTACAGCCTTAGCCACTCTGTGCTGCGACTCTTGCTGTTCCACAGCACTAGAATTTTGCATCCCAGGGGACAAGCAGCAGGAAGAAAGAGGGGGCAGTTCACAAAACCACTGCCCCCAGTTACCCAAGTAGCCTTGTCTACTACCAATAACACATTCCAGGATGAAAGGCGCAGCAGTCTGTAAAATATATGTAGTTGGGTGGGCCTGTCATTAGTGCATCGGTAGAGGGGACTGGAGCACTTCTGCTGTTGGTTCTAGCCAAGAACACCAGGCACATAAGGATTAGTTTATCCATCCCTGCCCTTAAATTAGTAAGCCTCAGCTTACTGATACTGAGTGATGCTTTCTTACATACAAGATTTAAATTATATAGAGTTGCATCAACACAAATTTTCATATGGTCATCTTCAATATTTGTTTCTAAGAGATTAGGAAATGTGGAACTGGAACTCCAAGAGGTGCCTCTGTCTTTGTGTAGCTGTAGGAGGCAGTACTGATCACTGGCTTCTCTGGAACAGTAGGAGCTAAGAGAAAAGAAATTATATCCTTCCTATGGCATGAAGGACTCATGACCAGACTCTCCTTTCAGAAAGGCAGAAAGAAATCTTAGCTCTAAGTCATCCAGGACCAAAAATCTGGAAGCAGTGAGCCCCTTTATTTTTTTTATTTTATATATATATATATATATTTTTTTTTAATTATACTTTAAGTTCTAGGGTACATGTGCACAACGTGCAGGTTTGTTACATACGTATACATGTGCCATGTTGGTATGCTGCACCCATTAACTCGTCATTCACATTAAGTATATCTCCTAATGCTATCCCTCCCCCCTCCCCAAAAGAAGACATTTGTGCAGCCAACAGACACATGAAAAAATGCTCATCATCAGTGAGCCCCTTTAAAATCCATTTGGTAAATAAATGTTGAGGATGTTCTCCACACCAAGCCCACTGCTAGGTATGAGGTAGGTATTCAATAGTGAGCAGACAGATATGGTCACTACCTTCTTGGGACTTACAGTCTAACTGCAAAAATCAGTTTGTAATTGCCAACAATGTTATGTGTTATTAAATTTTATTTTTAAATGTCCATAGTATGAAGAACACACAACACAGAAGTTTCAAGTTAGACAGACAGCTGAGATCTGAAGGATGACTAGACGATAGCTGTTTTATTACTTAAGGAGAGGATGTTAAATTTCATTCTGAATAGTTGGAATTCTGAGTATTTATCCTCACTGCAGAAACAATGCCTTTCAGAAGGAAATCATTCCCTTTTAGATCCAGAAGTAACCCTAGAGATTATCTGCTCTAAACCCCTCATTCTACAAGAGGAAATTGAGGCCTCAGGAAAGATGAGTATGTTGCTCAAGATAACATACCCAAACATCAGCAGAACCCCGGGAAGAACCCCAGACACTTTTCTCTAAGTCCTATATTATTTCCAAGATATCACACTGCTGTCTTCCCCCATGTTTGAAAATAACATCTTATATACATTGCTTCTCAGAGACAACAGACACTGAACTGTGTTCAAAATGTTTCGCAACACAGAAAGAGCTGGCTTAAATTCAGCCTCTGCCAATTACAAACTGCATGGCTATGAGCAACTTAATTTCTTCTGTTCTGAGTTTTTTCTGTAAAATGGGCTTAAATTATAGTATAATTTTATACATATCTACATGCATATATATGCATGTCTATGTACATAGATATGTATAAATGTAATATGTAGATATCTATGTATATAGATATATATAGATATCTATGTATATAGATATATATAGATATCTATGTATATAGATATATATAGATATCTATGTATATAGATATATATAGATATCTATGTATATAGATATATATAGATATCTATGTATATAGATATATATAGATATCTATGTATATAGATGTATGTAGATATGTATATAGATTGCATGTGTGTATGTGTATGCAAAACTAGTTGGGTTAATAGAGAATATACTTAGAATACATAAGATGGTATGTGGCACATCAATTCTCAACCAGGGGCGGATTTTATTATTAACGATTATTTTGAGATAATATAATTGTCATGAGAAAGCTAATGAATGAGCATTAAGATAATTACTTCAAGTATGAAGTGACAACCGTATATCTTATGAATTCTACTGTTCTAGGCTAGACTAGGGGTATTATCCTGTGCATTCACCAGTGCATGCTGGCGCACAGGCCTTGCACCTAGTAAAGAGCCCTTGCACCTACTAAAGGTGGAATACACTTTTAATCTGATGAGTATCCAGTGAAAAGCAAGACTATTAGATGGGAGAAAGCAGAGGAATAATGTGCCATTGAATGTTGAAGAAAGCAGATGTTATTAAGCTTCAGGTCAATGACAAGTTTAAAAACAATAATAATAAAACAGACAAAAAGTAGAGGTTGTTTACCTTGATTAGGATAAGGACAGATGCTGAGATGAGTTATATTTGTTAGTTTCATAGACAAGTAGAATATTAGAAATGCCCATAAGGGTTTTTCCTCATCATTCGTTCGGAAGATGAGGAAATCCCATCCCATCATCATGTAGTAAATTTGTGGCAGAGCTGAAGTAGAATTAAGGTATTCCAATTCCCAGGCCAAGGCTATCTCACAGGTACCCTTGAGACCAAAGATAGCTGACCATCATGATATTACTGTGGTCTTCTCTTTCTTCCTCGTTGTTGTGGGAGATTGGTGGTCTGGGTTAATTGAGTCTTCAAACAATGACCTCTCAAATCTGTAGCCAAGGCGGTGGCTTCCCTTGAAATGAACGCCACTGTCACAGTAAGCAGCTACTTCATGGACAAGATCCTGATGCACAAAAATATTGTAATAATTGTAGATCTGTTCCATGTCATGAAAATCCTAACTTGAATACCAGTCTTTGTTAGAGGTATTTGTTAGAAATCACTGACAAGTAATAGTCTGTCAAAGAGTTCAGTTTTATAGCATATGATATGTTTGAACTGGTTTATAATTTCCCTTGACTCAAAACTTCAATGAATTAGTTTCAAGTTAATCATGTGCTTTTAGCTAGTGGTCTTGTCGTTCTTGTTCTTTTCTCTTGATGTTACATTACTCCTTAAGAAACCAGAAATGGAGAAAAACAGGAATACCCAGATATCAATACTTTTCTTGTGGTAAATCAATCAATGTTTTACAAAAGCATTGGTATTTTGCTGTTGTTGTTGTTGTTTTTTTAAAAAACCCTACATAACTCTGTTTCATTTACTGCAAATATTTTGGATGACTCAGGAATGTAGGTCTGGTATTTTAACACCACATAATTAGATTTAGAGGATGGAGAAAATATTATTCTGGGTTTAGTTATTAAATTTCAGCTAAGGGAACAGTATTGCAAAACTGTGGATCTAATGAAAAGAAGGTGTTACTTACATTTCCACCTCTGTTACTAGTATGACTGTCTTCATCCTTTACCTTTCACCTAGGCATTTGGATAGTGAGAATGATGATGATGATAATGATAATGATGATGGTGATGAGAGCAATAACTGATAATAATAACAATAGTAGCTAATATTAAATAGTGCTTACTATGTACCAGACCATTTTCTAAGCATTGTTTATATTAACTCGTAATCTTTACAATAACTCTCTGGAGCATTTTCTCATTTTATAGATAAGGAAACTAAAAGTCTGAGAACTTAAGCAATTTGTCCAGGGTCACACAGCTAATAGAGCTGGGATATGAGCTCGAGTTTTCTGGCTGCACAGTCTATAGTCTAGCCACTTTGGTCACAGAACATTTAAAAATTAATTTCAATTTTTATTATTCTATGGGATAGAAATTTAACAAACAGACTCACAATTAAGAATATAATTTTTGTGCTTGCTTTGGCAGCATATATACTAAAATCGGAGTGTTACAGAGAAAATTAGCATGGCCCCTCTGTGCAAGGGTGACTAGCAAATTCATGAAGCATTTCTTATTTAAATATACATATATATATGTAATGTACATATATTATACATATATATGTAACACATACATATATGTGTATATATATACTTTAAAAATCTGTTAAGTATTAGTTTGTCCCTTATAATATTATCAATATTTATTATCAATATTTGATCATTTTAAACTTACAAAGTAGCATCTTCATATTGTTCAACCTAATACTCAGAAGGAAAAGAACAGAATGAGTTATATAAAATTCAAATCTGGTCATACTGTACTCTGTTTAATGTTTTCGAATTATGACCCACTCATACAATAAAGTTCAGGCACCTTCACATGGTATAAAGGCTTAGCATGACTTGACCTCTCCTTTATTCTTTGAGCTGAAAGCTCGAACTAATTCTAGTTTTCTGCAGCTCGTATGCTATTTCATTCCTTGGATCTTTATTCATGCATTTTCTGGCTCCCTTTCCCATCACACCTAACTATTGTCTTTGTTCCTCCTTCATAAGTGTTGCTAACAGGCAGTGACTTTCTAATTCGTTTGGTATCCCCACTGCTTGTCTTCAGAGCCTATAGTAAGTAAGTGCTCAAGAAAAAGGATGTCAGTAAGAAGTAAACTTTAATACCAGAATTTTAAGTGGAACAGAACTCATTGCTGAAATCTTAGGCAATTGCAAGATTTTCATGTTTGCCTTGAGCACCACAGGATTCCTAGCACAAAGGTACTAGGTAAGAAATTCTTAAAATGCTTTTAATTTATTTAAAACCAAAATATTTACATTTGATTAACCTTTGCCAACAACAAATCAAATCCTAGATTAGTCATTTTAAGATGGATAGATCATCAAATCACATTGAGAGTAGTCAGTGAACTCTGGTCGTAAATCCAAGCAGTTGCAGCTGTTCTGAATTTCCCCGGAGGGATTTGAGAGACACAAAGTATAGAGACAACAGGCATCTTGAGGACAGTGCTCTTTTGCAGAGATTGACTATATTTCAATGAGTTAGGCATGATTAGCAGATTGAACATTATAGCTGGATAGAGGCCAAGGCTGAAGGCCAGATAACTTGAGCCAAAGCTCCAGCTATATTATTTTCATAAAAGGAGGAAACACTATCGAAATAGAAACACTGGAATATTTATTTGGGAGTATCTTATTATACGTGTAAATATATGCACACAAATCTCCACTCCTACCCTGCACACATACACACTTTCCTGTCTAAATATTATATCATTTCTTTGGAAAGAGAGAGGACAAAGAGCTCTAGAAATTCTTGAATGAAAACCAAAACATTTGGAAATCTTGTTCTGTAAGCAGAGCTTGGCTGATTTCTTTTCCCCAAAAATATCCTCAGTGGTATGTAATAATGGATTTGTAAGGTATAAGGAATTTATACAATGTATTCCCATTTGCTTTTTATGAAGGAATATCGCTAGCATGTTGACACTGGTTCCATCAACTTAAGCTGGAGAATTTGTAACTGTTGCCTAAATCAGGCTAGTTTGTTCCATTTCTATTGAATGAGGTAGGTATTCAGCCCTGATAGTGCATTTTCCAGTCTATCATGATTGTAACACACATAAAATTAGACTATTGGTGTGAAGCATCACAAACCCCCAAAGTCAGTGTGTTGTGTTCCTTAGAAATACTCAAAAAATATATACAGTTGCCAAGAATTCTCAAGATAAGGATTGTGATCAATATCTGCTTATTGTTATAAGATCTTATCTTTCTCTTCTTCCTTTCCCTAGCCCCATTATAAGAGACTCTCTCCAATAAAAATGATACGTGAACAAAGGGAAAACATTTAACATCTACTAACTGAATCATGATCTTCAAACACTTGCTCATGTAACCCCTAAAAAAAAAAATGGAAAATTTACAAATCCCTCGTTGATTTTTAAATGGCCATCTAAATTTTTTTGGCAGGACTTTAAAAGATGGTAATTCATAATACTGTATTGACATTTTAAAATAAAATTATTGTATCAGTTTCAAATATACCTACTAAAATCTAAATATTATAGCAAATGTTTTGAGTATCCATTTGTTAACAAGCACCCTTTTCATTACAGAAATTTTGCTGGCTTCTTATTTTCTTAGTCCTCTTCTATTCTACTTCCACTACATAATTCTATTCTAATGTAACATATTTTTTTCCAAAGCCTTCTGTTGATCACAGAATTGTACTTCTCCACTACAAAAATTGTGGATAAAAATTGAAATTAATTTTTAAATGTTCTGTGACCAAAGGTGCTACTAGACTGAGTTATTATCACAATTGCTGTTTGTATATAATTTGTCATGCATGTTATACATTTTGATACTTTCTCACACATAAAAATACTATTGAAAATTCACTTCTTAATAAGATGCATTGTTAATTAGTTCATGTATCCATGGATTTTTATTATTCATTGTTAGGTTAAGAGAGCATACAACATCAATTTTATTTCCTTTTTTCACTTTTATGGATTTTAGTGCTGAAAACCTTCTTCATATAAATATGTACATGGGACTTGAATAAGTTGTGTTAAATTGATGTCACTCAATTCTTGGAGTTCCTCCTGAGTTGCATGCCAAAAATAACATCGGTTATCTATCATCAAAAAAGTATCGTAAATGAGTTATTAGCTTACAAGTCCCTTAGGTCCTTTACATCTTTATTGAAATTGAAGAATTTGAAACATTTTGACGTACAAAAGGAGTTGTTACACAATCATCGCAATCATTCACTTTCTCAATTTCTGGGATGCCCTCCAAAAAGACTTTACTAGGACTGTTAAATGACTATCTGTTAGTTTTAGTTATGCAAGATGAATAAGTTCTGGAGATATGCTGTAAAACAGTGCCTGTAGTTAAGAAAAACTTCTTATAAAATGAGTTAAGGAGGATACCTAATGTAAATGACGAGTTAATGGGTGCAGCACACCAACATGGCACATGTATACATATGTAACAAACCTACACGTTATGCACATGTACCCTAGAACTTAAAGTATAATAAAAAAAAGAAAAGCTTCTTAAAGACCCTGCTTATTATTTCTTGATTAAAGAAGGGTTTCCAAATGTCAAGATTTTGAATCATGCTAAAGATTTTTCACCTCGGGGCAATGTACCCTAGTAAAATTTGAAGGGGTGAGAAGTTCACATTTCTTTTGAAAAATGAAATGCAATTGTGAAAAGGTGCCATAGACACTTTCTCCAGCATACTAATTTAGTTATATATGTATGTTGAGGTTCTGGAAATTGGTTCTTTTAAAATGATGCATGTGACATTCACATGCCACTTGCAAAGTCTTTGCCTTACATACATTTCTCATTTGCAGAAGAGGAAACAGTTTTGAATAATTTAAGTAGTTTTTCTAATGTCATTCAACTATAAAGAGGTAGAGTTCACTGTGACCAAGTAGGCTTCATCCCTGGGATGCAAGGTTGGTTCAACATAAGCAAATCAATAAATGTGACGCATCACATAAGCAGAATTAAAGACAAAAACCACATGATTATCTCAATAGATGCAGAAATGGCTTTTGATGAAATTCAACATTCCTTTATGTTAAAAACTCTTAATAAACTTGATATTGAAGAAGCATACCTCAAACTAATAAGAGCCATCTGTGACAGATCCACAGCCAGCATCATACTGAATGAGGACAATACTTGAAAACTGGCTTAAGACAAGGATGCTTTCTCTCACCACTCCTATTAAACATAGTATTGGAAGTCCTGGCCAGGGCATTCAGGCAACAGAAAGAAATAAAGGACATTCAAATAGGAAGAGAGGAAGTCAAACTATCTCAATTTGCAGAAGACATGATTCCATATCTAGAAAACCCTATAGTCGCTGTCCAAAAACTCATTCAGCTGATAAACAACTCCAGCAAAGTTTCAGAATATAAAATCAATGTACAAAAAAACCAGGAATGTAATTTCATTCACAATTGCCACAAAAAGAATAAAATACCTAGGAATACAGCTAACCAGGGAGGTGAAAGATCTCTACAATGAGAATGACAACACACTGCTCAAAGAAATCAGAGATGACACAAACAAATGGGAAAACCTTCCATGCTCATGGGTAGGAAGAATCAGTATTACTATGGCCATACCTCCCAAAGCAATTTACAGATTCAATGCTATTCCTATCAAACTACCAATAACATTCATGACAGAACTAGAAAATACAATTTTAAGTTCAAACCAAAAAAGACCCAGAATAGCCAAGACAATCCTAAGAAAAAAGAAAAAAGGTGGACGCATCATGTTACTCAACTTCAAACTATACTATGGGCCTACAGTAACCAAAATAGCATGGTACTGGTACAAAAACAGACACATAGACCAATGGAACAGAATAGACAGCCCAGAAATAAGGTCACACACCTACAACCATCTGATCTTTGACAAAATGGACAAAAACAAGATATGGGGAAAGGACTCCTTTTTCAATAAATTGTGCTGGGATAACTGGCTAGCCATATGCAGAAGATTGAAACAGAATCCCTTTCTTATACCATATAAAAAATCAACTCAAGAAGGATTAAAGACTTAAATGTAAAACCCAAAACTATAAAAACCCTGGAAGACAACCTAGACAATACCATTCTGGACATAGGAATGGGCAAAGGTTTTATGACAAGACACCAAAAGCAATTTCAACAAAAGCAAAAACTGTCAAATGGAATCTAGTAAAACTTAAGAGCTTCTACACAGCAAAGGAAACTATCAACAGACTAAACAGACAGCCTACAGAATGAGAGAAAATATTTGCAAATGCTGCATCTGACAAAGGCCTAATATCCAGCACCTATAAGGAACTTAAACAAATTTACAAGAAAAAAAGCAACCCCATTAAAACATGGGCAAAGGACATGAACAGACCGTTTTCAAAGGCATACACGCACCCAATGAGCATATGAAAAAATGCTCAATACCACTGATCATTAGAGAAATGCAAATCAAACCACAGTGAGATACTACCTCATACTAGTCAGAATAGATATTATTAAAATGTCAAAAACAACAGATACTGATGAGATTGCTGAGAAAAGGGAACACTTACACACTGTGGGTGGAAATGTAAATTAGTTCAACCATTGTGGAAAGCAGTGTGATGATTCCTCAAAGAGCTAAAAATAGAACTACCACTGGACCCAGCAATCCTGTTACTGGGCACATACCCAACGGAATATAAATCAGTCTACCATAAAGACACATGCATGCAAATGTTTATTGCAGCGCTATTCATAATAACAACAACGTGGAGTTAACATAAATGCCCATCAATGACATTGGATAAAGAAAATGTGGTGCATGTACACCATGGAATACTATGCAGCCATGAAAAGGAATGAGATCATGTCCTTTGCAGGAACATAGATGGAGTTGGAAGCCATTATCCTGAGCAAACTAACACAGGAACAGAAAACCAAACACCACATGTTCTTACTTGTAAGTGGGAGCTAAATGATGAGACGTCATGAAGACAAAGAAGGAAACAATAGAAACTGGGGCCTACTTGAGGGTGGAGGGTATGGGGAATGAGAGGATCAGAAAAAATAACTATTGGGTACTAGGCTCAGTACCTGGGTGATGAAATAACCTGTATAATAAACCCCCATGATGTGAGTTTACCTATATAACAAACCTGCACATGTACCCCTGAATCTAAAGTAAAAGTTTAAAAAAGTGGTGGACTTAGCCTGCAGACCCAGATCTCTGACCCTAGAGTTCATGCTGTTACTTGCAATTCATCCATAGCACTCATTGCTCAGTCATTATCCATCAAAGAAATGATCCAGAAATATTTTGCTGCTATTTCCAGGTTATATTTTCAATAAACAGTTGCTTCTAAATTGTAGCTTAGTATTCCCAGTGTTTGGTTCCACAGGGCCTGCATGGGGTTATTGTTCACTAAATGTTACATGATTAGCCAAGTTTAGATGATGGCCAATGTTAGCAATTTGAAAATGATAGCCCAAGCTAGAGGAAATCGGGCTATGCTTGTTCAAATTGCCCATCATTCCAAACTCGTTGAAAACATGGTGTGCCTTATAGTGTGCTAAGTGCTGGGGATGCCAAAATACACACACACGTGTGCGTGCACACACACACACAGACACACAGAGATAGTAACCCCGGGTATCCACAATAGATTGGTTTGAGGATAGTAAAATTCAAGGATGCTCAGTTCCCTTACATGTGGTTTGTGAATGATTCAGTCATTATGCAACTGTGTGCTCATATCATGTATAGTTATTGATACCAGTTAGTGGGATGAATCCTGATTCTGTCACCTACTGTGTTTTTCTGGGCAGTTTTTCATCTCTATGACATGAGTTTCCTAGTCTATGAAATGTGGTTAATAATAGTAGGCTCGTGAGAAACATTAAATAAGATGTGAATAAAAGCTTGCTAAAGGGCCAGGCATGTAGTAAGTGCTGATTGGCATAAATTACTGTGCTCCATCAGTGGTAGTTCTCTACAGCAGGAGTTCCCAACCTCTGGGCCATGGACCGGTACTGATCTGTGGCCTGTTAGGAACAGGGCTGCATAGCAGGAGGTGAGCGGCAGGTGAGCAAGCCTTACCGCCTGAGCTCTGCCTCCTGTCAGATCAGCGGCAGCATTAGATTCTCATAGGAGAGTGAACCCTATTGTGAACTGCACATGTGAGGCATCTAGTTTGCATGCTGCTTATGAGAATCTAATGCCAAATGATCTGAAGTGGAACAGTTTCATCCTGAAACCATCCCGTACCCTAGTCAGTGGAAAAATTATCTTCCATGAAACCAGTCCCTGGTACCAAAAATGTTGGGGATTGTTGCTCTACAGGAAGCAATTTTGCCCCCTCCCCAGGGGACATTCGGCAAAGTTTCTGGAGGAAACTTTGGTTGTCATAGCTGGAAAGAGCTACTATTACCTAGCAGATAGCAGTCAGGGATGCTGCTAGACATCCCACAGTGCCCCAGACAGCCCCTGAGAGGCTACAAACATCAATAATATTGACGTTAAGAAACCCTGTTCCATATTAACAGATTGGATTAGTGCATTAAAATGATTCAAAAAACACTACTGTAATTCTTTTTAAAAACTTTTAGAAGAAATATCAAATTCTGTGATTCTACTAGGGTTGAATGATCTCTTGGGTATGATCATTGCAGCATCTTATGCTCCAGATACCCCAAGCTGCTAGTGACTCCTCAGTCACTTCAAGCCTTTTCATGAATCCACTTGTGCAGTTTTGTTCCCTTTGCCTAGAATACCCTCATGCCTTGTGTGTCCGTTCATTTCTTACTAGTCCTTCTCGATTTACAGCAAACTAACTTCTATGACACCTTTCCTCTCATCCCTTCTCCCTTAGATTTATAGCTCTGACACAGCTAGACCTGAAATTTGAGGGTCATAAATATCTTCTCTCTGTTCACACTTACCATATGGTATTATAATGTTTGGTAGGTTTTCTTTTCTCTAATATTCTATGAATTCCTCTGGGGCAAGATTATGCCTCCTTTATTTTTTTATAGCCTCTCCTAAAAAACATATGGACTTGGAGTAAGCATTAATAAATTTTTGGTGAATGAATGAAGGAGTAAATAAATAAAGTGAGATGCATGTTTAGATACTAGAACACAGCATATGGGAACTCTGCTTGGTTCCCAACTTCCTGGGAATTTTCCATTCCTTTTTTGGAGAAGTGAAGGTGAACAAGTCTACTGACCCTGGGAAGCACTGGCTTAGTATCAAAATAAGCCATCTGGAAGGCTGAGTTCAACAATAGGAAGTGGCTAATCACACATTTATCTCTTTTATGTTATGTGGTTACTAAGATTGTTTCCAAATTTATTCCTAAAACCACAGTAGTGCACATGTGTGTGTCTAAAGCTATTTGCATATATTGATGGTTTGGGGTAGTGTTTTAATTCATGCAACAGTGCAAGACATAGCATTCAGGGTACTGTGGATTTTTACTAAACGAGCTATTTAACAAATCCATTAATCAAACTATTTCTACCATAGGTGGCTGTATTAGTCTGTTCTCACACTTCTAATGATGATATACCTGAGACTGGGTAATTTACAATGGAAAGAGGTTTAATTGACTCACAGTTCTGCAGGGCTGGGGAGGCCTCAGGAAACTTACAATCATGGCAGAAGGGGAAGTAAACATATCCTTCATGTAGTGGCAGCAAGGAGAAGTGCTGAGCAAATGCAGGGAAATCCTCTTATAAAACCATCAGATCTCATGAGAACTCACTCACTGTCACGAGAACAGCATGAGGGTAACTGCCCCCAGGATTAAATTACCTTCCTCTGGGTCCTTCCCATGACATGTGGGGACTATGGGAACTACAGTTCAAGATGAGATTTGGGTGGGAACACAGCCAAACCATACTAATGGCATAATATTTTCCAATAAAACTTGAGGTTTACAAATGTCAAAATATGGAAGCAGTTAAATGAAAGTAAATCATGAGCTATAGAACAAGTTATAAAAAAATCAAATCACTATATATGAAATATTTAAGACAAAATCATAAATGTCAATAAAGCAAGGGTACTCTATTCTACAATTTAATATTCAAAACAAAGTTGCTTTATTATTTGCATGCCATATTATCATTCACTTGGAAAATCCAAAGGAATCAACTGAAAAATGCTAATATTAATAGAATAGATGTGCAAGGTGGCAAGATAGTTTAAAATCAATAAAATTTGTTATGGAGAAACATTACACTTTTTAAAATGTGATAAAGTTCCATTTATACTAACAAGAAAAAAATACATTTTCTAAGAATAATTTGAAAGAAAATTGTGTGACCATCATGAGAAGCTGTAAAAAGCTGTACAATTTTACTGATCCTGATATATGAATAAAGACTGGGCACGGTGGCTCACACCTGTAATCTCAGCTGTTTGGGAGGCTGAGGTGTGAGAATTGCTTGAGCCTAGGAGTTTGAGACCAGCCTGGGCAACATGGTGAGACCCCGTCTCTACAAAAAATACAAAAATTAGCTGGTCACTGTGGTGTGCATCTGTGGTCCCAGCTAAATGGGTGGCTGAGGCAGGAGAATCACTTGAACCCAGGAGGTGGAGGTTGTAGCCAGCCAAGACCATATCACTGCACTCCAACCTGAGCAACAGAGCAAGACCCTGTCTCAAAACAAAATAGAAACAAAAACAAAAAACTGATGTATGAATAAGAATACCAATTTATGAATTTATGCAGGAGGAATTGCCCTTTCCAGTTATTATAATACTTATGTATACTTTTCATCATATTCTATTCCATGTATCAAAGTGTCCGTAAAGCAATGGGTAGTCATGAAGACATGTCCCTAACGTCCAACCAAGCATGTCTCTGTAGTGACCAGGATATACCAATTTCCAAAATGTAGTTTCTTACAGACCAATATCTCTGATGAACATAGATGCAAAAATCTTTACCAAAATACCAGCAAATCAAATCCAACTGCGCATCAAAAAGACAATTCACTTTAATCAACTGGGTTTCATCCCAGGGATGCAGGGATGGTTCAACATACATAATTCAATAAATATGATTCAGTACATACACAAAACTAAATACAAAAACCACGTGATCATCTCAATAGATGGAGAAAAAGCATTTGATAAAAATCCAGCATCTCTTTATAATAATAACCCTCAGCAAACAAGGCATAAAAGGAACATAACACAAAATATAAAAGCCATATGTGATAAACCTACAGCCAACATACTAAGTGGGAAAAAGTTTAAAACCTTCCCCTTAAGAACTGGAGCAGGACAAAGATGCTCACTTTCAACACTTTATTCAGCATAGTACTGGAAGTCCTCGCCAGAACCATCAGAAAGAAGAACTAAAGAGCATCCAAACTGAAAAAGTGAAAGTCAAACTAACTCTGCTGACGATATGATTTTATACCTAAAAGACTCTAAAGACTCCTCCAAAAGAATCCTAGATTTGATCAATGAATTTAGTAAAGTCTCAGATTACAAAAATCAATATACACAAATCAATAGCACTGCTATACACCACCACCAACAATCAAGCTGAAAATCAAATAAATAACTCAATCTCTTTTACAATAGTAACAAAAAAAAAACAAACTTCCTAGGAATATACGTAACCAAGGAGGTGAACCATCTCTACAAGGAGAACTACAAAACACTGATAAAAGAAACCATAGATGACACAAACAAATGGAAGAACATCCGATGCTTATTAATTGGAAGAATCAATATAAGGAAAATGACCATATTGCTCAATGTAATGTACAGATTCAATGCAATTCCTATCAAAATAACAATGTCATTTTTCACAGAACAAAAAAAGAATCTTAAAATTCATATGGAGCCAAATAAGATCCCAAAGAGCCAAAGCAAAAAGAACAAATATAGAGGCATCACATTACTCAACTTCAAATTATACTACAAAGCTATAGTAACCAAAACAGCATGGTACTGATGTAAAAGTAGACATATAGACCAATGTAACAGAATAGAGAACACAGGAATAAAGCTAAATACAACCAACTGATGTTCAGCAAAGCAGACAAAAATATACACACTGGGGAAAGGACACCCTATTCAATAGCTGGTGCTGGGAAAATTGGATAGCCACATGTAGAAGAATGAAACTGGATACCTGTCTCTCACCGTATAAAAAAATTAACTCAAAATGGATGAAAGACTTAAATCTAAGATCTAAAACCCTGAAAATTCTACAACTAAACCTAGGAAAAACTGTCCTGGACATTGACCTAGGCAAAGAATTTGTGACTAAGACTCCAAAAGCAAATGCAACAAAAATGAAAATTAATAAATTAAAAATTAAAATTCAGTTTTAAAATTAATAAATGTAATTTAAATTTTAATTTAAAATATATTTATTTTAATAAATTGATTTTTAAAGCTTCTGCATAGCCATAATAATAATAATAATCAACAGTAAACAACCTACAGAATGGGAGAAAATATTTGCAAACTATGGACCTGACAAAGGACTAATATCCAGAATGCACAAGGAACTCAAACAAATCAGCAAGGAAAACAAACAAATAAATAATCTCATTAAAAAGTAGACAATCAACTTAGACATTTCTCAAGGAAGATATATAAATGGCCAACAAACATATGAAAAATGCTCAAAATCACTAATTATCAAGGAAATACAGATTAAAACCACAATGAGACACCAGTTTACTCCAGCCAGAATGGCCATGATTAAAAAGTCAAAACATAAAATATGTTGGCACGGATATGGTGAAAAGGAACACTTATATACTGCTATTGGAAATGTAAAGTAGTAAAACCTCTATGGAAAACAGTATGGAGATTTATCAAAAAGCTAAAAGTGGATCTGCCATTCATTCCAGCAATCCCACTACTGGGTATCTACACAAAGGAAAAGCCATTACATAAAGAAGATAAACATGTGTGTTTATCATAGCACAATTCACAATTGCAAAGATACAGAATCAACCTAAGTGCCCATCAATTGATGAGTGGCTAAAGAAAATGTGGCATATATATATATATATATATATATATATATACACACACACACACACACACACACACGTGTGTATGTATGTATATATGTATATGTGTGTATGTGTGTGTGTATATATATATATACATACACCATGGAATACTATTCAGCCATAAAATGAATGAAATAATGTCTTTTGCAGCAACTTTGATGGAGCTGGAGACCATTATCCTAAGTGAAGTAACTCAGGAATGGAAAACCAAATACTGCATGTTCTCACTTATAAGCGGGAGCTAAGCTGTGGGTATGCCAAAGCATACAGTATGGTATAATGGACATTGGAGACTCAGAAGTGGGGAGAGTGGGAGGGGAGTGAGGGATAAAAAAACCTACCTAGTAGTTTTTTATAATTGTGTATGATATATACCATTTGAGTGATGCGTACATTAAAACCCTAGACTTTATCACTATACAATTCATCCATGGAACATAAACCACTTGCACCCCTAAAGCTATTGAAAAAAAATTTTATGAAATTCACTTAAGAAAATTACAAATAGGCAATAAACATAAGTAAATATGCACAATCTCACTAATAATGGACAAATACAAATTAAAATGAAAATATTTCTGAGCCATAGTATTGGCAAACATTAATTGATACTTTCCTCTAATTAAGGATGTAGGTAAATAGGAAGTTTCATACAATGATGATGGAAGTATAAGTTAGTGAATCCTTTATGGAGCACAATTTTTACATTTTTATCAAAATATTAAACATACTATTCACCTCATTAATTTTTAGGAATCGATCATTAAAGAAAAAATAAAAATCCTTTAAAAAATGCAGTTTCTCTGCTTTGAATATTTCTGGATATAACTTGAAATTTTCCTTCCCTGTTTTCTGCTTTTAAAAAAAAATTTTTATTACATTTTTTCTTTTGAAATAATTATAGAGTCACATGCAATTTTAAGAAGTAATATACAGAGATCCTCTATATCCTTTCCCACTTTAAAGGATATCCTCTATATCATTTTCCCCAATGGTAACATCTTGAGATATTATAGTACAGTATCTCAAACAGGATATTGACATCGATATGGTTTCAATACAGAACATTTCTACCACCACAATAATCCTTTTGTTGCTCTTTTAGAGCCACAGTCACTTCCCACCAACCCATAGCCACCGCCTCCACCTTTAACCTATTGTAACCACTAATGTATTCTCTATTTCTATAATTTTGTCATTTCACAAATGTTATATAAATGGAGCCATGCAGAATGTGACATATTGAGCCTGGCTTTTTTCACATGGCATAATTCTCTAGAGATTTTTCCAGATGGTTGTGTGTACCAATAATTCATTTCTTTTTATTGCTGAGTAGTATTTCATAGTATAAATGTACCACAGTTTAACTGTTTGCCTGTTGAAGGACATCTGGATTGTTTCCAGGTTTTGGCTTTTATGAATAAAGCTGCTATACACATTTGTGTATAGGTTTTAATGTGAACATAAGTTTTTAATTCACTAGGCTAAATGCCCAGGAATGTAATTGTGGGATTGCACAGTAGTTGCATATTTTTGTTTAAGAACTTGCCAAAATGTTTTCCAGAGTGGCTGAACTACTTTACATTTCCATCAGAAATGTATGAGTGATCCAGTTTCTCTGCCTCCTTGATAGCACTTGGTGTCGTCACTATTTTTCATTTTAGCTATTCTGATAGGTGTGTTGTGATGACACATTTTGGTTTAATTTGCATGTCCCCAGTGACTAATGATGTTAAACATCTTTTCATATGTTTATTTGCCATCTATATCTTTTCTTCAGTGAACTGTCTCTTCATGTCTTTTGTTCATTGTCTAATTGTTGTTTTTGTTTTTCTACTTTTAAGTTATGAGAGTTCTTTATATAGTCTACATACTAGTCCTATGTCAGATATGTAGGTTGAAAATATTTTCTTCCATTCTGTGGGTTGACTTTTTAGTTCTTCTATGAGAGGCTTTTACAGTGCAAAAATTTTTAAGTTCAAAGTCCAGTTATCAATTTTATTTCTATGAATTCTGCTTTTGGTGTCAAGTCTAAGAACTCTTTGGCTAATACTGGTTCCTGAAGATTTTCTCCTATGTTTCGAAAAGTGTTATAGTTTTATATTTTATACTTAAATCCATGATATTTTTACTTAATTTTTGTATAAGGTTTGAGATTTAGGTCAAGGTTAATTATTGTACTTACGGATGTCTGATTGTTTCAAAACCATTTCTTGAAAAGGCTATCTTTCCTCTGTTAAATTGTTTTTGCACTTTGGTTAAAAATCAGCCAGGTGTAGATGACAGGTTGATGGGTGCAGCAAGCCACCATGGTACACGTATACCTATGTAACAAACCTGCACATTCTGCACATGTATCCCAGAACTTAAAGTATAATTTTTTTAAAAAAGTAAAAAAAAAAAATCAGCCAGGCACATTAGTGTAGCTCTGTTTCTGGATTGCTCTTCTGTTCTGTTGATCTATCAATACTGCATAGTCTTGATTATTATAGCTGTATAATAAGTCTTGAAAGCAAGTAGACTAATTCCTTCTACTGTATTCTTCTTTATAATTGTCTTAGCTAATTTTAATTTCTTTGCCTTCCCATACAAATTTTAGAATATTGTCTACATTTAAAAAAATCTTCTTGGGATTTTCCTCGGAGTTGTATTATATCTGCATATTAATGATGGAAGAATTAACATTTTTACCATGTTGAACTTTCCAATCCACAAACATGATATATTAATTTAGATATTTGATTTCCTTTTCAGCATTGTATAGTATATAAGTTTTGTACATGCTTGCTTTATTATTTTTGAGCAATAGTAAATAATTGTAAACATATTTTTAATTTCATTGTCCACATGTTCACTGCTAGTACATAGAAACAATTGATTTGTGTTTGTTTCCATTGTGTCCTGCAACTTTGCTTAACTTACCTGTTCTAGGAGTGTTTTGGTTTTTTGCTTTTGGTAGAGTACTTGAAATTTCTTATAAGGAGAATCACATCACTTATAAATAGGTTTAGTTGTATTTCTTCCTTTCTAATCCGAATACGTTTTATTTCATTTTCTTCCCTTACTGTTCTGGTTAGAAGTTCCACTACTGTTTTAAAAAAGAATTGCTTTATTTCCAATCATAAGGGGAAAACATTTGGACTTTCATTATTAAGAATAATATTATTTGTGGCTCACACCTGAAGTCCCAGCACTTCGGGAAGCTGAGGCAGGCAGATTGCCAGAGTCCAGGAGTTTGAGACCAGGCTGAGCAACATGGTAAAACCCCATCTCTACAAAAAGTACAAAAATTAGTCAAGCATGGTGGTGCACACAGGTAGTCCCAGCTACATGGGCAGCGAAGGTAAGAGGGTCACTTGAGCCTGAGAGGTTAAGGTTGCAGTGAGCTGTGATTGTGCCACTGCACTCCAGCATGGGTGACAGAGTGAGACCCTGCTTAAAAAAAAAAAAAGTAATAATAATAATAACATTTGTATGATTTTGAGGTTTCTCTTCATTGAGTTGAGTAAATTCTCTTCTGTTACTACTTTTCTGAGAGTTTTCATCATAAATTGGTGACAATTTTGTTTGCAGATATTTTTCTTCATCAATTGACGTGACCTTGTGCATTTTCTTCTTTAGCCTGTTAATATTGTTAACATGATTACATTGATTGATTTCCAAATATTGAACCAGCCTTGCCTCCCTACAATAAACCTGACTTAATCATGATGTATAATTCTTTTTACATATTGCTGAATTCCATTTGCTAACATTTTGTTAAGATTTTTTTGTGTCTATATTTCTAAGATGTTGTTCTGCAGTTTTTTGTTTATTTATACTCTGCATCTCACTTAGGTATCAGGGTAACACTAGCTTGATAAAATGAATTTGGGCATGTTCCCTTCTCTTCTGTTTTTTGGAAGAAATTATGTAGAAGTGGTGCTTATTTTTTTTGGTAGATATTTGGCAAATGTTTGGCAGAATTCTCCACTGAAATCATTTGGACCTGGATATTTTTTGGACATTTTAAAATTATGAATTCAATTTTCTTAACCATAGGGCTATTCAAATTATTTTTAATACTGTATGAATTATCATAGTTTATAATTTTTGATGAATTGGTCTGTTTCATTTGAGTTGTCAGATATGTAAGTAGAGCTGTGCATAGTATATAGTATCTTTTCCATGTCCATGGAGTCTGCTTACCTGATATTGGTAATTTGTGCCTTCTCTCTTTTTCTCTGTATTAGTCTTCCTAAATCATTTTATTATCTTTTCAAAATCTTTATTCTATATTTTCTTTTTTTTCTGTTTTTAATTTTATTGATTTCTGCTCTTATATTTACTATTTCCTTCCCTCTAATTTGGGTTTATTTTGCTCTTCTTTTTCAAGCTTCTTCAGGTGGGAACTTAGATTATCGATTTGAGACTTCTTTTCTAATGCACGCATTTAGCACTATAAATTTCCCCTTCAACTTGCTTCATCTGATATAACATACATTCCTTCTTTCCTTTCATTAATGTTTGCACAATGTATCTTTTTCTATAATTTTACTTTGAACTTGCCTATATTATGTTTAAGTGATTTCTTGTAGACAGCCTGTAGCTGGATCATGTTTTTAATCCCTATCACTTAATTGGTATAGTTAGACTACTTATATTTGATGTAATTATTGATATGGTAGGGCTTAAGTCTGCCAGTTAATTTTTTGTTTTCTGTTTATTCTCTCTGATTTTTATTTCTCTGTTTATTTTTTTCTGTCTTCCTGTGGGTAAATTGAATGTTTTTTAGAATTTTATGATTGAATGAAAATAAAAGTAATATGACATCAAACATATACAAAATGCTATTGGCATTCAAAAATGTTTCCCATTAGTTGTGGGGGTGACAGGATTTCAACTTGGTTTGAATGATAGGATTTGGACAGTTAGAAATGAAGACGACTTGCAGAGAATGAAAAGTATAAGCCTGTGATGGGGACTGGAGGTAGCTTGCATGGGTGGGAAGGTAGGAAAAATCTATGGATATAGTGGGATTCAAGGCAAGACAAGTAAGAGTAAGGACTATATTCTAAATTGTACTGGGACTTGAATTTCAGGCTGAAGACATGGCCTTTGGTAAACTGGCAATAGTGAGCGATTGAAGATCTTGGGGCAGAAAAGTGGCATGATAAAAGCAGTATAACAATAGGAATTTAATTTGGCACCTGTGGCTAAAAGTCACTGAGTGTGAAGCAAAGTAGAAAAGGCAACCTATGTATGGAGGTTAGAGACAATCAAGGCCTAAAATAAAAAGGCTTTTAAATTAGTGTACCAATAATGGAAATGGATAACAACTGATATAATCCGTATTTCCAAACGACTACAGACTAATTTCTTATTGAATGTGAGGTAGAGGAGTGAAGAAAGAAAAATATCAAAGCCAACTACAGCCTGAATGTTACTCATAAGTTACCACTCTTTATAGGACCCAAAGGGAAACACATTTGACAATAAACACCAAACTACACTCAGAATCTTTCCTCCTTCCTAGCTGCTAAAATCAAGGGTCATTAGGGCTGACATATGCCGATTCTCTCTTTCTTTAGGACAGGCGGACATTCAGCAAGTATGCAACAATACAGTTGTAAAAGCTGTTAAAATCCTGAAATACTTATGTGCTGGGTGGTAAATTGCTATTGTTCAAGTGCCTTGAGTGCCTCTTTGCTGATCTGACCCCCTTTGCTGGCCCACTGGCCTATCCCACAATCCAGCATCTATAAAGGTTAACATCTGGCAGATAAGTTGGTATGCAGAACCTTGCTTTGCTGCTACAGTGGATGTCTGATCTAAGTGATCAACAATCATGCCATTCTAAATTGTAATTTTTTTAATGTTATCCCCACCATGGATGGAGTTTTCTCCCAGAAGGCTCTCAAATTCTTCACACAAATCAACTTCTGTTGGGCCTACACAAGTCTGAATCCCAGGGATGGATCTAATCTAGGTTCAAGTTGAAACCCTGTTGCAACTGAAGTTCACAGACCTTCATATTTAAATAATTATCCATTGGTAATTTTTAAAACTGCTAATACCCAGTGAAAATGAAGAGTACAATAAGTCATGTACTTTCAGTCTTGATAATGGGAATATAAAGTAGTTTAACAAGAGACTCGTGAGTTTAAAAATTTAATATTCCTTTGCCTAAGAAAATTTTTAAAAAATGGATCAAATATTTAAGGGAAAAAAATGTTTAGAGAAAAGCTGTTCAAGTTTGTAAAAAATTAGAATCAACCTAAGTGTCAAACATTAAAAGAGTAGTTAAACCAAAATTGTTTAGCAATTTTTTTCTCTTTCTTACATGATTCTGAGTTATTAGCTATTTTAGAAAAGAAAAATAACGTTAAAGATAATTCTAAAAAATCTCCAGAGGGCCTCTCCTAAAAGTACTTGCCAATGAAATTTTAATTATAAAAATCAGGATGATGTCACCTTTCTCATCCAGATGGTAAACACTTTAAGACAATAAAGAATACAGAGCTTTCAACAACAAAGGATTCATTTAAATGTTCTCTACACAGCTGGTTGTATTGATGTGTGAATATATGTGTGTATTTTTGAGTGTGTATGTGTGCATACACATATATTGATCCCCAACATATAAAAATTACTTTGCTGATGCAACCTCTTTTGTACACAGTCCTTTGAGGTTTTTGTTTTTTGATAGACTTGTCCTGATCCATCACTAATCTCCTGGCAAGTCTGAGCGTGTGCTTACATTTGCAATATGGCATCCTGTAGTTAGGGTGCCATTTCCTGCCATGGCACCACATCAGGGTTCAGATTCACAACTTTGTCCAAATAGTCTGTACTCTGGCCAAATGAGCTACCACCAGTCACAGGGAGAACGACAGGCTGCTAATGCATTCTACAGAGGTACAGATGTATAGAATTCAGGGCAATTGAAAGTCTCCTTGTCTAATTCATTGAGGAAAATAGAAAGGATCTTGGCTGCCTCATAAAAAGAAAGTCCCTATATGCACACCTGGGTCCTTGTCTTATTTTTGAAAACATTGGTTCAACATGGAGAAAACACGTTCTGTTCTAGAGCAGTGTATTCCTATGTTCAAAATCTTAGCACAACTCTTTGTAGGAACAGATTCCTCATTCAGATCAAATCCATAAAGTCGAAAAGAGAATGCGGGCCCAGATTTTGCTTGGTTTCTTACCTATTTATAGCAGAAAGTAGAGGCTTGGTGTTGTACAACTCCAGGGGATGCCATTATTATTCACATAAACAGGCACCCTTGAAGTTGTGGAGTGCACAGCCTAAATGCAGCTCATGCAACTGCCCTAAAACTCTTTAAAGTGATTTGTTAACTTTTAAAGATGAATTGTGCAAGGAAATAAAGGCTCCTAATATTTATCAGGATTTTTAGAAGTTAATCTAAGACATGTATGAGGAGAAATTTTGTAAAATGTAAGTCACTGTCTAATATATGTTATTAATAGTAAAATAGTCATCTAAGGAATTGATATTTAACGGGTAAGATATATTAGAAAGAGTAGAGATTTCTTTGTGTTTTACAAATTCCAAACTGGTTGGTGTTTTTATTTACTTCAGTCAAAGAATTGCATGGTCAGCTGAAGAAAAATCTAATGTTAGTACAACGTGATAACCTCAAGAATTCACACTTCCAGTAATAGTAGCTGATAACCGCCAAGATGTTTCTGAAAAGAGAAAGTGCTTATTTTAACAACAACAAAAGAACAATTAAGAAATAATATTTGGTACATTTCCAGGAAGGAAACATCGCATATTAAAAAGGGAAAACAATTCATAGCCCTTTACGGAGACTTGTGAAACTTGTTCAAACCAAAGATTTATTTCATTTTTTTCAACTTTTGCTTGGTTTGGGATGAGGAATTTTCCCCCTTGGGAATCAAGGAAGTTGATTACACCTCTCCCACTAGAATTGTGCAATGCCTTTAAATAGTTCTCCTAAAGTCTGTTTTTCATTATCATTATGAATTTCACAATACATTTCCAAATGTACTTTTGGGTATTTTTATTCAAAACTCTGTTCGCCAGTGTTTTAAACTCTTGATTATTTAAAAGATTTTGGAGAGTAATACTATAAGATTAGGTCCTTTTCATGCAGCATTATTTTAAAAAATAATTTATAAAATCTGTAGCCAGAATCTGACCATTCATATGGAGGATTTCTTTAAGTTGCTTTTTAGTATTATTCTATTTATGGAATCATCTTATGTTAGCCTTGGAAAGATCATAGACATCCTTACTTGTAACTTCTGTATATTATAGTGAAAGAAAAAAAAAGTCACTTGCCAGTGACCCCATAGCTTGTTAGTGGAAGAGCCAAGATTGCAACTCAGTTGTCTTGACTCCAAGTCTACTGTCCCTTCACTTCATTCTGTTGTTAGTCTTCCTGACTTTACTACTCTCCTTGCACACCAAACCCACCCTCCACTCTCCATCAGGGCTTGTTTTCTTTTGCCCTCCTTTGATTGAGTGACTGCCAGCTCAGGCAATTGGCTGGACAATGGCCAGGTCAGGTAATTGGAAGACTCTTTGAATATACAGGAGCACACTTCCCACTGAAGGAATGAGAAACCTGTGTGTTACAAAGAGTGTGATGTGTGCCAGTGCAGAGGAATGGGTAGTGTACTCTGTGGGTTCCGCGAGAAGGCAACAAAATTTGTCTGAAGAAGTTAGAGAACCTTTAAAGAATGAGTTAGAGTCTTGAAGGATGCTGGAGATTCACTCAGAAGCAGGAAGGCAGAAATGCAGAAGTGGAAGATAGGAAAGGGAAAGAAAGGAAGGTAATATTTACCAAGCGCCAGAGCATCTATCTGGCACAACAAATCTATAAAAGCAGTATAATCATCTATTTTATGGTTGAGAAAATGAAGGGTTGGAGACATTATTCTAACATTTCCCAAATGCCAACAACATGCCAGGCATTGTTGCTTTACTCACATGACCTCAATTAATCCTAACAACAACAACAAAAATATACAAGGAAAGTACTACTACTATTACACACGAAGAAACCAAGTCACAGAGAAATGAAGTAAATTGCTCAAACTCCCCAAAAATGTGGTGGGAGTCAGGGGAAGGGGACAGTACAAAACTAGGCACTAGTTGATCTTGAAGCAGGTTCTAACCAGCTTATGATATGCTGGTTCATTGCAGCTGCAGAGGTGGGAAGGTTACAGACAGATCAAAGATATCTTTATATTCCAGGCTAAAGAGAGAGGGGCTTATCTGGTTGGTACAGGCTTTAGGTGGAAAATGATTTGACTGAATTTATAGTTTTGAAAATTGTTCAGGTCGCAACATCACAAATGGATTGAAGGGTAGAGGTAAGGCCAAGGGACTAGTAAGGAGGATGTTGTAAAAACCAGAAGAGAGATGATGAGGTCGCATCTAAGATAAAAGTAACGTAGAAGATTTTTAGGGAATAAGAACCAAAGAACATAAGTTTTATTTAGATATTGAAGGAGATAGAGGAGGAATGAGAAATCATAGTGGTCTCCAAGGTCAGAGAGCCGATAACCATGAAATGAAATCTATGATTTGAAGCTGGGCATGGTGGTATGTGCCTGTTGTCCTAGCTATTTGGGAGGCTGAGGTGGGAGGTTTGAGAGTTTGAGCGCAGCCTGGTTAAAGAGCAAGATGGTGTCTACAAACAAACAAACAAAATATATGATTTGAGACAATACTCTCTTTTATATATAACTGCATTTACTTTTTTTTTTTTTGAGATGGAGTCTTCCTCTGTCACCCAGGCTGGAGTGCAATGGCGCTATCATGGCTCACTGCAACCTCCGTCTCCCAGGTTCAAGTGATTCTCCTGTCTCTGCCTCCCAAATAGCTGGATTACAGGTGTGCACCACCATACCCGGCTAATTTTTGTATTTTTAGTAGAGACGGGGTTTCACCATGTTGGCCAGGCTAGTCTCGAACTTCTGACCTCAGGTGATCGGCCCGCCTTATCCTCCCAAAGTGCTGGGATTACAGATGTGAGCCACCGTGCTGGGCCTAACTTCATTTACTTTTGGTTTTGCCCACATAATACCTATTCATTGTAACAAAACTAGAAAATGTAGATCAGCAAAAATAAACAAACCTGAAAGCCTGATAATTCTCTCATGAATACATACCTTGTAAAACCATAAAGATAATTTTCTTCAAGTCTCATATATTAAATATGTATTTATAAGCCAAATAGAATCTTTTGCTTTCTTAGACTTTCTTTAGTATTTGTTTTCATTTCCACAATTATTTTAGTTAGCAATTTACTATATGTTCCACAGGTTTTCTAATCTCAAACTATTAATTAAGTACCTTTTTTTCTCGTTCTTGAAATCTTTTTTTAATTTCTTTCTCAGTAAATGAAGTATGGCTTTTTTTTTTTTTTTTTTTTTTTTTAAGAGCCAGGTTCTTGGTCTATCATCCAGGCCCCAGGCTGGATTGCAGTGGTGCAATTGTAGCTCATTGCAGCGCCTTAGCCTCCCAAGCAGCTGAGGCTACAGTCAAGCACCACCATGCTCACCTAATTTTTTACATTTTTTTTTTTTTTTTTGAGATAGCGTCTTGCTCAGCCACCCAGGCTGGAGTTCAGTGGTGTGATCTTGGCTCACTGCAACCTCCGCTTCCCGAGTTCAAGTGATTCTCCTGCCTCAGCCTCCCAAGTAGCTGGGATTACAGACAACTGCCACCATGTCCAGCTAACTTTTGTATTTTTAATAGAGATGGGGTTTCACCATGTTGGCCAGGGCAGTCTTGAACTCCTGACCTCAGGTGATCCACCCACCTCGACCTCCCAAATTGCTGGGATTATAGGCATGAGCCACCCATGCCCAGCCTAATTTTAAAAATATTTTTAAGAGATGGGTGTAGCTATGTTGCCCAGGCTGGTATTGAAACTCTTGGGCTCAGGTAATCCTCCTGCCTCAGCCTCCCAAAGTGCTAGAATTACAGCCGTGAGCCACCATGCCTGGACATAAAATAAAATGGCTTTGTTTTCTAAGCTATGCACATCCTCGAATGTCTTTCTCTTCCCACCTACTTACCAATAGCTTGCCCACATAATAAAACTTGGGGTTCATAATTTTTTTCACAAAGCTATGTATCTTATTCAGTTTTTTCCTGGCATTTGTTTTTGCAAAGAAAAAATGAAATATCAATCTGATTTTCCCCTTTATGAGTATCTTAATTTCCTTTCCTATAAGCTTGCAATATTTTTCTTTCATCCTGGATGTGACTTTTGTTAATTTTTCCTGGAACTTAATGAGTACTTTTGCACTAAAGCTCCAGGTTAGGAATATATCTCTGCATTAATATCATAACCATTACTTCTCATATCTTTGCATTAATGTATCTTTGCACTAATATCACAACCATTACTTCTACTCAATTCTCTTGTTCTGGAGTTATATGGCTTCTTTTTACTGGCCCAATGACAATTCTAATTTTTCATTTACATTTTAAACTTTCTTTTCTATCTCTCTATTTATCTTGATCATTTTCTTCTACAGCTGCTGACTCCTGTTTAAAGGAAACCACGTTGTCCTTTATCTCTTTGAGGATCCTGATCAGATATTTACTGATATTTTATAGAAAGAAATATTACAATATTAATATTCAGTAATATAAATAATTCAGTAGTTCAATATCGCTAATACAGTGCTTCAAAGTAGTGTTTCCTTTATGCTAAATTATTTATCATGTCTTATATCATTATTACTATTTTTAAGTGTTTCCTTCATTCATAGTCACAAATCTCTCCAGATCTGGAATTTGCTACTATATATCATGAGAAAATGGTATCTTTTGTTTTTAAACAAAGTCAAGAATTTTAGAAGCATGGCTTTTCAAATAATGACATATTATGAATCCCACCTTTCAATATGATTTTTTTAGTATATTGTAATGTTTTAGTTTTAGTTTATTATAATGTTTTAGTATATTATATTTTTATTTTATATTTTAGTTTTAGTTTATTATATGATTTAGTTTTAGTATATTATATTTTAGTTTTAGTATATTATAATGATTTAGTATATTATAATGATTTAGTATATTATAATGATTTAGCTTTAGCATCCAAGGGGCCTGGGTTTGACTCACAGCACGTGTAGTGGTAAAGAACATGGACTCTGGTTCTGAATTGTCTGGATTCAAATCCTAGCTCTGCCACTTAACTCACTGTGTAACTATGACAAGTTATTTAAACTCTTAGTGCCTTTGTCTTCCCATCTGCAAATGGGATTAATAATATTAGGTGCTTCATAAGGTATTAGGAAGTTAACAAGTTAATATTTATAAAATATATAGAACAGTCCCTAGGACATAGTGAATGGTATATAAATATTTGCTTTAAAATTCTATCTCTGTCACCCACTAACTGAGTAACTATAGTCGTCATTGAATCTCTCTAAGCCTCCATTTTCTGATGTTTAAAATGGATATAATAATACTAATGAAATTAATGCAAATATTGATAGTATTAATCTTGTAATGCTGCTTATTAATACTGTGAGGATTAAATGAGATAATTTATGTAAAATATCCCCACATAGGCCGGGCGCGGTGGCTCACGCCTGTAATCCCAGCACTTTGGGAGGCTGAGGCGGGCGGATCATGAGGTCAGGAGATTGAGACCATCCTGGCTAACACGGTGAAACCCCGTCTCTACTAAAAATACAAAAAATTAGCCAGGCGTGGTGGCGGGTGCCTGTAGTCCCAGCTACTTGGGAGGCTGAGGCAGGAGAATGGCACGAACCAGGGAGGCAGAGGTTGCAGTGAGCCGAGACCGCACCACTGCACTCCAGCCTGGGGGACAGAGCGAGACTCCGTCTCAAAAAAAAAAAAAAAAAAAAAATCCCCACATAAATGCACATTGCTTGGTTGCAACTGTTATTTAATAATGAAATGCAACCTGGGACTATGCCACATTTAATTGGCTTAACTGAGCATTGCAAGTCTCTTGATTCCACAATTGCTCTATTATTGAATTTCTGAAATTTAAATTATTTTACAGATGCATAACTCCAGAGGGATTAAGTTACAAATTCAAAGCTACATTGTCTGTGCAGAGGAAAGATTTGAAGCAAGGTCAATTAGATTCTGCTTTTAATCTTTTTTTTCCATGAGCCTGGGAAAAGCAGTGTCTTTAATTCTTTTTTCTTCAAAGGGCCTAGTTCCTGTCGGTTGGATTATGTCCCTCAAGCTCTTCACTTTCTCCTCATCCTTTCTCAAGATCTGTGAACAGAAACAATGGGCTAAGTGCTTTTTGCGTATCTGCAGTTATTCTCCTTTGCTAAGAGAGGAGCTGGGGCTCAGTGCTAGAGATGAGGTGCACAGGATGGGGGAGTTGGGCTATAGGGGACATCATACTTATCAAAGTTTTTTTTATCTATTGAGGATCATTGATTCCTCCTGGTGACTTAATATAAATTGCTATTTTGAATTTTCCCACAAATCAGCCCAGACATTTCATGCTGTGTTGTGTTGTATTTGAAACTAATTGTGGGACATAAGAGGCCACTTCATACCTTGCAAATAACAAATTACATCATTCTTTAGAAAACAAAAATGTTGGTTTCTCTCTTTGCTTAAATTATATTACGATTTCTTTTTCTTTCTTTCTTTTTTTTTTTTTTTTGAGATGGAGTTTTGCTCTTGTTGCCCAGGCTGGAGTGCAGTGGTGCTATCTCAGCTCACCGCAACCTCCAGCTCCCAGGTTCAAGCGATTCTCCTGCCTTGGCCTCCTGATTAGCTAGGATTACAGGCACACGCCACCACACCCAGCTAATTTTTTGTATTTTTAGTAGAGACAGGGTTTCATCATGTTGGCCAGGCTGGTCTCAAACTCCTGACCTCAGGTGATCCACCCGCCTCTGCTTCCCAAAGTACAGGGATTACAGGCGTGAGCCACCACACCCAGCCTACATCACCATTTCTATGGAAAACTATTGTTTGGCTTTCTCTCCCATATTAATTTCAAATGTTTTGTTAACTACCAGCTGATGTGCCACATAACATGGACTTCTCCGGCTTGTCTGCCCACAGCTTGCCCATCGGGGACATACAAACCTGAAGGCTCACCAGGAGGAATCAGCAGTTGCATTCCATGTCCTGATGAAAATCACACCTCTCCACCTGGAAGCACATCCCCTGAAGACTGTGTCTGCAGAGAGGGATACAGGGCATCTGGCCAGACCTGTGAACGTGAGTCTCCCACTGTTGGAAAATGGGAAATATAAAAGCTGATTTCTCTGAGAGAAATAGTGCTTGTGTTTGCACCTAATTCATTTAGAATGATCTTTAATGTTCTTTTCTCTAATCATATTTTTTGGGGGAGTGGGATGATTTGCTTTTATAACATTCTTATCACGGAACATATCTCTATCCTGCTCCAGAGAAAGGGGAACTGAGATGCTGGGAATAACATCACCTTGAAATCAGAAAGGCTTAGTACTTGGAAAACATTTAAAATGAATCAAAAAAAGAAAAGCCACAATTTTAACAACAAATTTGAATAAAAATGAGCTCATCTTGGCTCTGGAGATAGTCACATTTATCTTTGAAATAATATATTTTTATAAGTAAAGGGTCTCAGTATTATTCATGTCAAAAATTACAAATATTTAAATAGCATATACCATGTGCAAGAAGCTGTGGCTCTTGGGGTTTGTAGCAAATATACTTTGCTAGCCTTATTTGTTCTTTGTTTTATTCTACCTTAGTCAAGAGGGAAAATATCTAATGACATATAAAGGTCAAGAACTATAAAATCTCATATCCATATAGATATCAAAATAAATTTTTTAAAGCTTAACAAATAATATTTAGTTTGTATTTAAAATTTAATTGGAAGTTAGTACCTAATAGGAGTCAGATATAAGGGTTCTTCTTCCAAATATGTACTTGAAAATCCAAATGCGGTAAATGGAAATGCTGTAGGCAATTGACACATATGCATAAATGCCCCCTTGAAAGAAAAAAAAAAAAGGATATGTCATAGACAAAAGGCTAACTTTGCTTTTCAATTTTATTTTTGTAAATGTTAGTTGTCCACTGCCCTGCCCTGAAGCCTCCCGAAAATGGTTACTTTATCCAAAACACTTGCAACAACCACTTCAATGCAGCCTGTGGGGTCCGATGTCACCCTGGATTTGATCTTGTGGGAAGCAGCATCATCTTATGTCTACCCAATGGTTTGTGGTCCGGTTCAGAGAGCTACTGCAGAGGTATGCAAACTGCCAATTTACATTGTTTATTTACTGTCTTGCCTGATTTCCTTGATTTAAACTCTAGTAAACCAGTCAGTTCTTCATTTCTTTTTGGATTTCATAGACCCCATACTACAGAAAGAGAAAAATTATAGGAAATTTGAAATCAGAATTACCAAGTTCAATTGACCACATAATTGTAAACTACGCCTTTTATAGCCCTTTTATGAACAAGCAAAGAAAAAGTTTGCCTGGGAAGTAAATGGACAGGTTACCCCAAACCTCAAATTTCAAGCCTCTAAGACATGATATAAAGGAGAGTTTAGAATAATCAGAGTGGAGACTGATGCCTCTTGGAATTGTAGGACTTAAGGAATCACACAAGTATCCTGCAACAAGAGCAGTTAGCCAACTTGTAATCTCCAGCCTTTACTTCGGCTAGTCGACCCGTTATAGAAAGTAGAGAATTTGTCAAAGCGAGAGTCCAAGGAGCCTATTCAGGCCAATAGAAAGTGGGCACCACCAATGGAATCTGAGGCTCCCATGTCAAATACAGAGAAGCAATAAAAAAAAAAAAATAGTGCCTCAATCTGCCTCAACTTGCCAACTCCAGGACCTACTTTCCTACTTCTTACAACTGTCACACAACCAACTTCCTAGGGTTTTACAAGTAGGGTTAGAAGAGGAGGATATTTAAGAAAAGGTAAAAGGGGGGCGAGCAAAGGGACTTGAGGACCTCCATCAGAATCCCTGCCCACAAAGCTTCTCAGTACAGTACCTGCTCCCTACCTACGGTTGCCAGTTGAAACACAGGATGCCAGTTAAATTTGAATTTTTGATAAATAATATTTTAGTATATGTGGGTCCCCTGCAAGATTTGGAACCTCCTTATACTAAAAAATTATTTGTTGATTTTCTGAAATTTAAATTTAACTGGGCGTGCTGGTTCATTGGTTTGTTTGTTGCTAAATCTGGCAACTTTACTCCCACCACATCCACTAGTCATTTTTTGGCAGAACACTTTGCTGAGGATTTGACTACTCCAAAACCCCACAAATCAGCTGGACCACTGGTTAAAGATTAGTTCTGTCTTCTGGTCTTTTCTTGGCATCCATATCCATAAGGGAGAACCACCTACTCATGACTCCAAGATCATTTGTGAATCCCAGGAGACATCTATGTTGGTACCAATTTATTAGGTACCAATACTGAACTCATCTATAAATGTAAATTGGCCTACATGGTATCCCCAAAAGACAAGGAAAACTGAAAACGATCAGCAGATTGAACAAAAGAGACCTGACAGAAAAGAAAGAAAAATGGAATCACTGAGATTCAAAGGCAACTACATTGCTAAAATAAGGCCAGGATTCCAAGCAATGAAAGAAATTTGAGAGGAAAAATATGTATTAGAAGTAAAAAAAAAAAAAAAAAAAAAAAAAAAAAAAAAAAAAAGGTACTGACACAATGAATGGACCTAGTTAGAAGTCAAATTAATAAATTAGAAAACTAACTCAAGAAATTCATTTGAAGGTCAATCAAAAAAATCCAAAAATAAAAATATGAAAGAATAAAGTAACATGAGAATAGTCACAGGAAATAGACTCTTTTCACGTGAGGAATCCAGAGAGAGAACAGAATGGAGGAGATGCACCAGTAGAAGATCTAAAGATATATCCCTGAGCTGAAATTTTGAAAATACTCACAACCCAAATCTTGGATATTCAGTTTAAAATCACTTAGTAAGTGCCACAAAAAAAATATTAAAAACAGATTTATGTCGGGAAATAATCTTAGTGAATTTTCTGAATGCCCTAGAAAAACAGAAAACTGTGTCCATTTCATAGTTAGAAACAACACTACCTACCAAGGAGAAAGAATCAGATTAGCCTTAGGCCCCTTTGTTGGCCATTCTCAATGTTAGAAAATAAGACTGTGTTGCCAGGATTCTGAGGGAAAAGAATAGACCCTAGATTTCTAAACTCAGGCAAGCTACTGTTCATGTGTGAAGGCAAAGGAAAGACATTTTCAGTCATGCAGCCTCAAGTGGTAAAAAGCCACATACCATTACTGAAAAAATGAATCCTTGAAAGCTTGTAAAATATATTTTCGTGAAGTCAATAGTTCTAAGTTCTGTGTAAAATCTTTACCCCTTCTTCCAAATACCTTACGGTAGAGGATGGGAAATATTACATTTTAACTTGCCACTCAGTAGCCTTCCAAAGAGGAGTGAGAAAATCAGAGAAGACTGCCCTTTCAGGATAAGGTCTGGCCCCTGCCTCTCAAGCCTGCACCCTCCATAATCAAGCCTCGCGTCTGATCCTAAAGCTGTAAGAAATAGCCATGCTCTCTCAGGAAGCCGGCCCTTTGAAGCTGTTCCCACAGCCTGGCTCTGCCTTTGCTCTGGGTCCTCTCAACCCTCCACTGTTGCCAACTTCCTCCTCCTGAATGGGGTGACCTCTACACGTGCATCTGTGCATCTGCAGACCTGCCCCCACCCCTCATTATGTTTCTTATGCTATGTGTCAGGGTCAGTCAAGGAAGCACAGTCACCATGCATGTTATGGGATGAAGGATTTATTTCAGGGAATAGAGCTTACACAATTTTAGAAGGAGCTTGGAAACAGAAGAGGAGTGGGAGGATCAGAGGAGTTCTTGACAAGTCAACTTGAGAGGCTACCCAGCTTTTGAAGTGGAATTGCTAAGGAGAAACTCATGGAAGGTCTAAGAGAAGCTTTACCTCTGTGTAGTTATGCCCCTGTGGCTCTGCAGCCAAGAACCTTGCAATGAACATGGGGCCACCACTGGTCATGGGATCAGCAGTGAGGACGTGGAATGGAGGCAAGCAAGGGCAAGCTGGAACCCCCTGGGCATCACTGCATTTTTCTATCACTGACTCTGATGACAATGACCACTTCCTCACTTCTGCCTTCCAAAATCAAGTGCAAGTTCCTCTTTTGATCAACCCTAACTTGGAACCACAATAAAGGGATTCTGGCAAACATATTTCCCAATGTAACTAACTTGTCACAATACAAAGCATCACACTTTTATTGGTAATTAACTTGTCTACCTCCTCTGCTAAACCAAATTCATTATGAGCACAGAATTTATTTCTGCCCCTCAATCATTGATGATATCTCTGGTGAATGAATGGAAACTTGAAGTTAACAAATACACATATCGATAAATGTATACGTTGATGTACATTGATAACTACAGTATATACATTGATGACCTGCTTCTGTCACTTCATATTAAAAACCATGCATGGGTGTGATGGCACAAGCTTGTAATCCCAGCTACTTAGGAGACTGAGGCAGCAGGGTCACTTGAACACAGGAGTTGGAGGCTGCAGTGAGCCATCATCACACAACTGTACTCCAGCGTGGGTGATAGATTGAGACCTTGACTACAAAAAAGCATGCTTGTTCTCTTTTATGTAATTTCAATTGCAATTCCAATATAAATAAAATAATTTAAAGCAGAGTAAGGAGAGATGCTACAATTCAACTTCACCACCAAAGCTACAGCTAACTTACCAGTATACAAAGTTGTACTGAATGAAGGTACTTACCCAGGCCCTTACACTTTCACTAATGCTCAGTGTATTTAGTTACATCAGATATTGTTCTATGAAACGCATACCATATTTCACTAAATCTGAAACACATGCCATATTTCACTAAATCTGAAACACATTTTTTAAAACATTTTAACATCTCTAAAATGGAGATGCATCTTAAAATCAGTTGCAGCAAACCCTTTAATTGGCATTATTGTTTCTTTGTTAGTGGCACATAAAATAATGTTGTGTCTTACAATGGGGATTCAATGAAATATGGCCGTTGGGTAGGATTTCATGTCTGTTTCATGGTGGGTAGTATGGAGAAAGTAGTATATTTTTACAGATTTAATTATAAGAACAGTGAATAATTTTAGTTATATTATACTTTCTCAAAAATATGTGTAAGATTGAGGCAGAAATGAAAGACCTGCATAAAATCTAAAGCCTTTTACAAATATCATGTTACATTGTTAATGTTTTTGTGGATGTTGACTAATAATTGGTAAACTTGATTCTCACTTCTCCTATGCACTTTTCATAAAGCACTTATACTCATTTTCAGTTTTATCTGAATTCTGCATTTCTTTCTTTCTTTTTTTTTTTTTTTTTTTTTTTGAGATGGAGTCTCGCTCTGTTACCTAGGCTGGAGTGCAGTGGCACGATCTCGGCTCACTGCAAGCTCCGTCTCCTGGGTTCACGCCATTCTCCTGCCTCAGCCTCCCGAGTAGCTGGGACTACAGGCACCCGCCACCATGCCCGGCTAATTTTTTGTATTTTTAGTAGAGACGGGGTTTCACCATGTTCGCCAGGATGGTCTCAATCTCCTGACCTCATGATCCACCCGCCTCAGCCTCCCAAAGTGCCGGGATTACAGGCGTGAGCCACCGCACCCGGCCAGAATTCTGCATTTCTTTCTAAACAGGAAAGGATTCTTTTGTGGTTTCTCAATCTTAACTAACTAAACCTGAGTAAAAAGGTTCAACCAATGAGAACCTTACATTTAACATCAGATTTATTTTATTTTCAGTAATAGATATCACAATTTGGAGACTAATAGGAAGCACGTGCCTGGAAAAAAAAAAATCTGATTAGTCTTTAAGATGGGAACCAGAGTAGCTTCTTATATTGTCTACTACAAGTAGACTTTTCTCTTAAAAGTCTAAGTTGCTATTTTCTAAAAAGACCAAATAAATATTTAGGAATTGTGATAACATAAATGTAAGTCAAGAAATATTAATTGCAGGATTTTTCGGCATGTTGAAATGAAAAAAATATAAGTTGAAAATTCTTTAAGAAGTGTGTACCTATTAAAATGGTATTAAGTGTTCATTCTTGAGTGAAATGTTTAAGGAATAAATAGGAATTATTGCATATGTTTTGTTTTCAGTGGGGAGCAATGGAAGTTTATTAATACCAACATCTGAGAAGCAGTATAATTTGCATCTATATGAGGCACCGACTCTAATTTATTATCAGTAATAAATCCATTTTGTCTCAGGTTAGGAAAGCTGGAGTCATCTTGGCAGTTTGTTGAAGCCAAAACATTGTTTAATATGGTTTTCCAAATTTTATACATCAGAATTTATCTGATTCACCTTTTAATCCCACCTCATACTTTGCCTTGGGATACACATGAAGGACACACTCAATAAAAGTCAAAATGCAGAAGACAAGATGTTTCATGCACTTGATAGACACAATAAAGATTCTATTTGCATAAATGGGCACATTCAGGAAAAATTAAAACACGGAAGGCAAAATGTTTCGGATCATTTTTTATTAATACTTGACTTTGGTCCAAGCCATTCCAGGGATAAAAGAGGCTAGGGTTTATGATCTAATCTCTAATCTAACTCTTGCATTTTCTCTAAGGAGTAATGGATCCTAAACTTTTATTTAATGCACACAATACTTATGCTCTGCTGATTAATATAATTTGAATGGGTTCATTGTAGAATAAATTCAAACAGTGACTTCAATTGAATATGCACTTGAACATTTTGCCCCCAGCTTCCTTTCCTGGTATTTTAAGGTTGTCTTTGACGTAACTAAATGTATGCATGGTATGAACAATTGGCAAATGCAGAAAAGTAGAAGAAGAAAAAATATATCCCACCCGGAGTCTCAACAAAATTCTTGAGTCCCAAATGTTTTGTTCAAAAATCTTTAGAGATTGTTATAAGAGCTCTCTGAGAGGAAACTGAACTTTATTCTTTTGTAGGGGTTATTTCTGTCTTTTGTACGATGTCCAATGCTTGTAGGTTCTATCTATAATCTATCAAGATGAATATACGTCCCCATCATTTGGCATATTTAACAGGCACCGACTCTTTTTTCCTCTCCAATCTCTGTTCGTGAATGGAATGTGCATGCCTTCTGACTGAGAGTGCATTTTCCATGGGTCTTGACAGCTTCCCCATCTTCCTCTTTCTTTTCCCTATTTATTCTTTCCCCTACCCCTACTCCTTTCCTGCTCTGACTTCCCCTTCCCCTCACCCTGCTCTTCCTCTTCTCCTCTCCTCTCCTCTTCATCTCCTCCACCTATGTTTCCCCTCCCTTTCTCTTTCCTTTCTTCTCCCCTCCCTTCTTCACGACTTTTCCTTTCTCCTTTACGCTCCTCCCTCCTTCCCCTGCTTGGAAACCCTGATTGGAGAGAGTCTAAGTTAGAACTAGAGGACAAGAAGTGTAGGACAAGATTATAAACTCTTTCAAGAGGGTTTTCTCTAAAGAGGAGACTACGGAAGATGATAGATCAGAGGCTCCTGGAGGGTGTGGGAACTGATGGATTGAAGCACTTGAAGGAGTGATCCCAGAAGGTAAGAGGTGATTGTCAGAGACTAGGAAACTTGGATTGGTGACAGCGAGGTCTAGAGGGCATGGCAATGGTAGAAGCTGAGATAAGGTGAAGGATATGATCATTAGAAAAGAAGAGATCATTCTGTAGGTTGCCTGTTTACTCTGATGAAAGTTTCTTTTGCTGTGCAGAAGCTCTTTAGTTTAATTAGGTCCCATTTGTCAATTTTGGCTTTTGTTGCCATTGCTTTTGGTGTTTTAGTCATGAGGTCTTTGCCCATGCCTATGTCCTGAGTGGTACTGCCTAGGTTTTCTTCTAGGGTTCACGATAGCAAAGACTTGGAACCAACCCAAATGCCCATTAATGATAGACTGGATACAGAAATTGTGGCACATATGCACCATGAAATACTATGCAGCCATAGAAAAGGATGAGTTCATGTCCTTTGCAGGGACATGGATGAAGCTGGAAACCATCATTCTCAGCAAACTAACACAAGAACAGAAAACCAAACACTGCATGTTCTCACTCATAAGAGGGAGTTAAACAATGAGAATATATGGACACAGGGAGGGGAACATCACACACTGGAGCCTGTCAGAGGGTTGGGGACTAGGGGAGGGATAACATTAGGAGAAATACTTAATGTAGATGACAGGTTGATGGGTACAGCAAACCACCATAACATGTGTATACCTATGTAACACACCTGCATGTTCTGCACCTGTACCCCAGAACTTAAAAGTATAATAAAAAAAAAAAGAGAGAAAAGAAAATAAGAGATCAGGAATATAACTCCAGGATACTGGAATGATCATTTACATAGATAAGGAAGTCACTAAGGTGTGGGTATATGTGTGTGTGAGAGAAAGAGAGAGAGAAAAAAGAGAAAGGAGAGAGAGAGAGAATTTAAAAAAGGTTATTGGATATATAATATGATACTTCAAAGGAGCTGGAAGTTTTTAGGAAGGAAGGAGAGAGAATGATCTGGGAAGACAATCAGGAGCAACAGAGACACCTCCTCACCTCCAGTCCCTGTTACAGAAGACAATATAATTTTTATTAGGGCAATCAAGTGAAGGAAAAGTTGCTCAAAAGGAAGTTTAGGATATGAGGGGATTAACTGAAACCATCGTTATTCTAGGGGGCAGGTCCAAGGGTCTATGGGGATAGATTTGGAACACAGCTACATGTGGATAACCCTGGTGGATGAGGGATAACTATAGAGCCTTGGACTTTCTAAGTGATTGCCATCAACAGGAATAGAGGGCATGATGAAATCAATGGAAATGGACTCTAACATACATTGTTGGGTTTGAGTGGGCAGTTGGAGACTCTTACCAGGAAAACTCAGAACACAGACATCGTTGGGGAACCTGCAGAGGCTGGAACAGTGTGAGTGCTCTCTGGTAGCTTCTCTGATGTAATGTTGAGGACAGAGACTCAAAGGTGGCAGAACCGCGGAAATGCAGGTTTCTCTGGATAACTCGTGGCACTTTTTCTGATGGTGATGTTGAGGCTGGCTGAGGTACGGGGGCGTTTTCAGCATCCGCAGTTTAGTGAATATCCTTCCTACTGCTTTCTCATGGTGAATTCAAAGAAGATGAAGAAAACCATGTCACAAGTTGTGCCTGCTCACTTCTCTGGCCGGGGAAATGTGCTCCTAGATAACATGCTCTACCCCGAGCACGTTTGGAGCACACACACATCCCATGATCCAAGAAAGGGGGAAGATCTTTCCCTAAAAAATTAACAAAGGAAGAGTTAATGGATGCTGGGCAGATGGAATTAGAAATTGTGTATAGCTGGTATCAAGGACCCAAATGCTGGGCAGAAGGAATTAGAAATTGTGTATAGCTGGTATCAAGGACCCAAATGCTGGGCAGAAGGAATTAGAAATTGTGTATAGCTGGTATCAGGGACCCAAATAACAATGTGTTAAGCCAATTAAGGCTTCATTTTTCTTTTAACTAAAACAAGGACAGAAGTAGGTAATCCAAAGTTGGTGTAATAGCTCCACTGTCATCAGAGAGCCAGACTTCCTATGTTTTTTGCTATACCATCATGGTGCATGATATGTTCCCACAGTATCATATACTTATACTCTAGTATGCTGGGCTACCATTCCTCATGTCTGTATTGTGGAAGAAAAGGAGAAGGAAGCAGGGAAGGGAAAGAAGTACTCTCTCAATTGAGACAGCCCCCTTTAAAAAGCTTTCCAAGGGCGGGTGCGGTGGCTCACGCCTGTAATCCCAGCACTTTGGGAGGCCGAGGCTGGCGGATCACAAGGTCAGGAGATCAAGACCATCCTGGCTAACACAATTAAACCCCATCTCTAATAAAAAAATTCAAAAAAAAAAATAGCCGGGCGTGGTAGAGGGCGCCTGTAGTCCCAGCTACTCGGGAGGCTGAGGCAGGAGAATGGCGTGAACCCAGGAGGTGGAGCTTGCAGTAAGCTGAGATCACGCCACTGCACTTCAGCCTGGGCAGCAGAGTGAGACTCCATCTCAAAAACAAAAAACAAAACAAAATAAAATAAAATAAAATAAAATAAAATAAAAAAATAAAAAGCTTTCCAGAAGTCCTGCTCAATCTCAGCTATATATTATGGGCTCTCATTAGTTGAGGTAGAGGTGGAGAGTTGTAATCTTTTAGCTGGGCATATTACTATGCTTAATAAAACTGGTGAGAATGGCTATTGGGTGGGCAACTATAAGCCTCTACCACAGCAGCAAAAATAAACTGATGTTAATGCATAAGTCAAGATTCGTATCATGAGCTATGATTGGCAGGAATATTTGTGGGAAGGAGAAGTGAAAAAGCTGGAAGAACAAGAACTGGGGTTGGACAGTAGAATACCACAACCGAAGATGGCAGAAGTTGGGTAGCTTTGCAGAGGCTAACACTATTAGAAGGCCTAGGATATGCCCATGAGGTCTAAGAACCAAGTCGATCATGAACCTGAAAACTCTGTCCTGGAAAATACCACTTCCTTTTGTTGTAATGTAGCCTGAAAAATCACAGGAAAGGCCCAGCTGAGAGCATCAGGTACCTCCCTTTTGTGATCACCTCTAATCTACAGTTACCATCTTCCATGTAGGGCCAGGCCTCTTAGACAGGTTAAGTTTCCCACCTATGGGCAGAGGGCTGCATGCGATGATATTATTTAGGCAATGCATTTGGTAAAACATGAACTTTCAATTGTCCCATAAGAACTCAAAAAATGGTGGTGTATTATGTGTCGTTTGCTATTTTAAGAAAAGAAAATTGTCTTGCTTGCAATGTGCAGGCATTGCTAAACTTGTAATTATTATTTTTATCCTTATTTAGCAAAATGTGATCTAATTGCTTTCATTTTACATAGTAAGAACATGTCCTCATCTCCGCCAGCCGAAACATGGCCACATCAGCTGTTCTACAAGGGAAATGTTATATAAGACAACATGTTTGGTTGCCTGTGATGAAGGGTACAGACTAGAAGGCAGTGATAAGCTTACTTGTCAAGGAAACAGCCAGTGGGATGGGCCAGAACCCCGGTGTGTGGGTAAGTTTCTAGAAGGTGTAATGCCTTGAGTGATTCATTTCCTCTGCTCTGATTTCTCCAGTATTCTGTGAAGACCTAAAACTAAACACTAGCTGGTAATGAGTATAAATACATATCCACATGTACAGGTGCAGGTGTTACAGATACAAAAACAGATGTGTTGTCTTACTCCTCTCCACTAGTAAAGGAACTTCTACAATGAATTCTGTTTTCTAACTCACAGAGGTTTATACCTTCAAATGACCATGCCTTTTTTCTTAGTTTTAATTGAGGCCAATTTGGATGGATTTTTTTTTAAAATGCAAATGCCTCATAATACCCTTGCTTTGTTAAACATGTTTTACATTTACCTTATTAATGGAAGGACAAAATTAGGAACCAGTGAATCTTAAAAATTGCTTTATTATTAAACAAGAACAAATAAAAATAACTGAACATTCAACTGAAAAGTTAGGAAAATAAAACAACTGCAAGGCAAATTGAAAGAAGGATATAACCAGAATTGTTTAAGTAAATGAAAAAGAACTATAAAGGGAGAATGGATGCAGGAGAATGGTTAAGAAGCAAAGCTTTAAATAAAGTAATAAAATAGAATTTAAAATATAAGTAAGAAAAATTCAAAAATAGAATTTTTCTGGCCGGGCAAGGTGGCTCACGCCTGTAATCTCAGCACTTTGGGAGGCTGAGGTGAACAAATCATGAGGTCAGAGCTGCAGACCAGCCTGGCTAACATGGTGAAACGCTGTCTCTACTAAAAATACTAAAAAAATAGCTAGGTGTGGTGGCAGATGCCTGTAATCCCAGCTACTCAGGAGGCTGAGACAGGAGAATCTCTTGAACCCAGGAGGCAGAGGTTTCAGTGAGCCGAGATCACAGCACTGCACTCTAGCCCCAGCGACAGTGCAAAACTCTGTCCAAAAAAAAAAAAAAAAAATTCTAAGAACTTTCCATACCATATAGTTTGGCCTAAATAATGGAAAGCCAGCCAATTCATATTCTTGAGGTATTATTATTTAATTGTCAACCTGACAATTATTACCAAAAAAGATAGAAAATTATAGACCAACATTACGTTGGTCTGTAAAAGCTGTAAAAGCAAATATACTAGCAACCCACACTGAAAAAAGAAAATAATCTGCCAATCAAGTAGAGTTTATTCTAGGATTGCAAAAGGGAGTTAAAATTAAGTAATCTATCAATATAATAAATTACTTCATTATAGCAAATTGGAAGAAAATTGTATGGTTGCTTAGTAGAAGATAAAAATTCATTCATTATCATTTAAAACACATTTTCAGTAAAATGTTTTAAAACTCATATTGATATAACTCAATAAAAAATATCAATCTGAAATCTGCAGCCACTTATGGAGAAACAATATAGACAGTCTTATCAAATTTGGCAAAAGAAAAATATGCTCACATTGTTTAGTACTATTCTCTAAGCTTTAGCTCTTGTAAGAAATTATGAGATTAGAGATATTGGGATTGAAAATCATCATCATTTGTAGACTACAAGCCTGCCCCCCCCACAACAAAATAGAATGAATCTACTAATCAACGAGAGCTCATTAAAGTCATTAAAATAGCAAATATATCTGCCAGCAGACATTAGAAAAAATAAAGAAAAATAGACAGCTTTTCTATATACAATGATAAACAGAACATGTGGTAAAATATGACATTCAAAAGATCTATGGAAAATATAAAATATGTCAGAATAACCTTAAATAGAAACGTGTGGAACCTGTATTAAGCAAACCAGAAAAATGTTACCGAGAGATGAAAAGAACATTTTAATATTTATATAAAATGTTTTCAAAATGTTAAGTTCTTTCCAAATTATGTATTTATATATAAATTATTTATATTAATTTGTATATATTATATTACTACATAATTTATATATGTATTATTTTATAATTTATATATGTATATTAATTATATTAATATATAGTACATATATTTATGTTAAGTTCTTTCCAAATTAACCTAAGGAAAGAACTTAACACATTACATATATATGCATTACATATATATGTACTACACTGAATGCAAACTCATTCAATAGCTTAAAAGGGATTTTCTTTTTTGCCCTTCTTTTGGAATTAGGGAATGATTCTAGGGTTCATCTAGAAAAATATTGTAATGAACAATCACTAAAATCAGTTTGAAAAGGAAGAGCAATAGGAATAGTAAATAGAAAGTAGCTCTATCAGGTTTTCAAATCTTTTTTAATCTGCAAAGATTAAGAATATGCAAGGATTGCCATACAGATTACAATTAAGGAAGTATCACAGGTCAGTTGAGGGAAAAAAAATTTATTTAACTGATCATAGGGGAAAATTGACTAGCTCCTTGTGAAAAACAAAACAAAATAAAGTTTCCTGTATGTTTTCAATTCACACTGAACACAGAAATAAATTCTTCATAGATTTTAAAGATAAGGTAAAAGATAAAACCATTACAACCTGGAAGAGAATGTATTTAACATATGTAAGTGAATGCTAACCAGTCTCAGAACTTACTAAGCATAAAAGCAAAGGAATACTTCAAAAAGAAAAACACTCAGTAGATTAGACTATATAAAAGTTAAAGACACGCTCACCGTAAGTACCATAAACAAACAATAAAAAAAGAATAAAATTTTCAACAACTTTGACAGCCAAAAGGATAATTTTCTTACTTTATATAGGCCCAGCTGTAAATAAAGGATACTGAGTCCCACATTGTCATTATCGTCGAACCACAAATTTGGCTTTGATTTTCCTGTTGATCAAAGTAGACTAGGAGGTCTGGGATGGCATGCAGTTCACACCGTGCAGAAATAAAGAGACAAACCATTTCTTGGAAAAAAAATGGCTTTTGCTGGCACAGTTTGGAAAGAAATTATTTCATGGAGGAAGTATGATAGTGGAGTGTTTAGTAGCACACAGATTTTGCCACTTACTTGCATGGTGACTTTAGGAAAGTTACTAGTGTGCTCAGTTTTCATTTGTAAGTTGGAATACTTCTTACAGCATATGATTAAATAATACATGCAAAGTGCTTAGAATAATGCCTGGCACATAGTAGGTACTGAATAAATGTTAGCTATTTATTCAGCTATTCCAATAACATGGAAAATAGAGACTAAAAATGTGAGTAATGCTGCCAGTAGATTCTCTACTACAAAAAACAAATGTGCCTATGGGTGTGTGCACACGCTGCCCCCTCACATGCACTCCCTGTATTAAGTCCTAGCCTTGATTTTCCATTCCATCTGCATTCTGCCTAATTCATCTGCTATTCTTTTTCTGTGCTAAATATAGCATTCAAGGTCAAGGCCCTAAATATAACAGTGATTTTAGGAAGGCTATTAGAAACTTTTCTCATTATATGCTTGCTTAAAAATAGCACCAAAAAGCTCATAAAATAGAGATTGCTGAATATATCACTTAATCCATGAAATATGGAATTCGATTTATGACTTTCTACTTCTAAGCCATAAAATAATATTCTGCTAACTAAATGAATGTGCTCCAAGCAAATGATAAAAGTCAAAATCAGTGTTAATTAAAATATCAGAAGTTTTTGAAAGTTTTGATGATGCACTGGCAAAAATAGCAAAAGATAACTAAAGAGGTATAGGTTAGCATTATTTACAATATATTATACATTCAATGTCATATATAGTTATCATTTAGCAATTTACGTAAATCCTAAGGCAGCATAATTGTATTTTTCTTGAGTAAAAAGAATCCATGGCATTTCCAATTTGTGGGAACACAAATAACATTCTCTCTGTTTCCCTACCGTAGAGCGCCACTGTTCCACCTTTCAGATGCCCAAAGATGTCATCATATCCCCCCACAACTGTGGCAAGCAGCCAGCCAAATTTGGGACGATCTGCTATGTAAGTTGCCGCCAAGGGTTCATTTTATCTGGAGTCAAAGAAATGCTGAGATGTACCACTTCTGGAAAATGGAATGTCGGAGTTCAGGCAGCTGTGTGTAAAGGTAGGTCTCTACACTAGTCAGGCTAAAAATCAAATTTTTTAATATTGCCATATGGGTGCAGTATAGGACAATCCTTCTTTGCAACTTTTGCTGCAAACCCATGATAATATGGTTAGGTGCTACCCCAATATCCTCTATGAGGATTTCTGGTTGAAAGTGGTGAATTTACAAAATCTGATTACAAAATGCCAGACAATGACAGAAGAAATACACAAATAAGGAAAATAGTAGAGCTGAAAATCAGGTAAGTTTTCCATAAGACTAAAATCTTTAGGGAAGTCTTGGTCTATATAAAGCAGGTGAGACTGAATTGATTTTCAAAAAGAAGCTATCAGCACTTTGAAACCTGGCATCACATTCCATTCACAAGAGGACATTGCCATTTTCTCTGCAACAAGAGCAGACCGCTATGAAAAAGGAGTTACTGAAAACAGAAAAGAGTTCTTAGAAGTAAAAAATGTCCTATCTCTAAGAGAAGGACAAGGGCAGATGAATGGAAGGAATGCTGTTGAAAACTATATTAGTAATTTAAAAGACCAAACTGAGAGTTTCCTCACAATGGAGAACTGAATGAGTAAACAAAGAAAGTGCTTGAATTTCCCAATTGATCAAACCAAAAAGATGGAAGTTGAGGGATGCCAGTGGCAGAAGGAAAAACCCCAATGTCCATTTAATAAGGAGTTCCAGAAGGAGAGAGGAGAGGAGATGGAGAAAAATTTCTCTACCAAGAGAAGAAAATTTCTCTGAGCTAGAGAATGGCTTAATCCTTTAGACCACAAATAACTCCTGAGTGTTGGGTTGGCATACTTTGACTACTCCTAGTGAAATTTCTGAGTTGCAGAGTTAATGGAAAAATCTTAAATAACTTTTCATGGAGAAAGAAAGAAATTGCACAAAAGAAACAAGAATTAGACTCACGTTACCTATTTCATTTACAACTTTAAATGCCACAAGGAAATGTAGCAATGTGTACAGGATATGGAGAGCAAATAAATATAAACTTTAGATTCCAGGTCCAGTCAAGCTATTGTTTAAGCATGAATGAAAAATCAAATACTTTTTAAAAATTTTTTCAGAGTTAATATGCTATTATGTCTTCCTGTGGGAGAGAGTTGTCCAAGTATAAGCCCCTTTGAGAAAGAGAAAATATAAATTGAATTAAATTTTGAAGAAACAAGAAGACGTGAGACACAATGAGATCAATTCAGATATATTCAGCCAGAAGTTACAGAAGACCTAATTTAACATAAATTAAAATAAAAGATGTATTTTATCATATAACAAAAGCTTAAGCACTACCATAACTGGCGTGCATCTGTGTAACGTTAGCACGTCTAATTCAGCACCATAGTATAAAGTAAAAAATATCATTGGCTTTAATTTGTTGCTTGCTTTGACAGTACGTTTCAGTTTCTGCTAGTTAATTCTAGTTGACAGCCTCATTTTCAAGTGTAGTTTCTTCCTGTCACAGTCAACATTTTTTAATTTAGTTCATTCAAAAAATATTTCTCAAGCTCCTATGATATGTCAGGTACCATATAAGACAGTGGGGCAAGACATCCTGACCTTCAAATAACTTAAATTCTATTGGGGGAGAAAATTCAATTTCAAAATAGCTTGTTGAGTTTTATGGTTGGGAAATCCAGAGGGCTATGGGAACTTGTGGAGTGGGGACCTCAAATGGGCCTGGAGAATCAGCAAGAGCTTCCTGAGGAGCTGTGTCTAAGCCTGTTCAAGAGCAAGTACTAGACATCCAGGTAAAGGGAGAAGAGGGCACTAATTCAGGCAAATAAAAGAACATAGGTAAGGGCCCAGGTAAAAGAAAGGCAATGGCCTGACAGTAACTCAATGTGGAGAGTGAATTCCTGTAGGAGAAAAGGAAGAAATGAGGCTAAGAGGTTAATAGGTACTAGTTCAAGATTGGGCTCGTAAGCCATGCTGAGATAAATGATCAGGAAAGCAGGTGGGTGCAGATTCCGAACAATCAGTAACTGGGATGTACAAATGTGTCACAGTGTATTAATATAACTAGATTTGTACCTCTTCCTTAAATGATCTAGGACCACATATCAGTGTATTAATCTACTTGTGTATTTTTCTGAGTTAGACGTGGAGGCTCCTCAAATCAACTGTCCTAAGGACATAGAGGCTAAGACTCTGGAACAGCAAGATTCTGCCAATGTTACCTGGCAGATTCCAACAGCTAAAGACAACTCTGGTGAAAAGGTAAGGTTTGTGCAATTATGTGCATCCTTTTCAAATGAATTCTAAATATACTGCAGATATGTGTGTTGAAGACTTACTAATATGCTCATGGTAATACTTGTATTAGGGTTCTCTAGAGGGACAGAACTAATAGGATAGATGTATATATGAAAGTGAGTTTATTAAGGACTATTGACTCACACCATCACAAGGTGAAGTTCCACAATAGGCCATCTGCAAGGTGAGGAGCAAGGAAGTCAGTCCAAGTCCCAAAACCTCAGAAGTGGGGAAGCCGATAGTGCAGCCTTCAGTTAGTGGCCAAAGGCACAAGAACTCCTGGCAAACCACTGATATAAGTACAAAAGTCCAAAAGCTGAAGAACTTGGAGTCTGATGTTCAAGGGCAGGAAGCAGCCAGCACGGGAGAAAGATGAAGGCTGGAAGACTCAGCAGGTCTGCTCTTCTCACCTTCCTCTGCCTGCTTTATTCTAGCCAAGGTGGCAGCTGATTAGATGGTGCCCACCCAGACTGAGGGTGGGTCTGCCTCTCCCAGTCCTCCTCAAATGTTAATCTTTGGCAACATCCTCACAGACACACCCAGGAACAATACTTCGTATCCTTCAATCCAATCAAGTTGACGCTCAATATTAACCATCACAATACTCTTTGTGTATGAACTCTACTCGTAAATGTGAATGCGGCATCTGACAGAATAATGATCAACCTTGAATTTTTAATTAGAAATCTCAGATAAAATCCTCAAAACCAGAAACTTTTCATTCTATGGATTTGTTGTATTATTGTAGCCACTAAGATTACTTGACGAAGAATTCTTTGCCCTTTACTAGGTTCTGAGGATCTTTTAAGAAAAGAAAAGATGTGGACTCAATCCTAATTGCTATTTATGAACCTATCTTTTAAAATATGGGCCCAAAATGATTGTGTATTTTTCAGTCAGAAAGAGATAGCACTGGTGTTTCTTCTTCAAGCTTGTCTGAATCCAGCATTATTCAGAACACAGTATTTTAATTTTCTTTGTATAGTAGCTTGAAATAATCCATCAGATGTTAGAAAAATAGTTCATTTAGGAATTTTACTTCCTCTTATATGTACATGGTTAGTATTCATATACATTAAGATGCACTTAAATATTATGTTATTTCTACACTTACCTGTAAATATATATAAGTTGGACCAATCAGGATACACTGGGGGCGGCGGGGGGGATGCAGAGCGCAACATAGAAAAAATAGCTGTTCCGATCATTGTGTTGAATATACTTACAATCAAGGTAGCTTTTAAATCTGATTTGAAAAGGGCAAATGTGATTTCTAGGGCTGAATGCACTTTAGGTGGTTTGTGTGTTGAACAGTCTCTCATGTGTGATATTTCCACCACATCTTTTTCTTTTCACTCTGACCCTCCTGCCTTCCCCTTATAAGGACCCTTGAGATTACATTGAACCCATCTGGATAACTCAGGAGAATCTCCTAATTTTAAGATTCTTAATTTAGTCGTGTCTGCTAAGTCCCTTTTACCATGTAAGGCAACGTGTTCACAGGTTCCAGGGATTAGAACATGGATGATCTTTGGGGGGGCCGTTATTCAGCCTACTACATGGGGGAAGAACTTGAATGTGCTTAAAAGAATAAAAATAGAAATGGAGAGAACCAATTGAGATGGAGAAGTTGAATATACAAGGAAAAGAGGGGGCAATTCATTGTGAATGGCTTCTGTTCAGAAAGTGATCAAACCTGAAGCGTAACTAAAGGGAATAAGTAAGAGAGTTTTGAAGTTTTAGGAGAATTGAGAAGTTTTGAAAAACTCATTCTGAGAAGGAGAGTGAACAGACCAGAGAAATATACTAGGATTATTTGGCTACAGTTGGGGGTCCATTTGAGTTTTGTGATCATAAACTTATAGAGAGATTAATCTGCACTACTGTGTGAATTTCTCCAAAATTGATGTGATTCTCTAGCGCAGGCATGAAAAAAGTAAATAATTGGGTTTCTTTATAATGTAGAGGTTTGAAAGAAAAAAAAAAGACAGAGAAGGCAGTTTAGACAATTGGGGAAAAAAACCCCACTATATTTATTGTAATAATAGAACATGAACTCAAAGCAGGGTAAGAAAGAATAAAAAGAAAGAACTCACGATGCTGTCATGAACATCCTTGTACTAAGTCTTTGTCTTTTGTCTCTGATTATTCCCTCAGAAAATTTCCAAAAAAAGAAATTTCTTGGTAGAAAAGTAAGATGCTAAATTATATGTACAGTGCAATCAAAACTATAATTGTGTAACTGATATTGAATAGTCTGAACTAGGAAAGGCACCAATAGAAAATAACCATTATTCTACAGTCACAAGCTTTGGTTGCTCTAGGGTATACCAATAGTTCTTTCCATAATTAAAAACCACTTTCAAGGATTAAAAAGAAGAGTCTTGCTGTCTAAATAAAAGCTTGAATCTTGTATCCACTTCAAAGCTTTTTCCTCTTGCGGCTCAGAGGAGGCCTGACTGACTTGAGGAAAGAGGAGCAATTGATGCTATTTTCCCCCTTCTATGCCTCCCCGTCTCTGTCTCTGGCCTCTCTAGGGTCAGGGCTGGTGGGATAAACAGAAAAATGGCTACCTCAAAGATATCCTTGTCCTAATCCCTAGAACCTGCAAATATGTTTCCTTACATAGCAAAGGAACTTTGTAGATGTGATGAAAGTAAGGACTGTGAGATGGGAGGATTAGCGTGGGTTATCCAGGTGAATCCAACTTAATCACATGAGTCCTTAAAATAAGAGAAGTACCTTTCCCAGCTGTGGTTACAGAGCGATGCTATAACAGAAGGATTTGAGAGATGTGCAGAGAGAAGGACTCAATCTGCCATCAGTGGCTTTGAAGCTAGAGGAGGAGGACCATGCAGGCAGCCTCTAAAAGCTAGAAGAGGCAAGGAAACAGATTCTCCCTCAGAGCCTCCAGAAAGGAACTCAGCCCTACTAACACTTTCATTTCAACCCTGTAAGACCCATCAGTGTCTCTAACCTATAAGACCACAGGATAATACATTCTTGTTGTTTTTGTTTGTTTTTTGCTTTTTGATTGTTTGTTTGTTTGAGACAGAGTCTTGCTCTGTCCCCAGGCTGGAGTGCAGTGGCATGATCTCGGCTCACTGCAGCCTCCACCTCCCAGGTTCAAGCGATTCTTCTACCTCAGCCTCCCAAGTAGCTGGGATTACAGGCAAGTGCCACCATGTCAAGCTATTTTTTGTATTTTTAGTAGAGACGGGTTTTCACCATGTTGGCCAGCCTGGTCTCGAACTCCTGACCCAGTGATCTCCTGCCTTAGCCTCCCAAAGTGCTGGGATTACAGGCATGAGCCAACCGTGCCTGGCCCATTTTTGTTGTTTTAAGCTGCCACATTTTTAGGAATTTGCTATGGAAACAATAGGAAATGAACACAGCTGGGAAAGGAGTATTTTTGAGGAAAGGTTCAAAAGTCTTTCATTTGTTTAAGGCTGTGTGGCCCTCTTTGTATTGCTGATGCACTCTGAGAAGCAAAAAAAAAATTATCTCTCTTGTGTAGTCCATGTGCACATTCTGCAGGAGGCCCTGTAGAAGCACCACCCCCTCCCCAACCCCTTACAGTTCCCTGCCATGAAGGTGCATTCTGGCAGGACCTCTGCTGCCCTTCCCCTTAGCTCCAAGCACTGTCATACATCCCACAACCTCTCAAAACCCCTAGAGCAGAGTGTAGGGCAGAACAACTCAAGTACTACCATCTCCCCTTTCAGCCTATGTCACTTCACCATGCCAACAACTGGGAGTGCAGGCTGACACATTTTCAGAACAGCCTTCCTCCCAGTCTGTCCATATTGCTCAAATAAGCCTCCTGCCTTCAAAATTCACCAGGAGAGATGCAGCCACCTGTCTACATTCATATGTGCCCCTAAACTCCAAGGCATGGGTGTCGGCCTCACCCAGCACTCCTCACATTGGGGTGAATCTATGGATTTCTTCTGCCCAGCAAGCATCCAGCCTGGGAATGGGATGCTGGTCTCCTTTTCTGTAGGCACCCCCTTCCCCCTGCCAATGTTCTATGAGTGGTTGTCTGAAGCCCTGCCACTTGGTTTAAGGCAGTATTCCTCCCCATTCCTTGCCCCATGGAGAAGACAGGGGAAATATCCCAACACTCTACCCAAGTCAATTCTCCTATTTCATATATATATATATGAAATATATATATCCAGCCACTGCTGTGTCAGCCTCCTGGCGATTTTTCCATTCTTAGGAGCTTTAGGACTGTAGCTGCAATTATATATGGAAGGAATATAGTCTTTTTAATAAAGTTTTAAAAACATGCATAAGCCTTTCATTACCCAATTATCTGTGGCAAAAAAAATAAGAGTATCTATTGCATTTCGCCCAAGTAAAAGGAGTAAATTATCAGTTTAACTTTTCAGCCGCTTATAGTTTATTGATATAATCTGGGATTCTTATTCTAATTTATTATAGATTAATTAATATAGTTTTTTTTACATCCCTTCAAAAATCTTTGATAACACCTGAATCCTAACGACCACAATTTTTCACACTGAGTATGTGTTTACATAGTTTTGGTGTTTGCTGACAGTTCTTCACACCATGACTTTTCTCTCTTATGAGGGATTTGTTGTGATTCATCTCATTTGGTAGGTTCAAAATCCATTCTTTCAGAAAAAGTATATACAGGTGGTATATTTATTAAGCCTTTGCATGTACAAGAACATCTTTTATTTCCAGACTAGCATTTAATGACTAAGAGAAAGATAATATATGCTGATTATTATCTTTTTTTAGATAATCTGCTTTTTTTCTTCCTGAGTGCTGTGGGAATTTTTTGTTGTACATTAAGTTATCTGGGATTTGTTTAAGTGATGATTGTTCTTTATCAACTTTGGTACATCAAGAGTCCTTTTTATGTACAGTCATAGCTTTCTTCAAATCAAAGTTTTCTTCTATATCTTAGAACATTTTTCTTATTCCATTCATTCTGTTTTTTTAGGAACACTGATGATTCGTAAGTTATATCTCTAATTTCTATTCTGTATGTCTATTATCTATTCCATGATTTATACTCTTAAGTTTTCCTCTGTGTCCTGAATGAGACTTTTAAACTTACTCTTTGTATCCCTGATGTAATTTCCTGGAGCAAAATAACTATTTGACTACCAAGATACAGATAAATTTGCACACACACACACACACACACACACACCCCATTCTATAAAATATGTAATGCTATATATAGTAATAGGTTACTAAAATAGGTTAAAAAGGGATTCTACTTACAATGCAAGATAAAATGTAAAATATTTAGGTTTCTATTTAAAAAGAAGGGTAAATGGCACCTTAAAGGAAAATATAAAACATTGGCAGGTGAAATAATGAAATCAAACAGAAATAGATGCCATATTTGTAGATTAAAAAACAAAATGTTTCATTCTAGTTTTTCTGAAAGAAAAAATTTAAAAAGCAAAATATTTATAGAATAAATGTATTTCAAAAGTACTGTTAATATATTTTTGAGCATGAAAAGTGATTCTGTAACGGAAAGTAGAAGAATACCTAGATTAAAGTATTGAAAAGAATAATAAGAAACAACTGGTTCTATCAGAAATCAAAATATTTAATAAAATAAAAATAAACAGAATGATGCAGTACTATTTCATAATAGATGGATTTTAAAATATCATAAAGGGGAATCAGTGAGTGATTTTTAAGATGTAAAGTTATACTCTCAAATCATACCACACAGAAAATATATTTCCAAATTATAGTTTAAATCATAAAAAAAACTACCATCAAATATTTTTGGATGCTTATCAAATCATTTCATGAGTAGCTTTCTAATCTTATTTGAAATATTTTTAAAACTACAGTGAAAAGGAAATTTATCAATTTTCAATGGATGAAGAAAATAAACATACAATTCAAGAAGTAAAAAATATAATACATGCAAACTTGAGAATTTAATCTTAGCATATGGCATTAAAAAACAGTTCATTAAAACAATGACCTGGTGCCAGATTTTTGACTTACCAAAAATTGATGATATTTAATATAGATCAGAAAATGTGGTTGACAGTGGGAATATGAATTGTTACCATGCATTTGGAAATAAGTTTTATATTATCTACTAATAAAATGTTAATGATTGGGTTTAATAATTCTGTTCATGGAACTCTATTACAAGGAAATAATAAATAAGCAAAATAAGCCAAGCACAGAAAGACAAATATCTCAGGTGAGAGCTAAAAAAAAGTAGATCTCATTAAGATAGAGAGTAGACTGGTTGTTATCCGAAGCCAAGAAAGGTGGGGGAGGGAGAGATAAGAGAAGAGAATTAGTGGGTAGGAATACATGTTTTGATAGAAGTCATAAGACCTTGTCTTACATAGATCAGTAGGGTGACCATAGTTTACGATAATCGATCATATATTCCAAAATAGCTGGAAGAGAAGAATTTTAAAGGTTCCAGCATAAAGAAAAGATAAATATTTAAGGTGATGGATATCTGAAGTGCACTGATTTGATCTTTATAAACTATATGAATGTGTGAAATTATTACATGTACCTTGAAACTATGTACATCTATTATGCATCAGTAAAGAAAAGAAGAAGAAAAAATATGTTTAAATTATCTGTTCAAAACTGTTTACAATGGAAATGTTTGGGTCAAACTAATGTCCTTCAACAGATTTTTCTTAAATTATCTTATATTTATTCTACAGAACATTATGGAAACATTTAAGAGTCATCTTAAGTTTTAAGGACTACATAAGAGCATAAAAGATGTTTGAAGGTATTATGTTTAAAAAACAAGGAGAAATATTTCATATGTGTGCCAATTCTATAAATCATGTAAATAGAATAATCTGGAAAGAAATATGCCAGAAAGCTGTGCCTTTTTCCTTTCCTCTTTGTGAAATATTGTATCATTGTTAACATTACTAATAATATATAAATCAGAAAAGAATAAACGCACTTTTGACATTAACTTTCAAAATATTTGTGTATCTCCAATAGGTGTCAGTCCACGTTCATCCAGCTTTCACCCCACCTTACCTTTTCCCAATTGGAGATGTTGCTATCGTATACACGGCAACTGACCTATCCGGCAACCAGGCCAGCTGCATTTTCCATATCAAGGTTATTGGTAAGTGATATAGTTTGGTTGTTTCCCCATCCAAACGTCATCTTGAACTGTGGCTCCCATAATTCCCATGTGTCGTGGGAAGGACCCAGTGGGAGGTAATTGAATCATAGAGGTGGGTCTTTCCCATGCTGTCCTCATGATAGTGAATAAGTCTCAGAAGATCTGATGGTTTTATAAGGGGGAGTTCCCCTGCACGTGCTCTCTTGCCTGCCACCATGTAAGACGTGGCTTTGCTCCTTCTTTGCTTTCTGCCGTGATTGTGAGGCCTCCCCAGCCATATGGAACTGTGAGTCCATTAAAACTCTTTCCTTTATAAATTACTCAGTCTCGGGTATGTCTTTATTAGCAGCATGAGAACAGACTAATACAGTAAGTCTTCATTGAATCATTTGGGCAGGTTTATGAAAGCAATCCAGAACCCCAGAGACCACTTCTCCTTTATGATCAACAACTCCCTTGTCACTGATTCTTCCAACTGGCATTGAAACTTGCTCAAAGCACTCCCTGTTTGAAACCTACAAACCCTTTAACTATTACCACTTCTCTTTGATTTCTTCCCATATGAGCCCACATGAAAGTTCCCAATGCTTGCCATGTCTTTCTGCTTAATTGCCATTTATTCGGAGTCACCCAAATCTGGCTTCTATCCCCTTCACTCGTATAAACTACTGTCATCAAAGTCACCAATGATCTCTGGTGTTACTCTGCATACTTTTTGGTCCTAATTTTACATAATCTTTCCTCATATTTTACATTTATTTAATTTTTTTCAGAGACAGGGTCTCACTCCGTCCTCCAGACTGGAGTGAGTGCTGTGCCACAATCATAGCTCACTGCAGCCTCAAATTCCTAGGCTCAAGCAATCCTCCTGCCTTAGCCTTCCAAATAGCTGGGACTACAGGCATGTGCCACCACACCCAGCTAATTTGTTTTGTTTTTTTTTAATTTTTTTGTAGAGACAAGGTCTCACTGTGTTCCCAGACTGATCTCAAACTCCTGGCCTCAAGTGATCCTCTCACGTTGGCCTCCCAAAATGCTGGGATTATAGGTGTGAGCCACCACACCCAGCTACGTTTTACATTATTAACCACACACTTGTTACCAAAACTTTTTCCTTCCCTTAGCTTCCTTGATGTTAGTCTTTCCCGTCTTTTTTTTCCCTCCATTATTTTTACCTAACCTTCTTTATCTCTTTTGTAGGCTTCTCTTCCTCAGGCTAATTCTCAAATGCTGATCTTCTCTAGGGTTTCAGCCCTGGTCTTCTCTATCTCTCTCTGTAGTTTTCCTGAGTGATTTTGTTAACCAACAACTCCCATATTCCTATTTCCAGTTCGAATCTCTTTTCTGGAATCCAAACTGGACTCTGAAAGCCTCCTGGACTTTCCCCATATTAATGTCTCACAGGCATTTCAAACTCACCTAAACCTAAATTATTTCCTAGCTCAGAAAAGGACACAGCCAACCACCTAGCTACCAAGCGAAAACCTTGGAATCATGCTTGACTCCCTGCCCTCTCACCAATATCCAAGAAGGTATCAGGTGCTGTTGGTTTCACCTACTTGATATCGCTGAAGTTTGTCCCATTCTCTCCATCCTCAGAACCACCGCTGCGGATCAGTCCTTTGAAATCTTTTGAGCCTGGTTTACCGTATCATCTCTCAATTGGTCTTCTGCTCATTACCAAAATAAAATACATGGAGAGGTAGGCTACATAGCAATCTGTAGTGGACAAGAGCATGGACTCTGAACCCAAGCTGGTTGGGTTCATGTTCATCTCCACCGCTTAAAGTCAAGGGGACCAGTTCCTGCTCTATACCTCAATTTCTTTATCCAAAAGTAAAAGTAATGAATGTATTACCTCATTGTGAGATTTTTAATTTGTGATAATATATAAACCACTTGATCTAGTGCCTACCATACTTTAAGCTCTGTGTGAAAGCTAGATGACAACATACTGACATTTTGCAACATTTATCTCAGGTCTATTTTTCATATGTTTATTTTAAAATTCACTATGTTAAATTCATTTTGTTTTAAAAATGTTACATAACTTATTGAAATAACTAACATATATTAAACTGGTTCCTTACCCTATACATTACAGGTTTTGGTAAAAGTAGATGAAAGAAATCCAGTAAAAATCAGACTATTTCACAATGCTTAGTTTTTAAAAATTCCTTTTTCAGTGTTGTTTTAAACATGAGCTTTACCATTTGCATGAAAAATATGTTGGATTCTCAAAAATCTGACACAGTGATTTTAGACTTGGAAATGTGGTTCAGGAGTTTGCCAAGTTTTAATTTTTCATAATGAAGAGTCAGCATAGTGAAATGTGAAATGTGTACTTGAGTGACTACTAGACTTTAACTGAATTCCCAAATTATAAAAGAGAGAGGGCCAGGTGTGATGGCTCATCCTGTAATACCAGCACTTTGGGAGGCCAAGGCAGGCAGATCACCTGAGGTGGAGAGTTCCAGACCAGCCTGACCAATGTGAAGAAACCCCATCTCTACTAAAAATACAAAATTAGCCAGGTGTGGTGGCACATGCCTGTAATCCCAGCTACTCGGGAGACTGAGGCAGGAGAATTGCTTAAACCTGGGAGGCAGAGGTTGCGGTGAGCTGAGATCGCACCATTGCACTCCAGCCTGGGCAACAAGAGCAAAACTCCGTCTCAAAGAGAGAGACAGAGAGAGAGAGAGAAGGTCCAGGTGTGGTGGCTCACACCTGTAATCCCAGCACATTGGGAGGCCGAGGCAGATGAATCACCTGAGGTCAGGAGCTCGAGACCAGCCTGGCCAACATGTTGAAACCCTGTCTCTACTAAAAATACAAAAATTAGCTGTGTGTGGTGGCGCACACCTGTATTCTCAGCTATTCAGGAGAATGAAGCAGAATTGCTTTAATCCGGGAGACGGAGGTTGCAGTAAGCCAAGATCATGCCACTGCACTCCAGCCTGGGTGACAGAGAGAGACTCCATCTAAAAAAAAAAAGAGAGAGAGAGAGAGAGAAAGAGAAGGAAGGAGAAGGAAGATGAAGCAGAGAAAGAAGGAAGGAGAAGCAGAGAGGGATGTAGGGAGTGAGAGAGACAGACAGAAAGGGACAGAGAGAGAGAGAGAAAGAAAATACACCAAAGCTTACATTTTTCTTATTTTCTTCAGGGTGTTGGTGTCACCCTTATGATAAATGAGAGTCAAGCCAGGAATGCTTCTCCTTGGCTGCCACAGAGTATTGCCTCACTTGCTTTGAAGTGGGCTGTGCCTCTCCTTTGGAGACAGTACATCTGCTGTCGCCTCCAATTCTTTTGACAGTAATTGACTGAGCCTTACTGCCCTCTTGCACCTGTGATTTAACTTTAAAATGTCTGAATAAAATCAGATATGCCCAGAAAATCTTTGAATATTCAATTGTCATTTCTTTTGGCAAAATAGTAAATACTGCTGGATTTGTAAATTTAGCTATGAATTGACTTGATTCAGCATTCTCAAAGTACACTGACCTGCTATGAGCATTGCTTTATCCTTTATCCAGCAACTTGTTTGAGCACCTGTTATAGGCCAGATGCTGTGCTATCTAGTGGAGATCCAAACATGAGCAAAAGAGACTGCATCACTGGTCTACAGAGTTTACTGGTCTACAGTGAAATAATAAACTGCATCACTGGTCTACAGTGAAATAATAAACCTAAGGTCTGCACTAATAACAAACATGAGGAAAAGACAAAAATTGAACATATGTTCATGAGACTTGGCTTAAAATGGGAATCCATATATTCTCACAGGTGCAGTTCAGTTAATTTCAGAGTATGTATTTGCATATATCTTGGATAGGAATACTTGGTCTTAATGCTTGTGGCTACAATTTAATAGCTTACTGACCTCAAGCAAGTTTCTTAAGTTTGCCTTGTCTAACTAACATTCCTCACCTACAAAATCAGAAAAATAATGTTTTTGCTATCTCCCTCAAACCTCAAAGGCATGTAATAAGAACACTTCAGATGTATAAAATGTATAATTAAATTAAAGTTACTTTCTATACACCCTCTTTTTAATTTAATTTAATTTTAAGTTCCAGGATACAAGTGCAGGATGTGCAAGTTTGTTACATAGGTAAATGTGTACCATGTTGGTTTGCTGCACCTATCAACCCATCACCTAGGTATTGAGCCCTGCATGAATTAGCTGTTTATCCTGATGCTCCCCTTCTCCCCCAACCCCTGAAAGGCCACAGTGTGTGTTGTTCCCCTCCCTGTTTCCATGTGTTCTCATTGTTCAACTCCCACTTATAAGTGAGAACATACGGTGTTTGGTTTTCTTCCTGCATTAGTTTGCTGAGGATAATGGCTTCCAGCTCCATCCGTGTCCCTGCAAAGGATCTGATCTTGTTCCTTTTTATGACTGCATAGTATTCCATGGTGTCTATGTACCACAATTTCTTTATCCAGTTTATCATTGGTGGGCATTTGGGTTGATTCCATGTCTTTGCTATTGTGAATAATGCTGCAATGAACATACACGTGCATGTATCTTTGTAACAGAATGATTTATGTTCCTTTGGGTATATACCCAGTAATGGGATTGCTGGGTCAAATGGTATTTCTGGTTCTAGGTCTTTGAGGAATCACCACATTGTCATCCACAACGGTTGAACTAATTTACATTCCCACCAACAGTGTAAAAGCATTCCTATTTCTTCACAGCCTTGTTAGCATCTGTTGTTTCTTGACTTTTTAATAATCACAATTCTGACTGACGTGAGATGGTATCTCATTGTGGTTTTGATTTGCATTTCTCTAATGATCAGTGATAATGAGCTTTTTTTCATATGTTTGTTGGCCGCATAAATATCTTCTTTTGAAAAGTGTCTGTTCATGTCCTTTGCCCACTTTTTAATGGTTTTTTTTTTCTTGTAAATCTAAGTTCTTTGTAGATTCTGGATATTAGACCTTTGTCAGATGGATAGATTGCAAAAGTGTTCTCTCATTCTGTAGGTTGTCTGTTCACTCTGATAATAGTTTCTTTTGTTGTGCAGAAGCTGTTTAGTTTAATTAGATCCCATTTGTCAATTTTTGCTTTTGTTGCAATTGCTTTTGATGTTTTCGTCATAAAATCTTTGCCTCTGCCTATGTCCTGAATGGTATTGCCTAGATTATACACCCACTTTATTGTTCTTTACTGACATCCTAAAAACTCCACCACATTCAATCATGGCTTTGAAACCTGGCTCACTCACCCCACCTCACATCCACCCTTCAGCCAGAATTCCAGTGCTCAGCAACACAGACTCCCAGTGCTTTAACTTCTGCTGTGGCTTTCATACTCTCTCTCCTTTCCTCACTTGCGGGTTCCCACTCTTTTCTTTGTCTTCATCTAGAATTTGTCAACCTTAGAAATCTTTAGCTCCAGCGTTCCACCTCTGGACATAACCTCCTAGCCTCCCAGCAATAGGCCACTCACACTAACATCTTGCTTATTCTGCAACATAACTCAGATCTCTGGCCCATGGTCCTTCTATTTAGCCATCTATTAGCCCTTGTCTTGACTCTTCAGATAAGAGGAACATCATGGGAATGACAGATGTGGTCATTTCATTCCTTCAGCTTGTCTGGAATGGTTCTCTTCCCTTCCAGTTGGGTCAGCTCAACGACCGTGGACAGAACCCACAATTCAAATGCCCACCACATCAGGAATTGCCTTTCACACACTTGTGACCAAGGTGATTTTAGAAAGGTGGCATTTTTTTCTTCAACAGATGGGGGAAGTATAGCAAAAGCAGCTCTTTCCTTTGGTGTTGGGGATCAGGGAAAAGATATCACAGGAGCCACAGAGTCAGCCTTGTTTCTTGCAAGCTCAAGGCTGTCTGCCAGCACAAGCCGACTTCAGTTCTCTTTTGAAAACCTCCTCATCGTTTGTGAATATCAGCTGTGACTTCTTTGTCTGATTTCATGTTCTTCAGATGCAGAACCACCTGTCATAGACTGGTGCAGATCTCCACCTCCCGTCCAGGTCTCGGAGAAGGTACATGCCGCAAGCTGGGATGAGCCTCAGTTCTCAGACAACTCAGGTGAGGTGACAAGGACTTTGTTGTCAGCATAGTAGCAATGAATTCTTTTTTATTTTAAAAAGCTTTTTAATGGGATAAAAGAGAAAAAGCAAATAACAACTGTCTAGGGAGAATGAATAATTATATAAGTTAACATGTTTTAATGCTAGAATAATTATAATTTAACATTATCAATCTTACCTATCAATGAGAGTTTTCCTAATTCAGTATTTCATGGGCATTTGTTGAACCTGCACTAGGTGTTGTACCTAGCAGGGTGCTAATGAATTTCTTTAGTCTCCAAGCTTATGTTGCTCTAGAGGTATAAACCATGCATTTTATCGGCATCTCTACTGCACATCTATATATTCAGACTCAGTTCTTAAATACTTGACAAATAAAATTATAAAAGGTCATAAGAAAGTAGAAAAAAACTAAGCAAATACAATTGAAGTTTATTTTAAGGGTTTCAGTAGAACTCAGAAAACAACAAAAAATGCAAATTAAGTAATTTCTTAATTTAAGTCCCAATGTCGTAGCAGACTTACCTATTGCCTAGTTGCTTTGTAGGACATCTCAAAGGACTTTGAGAAAATCAGTTGTTTGTCAAAAAAAGCCTTAATTTAATGGGGTTGTTGAATCTACTATTTCTATGTTACTGCATAAAATTAAATCTTTTATTTTCTACTAGTGGGCTAAGCAACATGGAATGCCCAACTGATTTGCATAAGTAGGACATGAAACTTCAAATTAAATAAGAGACTAATAAAGTGACTATAGGCTGGGCGCGGTGACTCACACCTGTAATCTCAGCACTTTGAGAGGCCAAGGTGGGCAGATAACCTGAGGTCAGGAGTTCAAGACCAGCCTGGCCAACATGGTGAAACCCTGTCTCTAACTAAAAATACAAAAATTAGCTGGGCGTGGTGGCAAATGCCTGTAATCCCAGCTACTTGGGAGACTGAGGCAGGAGAATCGCTTGAGCCTGGGAGGTGGAGGTTGCAGTGAGCCGAGATCATGCCATTGCACTCCAGCCTGGGCAACAGAGTAAGACTGTTTCAAAAAAAATATTGTGAATACAACCCAAAAATTGGCTGCCTTCTTTCCTTTCCAGGGGCTGAATTGGTCATTACCAGAAGTCATACACAAGGAGACCTTTTCCCTCAAGGGGAGACTATAGTACAGTATACAGCCACTGACCCCTCAGGCAATAACAGGACATGTGATATCCATATTGTCATAAAAGGTATTGTCTTCATAAGTCCCCAGAATTCTAGTTGACATTTGACACATGTCATTGCTATAGTGCTCTGTTTTATGAAAGAAAATAGGCTATGAGCATTAGATTTTTACAGTTAGAAGACTGACAGGTTTTATTTAGGTTTTCCATTGTCATTCCTTGACCTTGTGATAGATATAAATGTTTTCTCCCAGAACAGTCTTTAGTTAACATTTTGTTAACATTTTCTCTAAGGTTACAATGTATTATTGACATTATCCTATTTTAAATGTTTGAGAAGACAGATTCTGAAAACATATTTGCTGCACAATGTTATCCAGTTTTTGTTTTTATTAAAGGAATGTCAAAAATAAGGGCAGGGCATGGTGACTCACGCCTGTAATCCCAGTGTTTTGGGAGGCCGAGGCGGGTGGATCACTTGAGATCAGGAGTTTGAGACCAGCCTGGCCAATGTAGTGAAACCCTGTCTCTACTAAAAATAAAAAAATTAGCCAGGCATGGTGGCATGTGACTGTGGTCCCAGCTACTCAGGAGGTCAAGGCACAAGAATTGCTTGAATCCAGGAGGCAGAGGCTGCAGTGAGTCGAGATAGCACCACTGCATTCGAGCCTGGGTGACAGAGCAAGACTCTGTCTCAAAGTAGTAGTAATAATAATAATAATAATAACTCCAAGTCAGAAGTACTTTAACTTTTTTATAAAAATATGCACAACCTCTAATTACACGTAGGTACAGCTTTTCAATGTATGTCAATCTAGGAACCAAAAAGCATGTGTTGTCCTTCTCCTGCACTAAAGACATATGGTAAAAGCTTTTCTAGAAATAGCGATAGACAGGAGGAGTCCTTTTCAAAATTCTGCTTAAGCTCCTGGAATTTAATTTATGCTTCTTGTACCACTATATATGAATAGTACAATTTTTTTTACACAGGTTCTCCCTGTGAAATTCCATTCACACCTGTAAATGGGGATTTTATATGCACTCCAGATAATACTGGAGTCAACTGTACATTAACTTGCTTGGAGGGCTATGATTTCACAGAAGGGTCTACTGACAAGTATTATTGTGCTTATGAAGATGGCGTCTGGAAACCAACATATACCACTGAATGGCCAGACTGTGCCAGTAAGTTTTAATTTTATTCTAGACTTCTTTAATGTGTGTGAATGTGTGTACATTTCTAAGTGTTAAAGAGGAAAATTGCCTTACGATAGGAATTAATGGAAAATGGTGCCATGAATTTGAAATGTTTGTGAATAAGAGAATTACTCTTTCCTGGATTTAAAATATTAGTCACTAAAGTCTTATTATAGATTGTATTGCTGTAGGACAAGATTCAGTTTAAGGCAGAACCATCTGAGCCCTCTCATTATTTATCAGAAATATCTGGAGACTTGACAATATGTAATTCTGAACCTGTAAATATGAATTTCAAGTCTCATAGTGGCCAGGCATGGTGACGTATACCCGTAATCCCAGCATTTTGGAAGGCTGAGGCGGGTGGATCACTTGAGCCCAAGAGTTCGAGACCAGCCTACCATCTCTACAAAAATATTAAAAAAAAAAAATTAGTTGGGCCTGGTGGTGTGCTCCTGTGGTCCCAGTTATTTAGGAGGCTAAGTTGGGAAAGTCGCTTGAGCCCTGGAGTTTCAGACTGCAGGGAACTTTGATCACATCACTGTACTTCAGCTTGGGTGACAGAATGAGACCCTGTTGCACAAAAAAAATAGAGAAAAAACTCTCATAGTGTGCAGAAGAGCTACTTTAAAATAAAATCTAACATACATGATGGAATAAAATACATCAATCATAGTCTCTTCATATTTGATTTAGATTTTAAACTATTCTATAATCTTAAATATACATTGTTATAAAAATAACCTAATGTATTCATTTAGTGTAAATAAATATTCTCTGAAGTGAATCTTTGATCCACTACCATAAATGGAATTTAAATACCAGTGTCTTGGAAAAAAATGTGAAACCCACTTAACAGAGCTATTTTCCCCCCAAACTGCAGTAGTAAATAGAAACAATACCATTCACCTCTTTCACAGATTGAGACGGTGGGATGCTAGTAGGAGACTGTCCCTGAATTCTTCAGGGGCATTTTGCAAAGTCTACCATGCAAGCTTTTGATCCAGGGAGAAATTTGTCTTTATGACAATTACACTTTCAAGGAATATGATTGCACAAAAATAATATTTAGAAATGTTTCAATGCCTATTTTTTAAAATTATTATATGTGCTATATAAGATATAACAACTTTGAGCCAGCCAGGATTTTTCAAAAATTCCCAGGAATATAATGAAAACAATTTTTATGTATCTTCTTCCCTTAAATACTCACTTTTTGTATGAATGGAAGATAAAGAATCATATATCAAAAGCAAACTCTTCACTGGATAACTGAGTCCAGTGCTGCTTGGTGCATGGTTTATTATGATCATTTAATGCCTAGAAACTCTCCTTAACTGTCATCTCTTGTTTTTATAACAATCCCACAAATTATGTTAGAATTAAAACATTGTTTCAATTATTTCATAGAAAGTCAAATCTTTGTTTTAAAAACACTAACCAACTGAAGCTGTTTTGTCCAACATTTTCTAGAAAAACGTTTTGCAAACCACGGGTTCAAGTCCTTTGAGATGTTCTACAAAGCAGCTCGTTGTGATGACACAGATCTGATGAAGAAGTTTTCTGAAGCATTTGAGACGACCCTGGGAAAAATGGTACATCAATAGTGGTCATTTATTGTGTGTTCTTTTATAAGGCTTTCATAACCTTTCTGAGTCATTTACAACTGCGATTTCTCATCCTATTTCCCTCTTCTTTGTGATCCAGACATGTACCTAATATTTAAAATTATTCATAGATTTTGAACTTCTAAAATGACTTAGAAGTAAATATGCATTAAAACATTTTTGAATCTTTAAAAACATCCTTAGGAAGTCAGAGAAGCTTAAGGTCTGGATGGTTGGAGAATGCCTTTATTATTTAAAGTTTGACAAAAATGCCAAACATTGTAGGTGGTATTTTGTTTATGATAAGAAGATAATTGGACACTTAAAAGATAATTGTACATTTAAAAGATTTAAAAGATGCATTTTTGTTTAGAAAGGACTCTTACAACAATTATAAAAAAAACAGACCAGGCGCGGTGGCTCACGCCTGTAATCCCAGCACTTTGGGAGGCCAAGGAGAGTGGATCATGAGATCAGGAGTTCGAGACCAGCCTGGCCAACATGGTGAAACCCCGTCTCTAGTAAAAATACAAAAAAACTAGCCAGGCATGGTGATGTGTGCCTGTAATCCCAGCTACTCAGGAGGCTGAGGCAGGAGAATCACTTGAACCTGGGAGGTGGAGGTTGCAGTGAACCAGATCGCGCCATGCACTCCAGCCTGGGCAACAGAGAAAGACTCCGTCTAAAAAAAAAAAGAAGAAGAAAGAAAAGAAAATACAGCAATATATGTAACTGTATTGAACATCTTCAAGGCAGGAACCATGCTAGATACATATTTGTATGCCCTGCAGACTCGGTAGCACTTTATTTATTTGCTAACATTTTATTGTGCTGCTTACTGTATGCCAAGCACGTTACAAGTACACCTAACATATTAACGAATGTCCATTCAAAAACACTTGGTAAAAACGTTATATTTAAATCTATTCAATAAAACCAAATTCCAAAAAGAGAAATAATGTTGTCACTGTTACTAGCAAACCAAGAAAATATTGCGCCCATTAGGCCTCTGTTACTATAGACCTATACTCGAAAGGCAACAATACACTCATACTAATTATACTCCACCCCAAAGTGGTGAAGAAATCTTTAAAATGTTAAATATTTTTGTGTGTGTTAGACTCAGTGTCTATCAGACACTAAATTGTAGCAGGTTAAAGGTGCTATAAGGGAATAGGATGTGCTGTTAAATGCTTATGTATTCATTTAATAAATATTTAGTAAGTATGTCCTATTCTAGACACTAGGGATTTAGATCTGAATAAACAGGCAAAACTCCCTGTGCTTATAGAATTTACATGTTAATGAATAGACCAACAATAAACAAATTACAAGGAAAATATGTAGCATGTCAGATGGCGTATGCTATGGAATAAAATAAAGCAGAAGATGGGAAAGCCTCACTAGGTTCCTGTTTGAGAGGAGACCTGAAAGAATGAGGCAGTGAGCCACGAGCATATCTAGGGGAAGAGCGTTCCAGGCAGAGGGAGTAGCAAGTGCAAAGTCCCTGAGGCAGGAGTGTGTTTCAGAGTTTGAACCACCGTAAAGATGTCAGAGTGGCAAAGGTAGAGAAGATGACAGGCTGAGTGATAGATGGTCAAAAAGATTACATGTGGAAGAGGAGATGGGGGTAAGAAGAGAAATCAGACTGTGGAGAGCCTTGAAAGTCACTATAAATCTTTGCCTTTTACTCTAATTAAATGGAAAGCCATTTGAGGGAACAACTTACTGATGACTTTGGGCTCTAGGAGGAGAGGGTAGGAGAGAGTAAGAAGACCACATAGGAAATGAAAGCAAGAGATGATGGTGGCTTGGGTGGCACTGGAGGTGGTGAGAAGTGAATGGATTTTTTTTATATCTTCTGAAAGTAGATTCAGTAGGACTTGCTGATACATTGGAAGTAGATTGTGGGATAAAGAGAAGAGTCAAGGAGGCAGAGCATACAAGGGCATAGGTCCAGGTACTGGGTACTCATGGGGATGGAAGTGTGTGAACGGAGGCTCTTTTCTGAGTTCAATTTTGATCGGCGTAAAAAAAATGATCATCTGAGAGTAAGAATGGGGAGGAGTTGTTGGAGGCTTCAGAAGAGAGAGGTGGTGTAAAATAATTTTCTAAGAAAGGATGAATAAGTATGCTAAAGAAATGTAGTAAGATTGGCAGCCAGCAGGGTTACATTTTTTCTCAAGCCTTAGTTGACTGTGTAGTACAGGTGTGGGGAAGCAGAACGATTAATTTAACCAAGGTTAAGTGTTGTCCAGGCAAACAAATTGAGGAAGAGGCATGCAAGGGAGGAGACATTCCATGGTGATGGATCGTGGAATCTTAGATGGGTAAACAAGGACATGAAGACATGAGTGGCTAAAGGAGAGGCACTAGGGTCGATGGATTATACATTCTGATGAAGTCAAGGAACTGTTGGATTCCTGAGAAGAGGAGAAGGTGCAGTTTCTGACAATGACAAGGTCTGAGGGTATGACTACAGGAGTGAGTGACAGAGTAAGGCTGGAATACAAGAGAGAAGAGGGAAAGGAACTGAGAATCCAAGGAGATGGAAGAGTTTGCTAGGTGACTATAGAAATCACCAAGAACTATAACAGGGACAGTTACCAAATGTTCTTGGAATGAGGGAGTGACGCAGAGGGGAAATGCTGCAGGTGACTGTCACCAGAAGGGTCAGTGAGTGGTAGAGTTGACAGCATGAGCTTCAGAACTGTGAGCCTTTAAGGGGATATGAGGGAGTTTGATCTGGAAACAGCAACGAAGAGTGAGAAGGACCTTCCTCCACCTTCAGGCCTGCCCCCAATTCCAGAATTCTGGAATTTCTAGTATTTCTAGAATATTTTCTGGGAGATGTTCCAGAAAATTGGAAAGGTTTTAGGGCAAAGGTGAAGAGAACATAAAGAGAGGAGGTAGAAAATAACAGATTTGCTGATTACTGACTGAGCTTCAGAGGGCATAGAGGAAGGCTTGGGGGATTGGGGAAGAGGAGTGGGAGATGGGGTCAGAGAAAGGGTTCCAAAGAGCCATATAGCGAAAGTTTAGAGACAGGAGATATTCCAGGAGCGCTGGGCTTCTCATGGTGAGTGACATAAACAGAGATAAAAGGTGTGAAACTAATCCTGGTGACCAACAGACAGTTAGAGGCTGTAGGGGAGGAGGGTCAGAATCCCTTTGAGGAATGTGCAGAGCTCTGGGGCCCTCCCTTCCCTCCTGCTGATGGAGACGTGAAGGCCAGGGGAGCAAAGTGTTTATCCAAGGCATGCAGAAAAGTGATTTACACTTTATCCTCTTCATTTTTTACTTGCAGGTCCCATCATTTTGTAGTGATGCAGAGGACATTGACTGCAGACTGGAGGAGAACCTGACCAAAAAATATTGCCTAGAATATAATTATGACTATGAAAATGGCTTTGCAATTGGTAATTAAATTCTGTGGCATCGGTAGTTGGCAAGACTAATCTGCAAAATAAGAATAATTCCAGAAAAGTGAGGCAAACTAGAAACATTAACTTCTATTAATTTATTCATCAAGTATTTTAGGATGGCTAAATAATTTGATAATGTGCTGAAAGATCATTAAGGTTATATCAAATTTTAGTAACAAATAAATTATTTAAAATTATTTGCCAGGATTCTTAAAAATGACAAAAACTAAGAAAACTAAGTCACATATGCTGGTAAAATTCAAATGTTGATGTATCCTAAAAGAGAATAGTAATAAAGTCCTAACAGCAACTTTTATATGGCATTCAGTGTAAGTTACAATGAAGTCATTAACATAAAACAGTTACACATGTAAAATATTCAGATTCCTCACCAAAAATATGTTAAGATTCCATTTATTCGAGTCTAATATATCTTTAAGTGGAATTTTGATGTTTTCTCTATGTATACTCTGAACATTTTTATTAAGATTATTTTTTGCCAGGCATGGTGGCACACACCTGTAGTCCCAGCTACTTAGGGGGATGAGGTGGGAGGATCCCTTGAGCCCAGGAGTTCGAGGCTGCAGTGAGCCATGATTATGCCACTGCACTCCAGCCTGGGCAACAAAGTGAGACTTTGTATCAAAAAAAAAAAAAAGATAATAATAATAATGATATTGTTATCAAAGTAGTGTAATGGTTAAACACGTGGACTCTACAACCAACTACTTAAGTCTAAATCCTAGCCTCACTACCTACTAGCTGTGTGATCTTGAGCAAGCTATCAACACACTCTGTGCCTCAGTTTCCTCACCTATAAAATGGGTATATAAGAGTATTCACCTCATGTGACCATTTTAAGCATCAAATGAATAAGTTCAAGTCATGTGTTTAGAAGGTTATGAGATGGTAAGTATTAATTCGCATTACGGCAGACATCTTTTCCATTTCGAATACTAGTCATGTCTGTAATATTTTTGGTGATTTAGCATTAAGAGTGATGTTGACTGTTGCTTTTGATTTTTAAATTTTTTTAAATATCATTTGTGCATATGTTTATTATACAATTTTTAAAATGCTTAAAAACAAAAAATGAAATCAAGATAATCCACAACCCCAGAAATAAGACTGTTAATACATGTATATATTTATAAGTATATATGTATGTAGATACACATATATATACCATACTATATATACTGTATATATACCATACTATGATATATACATATTATTATATATATAAAACTGCTTATTGTGTATATACTGATGCTATTTTGAACACAAATTCTTAGTTAACATTGTATTGAGGACATTTTTATTCACTAAATATCCTACTTCAGTACAGTTTGAATATTATCCCATCGATCAGTTTACCATAATTTATAGAAATAGTTTCCTATTGGTAGATTTTGGGTTATTTTCGGTTGTTTACTATTATGTACAGCACTTTAGTGAACATTTTGGAAATTAAGGTTTTAGATAGGAAAAAGTAAGGTGGCATTGTCAGTAACATATCTAGAATAATCAACCCTCTTCTGTTAAACACGATCCAGGTTTCCCCTCCCAGATTGTTGCGGTAGGTTTTGGGGGCACAAGGTTACACCTAGAGAGAGTCAGTTGTCATCACAAGTCTATGAGATGAGCGATATTTGTCACCTAATAAGGGTCCAAATGGCAATTCTTGAGAAAAAAGCATGGGCAGGTGGCACATGTGATCCTGTGATCCTAAAAACAAGCATTGCTCCCCAAATGTATTCCCAGTAGAAAGTCACAAGATCGGTGTAACATTTATAACCATGCCTTGGAAGGTCATAATGTATGAAAAATAAGCAACCAGTAAATATAATAAAATCAAGTTGACTTCATAATAATCATGTAATATAAAATTAAAACTAGGCCAGGCAAGATGGCTCACACCTGTAATCCCAGCACGTTGGGAGGCTGAGGTGGGCAGATCACCTGAGGTCAGGAGTTAGAGACCAACTTGGCCAACATGGTAAAACCCCATCTCTACTAAAAATACAAAATTAGCAGAGCATGGTGGCACGTGCTTGTAATCCCAGCTACTCGGGAGGCTGAGGCAGGAGAGTCACTTGAACCCGGGAGGGGGAAGTGGCAGTGGGCCGAGATCATGCCATTGTACTCTAGCCTGGGCAAAAAGAGCAAAACTCCATCTCAAAAAATAAAATAACTAAAGTGGAATGCAATTTTTGACCTGTCAGATTAACAAACAAGAATTATAATACCCACAGTTGGCAAGAATGTAGGGGAAAAAATCATATTCATACATTGTATAGAAAGAAATTAAGAGGGCATTTGACAATATGTATCTAAAGGATTTTAAATGCCCATGCACTTAGACCCAGAAATTTCATTTCTAAGAATATTTCTCAAGGTAAAAATCATGCCATTGTGCAAATATGTACTACATTTCATAAATTTTGAGATGCATATTTTTCCTTTAGACCTGAAATTGGGATGTATCTTCTAACCGATGGTATCTTAGATTTGATTAAATACCGTATGTGCAAGGATATTCTAAACATTTGAAATAACCTAAAAGTCTAAAAATAGAAACTGTAGGTTGTTTGTGTTGTACCATACAAGAGAGTATTATGTGGCCATTTCACATAGAAATGCCATAAAATTTGAAAAAGATTACTAAATAATACATACATAGCATAATCTTGTTTTGTTAAAAGTGTGTTGTTTGTTTTTATTCCAGGTTTGTGTGTGTGTATGTATATGTATGTATGCACATATGCATAAATGTATATCTGTGTGTATATTTATACATTCACAGTGGGAAAAAAGCTTGCCTAAAATGTTCATGGTGATTATTTCTATGTGGTAGCATTGTAGTAATTTTTAATACATTTCTCTTTGCTCATTTTTTTTATAACAGCTACTTAATGCTTGTGGAGAAAATGTTTAAGTAAAAAGATGATATTAATCCCAGTTAATTTTAATAGCCAAAGCATAAATAAAGCCAAAAAGTTCACAAAACAATTTACTTAAGTAGAGAGGCCTATATAAATATAAATTATTGTCTAAAGTACATAACAATAGAATGGCCAGAATAATATTCATATAGTTTTATAATAAGTCAAATACTGAGTTTGACAGCTTATATATTTTGTCTCATTTAATCCACAGACAAATCTATCAGGTAAGAATCATCTCAATTTATAAATCAAGAAACTGAGGCTCAGAAAGATGAAAGTAACTTGACTAAGATTATACAGCAGCCTACATCGAGAAGCCACAATCTGAACCCATGCAGTTAATCACAGTGATATCAAGGGCATCTAGAGAATTCCATGTACCCTTGTTGCCTCCAGTGTGGTTGTATGATAGAATCATTTAACTTATGTGCTGCCTTTGAAAACTACCCTTACCTTTAAAATATGATGAAAGCATCTTGAGTAATCTTCATGAGAGGAGATCTATTTATGTATATTAATAGTTTTAAGGTCAATTTTAAAAAAAGAAAAAAGGATTGGAGAAAGCCTTGCAAAGAAATAGAAATTGACTAGAATTTTGCACCCAGCTCTTATTTACCTCTAAAATTTACCTCTAAAGCTAAAATAATTAACTATTAACTCAAAGATAGAGTGGTATAAATGCCCTAGTAGTTCCATAGAGACTTTTCTTTCTTCTTTTAGTATTATTCATTGGTAATCTGTATTAAATATGAAGTGATCAAAAATTACAATATATATAACATTGTAGACCAAACCCTGTATGCAGTATGTTATGGGCATTTGAGGAAATGGTCAAGTGTAATTTCACTTGTGGCTTAACATTAGAACCTGAACGCTGACGAAAAAGCAACTGTGTGATCATTTGTGTCTCTGCCCCGACTATCCAGGACCAGGTGGCTGGGGTGCAGCTAATAGGCTGGATTACTCTTACGATGACTTCCTGGACACTGTGCAAGAAACAGCCACAAGCATCGGCAATGCCAAGTCCTCACGGATTAAAAGAAGTGCCCCATTATCTGACTATAAAATTAAGTTAATTTTTAACATCACAGGTAAGGATAAACTGTCTATTTGAAAAAGCAATATAATGGAAAATTCTTGGTTGGAAACCTGCTTCTCAAATCTTCCATTTGTTATCATTATTAGGAAATGACTCTGGAATTGAGAATTAGGGAAAGCACAGTTAACTAAGCCTTGTCATCTTTTGCTGTCAGTATCATAGATGTCTTTTGTAGGTCTCACGGCGAAAAGCACCCTACTTCGTTCTCATCTTGGCATGATTAAGGTGCGCTTTTAAAATGCAAGAATTTACAGGAATTTATTATGTTATAATAAAGAACTCCCAAAAAAGGTGATATAGATTTAGCATCTGAGAGGACTGAAACAAATTGTATAGTTCTTAGTCTTATCCATGTACTTAACTTAATTGTTCACTAAATAGTGGTTAAATTTATTTTGAATTAATTTTTCCTGAAAGATTTTTATTTTTTTTCTATAGACCACTTATTAGTACTAAAAGATTTTAAGTATTTCTGTTTGGTAAAAAATTAACTACAAATGACTTTCTGAAACACCATGTGTTTGTGTTGTGTTTTATTTTGTTTTTATCTCAGCTAGTGTGCCATTACCCGATGAAAGAAATGATACCCTTGAATGGGAAAATCAGCAACGACTCCTTCAGACATTGGAAACTATCACAAATAAACTGAAAAGGACTCTCAACAAAGACCCCATGTATTCCTTTCAGCTTGCATCAGAAATACTTATAGCCGACAGCAATTCATTAGAAACAAAAAAGGCTTCCCCCTTCTGCAGACCAGGCTCAGTGCTGAGAGGGCGTATGTGTGGTAAGACTGTTCCCTGTGATCAAAAATATTTGGTGCATACTGGGTCAAATGAGATGGGTGTAGCCATTTTACAACTATAAAGGGATATTGAAATGAAACATATTTTGCTCTTGTTGTGTGGTTGTTATTATTACTATTTTGTCTCAAGAGTCTAAGGAACTACTGTTGGTAGGGACAGGAAATCTAGTTCAGGGAGGGACTCAAATCTGATTTTTATTTAAAGATCTTTAGACCTCACAGCTTTCAGTAACAGCTCCAATAATAATAATGAATACTTTTTGACCACTTCTGTATTCCAGCTGAGCACCAGTCATGTTTAATCCTGTTTAGCACCTCTGTGAGGTACCATTATTATTAAACACATTTTACGGATGAGAAAACTGAAGCCAGAGAGGCTACGAATTTGCCCCTAAGACTTACCCATTAAGACAGTAAGTGGGGAGGGATAGCATTAGGAGATATACCTAATGTAAATGACAAGTTAATGGGTGCAGCACACCAACATGGCACATGTATACATACATAAGAAACCTGCACGTTGTGCACAGGTACCCTAGAACTTAAAGTATAATAAATATATATATATATTTATTTTTCTATATATATATATATGAAGACAGTAAGTGGAGGCCAGGCTCGGTAGCTCATGCCTGTAATCCCAGCACTTTGGGAGGCCAAGGCGGGAGGATCACTTGAGCCCAGGAGTTCGAGACCAGCCTGGGCAACATGGCAAAACCCTTTGTCTACAAAAAATACCCCAAAAATTAGCCAAGCATGATGGCACATGCCTGTAGTCCCAGCAACTCGGGAGGCTGAGGTGGGAGGATTACTTGAGCCCCAGAAGTCAAGGCTGCAGTGAGCTATGATTGCGCCACTGCACTCCAGCCTGGGCAACAGAGTGAGATACTCTCTCAAAAATAAAAATAAAATAAGACAGTAAGTAGTGTGGCAAAAATTCCCATCCAGGCAGCCAACACGAGTCTTAGCTTTTTTTTTAATTGAGGTGAAGTTCACGTAACATAAAATTAACCATTTTAAAGTGTATAATTCAATGGCATGAAGTACATTCACAATGGTGTGCAACCATCACCTCTCTTCCCAAAACATTTTCATCACCCTCAAAGGAGACTCTATGCCCATTAAAGTCACTCCCTATTCTCCCTCCCCACTCCAAACCCCTTAACTTTTAAGCCCGATTCTAGACTGCCATGATCTGGGTCAATTCCAGCCTGTTCCCCAAAGAAATCATCATTTATAGATAAGGAAATCTCCTGTAATGGAACTGTGTACACTCAGCTGAACCGAATGGCATGAATCTTACGTTCATCTCTCCATAAACGTGGGTTCTTGTGCCCTTCTTCCACAGTTCTTATTGCTAGTCCAAGAGCTCCGTTGGGTTTTTTATAGTGTGACAAATTCAGCCAATCAAAAGCACATTAAAATTGTTGTTCTAAGCCTGCATTTGTTTCCTCCCCACCTTGTGAGTAAAAATTAGGAATCACGTTGAGCGGTGTTTCTCATTTCTCAGTGTGATCTTGCATCACATAAAATGCTTGTAAAGTGCATCTTGACTCAGGCCCCATCCTAGGACTAATGCATTTGGAGTTGGGGTCTTGAAATCTGCGTGTTTAACAAGTACATGGGTAATTATTACACACTTTTTAACATCTCAGAATCACCTAGGTACTAATCTCAAGTGTCTTCCCCATTAAGGATATTAACTTTGGTAGCAGGCTTTTCAGTTTAATGTTGTATTTTGGTCTCAGAATTTCTGAGCCACCCCAAACCTACCAAATCTCAAGAAAAGGAGGGTGCTAACTGACAAGCAGTCAGTTTCAATGGGGAAGCATTCAGAGAAACAACTAAGAAAATGTTTGTAGTATCTGAAATCCTCAAAGGAACCTAACTAACTGTTTTTTCCTTTTTTCTCCATCAGCTTTTTCTTTGTTAACTGTCTTTCCCGTGATGATCTGGCTTATCACAGCTTTAACCCACACTTTTAAACCCCCATTATATAAGCCTTAAGCTTGGTCAATAAGAATTTGCTTTATCTTTAAAAAATAAACGAATGTCTTACTGTTGGTTTCTGGGAATATATTTCTGAAAGGTTTACCTTGTGAATAAGCCTCTGGCCATAAAATTTAACCCATAAACAATAGCACCTTCAAGCATGCTTTATTACTTTCATGTCTTAGGAAAAAAAAGCCCAGTGTGTTCCACCGTTGTAGTTTATTCAGTGTTTCCTGTTTGCTTTTTCTGTAGTCAATTGCCCTTTGGGAACCTATTATAATCTGGAACATTTCACCTGTGAAAGCTGCCGGATCGGATCCTATCAAGATGAAGAAGGGCAACTTGAGTGCAAGCTTTGCCCCTCTGGGATGTACACGGAATATATCCATTCAAGAAACATCTCTGATTGTAAAGGTAGAGGCTTACTGGACATTTCAACTAGAAGCAGCCCAATTTTTGTTTCCCTTTTGGGGGAAAGAAAGATTTATTTTCTTCACCCAACACTCGGCTCTTGTCTGAGGCCCCTGTGGCAAAAGATAGATTTGCAAGAGAAAAGCATACACATTTATTCAATATAAGTTTTAGGTGACATAGGAGCCTCCAGAAATGAATCAGGGAAACCTGTATATTTTTATGCTAAATTGGATAAAGAAGAGGATAGTTGTGGAGTAGAATGACCTATTGGGAATAAGCTAGGTGGAGCTTAGCAAGTCTTGTTTGTTCAGATTCTTCAATGTATCCCTGTATCTTCAGGGCTAAGAATATTCTTTTCCTCTGAGTATAGGGTGGGCATTTCTCACATGAGGGTTTTACAGTCTGCTTCAAAGGGGAAGGTCCAAGAATTATTTCTAGGTTTTATGATCTCCTAAAGGAAAGAAAGGCAGAAGTTCAGAGACACTTTCCTGCTTCTATGGTTTTCTCAAATTTCCTTCGGCTTGAAATATTCAGTATGCCAAGGCAAGGTATGATATTTAGGGGTAGGGTGTTCTAAGCCCCATCACAGTCCTGAAATCTAAATGGCAAATAAAATGAAACAATAGTATACAGAAAGCAATTTTATTTATTTTTTCTTTCTTTTAAACATAAAATATTACCTGTTTCCCCCACTTTAAAGAAGTCCATTTAGCTTTCCTTTTGGAAATATTCCATTGCTGTCTCTAAGTCAAACTCCAATCCACATTCATCAGTTAGCCTGGTGTGTTAGGCCATTCTGGCATTGCTATAAAGGATTACTTGAGACTGAGTAATTTATAAAGAAAAGAGTTTTAATTGGCTCATGGTTTTGCAGGCTATGCAGGAAGCATAGCAGCATCTGCTTCTGGGGTGGCCTTAGCTTCCAATCATGGCAGAAGGCAAATAAGGAGCAGGCATGTCACGTGGAGAAAGTAGGAGCAAGGCAGGGGGTTGGGGTGGGAGGGGGGAATATATGGTGGCTCACACCTGTAATCCCAGCACTTTGGGAGGCTGAGGCAGGCAGTTTGTTTGAGCCAAGGAGTTCAAGGCCAGCCTGGGCAACATGGCAAAATCCTGTCTCTACAAAAAATACAAAAATTAGCCAGGCATGGTGGTGCACACCTGTAGTCCCAGTTACTCAGGAGAATGAGGTGGGAGGATTGCTTGAGCCCGGGAGGTGGAGGCTGCAGTGAGCTATGACCGCACCACTGCACTCCAGCCTGAGGGACAGAGCAAGACCCTATCTCAAAAAAAAAAAAAAAAAGTAAAAAAGACAGGGGAGATGCCACATACTTTTATCCAACGAGGTATCACGAGAACTCTATCACTAGAACAGCCCCAGGGGTACGATACTAAACCATCCATGAGAAATCCACCCCCGTGATCCAATCACCTCCCACCAGGCCCCACTTCCAACACTGGGGATTATATTTCAACATGAGATTTGGGCAGAGACACACATCCAAACTATATCTATCAGCTGGATTCTGTTCTTGAATCTCACATCAATTAATGGAAAGAAGTCTCATGACACTTTGCAGTTATTGGATTGCTTTTTGTTAGAATAGTGTCTGATGTGATGAGATCAGTTCTCAGTTTACTTGGAAATGAATAACTACAGGCACATGTGCACATATTCTTGCTGCTAAAATATTCAATATTTTCAAAATATTTTCACTATTATTCTCAGTAAGAGTTCCTGATGGAAACGTTTTCTCTCATAATTAAGGCTACCAGCAAGACATGCCTAAAATAAGGAATTTCAAAAGTGTGCTTCTTTGCCATAGTTCTGCATGCAGGTGTGGGTGTTTAATGACTGATATAAACTCTAGAGCAGTGCTACGTAATTGGAAATGCGCTAAACATGTTAGCAATGGTGAAAAGGAGAGTTGTTTGGAGGTCAAAAGCAGAAAGAAAGGCCAGTACTCTGGGAGTCAGGGCATCTGGCCAAAGTCCTGTTCTTCTACAAATCATCCTTATGAATTATAGCAAGTTGCTTCACCTCTCTGGGCATGAAGGTATGTCTGCTTTTATGTTCTACTCCCCACTGGTCCTTGGATGAAATGGCGTGTCTAGGTAGGAGGAGGTAGCAGAGCCGGTTCTTATTTAGAGCAGCCAGTTCTTTTTTTTTTTTTTTTTTGAGATGGAGTCTCGCTCTGTCGCCCAGGCTGGAGTGCAGTGGCGGGATCTCGGCTCACTGCAAGCTCCGCCTCCCGGGTTCACGCCATTCTCCTGCCTCAGCCTCCCAAGTAGCTGGGACTACAGGCGCCCGCCACTACGCCCGGCTAATTTTTTTGTATTTTTTTAGTAGAGACGGGGTTTCACCGTTTTAGCCGGGATGGTCTCGATCTCCTGACCTCGTGATCCGCCCGCCTCGGCCTCCCAAAGTGCTGGGATTACAGGCGTGAGCCACCGTGCCCGGCCGCCAGTTCTTTTTTAAAGCAGAGATTTCAGAGTAGTTTATAAGGCTCTAGCTAGGTTTGGGGTTTTGTTTCTGCCACGCAGGATAACAGTGTACGTATTGAGAACTTCTACATGAACAAATTCCCAGTGTACAACTTGTTCCTATCATAGTGTCCTTCTGTGCTATGTATTTCTAACTTCATTCGACAACTATTTATTGAACGTGTTCTATGCGTCAAACACTGTAAAAGGTCATAATGGAAGTAAATGGAAACAGTCTAAAACTTAGTATAGAGAAGCATGGTGGTGCCACAATATGCGTATGCTTAGCTAACAGGAGAAAGAGCTCTCTGGGTCCCTCATTCTGTCCTTCTGTCCTAAACTAAAATGCAGAAAACCCTATCCCGCACAGTACTAATTTTATGCAGCTTAATATCATTATTGATAGTAATATTACCTTTTTCTTTTCAGCTCAGTGTAAACAAGGCACCTACTCATACAGTGGACTTGAGACTTGTGAATCGTGTCCACTGGGCACTTATCAGCCAAAATTTGGTTCCCGGAGCTGCCTCTCGTGTCCAGAAAACACCTCAACTGTGAAAAGAGGAGCCGTGAACATTTCTGCATGTGGAGGTTATCAAAGCCTTAGACATTGATATTTCTTTAAACCTACTAGGTTCTATGCATGAAGGAGTGGCATATTTTCTGCAAAAACATACATCTACTCTATGCACAGAATGGAAATAACTGTCTCTTCATAAAGAGGTTTTTTTGTTTGTTTAGTTTCTTTTCTCAGCCAGTTAACACTTAGGTATAAATACCTGCCGTGTAAACACCGGGCTGGGTTAGGAACACAAAAGAAGTACAAGACTTGGTCCCAGGCCTCATACAGTAATAAACATGTGGCTTCGTGATATGGTAGAAATATATCTAAACTAGGAACTTCATTCCCTCCTTTATAAAGTGAAGTTCTGTCTAGTGTTTCTTGAAACTCTAAAAATATTTTATTCTGTGGATTATGAATTTCATTCCTTACGAGTTGAAGGTTTTCGTGAGTAGTTATTCAGTCAGGCAGCACATTAGAATCATCTTCACATTTACATGAGTATTTTTAAAATACTGAAACCTGATCCTCTCTCCCAGAGATTCTGATTTAACTTGTCTGAGTAGAGGCTGGGAATTGGTTTTCTTTTTTTTTTTTTAAGTTTCCCCAGGTGATTATTTGAAGTGATTAGGAAAATCTGAGAGCCACTAATTTTGGTTCTCAAATGTCAGCATGGAGAGCTTTTTAAGACAGATTGTGAGGCCTTACCTCCAGGGTCTTTGATTCGGTAGGTCTGGGGAGGGGTCTGAGAATTCATATTTCTGTTAACAAATGGTTTCAAGTAATGCTGATTCTACTGGTCCAGGGACCACACATTGAGAACCACTGGTTTAAATAGAAAAAAAAAGATTAGAGTTCCAATTTTTAAGTATTTCTGACTAACATCCCTACTGAGGGATGTTTTCCAGCAAAATACTCATGAACATGTAAACAGAAACAAAAGATGAAAACTTAGAATGACAATGAAATTAGGACTGACAGTCAAGGTCAGCCTACTTCCAGAAATTCCAAAAAATTGCAACTACTGTAATTTGCAAAGTCAATAGAACTGGACTAAAAAGGTTGTTGTTGGCCTACCTCTGCTACTCACTGGGAACTGAACAAACATTCCTTGATGAAAGATTTCTTTTTTAATTGTGTATCCTACCTCTATAGTTTTATTTAAAAACCTAAGGTCTATGGCAACTGAGAAATGAAGAAGCTGTTCCCACATTGAATGATGTTTTTAAGAAGCCAACCTACTGGTTCCCTACTTCTCTCAGGCTACACAGAGACACATAGGCACACTTCCTACTATCACTGCACCCAGCCATGCTTAACTTCATCCAGTTAGAGAGAGATCACCAGTAAACAAGAGGTAGGAAAAGTTAATGTGCAAGGGCAGGAAGGGGCGTTTCCAGCATTGCATCTTGGAAGTTGTAGTCCTCATAAGTGCATTGGGAGAAAAGGAAACAGGCAAAACACACTCTGAATTATAGGTTTATATATACTCCATCTGTTTAAATTATCTCAGTCTAGTAGGATCAAGGTAGATATAAGTCTGAGACCTGAGGCATTGGGCAAGTAATATTCATCAACCTAATAGTTTCACTGAAGAGTTGAGAAGAAAATTTAGGGCCTAACTGAAACGCATAAACCATGTCTGTTGGATAATACCAGCTTTGGATCTTTTAATTAAAAGTCTCACAAGCCTTCACATTCTGATTGAAATAGATCTGCTAGAGACTCTTTTGTCAATATAAGAAATAATTTTGGCAGAAAGTCCACAGTAAAAAATTCTCTCTTCCTGCCCACTTCCTCCAACCACAAAAGCAACTAGGATTTTTATAGTGAAACAAGTTCACATTTGACAATTTTTTTTTAGCTTTCTAAATAAACCTTGAGGTTTGTCTAATACTAAATTATTATAATTAAGGAGTTATAATTCCCAAAAAGTCTCTAAATTTTTGGCCCTACTCTCCTAATATTCCTAGCATAAGTTTAACCACACTCTGCTTGTCATGAGTGGGAATTAGGAATGACAAAAGTTAACATTCTTCTGCGGTGCTGGATAAACATTTTATTTTAAACTTAAATGTGTGCAAGTTCTAAAACGGTCCCTTATATATATTTTTTGTTAGTTTTTAACTCCTTTCTCACTTTCTCTTGCTTGCTTGCTTTTGTCTTTCTTTCTCTTTCTCTCTTTTGCCTTTCTTTTTCTTTCACCTGCCTTTCTTTCGCCTGCCTTTCTTTCTTTCATCAGCCTTTCTTTCTTTCTTTTTCTTCCTTTCTTTCTTTCCTTCCTTTTTCTTCCTTTCTTTCTTTCCTTCCTTTTTCTTTATTTTCTCTTTTGGTATTGATTTACTATTTTTATTACTGATTTATTTTCTATCAGTATTGATTTATTTTTATAGTGTACTGTTTTATTTTGTGCTAAGACATTGCTTTTGCATTTCTCTATCATGTGGCACTTAAAATATTATTATTCAAGATAGCAATCATATTTAAGTATCACAAAGTATATTAGTTTGTTAAAGTAATATATTCTTTGTACATTTTACTTTTTATAACTTGTTAGGTTATTACATATTCTTGGGTTTGTAGGTACACACTCAAGAGTCTGAAATTTTTCATTCATTAAAAATGATTTTTATCAGAAGAATAAGTTCGACAGGTACTTGTTGTTGTTGTTGTTGTTGTTGTTAATATATGATCTATAGGAGAAGAAAAGATGATGTTTAGACTAGGATGACACCACCTTTTACCCTGACTCTCCAGGATGAAGTTAAAAGGAGGCTCAGGAAGTCATTGACCTCTGACCTCATCTTAGGAAACTGATTTATTTATTTAAAATGATCTATAATTAAGGTGTACAAAATGATGTTATGATATTCTTATGCACATATACATCATCTCACATAGTTGCCCTTCTTTGGGTGTGTGTGGTAAGAGAACCTGAAATTCTCTTAGCAAATTTCTAGTATACAATATAGTATTATTAATCATAGTCAGAAAACCCATTGAAAAGGCAAAATCCACTTGGCTCCAGGTCTATATGTGTTGCCCTTAACACTGTCAGAGAACAGCACAAGTGATATGACATTTTTTTCCTGGTCATTTCCATGCACTGTTTGTCATTTGATTTTAATATCATTTTGGCATACTTAGATTATTTCTCTCTCTCTCTCTGTCTCTCTGTCTACAATAGAGGAGGTGAAAAGAGGGTTTTGTTGCATTTTTCTTGACCGGGAGACTAGTTTCTTTGGCCAAGAATCAAAATGAAACATTCACCCCTCTTTTCTCATGACACTAGTTCATTAGGAATTGCGTATTTATGTGTGTGTGTACATGTACATGTTTAGTATTGTATTACATACTAGATAGTGCCACTATTATGTATATGTGTATGTTTATATATACATATATATGCGTGTGTGTGTATATATGTTTACTACATATATAAATACTCTATTAAATGCTAATTGACCACTGCAGGAAAATATATTTCTGAAGACAACTGTCTGCCCTTGGACAATAACTTAAACTAATAAAATTGCACATGCAAATTTATTTTATATTTTCTATGCTAAAAAGTATAGACATTACAATGATGAGTTGGGTATTTTTAGAAGCTAATAGATTTATTTTTAATGTTAGTATTTTATTACTATTACATCTTAGTACAATTTTTTACCTTCTGTTAGTTTCTAGGGGCAAAAACATCTTTTCTTTTTGAGCATCTTTGTGCTGAAAATTATATGTAAAAAAAGTTTAATTCATTATAGCATCTTGAGTTTTACTGATGGAATTTATCTTTTCAGCATTTCATACATACTCAGAGATATTCTCTCAAACAAAAGTTTTATACTTTTACCAGCAGAAGATTGATGCTTTCTGTTAACTAATTAGCTGTGTGTAAGTTACCTTTTCCAAATAGGCAGTCACTCTCGGAAACTTGAGATTGAGGAAACCCATTTTAAGCTAAGCAAGTTTACAGTTTGTGCGAATAACAGAGCTCTACCTAGCACTCTGAGATCTATCAATCAAAGAGTAAATTAGCTTGTTCTTAGTGAAATAAAGATACAGTTTAAAAATGTAAATTTTATGCATGTAAAGACCAAACCTGCAAGAAATATTTTTTCTAAATTTGCATAAAAATCTATGATATTTTCTGCCATCTCTTGATTGAATTACCATCTCTTCATTGAGCTCTTTTGTTAATTGGGTAAAAGAGCTCTTTAGCAAAAAATTTGGCTATTTTTGTTTTAAAATTTTGATCTACATGTCTTGAGATTATCACAAATGCTTTGTTTTTTCTCAAATCAATTAAAAAAAGATGCTATGACATGGCATACCCTGCTCCTTTGAACCTCAGTCCATCTCTAAATTTTTCAACCGTACTACTAATTATCTCTGCTGTACTATTTTTATTGTAAGGACACCAAACCCTAAATGATAAGGATGTTGACATCCTGAGTAGCTACTTTTTGTGTTCTGTCTTCCATACTTACATTTATGCAGACAAGTCTTAGTATTTTTAATAGTTTTCTCAGTTTATAATGGCTTTAAAGCTATCCAGATGATGCCAGTTTATCCAAGGAAAGGACATACCCAACCTGAATTCATACTTGGGTTGCTGTCTAAAACCCCAACCAAAGAGTTAAGTCATGAGTACTCTGTCCCCCTGCCCTCTGCTAAATGCAACAAAACATCATGGAGGAAAACCCGAGCTTGTTTTATGTTTGAGGCCATTTTTAGTTTTGTTAATATTCCACTCGTTAATGGCAAGAGAATTTCAGATTTGGTTAAATGACAATTCTCAAATGAATGTTATTTACAAAAAGCCTAACACAAATGACAGTGAAAGGTTAAAAATAATAAGATTTCCAGACCGACGAATACAAAAAACAAGCAAGTAGGGGTGGTAAAGGGAATTTATGAAAAAGTTCAATTCAAAGCCCAGTAGCATCACATGAGGAAGAAAAGAGTTATTTTTACGTAATTCACAAGCAGTATAAGTTAGTCATAATAAAGCTTTGTCATCAAATAACAGCAGTAAAATACAACAAAATCTGTATGTCTCACAATGGTAAATTGTAAAAATAAAATTTTCATGGAAGATTTTAATACCTTCCTTGAATTTTCTTTTTTTTTTTTCTTTTGAGACGGAGTCTCACTCCGTTGCTCAGGCTGGAGTGCAGTGGGTGCCATCTCATCTCACTGCAACCTCTGCCTCCTGGGTTCAAGCAATTCTCCTGCCTTAGCCTCTTAAGTAGCTGGGATTACAGGTACCTGACACCACACTGGCTAATTTTTGTACTTTTAGTAGAGACGGTGTTTCGCCATTTTGGCCAGGCTAGTCTGGAACTCCTGACCTCAAGTGATTCGCCCACCTCAGCTTCCCAAAGTGCTGGGGTTACAGGCATGAGCCACCATACCCCACCACTCCTTTGAATTTATAAAGATCATGTAGGCAATCAGTAAGGACACAGAAAACTTATAGTACATGATTGATAAGGCTGAACTAATAATACACGTTATACTTTTTACTCTACTGTGATAACACTTTTAATGAAGTATTTATTTTTATCTTTAGATATAATGAACAAAAAAACTCAAAATTCAAAAGGTAGCAATTAGTTATGCAACGTAAATTATCTGACCATAAGATGATTAAAAACAGAAATTAATTAAAGCATATTCCAAATATTTATACATTTTAAACCATCTTTCTGAAAAATAATTGTGTCAAAAAATCAAATTACAATTCATATTACTTAGAAAATAGCCAATAAAAATACTAACGATAAAACTACTGATTTTGCTGAACGTCTCATAGGTAAATATATTACCTTATATTATTGTAGTATTAAATAAGGAGGAGTCATAATTACTTGGTCATGAAAGCAGTTAAAATTAACAGGCAAAGCACAAACTGGCAAAAATAATTAGTCTAAGTGTGTCAAATGATTCATATTCTTAATATATAAAATAATCATAAAAAACCTCCATAAAAGACTATTCAGGAGAAATAAAATTTCTAATAAGCAGAAGAAAGCAACTTCATTTATCATCAAGATGCAAATTAAAATAACTAATTCCGTTTTCACCCTCAAATTGGAAAAAAAATTTAATAATACCAATGCTGAAGAGCATGTAGTGAAAAGAGTGATTTCATACACTACTAATGGGAGTATAAATTGGAACTACTTATTTTTTTAATGATTTGGCACTATATATCAATGGCTTTAATCTTTTCAAATCTTTAGACCTAACTATTCAACTACTCAAATCCAATTATTCTAATTCAACTACCCAAAGTCAACTATTATCCCAAGGAAATAATCAGAGCTAAATACAAAGATTTATGCAAAAAATTTACTTCAGCATTATTTATAATAGCAAACAAATGAAAACAATCTAAATATCCAATAGTAGAAAAGTTAGCTCAATCATGGTCTGTCAATGAGATGCAACATTTTTATTTTATTAAAATCTATACTATTCAATAATCTGGGGGAATGATTTGGGAAACACTTATGATACCATGTTAGGTGGAAAAATCAGAATACAATTATATGGCCAATTCTAAACTTTATTAAGTTAACATGTGTTACTAAAGATAGGAAGGAGACCCAACAAAACATTTACCTGGGTGATAAGATGGTATGGGTATTAAATATATGGAAGAGATTATATAGATAATTCAGTAGGTTTCTTATATGCACAGATTAAATCACTTCTTTCAAATGTAGGGTGTGTTACTTTATATGCACATATGATTTGTTTTTACCTCTGCAGTTCCTTGTCCAGAAGGAAAATTCTCGCGTTCTGGGTTAATGCCCTGTCACCCATGTCCTCGTGACTATTACCAACCTAATGCAGGGAAGGCCTTCTGCCTGGCCTGTCCCTTTTATGGAACTACCCCATTCGCTGGTTCCAGATCCATCACAGAATGTTCAAGTAAGATGAACTTCATTTCTTATGTAATCCTATGTTGGACATTTACTTTTCCCTGTCTCTGTTGTAGCTTCAGTTCTGAATATTACTATTTTCGGTGGATTTGGGCATCTGGAGTTGTTAAATTGTCCTTCTGAGGTATTTTTGATGACCATGACACAAAGAGTCTTGTTTTGGAAACACTGAACTTGATAACTTCTAAATTTCTTTCTAAGAGTCTAGGATGTAATGATGTATGCCATCCATCTCTGTTTTCTTTTTTAAAATATAAGTGAAACAAAATATATGTGGCTTTACCCACTCTGACAACCAGAATCTTGACCATAGTGTTAGATATAGTCCACTTACTGGCATATTTGCCACACTGACATGTTTTTCTATTAATTGATTAGGTTTTAGTTCAACTTTCTCAGCGGCAGAGGAAAGTGTGGTGCCCCCTGCCTCTCTTGGACATATTAAAAAGAGGCATGAAATCAGCAGTCAGGCAAGTTCATTTTGCATAAACTGTTCTCTAGTGGAATGCTTGGAAAGCAATTTGTCATTTTACACATCACACACAGGAAAAGGACCAGGATTGAAACTTTAAGTAATCAAGATGTATGAATTTTATAAATGAATAATTGTATTTACAATGACTCCTGTTTAGAACATTCCCAAAATGCAACATTAGATGTTCTAAGTACCAAAAATGAGAGTTTTTCCCAGAAATGCCTGGCAATAAGAATGAGTAGATCCAGGGGGAGCCTTTTGATTCACTATAAGCACTTACCACAAGCACAACCCATCATTTGAGTAAGAGAATTTGGTTTAAGGAAAGGCCTTTTCTAATTGGCAGGCAGAGTTACCCAACTTTCATGAAAATTATTTAAATTTCTTTGCCAGAAAAGAAAAGATTTCTTGGGGAAAAGTATGAGTCCTTAAAAATTAAGAAACATAAATTAAGAATATAGCTAAACCAAATGCTTTATATTTTTTACAAGACTAGTTGTTAAGTCTTGGTTACTTTAATAGATTCAGTCATTACTCTGAACTCACCTTGTCCAATGTCATGAATTCCTTGCCTTTTAGTATTTTCATGGATAATGGGGATATTTTTCTGATTACAACTTCCTACAGCCTAGTCCAAACATAATGACTTGTTAGGACTCTATAAATCATATTTCAAACTGAGCCTAGTGGACATAGGAATTTGTAGGATCCCCTAAAGCAGTGGCTGTCACATGGAGGTGTATTAGAATCCTGGCCAAGTTTTTAAGACAGTAATGTACAGACTTCACTCCCAGAGATTCTGATTTAGCTAATCTGGGTTGACGCCCTGACCTTAGTATGCCTTCAAAATATCAATTGTATTCTAGCATGCAGCCAACATTTAGAAACACTCCTTAGGTTTACCAGAACATCACCCAAGAATGATATATATCATTTGCTCCCCTATATGGCAGGCACCAGTGTTATTCAGGCAGCAAGCCACCTAGCTTGAGTGAACTTACCTGGAAACAGGAGGAACGAGCTGTCTAATGTTGCAAACCTGACTCTAATCAGGACTGCTTTGAAATAAATAGAGTGCTTTGTCTCTGATTGATTTTTTTATGCTACTGGTAGGTTTTCCATGAATGCTTCTTTAACCCTTGCCACAATAGTGGAACCTGCCAGCAACTTGGGCGTGGTTATGTTTGTCTCTGTCCACTTGGATATACAGGTAAATAACCAAGAGGAATGTAGATTTTAATATATTTTATATGAAATCATTATGACTTGCAGTATCAAACTTTAGTACATTAACTATATCCGATAAGATACATTAGACCATGTAAATGTGCCAAAATTTGTTGAACAAGATAAACAATAGGTGAAAAAATTATACATACTTCACAAATGACAGTTTTCTTTGCCTATTTTGGATAAAGAATAAAGACTCATCTTCCCTATGAGTCTTTGTCATAACCCACAATTTAAATTGAAATACAGGGGTCATGTTCAAAGTTTCATTCTATCAAAAATTATATGCATGATACTCAACATAGAACAGATTGTCCAGTATAAACATTTTTAAATGAACTGGCAGCTTCTCTGATTTGCTACACACTAATAGAAGTTCTTATGAATAGCTATGCTTTGTTTCTATCTTTCTGGAAGCTGTGCTTAGAAAACAATTTGGCTTTGGGCTTTATTATGTAGGAATTACGTATGAATTATGGGGGTTTTTAACAGTTTGGTTCACATTTGACTTAAGTCCAGAAACATAATTTTTGAGGGGAAATGAACTATACCTTAAAATTGCAATTAATTTAAAATAATCATTTTCTTCTAGACAGTTTTTTTCAATGTTATACAACCAACTTGAAAGTTTTTCATGAGAAGTGGTATTTAAGTAAAGGAATTCACCACAAAATAAGCAAAAGGAAAGTCAAAAAACAAAGTATAGCCAAGATCTATCTAGAATATTGGCATCCCATTTATTATAGCTGGCTCGTGTTGTGTGCATGTGTGTCTCTGTGGATTTTTATAAAAATATTTACCTTGACGTTCCATAAGAAATAAAGGATCTTGTTTGGGAATTCTGTAAATGAGTGGTGGTTGAGAAAGGGTATAATATAGGACAGTGGTTCTCAAACAGTCGTGTGCATCAGAATCATCTGGAAGGCTTGTTAAAAACACAGATTGCTGGACTCCAGCCCCAGAATTTCTAATTCAGTGGGTCTGGAGTACAGCCTGAGAATTTGTATTTTTATTGCATTCCCAGGTAATGCTGATGCTAGTGAGGAGGACCCTGAGAAAGAATATGGGTTTCCAGCACAGCTAGCCCATAGAAAGCCTGTGTGCACCCTGTGGGAAGATGCAGCCACTCTGGGACACCTGGCATGTGAGCTGTGATCTGGCAGGCTTTAGCCCCACCTCCACCCCTAAGCCAGGTGACCTTGGTAGCACATACAGATGATATTGTAACTTTCACTTTGAAATTAGCATAATTCCTGGCTCCATTTTATGCTTCCAAGTGCTCCTACCCCACTTCTAATTTGGGATCTTTTGCTATCTCCTATGTATCTTTATAAGAATATCTTAAATTTGTTTAGAAAGAGGTATTACCTTCATTAAATACTTAATAGATGGTAGCACTTAATGAATATTACCCTTTACCACTACCCATTTAAAAATTCTGATTATTGAGATAATTACCTTTAAATGATCATAGTTCTATTTCGGTTAATCCCATCCTTGGATTGTCCCTCAGCATTTGGTTTACATTGTAGGCTTAAAGTGTGAAACAGACATCGATGAGTGCAGCCCACTGCCTTGCCTCAACAATGGAGTTTGTAAAGACCTAGTTGGGGAATTCATTTGTGAGTGCCCATCAGGTTACACAGGTAAGGGGAAGGTCTCCTGTTTTCAACAATATAAATCTTTGAATCATTAACATTTCATCACTGAGATAAATTTGGAATGTGTCAAAGATACATTTATAGAATATTATAAACATATTGAAGAAGCATATTTTCTAATATTACTTATTTGCATTGGGAAAGTGTTCTTGTCCTTTTCCGGTTATGTAAGGAGAACAAGATATCAATATGGCAGTATGTAATTGCTTTATAAAACAAGCAGGCGTGTTCCCATCTTTGCCAGCTAGATGTGTGACCTTGGACAAGACATTTAACTTCACTGAACCTGTTTCTTCATTAGTAAAAATGGAGGTGAGGAAATGACAGAAAATATGTAAAGCCTACTACAAATACAAGGTCATCCCCAAGCTTTTTACTAGTATTTTACTGAATTTATGAAGTGTATATGCCAATTTCTGTGGATGTTCATGTGTGTGTGTGAATATGTGTGTGTATAATTATTACTAACTGTGGACTTCAGGCGCATGTATCCTTGAAATTGTTATGGACCACTATGCCTCTCCTTTTAACTTAAATAAATACATATTTAAGTGTTATCTTATTTTTTAGCATTCAAAATCTTTGTCTTTATTTATGACTTAAATAATTTCAACTTTTATTTTAAATTCAGAGAGTACAAGTGCAGGTTTGTTACATGGATATATTGCATGATGCTGAGGTTTGGAGTACAGATAATTCCATCACCCAGGTAGTGAGAATAGTACCTAATATGTAGTTTTGCAGCCCACACCACCTTTCTTCTCCCCTCTAATAGTATCCAGCATCTATTGTTCCTATTTTTATTCCATGTGTACTCAATGTTTAGCTCCCATTTTAAGTGAGAACATGCAGTATTTGGCTTTCTGTTCCTGCTTTAATTCACTTAGAATAATGGCCTGCAGCTGCATCCATGTTGCTGCAAACGACATGATTTTGTGGAGTTTTTATGACTACATAATATTCGATGATGTATAAGTACCACATTTTCTTTATCTAATCCACCATTGATGGGCACCTAGGTGTATTCCATGTCTTTGCTATTGTAAATAGCACTGGGATGAACTTACAAGTGCATGTGTCTTTTTGGTAGAACAATTTATTTTCCTTTGGATGTATACCCAGTAATGGGATTGCTGGGATTACTGGCCAACCATACGCAGAAGAATGAAACTGAACCCCAGCCTTTCACCATATACAAAAATTAACTTGGATTAAAGATTTAAATGTAAAACTTCAAACTATAAAAATCCTAGAAGAAAACCTAGGGAATACCCTTCTTGACATTGGCCTTGGCAAAGGATGTATGGCTGAGTCCCCAAAAGCAATTGCAACAAAAACAAAAATTAACAAGTGGGATCTAATTAAATCGAAGAGCTTCTGCACTGCAAAAGAAAGCATCAATGGAGTAAACAGAAAACCTACAGAATGGGAGAAAATATTTGAAAACTATGCATCTGACAAAGGCCTAGTATTCAGAATCTATAAGGAGCTTAAACAAATCAACAAGCAAAATACAAATAACCTCATTAAATAGTGGGCAAAGGACATGAACAGACACTTCTCTAAGAAGACACATAAGCAACCAACAAACATGAAAAAAAGCTCATCATCGCTAATCATCAGAAAAGGCCAATCAAAACGACAGTGAGATACCATCTCACACCAGTCAGAATGGCTTTTTTTTTTTTTTAATTTTTGTATTTTTTGAGATGGAGTCTCGCTGTGTCGCCCAGGCTGGAGTGCAGTGGCATGATCTCGGCTCACTACAACCTCTGCCTCCCAAGTTCAAACAATTCTCCTGTCTTAGCCTCCCAAGTAGCTGAGACTACAGGCGCATGCCACCATGCCCGGCTAATTTTTTGTATTTTTAGTAGAGATGGGGTTTCACCATATTGGTCAGGCTGGTCTTGAACTCCTGACCTCAAGTGATCCACCCACTCCAGCCTCCCAAAGTGCTGGGATTACAGGCCTGAGCCACCCCGCCCCTGGCCAGAATGGCTATTATTAAAGAGTCAAAAAATAACACATGCTGGCAAGTTATAGAAAAACATGGATCACTTATATACTTTTTTAGGAATGTAAATTAGTTCAGCCACTCTGGAAAGCAGTTTGGAGATTTCTCTAAGTGTATATCTTAAGAGTCGCAGCTTCCAGCACCTTCTCACAAAAATAGTTCAGAAACAGTGATCTTATTCTCAATTCCCTTGTTAACCCACATTATAATTATTATAATATTGATGATATATTCTAATAAAATAGACTAGGATTTACTACTTTATAAATAGTAATGACCCCATAATATTATTATGGAGAGTACTGAGATCATCTAAATCATCCAGCATTGTACCTAACTCATCATTATTATACTAAAAAGATATCTGAATATATATTTTAATATGTGTGGGTATATAATTTTCTATATTTTAAAAAGTTTAGTAAAATCCTGATAACATTTCAAAGGAACCAGATTCTAATAATTTTATTGTGTATCTAAAAACAACTTCCATAAAGACATAAAAATGTTTAACATAACTTACAGTAGTAATCATTTGGAACAACTCATATATTTTCTCTATTTCACATCCATGCAACACTGGTAGTCCCAGGCTTATGAAAAGATATATTGAGTTTATACAGTAAAATTGCATTTCATCTGGAAGTGTAATTTGAAAGTTTATATATAGGGAGACATTTTAAATAGTCAAAGTTGCCTTGAAAATCCTTCAAATAAGCCATCAAGTAGAGTGGACTTGATATTGCACTTGATAAAGTGATAGCATACTCTATCAATTATAGTGGACAGGCATGCTGTTTAGAAATATGCCTATTTTACCTCAACAACAGAAGAAATCATTTTTATCTTATGAACACCAAAGCGTGTGGCTTGCATTTAGGGGCCACATCACACATATCTTGAAACAAATTTCTCTCAGCTTATATTCTAAGAGGTCCACATGCTGTGAGACCAACTGCAGACCAGCAGACTCATCACCCCTAACCAAGGGTGTGTATTCAACAGCTGGAACCACATCCAGATTGCTTGCCTGGTTTCCATTTTCTTTCTCATGCTCTTTCCTCTCCACCGTCTGCCTATGGTTGCATTTCCTTAGACAGTATTAAAATTATGCACCTGTATCCTACAATTCTTTATTTAAAATTCCAAATCTCATATTAGCGACACCTGGTGTTGAATCATAGTAAAAACTTGTGACAAGAATGGCAGACACATACTATGAGAAAAGTAGAACCAAGTTTCTAAATAAAATAAATATACATTTACTAGATGTGAAATGTATTATGTATGTTATTTATTAGACATTAAATTTATTTTGTGGGTTTACTGTGAAAAAACAAGTGTTCATAATGGTCTGTATGAAAGTGTAGATTTTATGTTAGATTTACTGTTCTCAAAAAACAACCTTTATTATGAAATTTCCTTTTAGCATATTTTAATGTCAAGGTACATAAATTATTAGATATGTGTTACATAATGCCATGAGTTATAAATTTAAGCATCCTTGAACTCTTCAACCCAACGAGTCTTTGTACGTCTTTTCTTGAACATGAAGATTTATGGTTCTAGGCTCATTTCTGTGCCTGTCCTTGGCAATGTCACAGACCTCTTTGGATCTGTTTCTAGATGTGTAAAATAAAGGCTATGAATAACATTAGTTGTTCCCAAATTATGTTCACACAAAACATGGGACAGCTGCACAGAAATTTGGCTGTGTTTCCCTAATTTGCAGAAGAAAATGAGTTATTTTCTTCATTCAATATATTTCTCCCATAATTTTTGCCAACTTTGTAACTGTAATGCTGTAACTGTTACCACTTAACTCTAAAGGGAATAAACTCAAAAAGAGAACAACTAGCAAACAAATAAGGAGAAAAAATTTAAAACAAAATCACACATCTTTTTCACTAAAAAAAATATGGTCAGATATTCGTGGTTATCATTTTCCATTGCATGCTGAATATGTTAGGTTTCTTGCTAGAAAAATTTTGCAGTTCACAGAATAGAAGAAACATTTTATTTCAACATGTTTGTCACAAACATGTTAGCCATGATTTCCAATTTCCCTATTCCAATGCCTGAACAACTTGCTTGGAAACTATTGGTCTTAAAGTTCTGTCAAGTTTTCTCCAGCTCAAAGATGAATGATTCTTTGCAGGTCAGCGGTGTGAAGAAAATATAAATGAGTGTAGCTCCAGTCCTTGTTTAAATAAAGGAATCTGTGTTGATGGTGTGGCTGGCTATCGTTGCACATGTGTGAAAGGATTTGTAGGTAAGATGTTTCCAGTCTTCCTATGTTGTCTTAAAATCTTGTAAACCACCACAAATTAGTACATTTCTTAACATATATATTAATGTGAATTTTTGGATTTTATTACTGTATGGTGATTATGTAAGAGAAAGTCCTCATTTTCTGAGGAAATACACACTGAGGGGTTTGGGGTAAAAGGGCATGCAGGTCTGCAATTTACTCTCAAATGGTTCAGCAAAAAATAATTTGTGTATGTGGTGTGTGTGTGTAAAGGCAAACTTTCAAGAAGGAACTGGAGACAAATCATGTAATATCATATTGCAAACAGATGTACAATAATATGGTTTAAAAGTGTATGCTTAATTTCTAAAGAGTAAATCCAAGAAAGTGTCCAGTGAAGGAAAAAGGCAAGATCAAAGAAACAGGCAAGTTTTGAATGGAATTTACTAGCTTTATTTCTTAACATTATCTCAATTAGATGTCTATTACCAAACTTAATTTCAACAAAAAGTAAGATTTAAAAAAGCAGATTATCGGCTGGGCATGGTGGTTCACGCCTGTAATCCCAGCATTTTGGGAGGCCGAGGCAGGTGGATTACTTGAGCTCAGGATTTCAAGACCACCTCGGCCAACATGGTGAAACCCTGTCTCTACTAAAAAAAAAATACAAAAATTAGCCAGGTGTGGTGGTGGGTGCCTGTAGTCTCAGCTACTCAGGAGGCTGAGGCAGGAGAATCGCTTGAACCTAGGAGGTGAAAGTTGCAGTGAGCCGAGATCGCGCCACTGTACTCCAGACTGGGAGAGAGAGCAAGACTCTGTCTCAAAAAAAAAAAAAAAAAAAACAGATTATCAAAAACTCAGAGTCCACAAAAAAATGACTTACAAAAGCCAGAGCCCATTACAGAATGGATCTCAAACCAGTTTGATGGGCTCCACAGCCTCCATTCCAATCCTCTAGAAGCAGCATCCTCCAGGGAGTCAACACTTTAGTTACAGTGTTCCCAGGGAGTTAATCATTTGGGCTGTTTCTCTTCCTTCTCCATCCTCAGGCCTGCATTGTGAAACAGAAGTCAATGAATGCCAGTCAAACCCATGCTTAAATAATGCAGTCTGTGAAGACCAGGTTGGGGGATTCTTGTGCAAATGCCCACCTGGATTTTTGGGTACCCGATGTGGAAAGAACGTCGATGAGTGTCTCAGTCAGCCATGCAAAAATGGAGCTACCTGTAAAGACGGTGCCAATAGCTTCAGGTAAAAGGCTAAGTCTGATTCTTTTCACTGTTTTTATTTTTTAAACTATTCAGTGATTCTGCAGCCTTTATGGAGTATTGCTTTGAGTCTCAAGTCAGTCATTCTCAAATGCTGGCCCGAGGATAGGCTACAGCTGAATATTCCCACCGCCATTTCTGCTTCACTAAGCCTGAAGTAGAGCCTATCATTTTAAAATAGGCAACCTGTTATGGCTTAAGTTTCCCAATGATTCTGATGCACAGCCATGTTTGGGAACTAACGTTCTATACTTGGGAAGTCATAAAAGATGAAATATAATTACTCAGAAGCAAATACAGTAGTACTAGACAAAGCCCATATTTTAATTATTTATTTATTTTTATTTTTTTATTTTCTGAGATGGAATTTTGCTCTTGTCTCCCAGGCTGGAGTGCAATAGCACGATCTCGGCTCACTGTAACCTCTTTCTCCCGGTTTAAAGCGATTCTCCTGCCTCAACCTCCCAAGTAGCTGGGATTACAGGTGCCTGCCACCACGCCTGGCTAACTTTTGTATTTTTAGTAGAGACGGGGTTTCACCATGTTGGCCAGGCTGGTCTTGAACTCCTGGCCTCAGATGAGCCACATGTGCTTTAGCTAAAGTTTTTATACCAGATAAAATCAAAATGGAATCTGCAATCATACTGTGATAGTGCTCATCTTTATTCTATGTCCATGATTTTCAAACTTTTTTTTTTAGTTTAGTAACCTTTGGTTCAAAAGAAATCTAACATGAATGTAAAAAAGTAAAATAATCAAAGCTAAGCTTTTGTGGCTGAAAATAGTAGTATTTGAGGGGCAGAAAGACTATGTCTCCCTGAGGCAGCTCTTAGGTGCCAGTAGAATACAGTTTGAAAAACAACCCTCTCCTGTTGTCATTATCAAGACTATCCCATTCCATCCCCCACTCTTTGCAGGGAAGTACAGAAGACAGCACATCTGTAGTATACAAGATAGATTTCTCTTGCTTGCAAAATTTTAGAAAACTGTATTGTCCTCAAGATGCTGCTGGTTTTATAAGTTTGCAAAAGTAAAAACCAAAAAGAAAAAAAAGATCTAGCCCAATTGCAACATTTCCCAATCCCCTTTCTTCTAGTTCAGCCCCCTTCCATTACCATCCTCCCACAAACAGCCAAGGCGCTATCCAGAAGAAATAAGAAGGCAACTCTGCCAATGAGACTTTCACCTACAATGTGGAAATGAGGTCTTATCATGTAGCATCACTTTCTCATGGGTGTTTGACATTTTCTGGCATATAGTACATAACTGTAGACAATGAGAAATTTCCAGATGAACAACAAGAGTTCTAAACTCTTTCCTGGGTTTAAAACGATTGATGAATACCAAAGTTGTCTAAATCCTAACTAGAAGAAAGGTGAAGGTACACGCTCCCAATTCAGAAGGAACATAGGTTGTTGACAAAGTGAATCTATTTCATAGATGAGGATATGATAGTGTTGTAATGACACCAAACACAGGAGGATAAAGGTGAGTGAAATTATAGTCAAAATAGATTTACCGTCAAATGCAGAGACCCAGTAAAGATCCCTCAATTCCAACTGAGATTTTGTTTACATCCTCCAAACACCAGTTATTCCTATTAGACACTGTTAGGTCAATATCAAAGAGGTCTTCGTATGACATGCTAGTAACAATAACATTAACTCGCATTTATTGGACCAGTCCTTTTAAATTACAAAATATTTCAGTCACACGGAAAATTACAATAATAAAAGTCATGTACTGATCACTGTGATTATCAAACCTTAATATTTTGCCATATTTGATTCACATCTTCTGTTTTAAAGACGTAAGTTTTAAAGGTAGGGCTGGATTCCCTCCAACATAGACACATGCATACACACGCGCGAGCGCGCGCACACACACACGCGCACACACACACACACACACATTCACTTTCTTCCCCCAGCAGTAATCACCGTCCTGCAGTCTGAATATATCTTTCTTATTCAGGTTTTATATTTTGCTACATATATGACTTCTATAAACAGTATATAAGTTACATGTTACATAAGTGGTATCATAACATACATATTCTTTTTGCAATTCGGTTTTTTTTTCCACTCAGCATGATATTTTCAAGTATTATCAAGGAGGTTACATTTGGCTTTGGTTTGTTCATTTCAATTGCTCCTTAGTATTCCATTACATGATGGAATTAACTACACCATGATTCATTTTCTCATTCTCCTCTCCATAGACATTTAGAATGATCCTGCTATGAACATTTGTTATATGGGTCCCTGTGCACCTTGTGCAATTATCTCCTAGAGCAGAAAACAAGAAATGGATTTATAGGGCTCTGGGAACACAAACTCTCAACTTCTCATGACATTGCCAAATTGTAGTCTTACTCACTATATGGGACTTCCTATTTTATGACACTCTTGTCAACATTTGACATTACCAGATATACTTTCCATTCTGATGAGTTTAAAATGGTTTGTTGCATAGCACAGAAACTATATAGCATCCTGATTAAGAAAAAGAGTATAGGTTGATTCAAAACCCCACTCCACCACTTGGTAGCAATAGAACTTGGGTAAATTCTTTAATCTTTCTGAGCCACAGTTTAGCTTATCTGTAAAATGGGAATAATACTAGTATTACCTCATTGTTATGAAAATTGGCTTAACATATAAAAGCCTTTAGAACAGCATTTGAACTTTTCATATTTTTCTGAGAACTCCTATGAGGAGAGAAACCACAATGTATGAATTATATTTCACCTGTACCAGAACTACTTTCTACTTTATTTTTGCTACTGCACATTTCTAATACATCTTGTCTTACATAGATTTAATCAAGTGAACTGGAAAAAGTAACCTGCAATTAAAGCACTGTTTTGGTGTAGAAAATGTGTTCCAGCATTTCAATTTTCAAAGTCTTTCGAGATAAGATTATCATAAATGGGAGACTTCCTACAACTGTTCTAATTGTTACAACATTTTGTTTTCTTTCAGATGCCTGTGTGCAGCTGGCTTCACAGGATCACACTGTGAATTGAACATCAATGAATGTCAGTCTAATCCATGTAGAAATCAGGCCACCTGTGTGGATGAATTAAATTCATACAGTTGTAAATGTCAGCCAGGATTTTCAGGCAAAAGGTGTGAAACAGGTATGTATCAACTCAGTGTTATTAATAACAATACTAACAATAGTAATATAATAACAATAATACCAATTTTGCCTGCACCAAGCAGTGTCCGTAGGCCAAAAACGATGCCAAGCACTTTGTACTCATTTAATCTTCACAGCCATCCAACAAACTAGGTACTACTACTATTATCCTCAGTGGCACAGATGATGAAATTAAAGCTTAAAAATTTAGGGGGGAAATAGAGAAAATTGAATTTAGTAGAACTCTTCATGTTCTACTTATTTATAATAGAAATGATACTTTGATAAGCCGCTTGACTTCAGAGGTGAGACTCCATGGACATGTTTGAGAATCAGCAGATCAAATCTAAATACTTTCTCAGGAGACTGGAGTCTTTTAGCTGTAAGACTTGTTTTATTGAGTGGTCTGTGCAGGTTTGGGGCAGAGCTGAATTGCTCATGAAATAGGGAAAAGCCAGAGCCTTGAGTAGGGCAGCATGTTGCCCTTGCAGCACCTCCTCCTTCTCTCCTGTGACATCAATTACTTCCTCTCTACTGAGTCATTCTCATCAGCATACAGACATGCTTTAGTATCTCCTGGCTTTAGTAGCATTTCAGTTTCACCTCTCCTTCCAACTACTTCCTGTTTCTCTGCTTCCTTTCACTATTGAATGCTTTTCCTATCTTATATACTCACTGGTTATTTTATTTAAAAGAATGCACTATGTATTTTGTAAATAATATGTATTTAATTTTGAAACTGCTTCTTAGATAATCATATTCACTGAAATGAGCTTCTTTGACAATAGCACTGCTTCCTCTGACAATTGGAAATGTCTTTCAAGTGCCACAGTCTGCACACTTTTCTTATTCATTGCAGAACAGTCTACAGGCTTTAACCTGGATTTTGAAGTTTCTGGCATCTATGGATATGTCATGCTAGATGGCATGCTCCCATCTCTCCATGCTCTAACCTGTACCTTCTGGATGAAATCCTCTGACGACATGAACTATGGAACACCAATCTCCTATGCAGTTGATAACGGCAGCGACAATACCTTGCTCCTGACTGATTATAACGGGTAAGCAGAAGTGTCGGGAAGGCTATGCTTAAGATCTTATCTTGGAACCGAATTAGAACTGACATTGAGGATGGGAAATGGGAAAGTAGAGGGTCAGGTGTTCCCAGAAAACAGCAGGGTGTCAATAATCAAATGGAGCATCTGAACAAGTTCTTTAAGAACGTAAATTTTTAGTGATAATACCTCAAACATGTATTGTGTTTTGCTGTTTACTAAGTCTTTTCATATGTATTACTTCATCTGATAGTCACAATGACCTGAGGAGCTGTGCCCATTTTATAGACAGTAGAATAAAGTTTCAGAAAGTCTAAATGACTTGCCCCAGATCTCACACCTTGGGAGTAGCAGGGCTAAGTCTCAAACTCTGACTCAAATACTGATGCTCTTTCTTTTATATAATAGGATCTCTAAAAGTTAAGGGATTTCAGTGACATCATTGACCTTGGGAGACAAGTGTATTGCATACAAATCAGTATACAAACTCAGTGTGCATATTTTTTTTAGAATCCACTAATTCCAACTCCAGGGCCCCATCGCCATGGGTTGTCAGGAGAGCCAACCTTAGTTGTACCCAGAGTCTTGCCAAAGAGCCACGGACTTGAGCAGGACTTCCATCGTTGGCCAACTGTCCACATTATTTATCACTGAGCTGTCCACTGACCCAGCGTTTGTGGTCCCTTTAAAACCACTGCTTTTTTAAACATGTGAAATCCTTGGCAAAACTTCAGGTTCATAACTTCCGTGTGGTTAGATTCTGTGGTGCACCACATGGCCTTTTCCTCTCAGATCCACTGAAATCGTTGGCCTACTTATGAGCAGGTTGTTGGTGTTCAAAACCCACTGAGCTTTTTTTTCTATCCCCAATCCAAGGGAATCTCACTATTCTGGTAGAAGTCTCCCATCCTCAAATACTATTCTTCTTAATGTACTTGATCTGTCAAAAACAAAAATCCAAGAAGTTTGCAAAAACCCTCCTTTGAGACAAAATATATATAAAGAGAGAATCTGTCGCCTCCTTGAATAAGGAGAGAAACTGGAAAAATGCAGAAAGGAAACCATTAATATTGCAAAAATATTATTTTTTCATAAACCTCTGTAAACAGGATCTGATAAGATGCTGGGAGAAGTGGTCAATGAATTTTTATCTTCATTATCAACTTTCTCTAATCGTTTCTTTTTCTCCATTTGATTTTGAAGACTTTTTACTTTAAACTGCTTATTAGCTTTGTCATTTCCCTGAATGACACAGTTATTGGAAATATCTTCTGGCTGGCCATCCTTGTTGTTTCAATTATTCTTTTCTTTGGATCAGCATACTTTGTCTGACATATGACTACATGAGCAACTGTCTTAGTCCATTCAGGCTGCTATAATAAATAGCATAGACTTGGTGGCTTGTAAAGAACAGAAATATATTTCTCACAGTTCTGGAGGCTTCAAGATCAAGGTGCCAGCATAGTTAGTGTCTGGGGAGGCCCTACTTTCCTGTCCACGATGGCACCTTCTTACTCTGTCTTCACATGGCGAAGGTGCAAGTGGTCTCTTCAGAGCCTTCATGACCTAATCACTTCCCAAAGACTCCACCTCCTAATCACATTGGTGATTACATTTCAATATATAAATTCTGAGAGCATACAAATATTCAAACCATAGCAGCAACCATCAAACAGACTAATTGTTTGTTTGATGAAGTATCTATGAAACATCTGAAATTTGTTCTTGGTCTTAAGAAACTTACATTCTGGAAGAAGGATGTCAGTTTGACATTTACACAATTCTCACCCTTTCCATTCTTGACTCATTCTCTCCAAAACAGCCAGTTGGTAAATTCTCTCAAATTGGAGCAACTTCTCTTGGCTCATCCTAAGACTTTTTCCTACCCCTCAGTGTTTAAGAAACACAAACCAATTTTCAGTGAGCTACAATAAAGTATAATTAGTAAATCAAATCTGCTTCTACAAAATGTGACCAAATGGAGAAAAAAAAAGAGTAATGGATTTACACAAAGTACTTTACCCACAAAAAAAGAAAAAGAAGAAAAATTGTAGCATGCCCCACAGTAAGGATTGCAACATATGGCTAATGACTACATTCCCTGGAATCTTTCTCTCTACAGCTGGGTTCTTTATGTGAATGGCAGGGAAAAGATAACAAACTGTCCCTCGGTGAATGATGGCAGATGGCATCATATTGCAATCACTTGGACAAGTGCCAATGGCATCTGGAAAGTCTATATCGATGGGAAATTATCTGACGGTGGTGCTGGCCTCTCTGTTGGTTTGCCCATACCTGGTATGTTTTAACAAAATGAGTATAATTCTGTTGGACTCTAGAGGTGATGCTGCTTAAATGGACATCAGGTTTGCTAGCATTGTTGTTCTTGGTTTCAAACAAAGATTAACAGCTATCTCTCTTATTTCCTACTCCCTGATTATCCTAACTGTGGGTTATTAGAAGCTTTTTTCCTAAGTAAGCTGTTTGCCTCTCTGTGTGAGAAATGCCTTTGAAGATCTACATTAAGACTACCAAGAAGCATGCTGAATTAGCAGCTGGTTGCTAAACTGTCTTCTAAGGAGATTAATTACTGGTATTTTTTGTTTATTTTAAGGATTGTTTTGTTTTGTAATCAGTATATAAGCAGGACCACTGCTATCCATCTTTTATGGCCCTTTTCAAATAGATCTTGGCTTGTCTTCTAAAAAATACTTTTTAATAAATATCCCAGGAGTTTTAGTTTGAAGAATTGCAAACTAAATTTCATTAGGTGACCCAGGTTCTCAGCATTGTACATGGCAATAAGCTTGTTCTATCTGGATACATCTATAGAAGTATATGCATATGACATTATTTTTTACTTTGCTCATTTGTTTCAGGTATACTAAAAGAAAATTAAATAGACAAAAATGAATTAAAGTATTAGAAACTGACTAATACATTCTAGAAGTAAGTTGTATGAAACTAGGATACGTATACTAATAAATATAGCACAAAAATACTAAACTTCATAAAAATGCGGTGAGATGACCCTTGCGAAGCCTCAAATACAATACTTATTTTATTTATTAGAAATTATTGGCCAGGTACGGTGGCTCACGCCTGTAATCCCAGCACTTTGGAAGGCTGAGGAGGGTGGATCACGAGGTCAGGAGTTGGAGACCGCCCTGGACAATATGGTGAAGCCCTATCTCTACTAAAAACGCACAGAAAAATTAGCCAGGCATGGTGGTAGATGCCTGTAATTCCAGCTACTCAGGAGGCTGAGGCAGGAGAATCGCTTGAACCCAGGAGGCGAAGATTGCCGTGAGCCGAGATCATGCCACTGCACTCCAGCCTGGGCAATGGAGAGAGGCTCTGTCTCAAAAAAAAAAAAAAAAAGAAAAAAGAAAGAAATTATTGTCCATGTATTGTTTCACTTTAATACTACGAAGATCCATGCGGATCAAACCAAAATTGATCTACTTGTGAATGTAAAGAATACGTCCTAAGCACTCACTAGGAAAGCCAGGCACCTATGCAAGGCACTGGAAACCCAATGGTGGGCAAAAGTCGTGTGGTCCCTGCTCTCCAGATGCTTTTATTGTGGTCAGAGAGTGAGGTGTTCATCACATAATCACACTAAATGCTGTGTAATTTCACACTGAGGCAAGCACTATGGTGGAAAGGAACATCATTCTATGAAAGCCTGTACCCAAGGAGCTGATGTAGAATGGGGAGTCCATCGAGGCTTGTGGATATGTCCCTAACTCTCCAGGGTGATCAGGCACTAATTTAGTGAAGGAGCCTGGGCCTTGTTGAAAGCGCTAGAAAAAGATTGATGTATCTGAAATGCAGGCTGAAAGAGGGAAGGCAAGGCATGCAGGTAGAGAGGGCGGACATGGCCAAATCACGTAAAGCCATGTGGTGTAGGTTAAGGATTGAGGTTTTCACCCTAAAATCAATAGGGAGTTACTGAAGCATTTTAAGATGGATGGGGGAGATGGCAGGAAGGGTAGCTTAGGTGGTTCTGTCACGAGCAGAAAGAAGTAATAGGGTGTATGTGAAAATTCCTAAACAACAAAGAGGTTTCCAACCAGAGGACAAAAGGACTCCCCAGTGCAGGGACAGCACTGAGAGTTAATATCTGAACTCTAAGAAGCATTTATTATGCTTCTCCTGGGAGGGAAACTTGGGACAAATGAAAAATAAAAGAGAAAGCCACTCTTCCTTAAACCCCAGAATCACTGAAGAGAGGAATGAAACATACAGACAGATCCCTGGATGTGTATCCACACACTGAGCATTTGCCAAGCGCCAATCCAGCCAGTAAGGCAACATCTGAGTGTTGAGGTTCCAGAAATGGAAGACCCAAAGGACAGAGCTGTAGAGTCAAGGACACATGAATTTTGTTATGAGGAGAGGGCAGAGAAGGAGGCTCAGGATGTTTAATGAATTTAGGGAGCAAGGGTGATTTATAAAGAAATGGATTGGGGAGATTAATTTGGAGGGGAAGGAAAGAGAAACACAGACAAACTAGAAACATTAGGTTGTTGTAAGATGGGAGTATTGGGAGATTAATATAGAGGCTGCTTTTGAAAATCATATAATTATTTCATAATACTAGGGCAATATCTAATAAGATAATTTTGATGAAATCACTCTTGATAAATTTAAAACGTGGTCTATCATCCTTTGCTTCTTTGTAAAATATGCTTGAACAGGAAGCCAGTGCCAAAACCAAAACTTCCTTGTAATACCATTTATGCCTAATTACCCAAATATTTTTACAAAATTTACACAATATTTTTGTCACAATGATCATGTGAGTTTAATAGAGTAGTTATGCTACTATTTTAGAAATGAAGAAACAGAGAATTCCGGACGAGTTAAAATGAGTCTCTCAAATTGCATTCCTATGGCCTAACTCTTTTAATTTATGGCTGTGCCCTTTTCATGGCCCCTTCTGCCTTCACCACTTAGATTAGCTTATTGATACATGCCCACAGGTGGAGCAGGTGTGGGACCATTAGAAGCTGTAGCACTCAGAATGGAAGAGGGGACCTCAGGGGATGTGGATGGACACCCTCAGTATCTACCATACACATCACGCTAGACAATTCTTTCTGGCATTCTACCCACTCCTTTGCCTAGAAACTCTCTATATCTTCCTTCTGCATGAGATTAACTCTTAATCCTCAAGATCCAGGTCTGAAAGATTTCCCTGAGCCCAGCCCTTTCTCACTGAGCTTTTTCTTTCAGTTCTTCTTTGACTCTGCATGCCTCCATTGCTGCATTAACCACACTGTATCGGAAAGTATTTATGCATGAATTTTCCCTTAGAATTATCATCTCTTAGAAGAAGAAATGTTTTTTCATCTGTCTAAGTCCAGTGCCTGGTATTGTCGACAGCACATTATTGGTAGCTTCATAAACATCTGCTGAATTTAACCAGCCTGTGTCTTGAAGGATGAGTCAGAAGAACAGGGAAAGGCAGCTCAGACAGAAGGAGCTCTGCGTGCAGAGGCAGGGAGCCATGAATGGGGTTTGTGTGAGGAAGAATGGTTGGCTGATCCCCAAAGTAGTAGCATAGTGTATATAGAAGAGAAGAAAAGGAAGACGTGATAAAGAAGCTGAAACATAACATAGTGTTGGGCTGTAATGAGCCTGTTTATGTTCCCCAAGAAATGCACATTTTCTCCTTCAGTGAATTAACAGACATTAAAGGTATTTCAAAAGGAAATGGCATTATCAAGTGAGGTGGGGCAGTGGTTTGTGTTCATTTCATTTAGTGTGTTCTTGTTTTCAACTATCTCTTCTCTAAGTGGTGCGATTACAGGTGATTTTTATTGACTTCATTTTATGTTATTTTCATAATGAACGTATATTTATTTTCTGGTTAAAAAAAGCATTTTTATCTTTAAAATATAAACAATGATGGAAGAGTAAAAAGTAGATTGAAGGAACAGGAAAATAAAACCAAGAAACTCTTACAGTAACCACCTAAGGAAATAGCTTGCTGACCAGAGGCATAAGGATGGCCAGGATGTTTGAGAATCCATAAATATTGCAGAGTTCCAATTGACACCCTTCGTGGCTGTCTTAGTCTGCTTGGGTTACCATAAAGAAATACCATACACAAAGTGGCTTAAATAACCAACATTGGCCGGGCGCAGTGGCTCACACCTGTAGTCCCAGCACTTTGGGACGCTGAGACAAGTGGATCACCTGGGGTCAGGAGTTCAAGACCAGCTTGGCCAACATGGTGAAACCCCGTCTCTACTAAAAATACAAAAAAAAAAATTAGCCGGGCGTGGTGGCAGGTGCCTGTAATCCCAGCTACTCGGGAGGCTGAGGCAGGAGAATTGCTTGAACCCAGGAGGCAGAGGTCGCAGTGAGGTGAGATTGCGCCACTGCACTCCAGCCTGGGCAACAAGAGTGACACTCTGCCTCAAAAATAAAAAAAATAAAAATACCCGAAATTAATGTTCTTGTAGTCCTGCAGGCTAGAAGTCTGAGATCAGGGTAGCAGTATGGTTGGTTCCTGGTGAGAGCCCCCTTCCTGGCTTGTAGACAGCCACCTTCTCACTGTATCCTCACATGGCAGGGAGAGAGAGAGCAAGCTTTCTGGTGTCTCTTCTTATGCAGGCATTTGTCCCATCACGTGGGCCCTACCCTCATGAACTCATCTAAATCCAATCACCTCCCAAAGGCTCCATCTCTAAATATCACCATGGTGGGAGTTAGGGCTTCAACATATAAATTTGGCGGGGACACAGTTCAGTGCATAGCAGTGAATGACTGGCTTCAGTTTGAGTGACCAAGTTTATTGAAGAGTCTGTTAGCTAAAGTAAGAATTCTAAAAAACGGAGTTGGTGAGAGGGGAAAAGATTGTGTATATGGTTTTCGACATACTGAGTTTAAGGTCTATGTTGAATTTCTAGTCACGAAAATACAGCTAAAGATATAGGTGTGATACTGCTTTATATCAAATTGGCAAAGTTGTTTTTAGTGACACCATAAAACTGGCTAGGATTCAGCATAGCAAACCTGTGTATAGAGCGCTGGCAAGTATGTAAGTTGATACAGTCTTTCTGGGAAACAATTTAGAAACTCGTATCAAAAGCCTTAGAGAAATTCTTTGCCTGCAACCATCAGTTTAACTACCAGAAATCAATCTAATGGAAATAATCAATAATTCAAACATACGTATAATTATGTATAAATAAACAGGTTTATCTCAGTGTCATTTTAGTATTAAACTTAGAAACAAGGCCAACATCCAGTAATAAGGGGCCGTTTAATTAATGAAGCAAATTATGCTTTGTTGTCCATTCATGTGTTAAAATAGCATAGCTAGACCAGGCGTGGTAGCTCACATCTGTAATCCCAGTACTTTGGGAGGCTGAGGTGGCTGGATCACTTGAGACCAGGAGTTGGAGACCAGCCTGATCAACATGCGTGGTGAGGGTGGGCGAAACCCCATCTCTCCTAAAAATACAAAAATTAGCCGGATATGGTGGTGCATACCTGTAATCCCAGCTATCTATTTGGGAGGCTGAGGCGTGAGAATCACCTGAATCTGGGAGGTAGAGGTTGCATTGAGCTGAGATCGCACCACTGCACTCTAGCCTGGGTGAAGGAGTAAGACTCTGTCTCAAAAAAAAAAAAAAAAAAAAAAAAAAATAGCATAACTACTAAAACTCATGAAATGAGAACGCGTTCAAGATGGTCTCACAACACCTTCAACAATATTCAAACATTCTGTATAGTATGATACTGAGTTATGTGTTTTAAAATACCTCACACATACATACACATACACTAAAACAAAATAAAAACTGGAAAGAAATACAAAAAACTATTAAATAATTATTTCTAGGTAAGAGGAGTTCTTTATAATTTATTTTAAAAATTTTCTTCTGTGCATGTATTAACTTTAAAATTATTAATACAATTTAAAAACACGTAGATTGGGAAATCATGAAGGAGGGATCTTTGGACATAGATTGACCAACAAGGGAGATCAAATTGAAAGAGTAGTTGACTTTGGGGACTTGAGGGAAGGGTGAGAAGTGGGTGAGGGATAAAAGACTACACATTGGGTACAGTTTACACAGCTCAGGTGATGGGTGCATCAAAATCTCAGAAATCACCACTAAAGAAGTTATCCATGTAACCCAAAACCACCCATTCCCCAAAAACTATTGAAATAAAAAAAAAAGAGTAGTTAAAGGAAGAAAGTCACAGGGTAGAATCTTGGGATCACTTCTAAGAGGCAGGCAGAGAAGGGAGACTGAGAATGAGCAGAAAGGTTCAAAGAAAACCAGGAGAGAATGCTCTGATAGAAATCAAGCGTAGTGTAATCAAGTCAGGCTCCTGGCAGGAAACAGGTAGCATCACTAAAGTGAGTTTAACGAAGGGCTGTTTTCAAAGGTGTGAGCATGGTTAAGAAGACCAAAATATGACAGTAAAACACATATGACTAGCAACAACAGATGGTTGTAAGGGATGGGCCTGAAATGACAAGGGTTAGGCATTGTTGCCAGAATTTAGGAACCTGTAGTGCTGGAGAGAATCCTCTGATCTCTTCAGAAATAGAAAAAGCCACTCCTAGTTGGTTGCCTGGCAGGAAGGGATACAGGAGTTTCAAGTTCTCTCTCATCCCTTTTTCTTATCTCATGCTGGCTCTTCATTGGCCAGAAACAAAGAGAAGACGGGGCAAGGAAGCTGGGTGATGCAGCTCACGGGGACAACCTTTGGGACACAAAGCTGAGTGGAGAAGGGTGGAGGGCAGTTCTGGCAGTGCAGACACAGACTGTCCAGCACACCCAGAAAGGCAAGTTGAATAGGATGAAATGCTTAACAGAAACAGCTGATACAGAGAAGTTACAGAGATGAATACTGAAATTTTTATTGAATTTGGCAATTACGAGACTCCTGGCAACTTTAGAAAGTTCTCTGGATTTGGTGATAGAAATTATATCATTGTAGCTTAAGGAATAAGAAAGATAAAGAGCAGTCACTTCCATGGAGGGTGATTTTCTACAAGAAAGTAAGCAAAATAACACCTAATTTGTCAACATAAAATATTATATGCATATATATGTATTGAATACAGTTTTTGTAGTTACAGGTTTATAAATCAACATTCTAAATCCTGTCTATTTTTAAGTTGCTATATAAAACATTGAATTTGTTCTTATTGATAAAACCTGCAGTAAATTTACAGAATTTTGCTTTTCAGTAATTTTCTTTCATTTATTTGTATCAGTCGTGCTTTCATTAAATTTGGATTTTAGGAATAACAGACCATCAGGCCAGTTTTCCTCCTTTTCTTTCTCTTTCTCTCTCCTTAGGTGGTGGTGCGTTAGTTCTGGGGCAAGAGCAAGACAAAAAAGGAGAGGGATTCAGCCCAGCTGAGTCTTTTGTGGGCTCCATAAGCCAGCTCAACCTCTGGGACTATGTCCTGTCTCCACAGCAGGTCAATTCCATTTTCAGTGTATGACAGTAATGAGATGCAAAGGTACAAACCTAGTAAAAATGTGAACAGCCTAATGATGACATAACTTATTGTAAGCTCTTGGTTATCAGAATTTATCACCAGTATCATTTGATGCTGTGGTTATAGATGAAGTTAGGCAGAAGTTACAGTAATTTTCAGTGAACACCCTTTTTAGTTTCTTGGTGATATTCTTAAATTTTATTGGAAAACATTATTTTAGATTTTGCAAAATAATGTTCTCCAATAAAATTTAAGAATATCACCAAAGAAGCAGGAGAAAATCATAAAGAATAATGCTTCAAATCCCTCTGACTGAAGATGCAGAAATTTAAGGCTGGCACGAGATCATCCATAGAGAGCAACATACGACCTAGTGGCTAAAACCAGCCTAGAGTCAAACAGCTGGGGTTCAAATCCCAGTCTTACCCCAAACTCACTGTGATGATTTTGAACATGTTATTCCATCTCACTGAGTTTCAGTTTTCTTATCTATAAAAGATAAATAGAACTACATAGCAGAGTTTTGACAAGATTGAACAAAATACTACATATACATTTGTGGTATTATTTGGCCCATAGTAAAGGCTTAATAAATGTTTGCTCTTATTACTACAGAGGCTGAGCCTCTAAGAATCTCTAAGCCTCAGCTTCCTCAATTCTGTGTCAGAGGTCAAAGACATAGAATGAAGAAGGGGAGAGCCTCTACAACCCCTTAACAAACCACATGGCTTTACATAGGGAATTCTAGGTGTAGGATTCCAAAATTTCAGGCAACAACGAGTCTAGTGGGAGAAGTAGCTGGGAGAGGGAATGATAGAGCTGGGAGAGAGGGAAACAGAAGAGAATCTCCTGCTGCCCCTGAAATCATACCTGCTTCCCTCCACCCCCATCTCTAAAAAATCTGTGAATGTTTTCAATAGGACTAAATTAATGTGTAATAACTCCATCTTAATGGAACAAGTAAGGCTTATCTAAAGTGTTATTAAACTTTCAGGTGAAGTCACTGGCTACCTCCTGCCCAGAGGAACTCAGTAAAGGAAACGTGTTAGCATGGCCTGATTTCTTGTCAGGAATTGTGGGGAAAGTGAAGATCGATTCTAAGAGCATATTTTGTTCTGGTGAGAATTTCCTTCTTTCATAGACTCCACTATCTCTTGACCACCCTGGGACTGTCTAGCAAAAGAAGACAGTTCAGAATTCTCTATCGGTCCAATCGTATGTGACTGTCAATCTACTTTTTGTAACTAGTAATTCATATTTACCCTATTTTCATCCAAAGGATTTGTTTTTTTAATGCAAAAATATATTCTGTATAACAAAATATAATTAGGAAATTTGGATGAAAGTAAAATAATATCAGGAAAATTAGAGAAGAAATGAGGTTATTTTTTTCAAGGCCCACCGACATACTATGCACCTGTTTGAGATGGGGTACTCTTTTGGTTCTATAATTTGTAGAAGGTATCTAGGAACAGGTAGCACAGGGAGAAAAGCGATGGATGTTGCAATCTGCACACTAAAACTGAATGATCAAAACTGTATCATAAAATCAAATTTATTTAAATGAGTTTCTTAGACTGTCCTAGAATTTATGGCTTTTGATAACTTACAAGAACATTTCATTGACATTCCTAAAATATTTTGAAAGAGGGAGAGTTATTGACTTAAATGCTTTTTTTTTTTTTTTTTTTTAGTGATTTTGCTTGCCAGTGATCTGGTTACATGTTAACTTGTTTTCACATCAGTAAGGTGGCTCTCAAATGCTGATACAGAATACAGTTTGAAATCATTGACTTGGTGATGCTACCACTATGCCGCTGACAAGCTCTGCACCTGTGTTCTTTGCCCTCAGATTGCCCACGCTTAGGAGGGTCAGTGCCTCATCTGAGAACTGCATCTGAAGATTTAAAGCCAGGTTCCAAAGTCAATCTGTTCTGTGATCCAGGCTTCCAGCTGGTCGGGAACCCTGTGCAGTACTGTCTGAATCAAGGACAGTGGACACAACCACTTCCTCACTGTGAACGTGAGCTGCCTTTCTTGAAGCCATTTCAGTGACTTTTGAAAAATATTGAAAACATAACTCTTTTCAGGAATGCTAGACAAAGAGTGAATACTTCACAGTAGCAAATATACCAAATATTCATTGAACCTTTTCTTTGTTTAATGAACTGTGCTGGGCATCATGAAGGAGATGGGTGATTAGGATCCAGAGGGACCATTTGTGCATGCATCCAAGGTGATGCAAGGAACTGAAAGGGTTGGAAAGACACACCCTACAGGTAGAGGCCCAGAGATAGATGGGTCATTGCTGGAGGGGGAAACAGGGAGAGCCATCTTCAGTCGAGTGCATTCATTCATTCATTTATTCAGCAACTTTTAAAGTACCTATTATGTGCTAGGCACTGATCTAGGTCCTGGAGATGCAGCAGTTCAGGGGAAAAAGCTCCTATTCTTATGTAGTTTACATTCTAATAGGAGAGACAGAAAAATAAGTAAATATAATATTTATTTATAGTAAATAATAAAGGTAAGGGCTAGAAGCAAGAGCTGTAAAGAAAAATAAAAGAGGCTAGGAAAATACAAAGTGTGGCCAGGTGTGGTGGCTCACATTTGTAATCCCAGCACTTTGGGAGGCCAAGACGGGCGGATCGCTTGAGCCCAAGAGTTCAAGACCAGCCTAGGCACATGATGAAACCCTATCTCCACAAAAAATACAAAAATTGGCCAGGCGTAGTGGTGTGTGCCAGTAATTCCAGCTACTCAGTAGGCTGAAATGGGAGGATCGCTGAGCCCAGGAGGCAGGCAGAGGTTGCAGTGAATTGAGATTGCACCACTGCACTCCAGCTTAGGTGACAGAACTAGACCCTATCTTAAAAAAAAAAAAAAAAAAAAAGTAATACAAAATGAGGGTTAGGTGGAGGCTAGACTGCTATTTTAGATAAGCACCTGTTACCACCTGATATATTCACCGTTTTTTTTTTTTTTTTTTTTTTTGGCCTATCTACCCCACTAGATAATAAGCTCCATAAGGCAGGGATTTTGTTTGTTTGGCTCACTGCTGTAACTCCAGCACCTAGAACAGTGTCTATGTGTTAGGCCATTTTGCATTGCTATAAAGAAATACCTGAGACTAGGTAATGTATAAAGAAAGGAGATTTAATTGGCTCACAGTTCTGCCGGCTGTACAGGAAGCATGGTGCTGGCACCTGCTCAGCTTCTGGGGAGGCCTCAAGGAGATTTTACTCATGGCAGAAGGCATCAAGAGTAGGCACATCACATGACAGAAGCAGGAGCAAGAGAGACAGTGGAGGGAGAGGTGCCACACACTTAACCAGATCTCACGAGAACTCACTCACCATTGCAAGGACAGCACCAAGCCATGAGGGATCTGCCCCTATGACCCAAACACCTCCCACAAGACCCCAATTCCAACATTGGGGATCACATTTCAACATGAGATTTGGGCAGGGACAAATATCCAAACTTTATCAGCGTCTAGTGGGTAAATGTTTTTTGAATAAATGAATTGCATGCCTACTGTGAGCCAGGCAATGTGCTAGACGCTGAGGGTTCAGGCTGCTGCTATCCCTAGGACACCCTCAGTCTGATGTTTGCATTCAGTAAAAATGTCATGCTTAACTGAACTGCTAGTTTAATACAAATAAAGTGTTCTTGGAGTATTTTGCTCTTAATGTCGTTGTCTTCTTCCTGGTCACCTTACAGGCATTAGCTGTGGGGTGCCACCTCCTTTGGAGAATGGCTTCCATTCAGCCGATGACTTCTATGCTGGCAGCACAGTAACCTACCAGTGCAACAATGGCTACTATCTATTGGGTGACTCAAGGATGTTCTGTACAGATAATGGGAGCTGGAACGGCGTTTCACCATCCTGCCTTGGTGAGATAAATGTTGGCAACTACTATATGAGATTATTCTAGCTCTGTAGATGACAGTCATCCCAAATTCCTGAGGTTCTTGAGGCATTGCTTTGTTAACTTTATCTCATCCCAGTAAGCTCTGGCCAAGCCATAGTGACAAAGCAGCTGTATGTAGAGGTGCCAGAAATGTTTTAAATTTTTATCAGGCTCCATATTAAGACTATATTTATATATCCCTGTCTTATACTTGCCCACCTATAAACTAGGGAAATAATAGCTTTTATTGTATATCTGCAATGTGATTATGACTGTTATATTTAAATTCTATACAAATATATGAAGTGTTGTGCATTACGTGATATGTAATGATTTAAAAGTAAAAACAGATGTTTGATACATACGGAAAAGGAATCAACTTTAATATTTATAAGCTGTCTTCATTTTAGATGTCGATGAGTGTGCAGTTGGATCAGATTGTAGTGAGCATGCTTCTTGCCTGAACGTAGATGGATCCTACATATGTTCATGTGTCCCACCGTACACAGGAGATGGGAAAAACTGTGCAGGTAACCAATATATGTAGAACTAAAAGTTCCTAATTCCATTCTTTTATTCAAGTACATATTTTAAGTGTATGTTATTTCTAAGTGAGATAATTGTTTCAACTTCAAAGGGCATACAGGTAGGCAGATAAGATAAAGTTCTTACAAAAGACACATCAGTAACAACTAAAAGTGCTTTAAAGTAGCATTGTGCCTCCCCCAACTTCCCAATTTCTCAGAAACAAAACTGACAGCCAACTATGATTCTACAATGTTGAAACGTCTACATAGTACAAGAATAATAGAGTGGATATAGAAATATAATCAGTGACATCCCTGCCTCAATCAGAGCAAGGAAGATGCTTTATCACATCTTCACTATCAATATCTTTCCTCTGCCTCAGTCACATAAAATTATATCATTGAAAAAAAATAGACATCTTGCCTCCCCAAGACATCTTGCACTACAATATTTTGAAATAGCTTTGATAATACCAGATCATCTCTCAACCCGTTGTTGTATTTCTTCATTTGTTGTGAAGAGTAACTCCTGGAAAACAATAAGATGTCTATATGAACACACCATATAAACAGTTCTTTATTTTAGTTATTTCATGTAATATTATATCAGGCACATTTTTGGTGTCACAAAATAGTTTGAGAGCAGGATTTTAATTCCTGTTTTATAATTCACTTTATGGATTTTCCATAAGTAACTTTTCTCTGTATGTTAATATTAGGTGATATTCACTATGGAAAACAGTTTAATAAGCATCTTTGGACATACATCTTTATGCTTACCTCTGGCTGTTTTCCTCAAAATCAGCTCATAATTGCATTTACTTTAAGAATTTGTTTAAACTCCTTGACTTATATAGCTCAAATGGCCTTTGAAAAGATTGATGCAATATATCCTCCCGTTTTGAGAATTCAAGTATTATATTCACTTTTCTTGCTCAACACTGGCCCAAACCTTGCTTTAGCTTTTTCTCCTTCCTATTATAGCAGTGGAGACCGACCCTGAATCTGTAGATAGGGAGAGCCCAGAGCCCATACTCTATTTGGGAAGGGAGGCTGGAAACTTTCCTGAATCTGCTTTATTCAGCCTTTCCATCAGCCTGACACCAAGTCAGTTGCTCTGAAAAACTGGGTATGAAGAGGGAACAGATGAAAGAGGCTAATGCCCTTCTAAGCCACTCTCTAGCACCACCACTACTTTCCCAATGAGCGCCTACCTTTGCAGCCAGAAAAATTATGTATATTGTTGTTAGGAATTGCTGTTTCAAACTATTATTGCTTAAATGCTTATTAAATGTATGTTCTGGTCTAATGTCCAATGTGTCTCTGGGCCCTCATGCATTTCCCTTCACGAGGTTTTCTCTTGCGATTTTAACAGGTTTCTTAACTATAGTGGAATTCTTTTGCTGTGAGACTTTGCATGGTTGTGTGAAAGCCACTTATTATTCCACCAAAACTGTCTGTTTCTAGAACCTATAAAATGTAAGGCTCCAGGAAATCCGGAAAATGGCCACTCCTCAGGTGAGATTTATACAGTAGGTGCCGAAGTCACATTTTCGTGTCAGGAAGGATACCAGTTGATGGGAGTAACCAAAATCACATGTTTGGAGTCTGGAGAATGGAATCATCTAATACCATATTGTAAAGGTATGTTTAGTAAATTTACCACGTTTCTTATGTTTGGCAATCCTAGAAAGGTAAGGCGTAGACATATGAAGTGTTATGTTGTATCAATGTTCTTTGTATTTGAACTGAGGTATTAGGCTCATGTTTAAACATGACCCCACACACACACACCAAAAAAAAAAAAAAAGAAAACAAACAAACAAAAAAAGATCTTGAGCTGCCCCTTGAAATTTCAAAGATTTTTGCACACAGTCTCAAAAAAGTCACGTGTTTGTTTTTCCTTTGTTAAGCTGTTTCATGTGGTAAACCGGCTATTCCAGAAAATGGTTGCATTGAGGAGTTAGCATTTACTTTTGGCAGCAAAGTGACATATAGGTAAGTATCTAAGATTAAAACTATATTGTAGAAGATGTTGATGGCATACTGGTAGTGATATAACACTGAAAGAAAGGGGGTGGGAAAATAATTGCAGAGGACATTTTTGAATTAATATGTAATTAATCGAATGATACATAGTGTGAACAAATCTTAATCCAATAATTTAATGGTAGTTATATCTAGAATCCTTAAATCCCCTGACCAATAATCTATCATTACCTCCAGTGCCCCCTTGAGGCACCCTGAGAGTGGATGCTCCTAGCTAATGAATACTCTTGATGTCTCAGAAACAGACTAGACCACACCACTCTCAAGCCAAGGATTCCCTGTTTGTAGTTACTAATCCATGACACAAACTGAAGGCAAGCCAAATTCTTAAATCTATCCTACTTCCCTATGGGGAAGATATACAGTATTCAATCTTGAAAAAAAAAATTAATTTAAAAGCATTATTTCAGTAGGAAAAAAAATCAACTTTTCCAATATGTATAAATTCTTAATATTTTTAGAGGTTTTTGGCACAGATAACGGCATGCAAAATAAAGCAAATTATATCCTGTAATTTTCCTCTATCTTCTTTAGGTGTAATAAAGGATATACTCTGGCCGGTGATAAAGAATCATCCTGTCTTGCTAACAGTTCTTGGAGTCATTCCCCTCCTGTGTGTGAACCAGTGAAGTGTTCTAGTCCGGAAAATATAAATAATGGAAAATATATTTTGAGTGGGCTTACCTACCTTTCTACTGCATCATATTCATGCGATACAGGATACAGGTAACATTTGTAGACACCAACCAAGCTTTCTACAATACTGTGTTACTCGCTCCCTATTTTATTTTAATTTTTTTGAGACATGGTCTCACTGTGACACTCAGGCTAGAGTGCAGTGGCGCAATCTCAGCTCACTGCAATCTCTGCCTCCCAGGCTCAAGCGATCCTCCCACTTCAGCCTCCTGAGTGCAGGGACTACAGGTGTGCGTCACTATGCCCAGCTAATTTTTGTATTTTGTACAGATGTGGGTTTCGCCATTTTGTCCAGACTAGTCTCGAACTCTTGAGCTCAAGCAATCCACCTGCCTCAACCTCCCAAAGTGCTGGAATTACAGGTGTGAGCCACCGTGCCTGTATTCTTTACTCAATAGGTTTCATTTGTACGTGACTGGCTGACTCTAAAAACAAATTTATAAATATGAGGATGTTCTCAAATCTGTATGCTTCCCGAGGCCTACCTAGCTAATGGTAAATGCCCAAGAAAATATTCTATCTAACTATGACTCTGAGAGTCCTAGTTCAATTGCTGTAAGCATTCAGACTTTAAACATGAAAGCAAAAATAGTTTATGAAGCATAAACAGAATACCCGATAAATGCTTTTGTGATGGATTTCTTTATAAACAGCTTACCAAACGTACTCAACATTGCATGGAATGTTATGAAAAAGCATGTCAAGATAAGGGGCTAGGTTCTTAACACTGTAGGAGATTAATGGTGTGTGTGTGTGTGTGTGTGTGTGTGTGTTTAAACAGAGGGGACAGTGGAGAAAGTCAGACTGTGATCAGAAACATGATCAACAGGATCTGAAGTGGAACAGATCGAGTGAAGAGAAAGTGGAGTGAATTAAAGCATGCTATCAGAATCAAGTTGAGAAGAAAGGCAGATAAGCCATGGCATAGGGATGTGAGGTTTAAGTCAAAGGAAGACCAGAGGTCAGAGTCAGGGGCAGCATGGTTCAAATGCCCAGGCTCATGGCCTGGACAGTTCCCTTTGACCTTAGTTGCCCTGATTTCCTGGCTACTTAGGTGAGTGTCTTTCTTCCTGCTGGATTCTAACCAGTCTAATGAACCCCTTCTCATCCAAGTAATCTGCTCTTCACAGGTCTGGAGTGCCTTACACCACTGCCCATAAGCAGATTCAATATTTTACTATGCACCAAGTGATTACTGTTGTTATATTGTTTTCACCCATTCATTGTTTCAAATGGTGTATAGCTTGTTTAGATTTCTCTTGCTTTCATATAAAGCAATCTAATATGAAGAAATGCTATTTTTGTGTACTCAAATTCCTCAAATGTCCCTTATTTTCTCCAGAGTTCTTCCTGTTTTATCTCCATAGCAGCAAATCCATAGCCAATGAAAGAGTAACATCATTCTTTCCCGCAGCTTACAGGGCCCTTCCATTATTGAATGCACGGCTTCTGGCATCTGGGACAGAGCGCCACCTGCCTGTCACCTCGTCTTCTGTGGAGAACCACCTGCCATCAAAGATGCTGTCATTACGGGGAATAACTTCACTTTCAGGAACACCGTCACTTACACTTGCAAAGAAGGGTGAGTAGGGCCTGTGAAGGAAAGGATCATTGAGAGCCAAGGAAGTGGATGCTCCTGACTGCAGAGATGGGCTCCATTGGACACGAAATTTAATTTCCTGGCAGCCAAAGACAAAGAGAGCCTTATGCTTTTATTTCCTACCTGCAGAGACGGAGTATATTCTCCTGTGGAAATAATATTTTCCTGGAATTTGAGTAGTATATCAAATTAGACCCTCAATAATGGACATTGGGCAATGCAGTGAAAAAATATCTTCATATTATACTTTTTTTTTTTTTTTTTTTTTTTGAGACAGAGTCTTGCTCTATCACCTTGCCCAGGCTGGAGTGCATTGGTATGAACTTGGCTTACTGCAATCTCCACCTCCCAGGTGCAAGCAATTCTCATGCCTCAGCCTCCCAAGTAGCTGGGACTACAGGCGCCTGCCACCACACCCGGCTACTTTTTGTATTTTTAGTAGAGACAGGGTTTCACCATGTTGCCCAGGCTAGTCTTGAACTCCTGACCTCAGGTGATCCACTTGCCTCAGCCTGAGATTACAGACATGAGCCACTGCACCCAGCCTTATATTGTACTACTAAGATGCAAAAAGTACCTTTAAGTGAGCGTTCGTGTATTTATATTCTGCAAAACCAAAGGCAAGACTTAAGTCATAACATAAAGATGACATATCTACAGGGAGGAAAAAAGATAATAAAGTTCAGGTTTTTACATTTCTAAGGATCTTATTTAATTCAGAGATCACCTCTGGAAACCAGGTAACAAATTACGAAGGGCTTTCAGACTCATTGTCTCATTTGATCTTAGCAAAAGCCCTGTGAGGGACAGTGAAGGGAAAGACTCCCTTTGGGATGATCAGTTTAGGGTCTCAATGCAACCAATAAAGTATGGAGGGGTGGCTAAATCTCAGGTCATCTGAGTTTCATTTCATTGCAATCATTGTTTTTTCTCTATGCATCCTCAATAAATATTTTCATCAATAGGGCTTTCACACTCCAGATTTACTACAGTTGTTCTTCACAAGCTGACACAGCAGAAAAGTTGCCATTTTCTGGATTTGTATCTCAACTCTGTTGTTCACTAACTGTGGGGCCTTAGGGAAATAGTGTGACCGCTCTGCCTTGATGGTCCTCCTGCATAAAATGAGTTCATACTTATGGATATTGTGAGAAATAAAATGATATAATACATGGCCTAACCAGAAAAAAAAAATCAATGAACCCAACAAACTTAGCCATTATTATGATGATTGGTGCAGTTTCTGTATTTTCATGGAAGTTGGATTTTACTTCACAGGAGTAGAAAACCATTCCACTAATACATGACTGCCAGCAGGTGGCAACAATATTTTCTTGCGAAAAGATAATAAGAGTTAAAGACTTGCATAAATAACTGAAGCCCAAATCTTAACATCTTCTTAAGTGAACAAGGAATCTTTAATATTAAAATGTCAATGCAGGAATGGCTTTTGATTGTCCCATCTATCCCCTGTGGACTCACTCACATAAGAAACTACCCCTAATGAACTGATAGGACTATTTAAAATTAGTCATTTAAATGTTTGTGAAATCTTAGCAAATATACATGTTCCAAACAATATCTAGATATTGACTATTGCTGGGGCTTTTTCTGATTTAAAAAGTAATGCATGATCACCATATACAACTAGAAAACACAAAATCTATATTTAAAAGTCATCCATGATTTTATTACCCAAAGACAAATATTGGTAATATTTTACTTCATTTCTTCCTAGAATTTTGTCTTTGCATGTATATTTGAATATTAAAGATGATGCTACATGTACAGATTTATACCTTTTCCTCTTCACAAATCATACACATCCTCACAAATTGTTCACTTAGAAGATATAGTAAGATGAGTTTTATGTCTGCCTAACGTTTATCTAAAAGTGATTTAAAGAATCAATTAAGACAATTATGAAAACGATTAAAAAATCTATTCATTTGAAGAGGATTTTTTATTTAGAGGAATTCTATGTGAATCATCTCATGTACTTCCTTCTACAAAGATGGAGTTTGGCAGAAGAAGTATTATTCCCACTTTATAGCTAAGACATGAAGGTGTTGGGCCACATTCTCTTACAGGCCCATTTGTTCTATGCAAGATCATAGTCTGTGGAAACTTTTTCTGTCATTGAAAAGATTGAATCAGATCTGCCCATCTAAATTATGTAATTGTTAAAGGGTATGAGACCATTTTTATAAAAGTGTGTTATATATATGAAGTATGATGTAAATATGGCTTTATTGTTTTCTGTATCATTATTAGCATATAAAGTGATGACATTTCAATAATATATGGGGAAGCTATCTGAGCTAGCTAATCAAATTAATATGAAGTACACATAGTCCCAAATCACTACCACGTGTAGTCTTTTTCTGAAAGGAAAAAAAAATAACTGTTAGGAGACAGTTTTATTTTTCTGAAATTAAAACTCTTGATGAGAAGAAAAATGATGCCCCTTTAATATGCATTTTGCCCTTTTAGGGGTGCTCTGAAAGTGGCCAGACTGGAAGGAAAGCCTCTCTCTTGTTCATTTCTTCTGGCCAAATTTTTAACAAAACATTTGAAATAAATAGAAATGCAAAAATTAGGCTGGACGTGGTGGCTCACGCCTGTAATCCCAACACTTTGGGAGGCCAAGGCAGGTGGATCACTTGAGGTCAGGAGTTCAAGACCAGCCTGACCAACATGGTGAAACCCTGTCTCCACTAGAAAGACAAAATTAGCTGGGTGTGGTGGTGCATGCCTATAATCCCAGCTACTCGGGAGGCTGAGGCGGGAGACTTGCTTGAACCTCAGAGGCGGAGGTTGCAGTGAGCTGAGATCGCGCCATTGCACTCCAGCCTAGGCAACAAGAGCGAAACTCTGTCTAAAAACAAAACAAAACAAAAATGCCAAAAAATAAAATTCTCTCTATTTAAAATCACCCATGTATCCATTGCTGAAATAAAAGTGCATGTTAAATTCTTGTCATCATTACCTTAGATCTCTATTTATAAAAGAAACACAATATTACAGATATAATTAGAAGCCATTCTCATCACTCATCTATGCTCCTCAAAGTAACAAACATGGATATTTGTCTTTATTAAATACATATTCCCCCATAAACAAATATCCTATTAATTTATATATTTTAATTTTTGTATCTGTTGCTTCATATTCTAAGCATCCTTTTGAAGCTTTGATTTTTCACTTAACCTTATTTTTTTTACATTTATCCCTCTCAATACATGTAAATCAACTGAATTTATTTTCACTGATAGACAGTATTTTCTTGTCAGAACGAGCTATCTCTAAATTACCATCTTACTGGTAGAGGGTTAATTTATTTACTTCGTTTGAATACAAGTGCTGAAGTAAATATTCTTGCATGTTTCCTGGCACACATGTAAAAGAACATCTCTGACCTAGACACGAAGAGTTGGAATTGTCCAGTCATGGAAGATGCACATTTTTAACTTTGCAAGATAGTACCAAATGCTCCCAGGAGTGACCATACCAGTTAACACTCTAAACAATAATATGTGAGATAGCTTCCCTAGCTCCACAACTTTGCCTACAATAGTGTTTATCACAGTTGATTCTTCTTTCCAATTTCATCATTGTTTAAGGTTTTCCCATTGTTTCTTCCCAGAAATTACTTTAAGACTATAAACACTTCTCAAATTGTAGTTTAACTGGGTATACAACCTTCCAAAGGGTTATTGAAAGTGCATATTTCTTATTCTAGGGATGAATTGTTTGTGTCTCTTTCCCATTTTGTTTTTCATATTGACTTATATTTTCAGGAAACCAATCCCTTTTTTATTACATGAGTTGCAAAGATATTCTGCTTATCTGTGGCTTCGTTTTTACTCTATGGTGCCTTTTGTTATAGAATTTTTTATTTTAATATACCCATATTTATCAGTTGTTTCCTTTAGAGTCCTTTAGGGATTTTTTTTGTCAGGCTTAAGACATTTTTCCATATCCTAAGATCATACTTAATGTTTCTGCCTTCTTCCTGAACAACTTGAAGACTTTAGAAAGCATTAACTTCTGTCAGCACTCCCATCTTAAATGTCTTATCACTATGTACCTTTTTACTTCCCTTTTATCTTACAGCTTTCCAAATCAGTCATTTTTTAACTGCAGTCACTGCTTATGTATATTTATTTACATGTCTATTAATTTTTTCACCACTATTTCTTTTTGCATCACACTCCTTCCATTTGAGTTTCATGTTTCTACTTCCTGAAGATGTTCTTTGCATCTTTTCCAGCAAGAGTCATGAATTACACAGTCTTGGTCAGAAACTAATAGTATTTTGCCCTTGCTCTTGAATTGTAGTTTAGCTGAATATACAAATCTACATTGACAATTTTTCTTTTTTTTTTCTTTTTTTTTTTTTTTACTTTATTTTTTTATTTTTTTATTTTTTTTTTATTATTATTATTTTTTATTATACTCTAAGTTTTAGGGTACACGTGCACATTGTGCAGGTTAGTTACATATGTATACATGTGCCATGCTGGTGCGCTGCACCCACTAATGTGTCATCTAGCATTAGGTATATCTCCCAATGCTATCCCTCCCCGCTCCCCCGACCCCACCACAGTCCCCAGAGTGTGATATTCCCCTTCCTGTGTCCATGTGATCTCATTGTTCAATTCCCACCTATGAGTGAGAATATGCGGTGTTTGGTTTTTTGTTCTTGCGATAGTTTACTGAGAATGATGGTTTCCAATTTCATCCATGTCCCTACAAAGGATATGAACTCATCATTTTTTATGGCTGCATAGTATTCCATGGTGTATATGTGCCACATTTTCTTAATCCAGTCTATCATTGTTGGACATTTGGATTGGTTCCAAGTCTTTGCTATTGTGAATAGTGCCGCTATAAACATACGTGTGCATGTGTCTTTATAGCAGCATGATTTATAGTCCTTTGGGTATATACCCAGTAATGGGATGGCTGGGTCAAATGGTATTTCTAGTTCTAGATCCCTGAGGAATCGCCACACTGACTTCCACAATGGTTGAACTAGTTTACAGTCCCACCAACAGTGTAAAAGTGTTCCTGTTTCTCCACATCCTCTCCAGCACCTGTTGTTTCCTGACTTTTTAATGATTGCCATTCTAACTGGTGTGAGATGATATCTCATAGTGGTTTTGATTTGCATTTCTCTGATGGCCAGTGATGATGAGCATTTCTTCATGTGTTTTTTGGCTGCATAAATGTCTTCTTTTGAGAAGTGTCTGTTCATGTCCTTCGCCCACTTTTTGATGGGGTTGTTTGTTTTTTTCTTGTAAATTTGTTTGAGTTCATTGTAGATTCTGGATATTAGCCCTTTGTCAGATGAGTAGGTTGCGAAAATTTTCTCCCATGTTGTAGGTTGCCTGTTCACTCTGATGGTAGTTTCTTTTGCTGTGCAGAAGCTCTTTAGTTTAATTAGATCCCATTTGTCAATTTTGGCTTTTGTTGCCATTGCTTTTGGTGTTTTGGACATGAAGTCCTTGCCCACGCCTATGTCCTGAATGGTAATGCCTAGGTTTTCTTCTAGGGTTTTTATGGTTTTAGGTCTAACGTTTAAATCTTTAATCCATCTTGAATTGATTTTTGTATAAGGTGTAGGGAAGGGATCCAGTTTCAGCTTTCTACATATGGCTAGCCAGTTTTCCCAGCACCATTTATTAAATAGGGAATCCTTTCCCCATTGCTTGTTTTTCTCAGGTTTGTCAAAGATCAGATAGTTGTAGATATGCGGCATTATTTCTGAGGGCTCTGTTCTGTTCCATTGATCTATATCTCTGTTTTGGTACCAGTACCATGCTGTTTTGGTTACTGTAGCCTTGTAGTATAGTTTGAAGTCAGGTAGTGTGATGCCTCCAGCTTTGTTCTTTTGGCTTAGGATTGACTTGGCAATGTGGGCTCTTTTTTGGTTCCATATGAACTTTAAAGTAGTTTTTTCCAATTCTGTGAAGAAAGTCATTGGTAGCTTGATGGGGATGGCATTGAATCTGTAAATTACCTTGGGCAGTATGGCCATTTTCACGATATTGATTCTTCCTACCCATGAGCATGGAATGTTCTTCCATTTGTTTGTGTCCTCTTTTATTTCCTTGAGCAGTGGTTTGTAGTTCTCCTTGAAGAGGTCCTTCACATCCCTTGTAAGTTGGATTCCTAGGTATTTTATTCTCTTTGAAGCAATTGTGAATGGGAGTTCACCCATGATTTGGCTCTCTGTTTGTCTGTTGTTGGTGTATAAGAATGCTTGTGATTTTTGTACATTGATTTTGTATCCTGAGACTTTGCTGAAGTTGCTTATCAGCTTAAGGAGATTTTGGGCTGAGACGATGGGGTTTTCTAGATAAACAATCATGTCGTCTGCAAACAGGGACAATTTGACTTCCTCTTTTCCTAATTGAATACCCTTTATTTCCTTCTCCTGCCTGATTGCCCTGGCCAGAACTTCCAACACTATGTTGAATAGGAGTGGTGAGAGAGGGCATCCCTGTCTTGTGCCAGTTTTCAAAGGGAATGCTTCCAGTTTTTGCCCATTCAGTATGATATTGGCTGTGGGTTTGTCATAGATAGCTCTTATTATTTTGAAATACGTCCCATCAATACCTAATTTATTGAGAGTTTTTAGCATGAAGGGTTGTTGAATTTTGTCAAAGGCTTTTTCTGCATCTATTGAGATAATCATGTGGTTTTTGTCTTTGGCTCTGTTTATATGCTGGATTACATTTATTGATTTGCGTATATTGAACCAGCCTTGCATCCCAGGGATGAAGCCCACTTGATCATGGTGGATAAGCTTTTTGATGTGCTGCTGGATTCGGTTTGCCAGTATTTTATTGAGGATTTTTGCATCAATGTTCATCAAGGATATTGGTCTAAAATTCTCTTTTTTGGTTGTGTCTCTGCCCGGCTTTGGTATCAGAATGATGCTGGCCTCATAAAATGAGTTAGGGAGGATTCCCTCTTTTTCTATTGATTGGAATAGTTTCAGAAGGAATGGTACCAGTTCCTCCTTGTACCTCTGGTAGAATTCGGCTGTGAATCCATCTGGTCCTGGACTCTTTTTGGTTGGTAAACTATTGATTATTGCCACAATTTCAGAGCCTGTTATTGGTCTATTCAGAGATTCAACTTCTTCCTGGTTTAGTCTTGGGAGAGTGTATGTGTCGAGGAATGTATCCATTTCTTCTAGATTTTCTAGTTTATTTGCCTAGAGGTGTTTGTAGTATTCTCTGATGGTAGTTTGTATTTCTGTGGGATCGGTGGTGATATCCCCTTTATCATTTTTTATTGTGTCTATTTGATTCTTCTCTCTTTTTTTCTTTATTAGTCTTGCTAGCGGTCTATCAATTTTGTTGATCCTTTCAAAAAACCAGCTCCTGGATTCATTGATTTTTTGAAGAGTTTTTTGTGTCTCTATTTCCTTCAGTTCTGCTCTGATCTTAGTTATTTCTTGCCTTCTGCTAGCTTTTGAATGTGTTTGCTCTTGCTTTTCTAGTTCTTTTAATTGTGATGTTAGGGTGTCAATTTTGGATCTTTCCTGCTTTCTCTTGTAGGCATTTAGTGCTATAAATTTCCCTCTACACACTGCTTTGAATGCGTCCCAGAGATTCTGGTATGTGGTGTCTTTGTTCTCGTTGGTTTCAAAGAACATCTTTATTTCTGCCTTCATTTCGTTCTGTACCCAGTAGTCATTCAGGAGCAGGTTGTTCAGTTTCCATGTAGTTGAGCGGCTTTGAGTGAGATTTTTAATCCTGAGTTCTAGTTTGATTGCACTGTGGTCTGAGAGATAGTTTGTTATAATTTCTGTTCTTTTACATTTGCTGAGGAGAGCTTTACTTCCAACTATGTGGTCAATTTTGGAATAGGTGTGGTGTGGTGCTGAAAAAAATGTATATTCTGTTGATTTGGGGTGGAGAGTTCTGTAGATGTCTATTAGGTCTGCTTGGTGCAGAGCTGAGTTCAATTCCTGGGTATCCTTGTTGACTTTCTGTCTCGTTGATCTGTCTAATGTTGACAGTGGGGTGTTAAAGTCTCCCATTATTAATGTGTGGGAGTCTAAGTCTCTTTGTAGGTCACTGAGGACTTGCTTTATGAATCTGGGTGCTCCTGTATTGGGTGCATAAATATTTAGGATAGTTAGCTCCTCTTGTTGAATTGATCCCTTTATCATTATGTAATGGCCTTCTTTGTCTCTTTTGATCTTTGTTGGTTTAAAGTCTGTTTTATCAGAGACTAGGATTGCAACCTCTGCCTTTTTTTGTTTTCCATTGGCTTGGTAGATCTTCCTCCATCCTTTTATTTTGAGCCTATGTGTGTCTCTGCACGTGAGATGGGTTTCCTGAATACAGCACACTGATGGGTCTTGACTCTTTATCCAACTTGCCAGTCTGTGTCTTTTAATTGCAGAATTTAGTCCATTTATATTTAAAGTTAATATTGTTATGTGTGAATTTGATCCTGTCATTATGATGTTAGCTGGTGATTTTGCTCATTAGTTGATGCAGTTTCTTCCTAGTCTCGATGGTCTTTACATTTTGGCATGATTTTGCAGCGGCTGGTACCGGTTGTTCCTTTCCATGTTTAGCGCTTCCTTCAGGAGCTCTTTTAGGGCAGGCCTGGTGGTGACAAAATCTCTCAGCATTTGCTTGTCTATAAAGTATTTTATTTCTCCTTCACTTATGAAGCTTAGTTTGGCTGATACGAAATTCTGGGTTGAAAATTCTTTTCTTTAAGAATGTTGAATATTGGCCCCCACTCTCTTCTGGCTTGTAGGGTTTCTGCCGAGAGATCCGCTGTTAGTCTGATGGGCTTTCCTTTGAGGGTAACCCGACCTTTCTCTCTGGCTGCCCTTAACATTTTTTCCTTCATTTCAACTTTGGTGAATCTGACAATTATGTGTCTTGGAGTTGCTCTTCTCGAGGAGTATCTTTGTGGCATTCTCTGTATTTCCTGAATCTGAACGTTGGCCTGCCTTGCTAGATTGGGGAAGTTCTCCTGGATAATATCCTGCAGAGTGTTTTCCAACTTGGTTCCATTCTCCACATCACTTTCAGGTACACCAATCAGACGTAGATTTGGTCTTTTCACATAGTCCCATATTTCTTGGAGGCTTTGCTCATTTCTTTTTATTCTTTTTTCTCTAAACTTCCCTTCTCGCTTCATTTCATTCATTTCATCTTCCATTGCTGATACCCTTTCTTCCAGTTGATCGCATCGGCTCCTGAGGCTTCTGCATTCTTCACGTAGTTCTCGAGCCTTGGTTTTCAGCTCCATCAGCTCCTTTAAGCACTTCTCTGTATTGGTTATTCTAGTTATACATTCTTCTAAATTTTTTTCAAAGTTTTCAACTTCTTTGCCTTTGGTTTGAATGTCCTCCCGTAGCTCAGAGTAATTTGATCGTCTGAAGCCTTCTTCTCTCAGCTCGTCAAAATCATTCTCCATCCAGCTTTGTTCTGTTGCTGGTGAGGAACTGCGTTCCTTTGGAGGAGGAGAGGCGCTCTGCGTTTTAGAGTTTCCAGTTTTTCTGTTCTGTTTTTTCCCCATCTTTGTGGTTTTATCTACTTTTGGTCTTTGATGATGGTGATGTACAGATGGGTTTTCGGTGTAGATGTCCTTTCTGGTTGTTAGTTTTCCTTCTAACAGACAGGACCCTCAGCTGCAGGTCTGTTGGAATACCCTGCCGTGTTAGGTGTCAGTGTGCCCCTGCTGGGGGGTGCCTCCCAGTTAGGCTGCTCGGGGGTCAGGGGTCAGGGACCCACTTGAGGAGGCAGTCTGCCCGTTCTCAGATCTCCAGCTGCGTGCTGGGAGAACCACTGCTCTCTTCAAAGCTGTCAGACAGGGACACTTAAGTCTGCAGAGGTTACTGCTGTCTTTTTGTTTGTCTGTGCCCTGCCCCCAGAGGTGGAGCCTACAGAGGCAGGCAGGCCTCCTTGAGCTGTGGTGGGCTCCACCCAGTTCGAGCTTCCCGGCTGCTTTGTTTACCTAAGCAAGCCTGGGCAATGGCGGGCGCCCCTCCCCCAGCCTCGTTGCCGCCTTGCAGTTTGATCTCAGACTGCTGTGCTAGCAATCAGCGAGATTCCGTGGGCGTAGGACCCTCTGAGCCAGGTGTGGGATATAGTCTCGTGGTGCGCCGTTTCTTAAGCCGGTCTGAAAAGCGCAATATTCGGGTGGGAGTGACCCGATTTTCCAGGTGCGTCCGTCACCCCTTTCTTTGACTGGGAAAGGGAACTCCCTGACCCCTTGCGCTTCCCAGGTGAGGCAATGCCTCGCCCTGCTTCGGCTCGCGCACGGTGCGCACACACACTGGCCTGCGCCCACCGTCTGGCACTCCCTAGTGAGATGAACCCGGTACCTCAGATGGAAATGCAGAAATCACCCGTCTTCTGCGTCGCTCACGCTGGGAGCTGTAGACCGGAGCTGTTCCTATTCGGCCATCTTGGCTCCTCCTCCTCCAATTTTTCCATAAGTATTTTGAAGCTATTATTCCGTTGCCTTATGATTCTAATGTTGCTATTCAGAATTCCTTTATGAGTCTAATTTAGTGATCCTCAATCAAGGACAATATTGCCCTCCAAGGACATCTGGCAATGTCTGGAGACATTTTTGGTTGTCACAACTGGGGGGAAGATGCTACTAGCATCTAATAGTTAGAATCTAGGAAAAATGCTAAATATCCTACAATGTACAGAACAGTCCTCCACAACTAAGAAGTATCTGGTCCACAATGTCAGTAGTGCTGAAATTGAGAAACTCTGGTCAAATTCTTGTTGCTGTATAAGTAATATGTTTTCTCTTTGGTTACTTTTTAAAAACTTGTCTTTGTTGTTTTAGTGTTTTGCTATGAGATGACTATGGTGTATTTATTGTCATTCATCTTGTTTGGGACTCATTGTACTTCTTACATCTGAGAATTTATATCTTTCACCTATTTTAGAATATTCTCAGTCATTTTCACTGCAAATATTTTCTGTTTCTCACTTTCTCTTTTATATCTTTATGGATGTCTTACTAGATATATGTTGGGCCTTTTCATTCTATTTTTCATGTTAATTAATCTGTCACACTTTTCATCTCTTTCAAAACCTATTACATTTGGATAATTTCCTCATATATTTCTTCCAGTTCACTGATTTTTCTTCTAATATCTGTAGCCTGTTTTTGAATATGTCCATTGTTTTTAATTTTTATGTTCCACATTTTTATTTCCAGAATTTCTATTTATTTTTCAAACATTTTTTCATAGTCACTTTTAATAGAATTTTGAGTCTTTCTTTTGTCCTTATTTCAACATACTTATTTCATACTATTTTTTATATTTTAGAGCTTTTTTTCTATTATCTCACTTATTGGTGCTCTACCCTTGCAGTTTTTTCTGTCTGCCAACCCATTTGTGATGGAAAATATGTTTGTGTGTGTTATAAATTCAGATTGTGCCCTTATAGTAAACAGGGCTTGTTTTATCTATGGTAACCCCTTATTTTCTGAGTATGTAGATTTTTTTTCTACCAGGTGTTTCGGGAGTATCACCAGCCAAGAACCTAATTTTACATTAATTTATCAATTTGAAGATTTTCCATACAAAGTGAATGGTGTAAATTCTAAACTCCAATCCACATGAGGTACAGACTCCACTATTGCTATTTTAACTCCGAAGCTATATTTTCTATCCTCTCGACTTCCCTTCTTTGTCTAATCCAAGGTCAACCATAGCATCCATTCACAAGTTTACTTTTCTGTTTGTAATTTCCTCTTCATTTCTGGCACATGGAAATTTCCTTTCTTGTCAGCTCAGCTATGCATTTAAAATAATTTGTGTTGTAATTCGTCAAGTATTATAGAGGGAGGGTTTTCAGACTGTTGTAGAGCAGAACAAGAAGTCAGCACTCATCTTATCTCTCTTTACTTATTTTCTATTTCTTTTCCCCAAGGAGTTGATTGGCATAGATCTACATGCCCTGTGTCTTGTTCCAGTCAAGGATGGCATCGCTCTGTTCAAGTCATGGCCTTTGTAAAATATGACCTGTCTTACCGTCTTCTTCCACTTCTCAAGATGCTGCTGGCCTTATTAGTGTATTAAAGTTTATTTCCTTCTCCAGTCCCTCTTAACTGTCTCCTCCCTTGGGGCTGCCTAGCACAGACCATTGCCCTGCACACAATGTAAGCCTCCTGGGCCTTATATAAGCCACATGCTTACCATGTGTACATACACACATTTTTGCATCTGTCTCACCGAGTTTTCCTCCTATACTGGTGTTGTGCTTTTCATTGGCCTTTCCTTGAATTATAAGGGCAAGATCCACTCTTAAGCTTAGGACAAAAATGCAGAGACTTTAAGAGACTTAAGTGATATAATGAATGCCAGGGAAAGAAAGAAGCAAGAAGTCTCATTTCTGTGTCCTACCCTAAACTTGGCCTTCCAAATTCAACTTTTATCAAAACATTTATCTTTTTTAAACCTTTTATCAAAACCCTCAAACGTAGGGGGTTTTCAGTTGTTTGCTCAAATACGTAAGTGGTCATTTGTTTCTCATTTTCCTTTTCATGCTCATGTTTATACTCCTTGGTGAGAAACGCAGAGGGAAGAAAGGGTTATTGCCACCCTAAAATCCTAATTAAATTTTTCCTTTTGATTCTTCTCAGATATAAACTTCTAAATGCAATTATTAGATATGTTCAGACAAAAATCTTTATGATTGAAAACATAATTATTGATGCTGATTTATGCTTCCTGTTGTTCTTATTAAATTGCAGCCGTTTAAATATCTAGTAGGCTGCTCTTTTAAGGCTTTTTTGCTAAGACAGAAGAGCTAATAATGCATTTGGGAGCTCTGTCATAAAGCTCTCCAGGCACATGCTCATTAGTAAGCTTCTACCCAGTGTGTCAATCAAATCATTGCAAATTGCATCTGAAAATTATTCTGCCCATTTTCAAAGGATTTTTTGTTACGATTCCAGAAAAATGCAAATTTGTTCCAGCCAGTTTATCCTAAGATGTGTTCTTCTAAAGCATCACTGTGATATTGATAGGCTATTATTCCAAGCTAAGTTCAGATCTTCATACAAAGAACTGAGCCTATCTAAAGCAACGAAATGCAGCAGGCCCTAACTGGGGGCTGTACTCAACTATTGGGAATGTCTGAGTATTCATTTTGAGACCACTTCCATCCATAGCATGATGTGTGAACTTAGGTAAGGTGGCTGCATATAGCTCTGCTGATACACTGTTATTTTTTTCCTGATTTCTCTGTCTCTTATAGATTTCATAAATATTGTCAGTTAGGATGAAGGAATTTCAACCTCTCTATAATAGCTGATGCTTTATAAAACTAAAAGAGATCTCAGGAGAAATATTTGATAACTAATGAATTAATCTTTGCTAATGGGTGGGTCAAATAATTTGTATTAGTGACACTGCAATACAGTTTGCCCAGGACACCCAGAAAGTATGATCTAACCTTCTTCACTTTCAAAACAGAGAGACAGAGAGCAGTGTTATGGAAAAGGTGTAGGTGTTGGAAACTGATCAACCAAATTCTGATCCCAATTCTGCTGCTTACAGCTGTGTGACTTCAGGCAAGTTTCTAAGCCTGTCTGAACCACCATTCACTTTATTTCCTTACAATGAAGAAATCATTACATCTAAGCAGGATTAAACTAGGTACTCAATTATTTTATTTCCCTTACCCTTCATTAGTAGCAAAATGACAGGCTAATCAGGTATTAGAGATTTTTTCAAAACTCCATCAATTTTCTGTTCAGTAAGAGATCAGTGATGAAAATAAGCATGACTCAAATATAATTATTCTAATACTGTATATCCTAATCTTTTGTTCTATCTCATTGACAGAACACTTGAGAGTAATTTTAGATTTTTGTAAGTCATCAATCCATCATTATATGTGGGCCAACATCTGTGCATAACGACTGGGAATTACTAAGAAAAATTTATTCATACTGATTGAATAGCAGAGCCATATGCAGAAGACACCTTTTATTTTATTTTATTTTATTATTATACTTTAAGTTTTAGGGTACATGTGCACATTGTGCAGGTTAGTTACATATGTATACATGTGCCATGCTGGTGCACTGCACCCACTAACTCGTCATCTAGCATTAGGTATATCTCCCAAAGCTATCCCTCCCCCCTCCCCCCACCCCACAACAGTCCCCAGAGTGTGATGCTCCCCTTCCTGTGTCCATGTGATCTCATTGTTCAATTCCCACCTATAAGTGAGAATATGCGGTGTTTGGTTTTTTGTTCTTGTGATAGTTTACTGAGAATGATGATTTCCAATTTCATCCATGTCCCTACAAAGGACATGAACTCATCATTTTTTATGGCTGCATAGTATTCCATGGTGTATATGTGCCACATTTTCTTAATCCAGTCTATCATTGTTGGACATTTGGGTTGGTTCCAAGTCTTTGCTATTGTGAATAGTGCCGCAATAAACATACGTGTGCATGTGTCTTTATAGCAGCATGATTTATAGTCCTTTGGGTATATACCCAGTAATGGGATTGCTGGGTCAAATGGTATTTCTAGTTCTAGATCCCTGAGGAATTGCCACACTGACTTCCACAATGGTTGAACTAGTTTACAGTCCCACCAACAGTGTAAAAGTGTTCCTATTTCTCCACATCCTCTCCAGCACCTGTTGTTTCCTGACTTTTTAATGATTGCCATTCTAACTGCCGTGAGATGGTATCTCATTGTGGTTTTGATTTGCATTCCTCTGATGGCCAGTGATGATGAGCATTTCTTCATGTGTTTTTTGGCTGCATAAATGTCTTCTTTTGAGAAGTGTCTGTTCATGTCCTTTGCCCACTTTTTGATGGGGTTTGTTTTTTCTTGTAAATTTGTTTAAGTTCATTGTAGATTCTGGATATTAGCCCTTTGTCAGATGAGTAGGTTGTGAAAATTTTCTCCCATTTTGTAGGTTGCCTGTTCACTCTGATGGTAGTTTCTTTTGCTGTGCAGAAGCTCTTTAGTTTAATTAGATCCCATTTGTCAATTTTGTCTTTTGTTGCCATTGCTTTTGGTGTTTTAGACATGAAGTCCTTGCCCATGCCTATGTCCTGAATGGTATTGCCTAGGTTTTCTTCTAGGGTTTTTATGGTTTTAGGTTTAACGTTTAAGTCTTTAATCCATCTTGAATTGACACCTTTCAACTCTAGCCACATGGGGTAAAGGCTTAGGAGACATTGGAGACTGAAATTATAATCACTGTTTTAAAGTTCTCTAGGTGTCAGTACATAACAATGAGCTATATGTAGGCTAAATATGGCATTGTACATTGTAGCTTAAGAACAAACAATAAAGACAAATGCCAAAATCAAGTTAAAACCATCTAAAGGCAGATAGAATTCCATATTTGAGTCAAATAGCACTATACAGCTTACTCCTTGATTTTATTTTTTAAATGTATAGCAATTATTAGAGTTCCTTAAGTAGCAAAAAAATCTTAAATCCATTTCCCTTTCTGAGCAAATATTAATATCACAATGTATTGATATATCTCAAATGCAAGTCATTTGATCAATAAGCTCAATATTCAAAGAGTCAATATTATTTTAAAGATAAAGTCGTTGGGAAGATTTAAATACATGTTTCTGAACAAACAATATCACAATGTATTGACATATCTCAAGTGAAAGTCATTTGATCAATAAGCTCAGTATTCAAAGAGGAAATATTATTTTAAAGATAAATTTAAAGTCATTGTGGGAAAGATTTAAAAAATAGAAGAAGACACAAACACTTTTTCTCAAATATTATGCTTAGTTATTCTTTCTTTCTTCCCAACCTCACAGCTATACTCTTGCTGGTCTTGACACCATTGAATGCCTGGCCGACGGCAAGTGGAGTAGAAGTGACCAGCAGTGCCTGGCTGTCTCCTGTGATGAGCCACCCATTGTGGACCACGCCTCTCCAGAGACTGCCCATCGGCTCTTTGGAGACATTGCATTCTACTACTGCTCTGATGGTTACAGCCTAGCAGACAATTCCCAGCTTCTCTGCAATGCCCAGGGCAAGTGGGTACCCCCAGAAGGTCAAGACATGCCCCGTTGTATAGCTCATTTCTGTGAAAAACCTCCATCGGTTTCCTATAGCATCTTGGAATCTGTGAGCAAAGCAAAATTTGCAGCTGGCTCAGTTGTGAGCTTTAAATGCATGGAAGGCTTTGTACTGAACACCTCAGCAAAGATTGAATGTATGAGAGGTGGGCAGTGGAACCCTTCCCCCATGTCCATCCAGTGCATCCCTGTGCGGTGTGGAGAGCCACCAAGCATCATGAATGGCTATGCAAGTGGATCAAACTACAGTTTTGGAGCCATGGTGGCTTACAGCTGCAACAAGGGGTTCTACATCAAAGGGGAAAAGAAGAGCACCTGCGAAGCCACAGGGCAGTGGAGTAGTCCTATACCGACGTGCCACCCGGTATCTTGTGGTGAACCACCTAAGGTTGAGAATGGCTTTCTGGAGGTAAGAGACCAATTAGCAAATGGTCTGTGGCTTTTGTCACAGGGCCCATAATAAATAAATAAACAAAACAAATAATTGAGTCCAAACACTGCCAAGTTCACTAAGGCATGGAAACTGGAATTTACTATTATCACTAACAAAGAATCATGATAATCTTTTTAACATTTTCATAATTAATTCATCTCTTGATGAATTAATTCATCTGCCTAAGGTTGTGAATCACTTTCTGGAGGTAAGAGACTAATTAGCAAATGCTCTGTGGCTTTCATCACTTACAGGGCCAGCCCACTGTGATGAACCCACTATTCAGAAGCGGGGCAATGAACAAATTAATTATTGAAAAACAGAAATGGCTAAAATCTACAGGTAGTGAAGACTGGAAAAAAAATTAATGAAGATGATTATGAATCTTTAGTATATAACTTTCTGCATTTTACTAGTGTATAGGCATTTCAAGTGCTTTGTGGCAACAGCTTAGCCCTAAATAGGAAGTTAGAATAAACCAATTTTAATATAATATTTTGTTTTACAGAGGTTTTTCAGGATGGATATATGCTTTATTTTATAGAAGGCAAGGTCTAAATGGAACCTAGAGAAATATATTATAATTTTAAATGCTTAGACAAAAGATAGGGTAAACCAAATAATGTAGTTTTTACAATTCTGTTTTGGTAAACCTAAAGGTAATTTCACTGTGATGGACAAAAGAGTTCAGTCCAACCCAAATATGTCCTGCTTTCACGCTAATGTGTGTCTTCTCAATAAGCCTACCAAGAAAATAGGAATGAGAATCTATTCCCCCAAATCAAGGGCCATTTGAAATTGACCATATTCTAATTAAACACTTTTTTAAAACCCACATATATACACAGTACAACCTTTTCTCCTTTACATTCAAAATAACAAAACAGTAAAAGCCTTTTATTTAAGGCTTTTGCTTAGATTTAGTAGCTTTTCATTGGAAGAGGGTACAGAGTATAAGTAGAGAGGTGTTCATTTATTAATTGGAAGAGGGTATAGAGTATAAGTAGAGAGGTGTTCATTTATAAATTTAATAAATATTTCTAGAGCTCCTGCTTGGCACCAGGTACAGTTCTGAGAATCAGCGACCTAGCATTTAACAACACAGATTAGATGTGTAATGGCATGGTGCTTACATGCATGGGAGACACACAAGCAATGCATAAACAAAATGAGTAATTTTGTTTATTTGTTTATGACCTGTTATATTACATGTGTTTGAATTTTGAGATCACGAATATTAATTTTTTGTTTTAAAAGATAGGATATTATTTTCTATTGTTACAGCAGTAATTTTTAAGAAATATGTTAATATAAACAAAATTTTGATAGTATTCTTAAGACATACCCATAAAAACATTTTATTTGACTATTTATGATCTAACAACATTAACAAATACATGTTAATTGTTTATGTGCTTCTTTACTAGCATTTCTTTGGGCAGAAAGTTTTTTTGAACTGAGTAATTTATCATTTTTAGCGTTGCCTCATCAGTTCACCAATCAATATATAGATTACTGATCTTTTACTTGTTATGGGCTCAAAACTGTAGTAAGGATTTCTGCAGTGGGGATTACTTAATTTGATTTTCTTTTTTTCTTTCTTTTCTTTCTTCCCTTTAGACAGAGTCTTGCTCTGTCTCCCAGGCTGGAGTGCAGTGGCACAATCTCAGCTCACTGCAACCTCTGCCTCCTGGGTTCAAGTGATTCTCCTGCCTCAGCTTCCCAAATGGCTGAGATTACAGGCACATACCACCATGCCTAGCTAATTTTTGTACAGGTTTCACCATGTTGGCCAGGCTGGTCTCGAACTCCTAACCTCAAGTGTTCCTCCTGCCTCGGCCTCCCAAAGTGCTGGGATTGTAGGCATGAATCGTCATGCCGAGCCTAAGTTGACTTTCTACTATCATTTTCACTTATTTAAAAAAATAGAATGGATCTATTGGAAAAACCATAAATCATTATTTGCTTACTTCCTAATTGATTCATTTTAACATAGACCTTTTAGTTTTTTTCACTATCCAAGGATTTAGTTAATGCTATCATCTGTTATACAAATCGCACTCACTTGCTTTCTTCCTGTTGCACAGCATACAACTGGCAGGATCTTTGAGAGTGAAGTGAGGTATCAGTGTAACCCGGGCTATAAGTCAGTCGGAAGTCCTGTATTTGTCTGCCAAGCCAATCGCCACTGGCACAGTGAATCCCCTCTGATGTGTGTTCCTCTCGACTGTGGAAAACCTCCCCCGATCCAGAATGGCTTCATGAAAGGAGAAAACTTTGAAGTAGGGTCCAAGGTTCAGTTTTTCTGTAATGAGGGTTATGAGCTTGTTGGTGACAGTTCTTGGACATGTCAGAAATCTGGCAAATGGAATAAGAAGTCAAATCCAAAGTGCATGCCTGCCAAGTGCCCAGAGCCGCCCCTCTTGGAAAACCAGCTAGTATTAAAGGAGTTGACCACCGAGGTAGGAGTTGTGACATTTTCCTGTAAAGAAGGGCATGTCCTGCAAGGCCCCTCTGTCCTGAAATGCTTGCCATCCCAGCAATGGAATGACTCTTTCCCTGTTTGTAAGATTGTTCTTTGTACCCCACCTCCCCTAATTTCCTTTGGTGTCCCCATTCCTTCTTCTGCTCTTCATTTTGGAAGTACTGTCAAGTATTCTTGTGTAGGTGGGTTTTTCCTAAGAGGAAATTCTACCACCCTCTGCCAACCTGATGGCACCTGGAGCTCTCCACTGCCAGAATGTGTTCCAGTAGAATGTCCCCAACCTGAGGAAATCCCCAATGGAATCATTGATGTGCAAGGCCTTGCCTATCTCAGCACAGCTCTCTATACCTGCAAGCCAGGCTTTGAATTGGTGGGAAATACTACCACCCTTTGTGGAGAAAATGGTCACTGGCTTGGAGGAAAACCAACATGTAAAGCCATTGAGTGCCTGAAACCCAAGGAGATTTTGAATGGCAAATTCTCTTACACGGACCTACACTATGGACAGACCGTTACCTACTCTTGCAACCGAGGCTTTCGGCTCGAAGGTCCCAGTGCCTTGACCTGTTTAGAGACAGGTGATTGGGATGTAGATGCCCCATCTTGCAATGCCATCCACTGTGATTCCCCACAACCCATTGAAAATGGTTTTGTAGAAGGTGCAGATTACAGCTATGGTGCCATAATCATCTACAGTTGCTTCCCTGGGTTTCAGGTGGCTGGTCATGCCATGCAGACCTGTGAAGAGTCAGGATGGTCAAGTTCCATCCCAACATGTATGCCAATAGACTGTGGCCTCCCTCCTCATATAGATTTTGGAGACTGTACTAAACTCAAAGATGACCAGGGATATTTTGAGCAAGAAGACGACATGATGGAAGTTCCATATGTGACTCCTCACCCTCCTTATCATTTGGGAGCAGTGGCTAAAACCTGGGAAAATACAAAGGAGTCTCCTGCTACACATTCATCAAACTTTCTGTATGGTACCATGGTTTCATACACCTGTAATCCAGGATATGAACTTCTGGGGAACCCTGTGCTGATCTGCCAGGAAGATGGAACTTGGAATGGCAGTGCACCATCCTGCATTTCAATTGAATGTGACTTGCCTACTGCTCCTGAAAATGGCTTTTTGCGTTTTACAGAGACTAGCATGGGAAGTGCTGTGCAGTATAGCTGTAAACCTGGACACATTCTAGCAGGCTCTGACTTAAGGCTTTGTCTAGAGAATAGAAAGTGGAGTGGTGCCTCCCCACGCTGTGAAGCCATTTCATGCAAAAAGCCAAATCCAGTCATGAATGGATCCATCAAAGGAAGCAACTACACATACCTGAGCACGTTGTACTATGAGTGTGACCCCGGATATGTGCTGAATGGCACTGAGAGGAGAACATGCCAGGATGACAAAAACTGGGATGAGGATGAGCCCATTTGCATTCCTGTGGACTGCAGTTCACCCCCAGTCTCAGCCAATGGCCAGGTGAGAGGAGACGAGTACACATTCCAAAAAGAGATTGAATACACTTGCAATGAAGGGTTCTTGCTTGAGGGAGCCAGGAGTCGGGTTTGTCTTGCCAATGGAAGTTGGAGTGGAGCCACTCCCGACTGTGTGCCTGTCAGATGTGCCACCCCGCCACAACTGGCCAATGGGGTGACGGAAGGCCTGGACTATGGCTTCATGAAGGAAGTAACATTCCACTGTCACGAGGGCTACATCTTGCACGGTGCTCCAAAACTCACCTGTCAGTCAGATGGCAACTGGGATGCAGAGATTCCTCTCTGTAAACCAGTCAACTGTGGACCTCCTGAAGATCTTGCCCATGGTTTCCCTAATGGTTTTTCCTTTATTCATGGGGGCCATATACAGTATCAGTGCTTTCCTGGTTATAAGCTCCATGGAAATTCATCAAGAAGGTGCCTCTCCAATGGCTCCTGGAGTGGCAGCTCACCTTCCTGCCTGCCTTGCAGATGTTCCACACCAGTAATTGAATATGGAACTGTCAATGGGACAGATTTTGACTGTGGAAAGGCAGCCCGGATTCAGTGCTTCAAAGGCTTCAAGCTCCTAGGACTTTCTGAAATCACCTGTGAAGCCGATGGCCAGTGGAGCTCTGGGTTCCCCCACTGTGAACACACTTCTTGTGGTTCTCTTCCAATGATACCAAATGCGTTCATCAGTGAGACCAGCTCTTGGAAGGAAAATGTGATAACTTACAGCTGCAGGTCTGGATATGTCATACAAGGCAGTTCAGATCTGATTTGTACAGAGAAAGGGGTATGGAGCCAGCCTTATCCAGTCTGTGAGCCCTTGTCCTGTGGGTCCCCACCGTCTGTCGCCAATGCAGTGGCAACTGGAGAGGCACACACCTATGAAAGTGAAGTGAAACTCAGGTAAGATCATGGCTCTAGGGTCTCCAAGGGGTGCGGGCAGGATTATGAAATGAAATGTGATCGATCAAAAATTTTGCTGATTGGGAAGAAAACATCATCTCTGAACTGCTCTCCAAACACTGGTGCTTTTAACACTTGGCTTTATTCTACCTACAATTATGTAGAAATCCACTGAGTATAAAAATAAATCGATACTTTTTTCAGACATGTTTCTAATATAATTATCATGACTATCATATTCTGTTGAGCTTCGTGAAACAAACAGCAAGATCCTCTAGCTAGCTTGAAAAGCTCCGGAATCGTGAAGCTGTTTTTTAAACATCAGGATAGTAAATTTCTTTATGATTATAACTTTGTGATTATATTGACACATGCAAATATTGGGGACATAAGGCAAAAAACTGAAGAATTCAGGCCATGATCATGCCAAATAATCAGGATTAAAAGAAATATCTTATGTAAAGGACCTAGAGCAGCACTTGGCACAAAGTAGGTATTCATAATACATATGAATTATGCTGTATTCCTACTAGTATCTGAGTCCATGTAGGTATTCATAATACATATGAATTATGCTGTATTCCTACTAGTATCTGAGTCCACGTAGGTATTCATAATACATATTAATTATGCTGTATTCCTACTAGTATCTGAGTCCACGTAGGTATTCATAATACATATGAATTATGCTGTATTCCTACTAGTATCTGAGTCCACGTAGGTATTCATAATACAAATGAATTATGCTGTATTCCTACTAGTATCTGAGTCCATGTAGGTATTCATAATACATATGAATTATGCTGTATTCCTACTAGTATCTGAGTCCATGTAGGTATTCATAATACATATGAATTATGCTGTATTCCTACTAGTATCTGAGTCCATGTAGGTATTCATAATACATATTAATTATGCTGTATTCCTACTAGTATCTGAGTCCATTTTGGACTGTCTAGAATTTCCTGAACTGTTAGCTGTTTATAGAATAAAAATGAATTCAATAATAATAATATCCACAATAAGGTAAATAACATCAAAAACACTTAAAGTAATTTTAGTCTTGATTAACTTTTCATGTGGATAACTGAGAACTGATCTGGTTATTACCGGTTTTTTGTTTTTTGGTTTTTTGAGACAACGTCTTGCTCTGTCACCCAGGCTGGAGTGCAGTGGCATGTTCTTGGCTCACTGCAGCCTCAACCTCCTTAGTTCAAGCAGTCCTCCCACCTCTGCCTCCCAAGTAGCTGAGACTACAGGCATGTGCCACCGTGCCCAGCTAATTTTGTTTATTTTTTATAGAGATGAAGTCTCACTATGTTTCCCAGCCTAGTCTCAAGCTCCTGGACTCAAGTGGTCCTCCTGCCTCAGCCTTCCAAAGTGCAGGGATTACAGGCATGAGCCACCGCACCCAGCTCAACTGGTTGTTATTGTTATGTTGGTGTTTTTGCATGGCAATGCCATCCGCCTGACATATTGATTGTGCAACAATCAATATGTTGCACAAAATATCTACTGAGCCTTGTAACAGCTTCCTAAATCCAAGGATAGATCAGAAACTATATTGTACTTCATTTAAGGCACTCATTTTTGCATTTCCATTGCAGATGTCTGGAAGGTTATACGATGGATACAGATACAGATACATTCACCTGTCAGAAAGATGGTCGCTGGTTCCCTGAGAGAATCTCCTGCAGTCCTAAAAAATGTCCTCTCCCGGAAAACATAACACATATACTTGTACATGGGGACGATTTCAGTGTGAATAGGCAAGTTTCTGTGTCATGTGCAGAAGGGTATACCTTTGAGGGAGTTAACATATCAGTATGTCAGGTAAGATTCTGTCTTAATTAGAATGTGTAATGCCTACATATACATATATTGCCAAGCAAGCAGTATCTATAATAGTAATCCCAAAAAGAAAAAAAAGTCTGAAGTTTTCACTCATTTCAAAGGATTTGAAAAGTTTCTTGGTAGAAAATATAGTAAAATGTATCTTTTTTCTGCAGTATTCCCACTTTAAACTAAGAAAGTGCCAGGGTTAGGTAAAATATTAAGATTTCTATAACAAGATATTTATAACAAATTAACCACAAATCTTATTAAAAGAGGGTCCTTGTGTAGAAATCAGCCATGGGCTATGCCCAATATGTTTCCAGTTTTAGTGGAAAGACAAAAGTTTGCAGAAGCAGACAGATAATTGGTGTCAAATCCTCTTCTCTGCTATTTGCTGCTTGTAAGCAGTAGAGAAAGTTGCTTAAAATTTCTGAACTTTGGTTTCCTTATTTGTAAAAAAAAAAAAAAAAGTGTATTATTACACGTATCTTGTATTGTTGGTGAGAAATGAGATAAATAATGGAGGAAAGTGCCTGCTTCTACAACCTTGGTCTTTCCACTAAATCTAGAAACATATTGGGCATAACCCATGGCTGATTTCTATGCATAGACATTCTTTTGCACATAAGATTTATGATTAATTTGTCATGAAATCTTATTATAGATATTTTCACATTTTTTTTACCTAATTTTGGCACTTTTAGTTTGAAAATGGGAATCGGGCCGGGCACGGTGGCTCACGCCTGTAATCCCAGCACTTTGGGAGGCCGAGGTGGATGGATCACAAGGTCAAGAGATTGAGACCATCCTGGACAACACAGTGAAACCCCGTCTCTACTAAAAATACAAAAATTAGCCGGGCATAGTGGCGCATGCCTATAGTCCCAGCTACTCGGGAGGCTGAGACAGGAGAATTGCTTGAACCCAGGATGCGGAGGTTGCAGTGAACCGAGATTGCGCCACTGCACTCCAGCCTGGCAACAGAGCAATACTCCGTGTCAAAAAAAAAAAAAAAAAAAAAAAAAAACGGCGGTGGCGGGGAAGGAATCATCACCGTAGACAGCAGACTTTCCTAGCCCATCCCCTTCTCCTAACTTCCATAAGATATACCAGGAGAAGAAAAAATGTGTCACTGATAGACTCTTGCTGGAGTTGGGGTTGGTGTCAGGGGATTAAAAGCAGAGGAATGTGGCAGAGTATAGCAGACTTTCACTTCAAGCATACTTTTTTGTTTAAATTCCATCTCAAATATTTGTAGGTTCTATGACCTTATATTCCTTCAGCTTATTTTTTTATTTGTAAATCTGTGATAATTGAAAGGATTAAATTACCTAATGTGATATAAAATTGCTAGTACTTGCCTGACATATAGTAGGGACTCAAGAACCATTCCCTTCTCCCAGTTTTCCATTTATAAATCATGCATACTCAATGATTGGTCAATGTCAAACCTAAAAGCAGAAACATTAGGGGGAACAAGTTAAATAATTGCCAAATTATTAACTTGCCTTCAAATTTTGTATGGTTCCAGATGGTCCCTTTTAGATATAGAGCTGAAGAAGTTTTAGAGGAAACTTTGTCTAAGACTCTGAGCTGTCTGACAGAGTTCTGCCATAATTAAGGGAATCAAATTGTTGTTCTCCAGGTTGGGTGTGTAGACAACTGGGTCCCCTTGTAAGCCCTGGAGAACTCTGTGATACTGGCTAAAAAAGATACTAAGCTCTTTTTTTTTTAAGTCAATAATTTATTTTTCACAACCTTCATTAGTTTCTTCACACATAGTATGACCCCCCTTTTTTGCTCAACTGGGTTTTGGTTTAAATTTTTGGTCTGAAAAGTAGAATAGACCCTTTTTAAGGTGTAAACTGTGTAAAACTATGTTCAGCACCTAGGAGTATTGTGTAATGTGACAAAATGATTCTGTAGTTCATAAAATAAATACATGGATAAGGAGATCAATACAAATTTTGAAAAATGAATACTGAAAGAGGACCAGTCTCTCCAGAAACTAAAACATATCACAGAGTTACAAAACTCTTAGTGTAGTATTCATGTAAAATTACATAGGAGTAAAAATAAATGGAACAGAAGTAATGAGTCAGAAGCTGATTCTGATAAAGGAGTCATCACAAGTCTCTGGAGAAAATAAATCATTAATAAATGATTAAAATAAAAATAACCAAAATAAATTTCACATATAGCAAAAGAAAACAATAATATGTAGCTTTTAACAGTTACTGGTGTTATAATACCCAGAAAGATTTCTGCAAAATAAAAAATTATTAAGGCATTACTTACAATATTGAAAAATTAAATGCAATGTATATACTAGGAAAATGGTTAATCATGATGCAGTCATATATACAAAATTACTTTTGGTTCATATGTAGAATGAGGGTTTAGCCGCAAATCCTGTTTAACACTGTTATCCAATTCATATATATTTCCACAAAGAAAACAGAAAAATATTAGCAATAGAATAACAATCTTCAAGAGATATATCTGTGTGTGCCTCACCTTACCCAACAGATTAACCATTTTCCTAGTATATTTGTTGCATTTAATTTTTCAATAGTGTAGGTAGTGCCTTAATAATTTTTTTTTGCAGAAATCTTTCTGGGTAATGAAAACACTAATAACTGTTAAAAGCTACATATTATTGTTTTCTTTTGCTATATCTGGAATTTATTTTGGTTATTTTTATTTTAATCATTTATTGAGGATTTCTTTATAAAATTTATTTTAATCATTATTGATTTCTTTATAGATACAAAATTATATATATATATATAAATTTTTTTCTACATGACCCCTTCAAAAATATGTGATAAAATGTTTTTAGGTGTTCTCGTTGGAATGGAGAAAAGGAAGCTGATTTTCTTAAACTTTGAGTAGTATGCCTAAAATTTACTGTTTCTCATAAACTTTATTATAAAATATAGAATCTTGAAATTTAAGAGTGCATTAGTGTAAGTTATAGAATATTTGTATTAACCTCCAGTTCTCGTGCATTATAATGAAAATATATTTCTTGTTGCTCGTGATTTTTGAATAGATTCTATTAGGAAGAAAATGCCTGTTTTATGGGCTTAAGAAATGTCTAAAATTGTCTGTGGGTGACTATTAAGACCATCTAATAATTAAAGTGTGTTTTTTAAGCCCACATATAATAAGTAGCAAAAGTAGGACCAAACCCTGGGTGCTTTTGACTATCATTTTGGAGATTATTCTGCAAATAACCAATATTTGCAAATTTCTTCATTCATATGTATTAACTTCTAAACATAACTTACATTTTGTTATTTGTCACTTAGCTTGATGGAACCTGGGAGCCACCATTCTCCGATGAATCTTGCAGTCCAGTTTCTTGTGGGAAACCTGAAAGTCCAGAACATGGATTTGTGGTTGGCAGTAAATACACCTTTGAAAGCACAATTATTTATCAGTGTGAGCCTGGCTATGAACTAGAGGTAAGCGAACAAATTGTTTAACTAGAAATAATTTGTTTTTCCAATATACTTGGGGATACTTTCAGTATTAGCACAAATTTGTTTTACTGACTTTGGTCTCAAAAGATTCTATTATACTTTGTTCCCTTATACTCTAACATTTTCCAAGAAATATTTAAGGCAACTTAGAGTTTTAAAAAGTAAAATAAACTGGGTGCGGTGGCTCATGCCTGTAATCCGAGCACTTTGGGAGGCCGAGGTGGGCAGATCACTTGAGGTCAGAAGTTCAAGACCAGTCTGGCCAACATGGTGAAACCCCGTCTCTACTAAAAATACAAAAATTAGCTGTTCATGGTGGCAGGCACCTGTAATTCCAGCTACTTGGGAGACTGAGGCAGGAGAATCGCTTGAACCCGTGAGGCATAGGTTTCAGTGAGCTGAAATCATGCCACTGCACTCCAGCCTGGGAGGCAAGAGTGAGACCATCTCAAAGAAAAAAAAAAAGCAAAATAAGTCTCAAATAAAAAACATGAAAGCCATGATAAGGAAGGAAAAAAGTAAGTTCGCAAACCACAAGACAGATGCTGTGACTTCAACTGACCATTTAAACTGTGTTTCGGCTTGCTGGTAATCATATTCTGCAACAGGGAAGTCCACCGGTCACCATGGAGAGGTAACCACAAGGATTTAGGTATGCAAAGCCAGGATTTCCTCAAACAATGGGCTCATATACCTTGGCATTGAGATGCCAAGTTCCCATAAGCAAATCTGGCTTGAAAACACCACAGAACAGTTTTAACTAATACCAACTTCATTCCTGAGACAGCTGTTGCTTTGTAATATTAAAATCCCTTCCGCAGCACCTAGGTCTCTGTTTACTTTAGTGGGAGAGCTAGATCAATCAGTTTTGCTGAAAGCATTACCGTATCACTAAATTTGAAATTTAAGAGGCCTATTTTACATTACACCATGTTGTCATTTAGTTATTCAGGAAACTCTTTTTTATTTTTATTGTTACAATGGTATTTAAAGGTAGGTTTTGGCTGGGTGTCGTGACTCACACCTGTAATCCCAGCACTTTGGAAAGCCAAGGAGGGTGGATCACTTGAGCTCAGGAGTTCAAGACCAGGCTGGGCAACATAGTAAGACCCAGTCTCCACAAAAAATACAGAAAATGGCCAGGCGTGATGGAATGTGCCTGTAGTCCCAGCGACTCAGGAGGCTGAGGGAGGAGGATCACTTAAGCCCAGGAGGCAGAGGTTGCAGTGAGCCAAGATCGCACCATTGCACTCCAGCCTGGGTGACAGGAGTGAAACCCTGTCTCAAAAACAAAAACAAAAAAAGTATTCATCACCAGTTTTCTTTTTTCTTTTTAATTTTATTATTATTATACTTTAAGTTTTAGGGTACATGTGCACAATGTGCAGGTTTGTTACATATGTATACATGTGCCATGTTGGTGTGGTGCACCCATTAATTCGTCATTTAGCATTAGGTATATCTCCTAATGCTATCCCTCCCCCGACCCCACAACAGGACCCAGTGTGTGATGTTCCCCTTCCTGTGTCCATGTGTTCTCATTGTTCAATTCTCACCTATGAGTGAGAACATGCAGTGTTTGGTTTTTTATCCTTGGGATAGTTTGCTGAGAATAATGGTTTCTAGTTTCATCCATGTCCCTACAAGGGACATGAACTCATCATTTTTCATGGCTGCATAGTATTCCATGGTGTATATATGCCACATTTTCTTAATCCAGTCTATCATTGTTGGACATTTGGGTTGGTTCCAAGTTTTTGCTATTGTGAATAGTGCCGCAATAAACATACATGTGCATGTGTCTTTATAGCAGCATGATTTATAATCCTTTGGGTATATACCCAGTAATGGGATGGCTGGGTCAAGTGGTATTTCTAGTTCTAGATCCCTGAAGAATCGCCACACTGACTTCCACAGTGGTTGAACTAGTTTACAGTCTCACCAACAGTGTAAAAGTGTTCCTATTTCTCCACATCCTCTCTAGCACCTGTTGTTTCCTGACTTTTTAATGATTGCCATTCTAACTGGTGTGAGATGGCATCTCATTGTGGTTTTGATTTGCATTTCTCTGATGGCCAGTGATGATGAGCATTTTTTCATGAGTGTTTTTTGGCTGCATAAACGTCTTCTTTTGAGAACTGTCTGTTCATATCCTTCTCCCACTTTTTGATGGGGTTGTTTGTTTTTTTCTTATAAATTTGTTTGTGTTCATTGTAGATTCTGGGTATTAGCCCTTTGTCAGATGAGTAGGCTGGAAAAATTTTCTCCCATTCTGTAGGTTGCCTGTTCACTCTAATGATAGTTTCTTTTGCTGTGCAGAAGCTCTTTAGTTTAATTAGATCCCATTTGTCAATTTTGGCTTTTGTTGCCATTGCTTTTGGTGTTTTAGCATGAAGTCCTTGCCCATGCCTATGTCCTGAATGGTATTGCCTAAGTTTTCTTCTAGGGATTTTATGGTTTTAGGTCTAACATTTAAGTCTTTAATCCATCTTGAATTAATTTTTTGTGTAAGGTGTAAGGAAGGGATCCAGTTTCAGCTTTCTACATATGGCTAGCCAGTTTTCCCAACACCACTTATTAAATAGGGAATCCTTTCCCCATTTCTTGTTTTTGTCAGGTTTGTCAAAGATCAGATAGTTGTAGATATGCAGCATAATTTCTGAGGGCTCTGTTCTGTTCCATTGGTCTATATCTCTGTTTTGGTATCAGTACCATGCTGTTTTGGTTACTGTAGCCTTGTAGTATGGTTTGAAGTCAGGTAGCGTGATGCCTCCAGCTTTGTTCTTTTGGCTTAGGATTGACTTGGTGACGCAGCTCTTTTTTGGTTCCATATGAACTTTAAAGTAGTTTTTTCCAATTCTGTGAAGAAAGTCATTGGTTGCTCGATGGGGATGGCATTGAATCTATAAATTACCTTGGGCAGCATGGCCATTTTCATGATATTGATTCTTCCTACCCATGAGCATGGAATGTTCTTCCATTTCTTTGTATCCTCTTTTATTTCATTGAGCAGTGGTTTGTAGTTCTCCTTGAAGAGGCCCTTCACATCCCTTGTAAGTTGGATTCCTAGGTATTTTATTCCCTTTGAAGCAATTGTGAATGGGAGTTCACTCATGATTTGGCTCTCTGTTTCTCTTATTGGTGTATAAGAATGCTTGTGATTTTTGCACATTGATTTTGTATCCTGAGACTTTGCTGAAGTTGCTTATCCACTTAAGGAGATTTTGGGCTGAGACAATGGGGTTTTCTAGGTATACAATCATGTCATCTGCAAACAGGGACAATTTGACTTCCTCTTTTCCTAATTGAATATCCTTTATTTCCTTCTCCTGCCTGATTGCCCTGGCCAGAACTTCCAACACTATGTTGAATAGGAGTGGTGAGAGAGGGCATCCCTGTCTTATGCCAGTTTTCAAGGGGAATGCTTCCAGTTTTTGCCCATTCAGTATGATATTGGCTGTGGGTTTGTCATAGATAGCTCTTATTATTTTGAGATACGTCCCATCAATACCTAATTTATTCAGAGTTTTTAGCATGAAGTGTTGTTGAATTTTGTCAAAGGCCTTTTCTGCATCTATTGAGATAATCATGTGGTTTTTGTCTTTGGTTCTGTTTATATGCTGGATTACATTTATTGATTTGTGTATGTTGAACCAGCCTTGCATCCCAGGGATGAAGCCCACTTGATCATGGTGGATAAGCTTTTTGATGTGCTTCTGGATTCGGTTTGCCAGTATTTTACTGAGGATTTTTGCATCAATGTTCATCAAGGATATTCATCTAAAATTCTCTTTTTTGGTTGTGTCTCTGCCAGGCTTTGGTATCAGGATGATGCTGGCCTCATAAAATGAGTTAGGGAGGATTCCCTCTTTTTCTGTTGATTGGAATAGTTTCAGAAGGAATGGTACCAGCTCCTCCTTGTACCTCTGGTAGAATTTGGCTGTGAATCCATCTGGTCCTGGACTTTTCTTGGTTGGTAAGCTATTGATTATTGCCTCAATTTCAGAGCCTGTTATTGGTCTATTCAGAGATTCAACTACTTCCTGGTTTAGTCTTGGGAGGATGTATGTGTCGAGGAATTTATCCATTTCTTCTAGATTTTCTAGTTTATTTGCCTAGAGGTGTTTATAGTATTCTGATGGTAGTTTGTATTTCTGTGGGATCAGTGGTGATATCCCCTCTATCATTTTTTATTGTGTCTATTTGATTCTTCTCTCTTTTCTTATTAGTCTTGCTAGCGGTCTATCAATTTTGTTGATCTTTTCAAAAAGCCAGCTCCTGGATTCATTAATTTTTTGAAGAGTTTTTTGTGTCTCTATTTCCTTCAGTTCTGCTCTGATCTTAGTTATTTCTTGCCTTCTGCTAGCTTTTGAATGTGTTTGCTCTTGCTTCTCTAGTTCTTTTAGTTGTGATGTTAGGGTGTCAATTTTAGATCTTTCCTACTTTCTCTTGTGGGCATTTAGTGCTATAAATTTCCCTCTACACACTGCTTTGAATGTGTCCCAGAGATTCTGGTATGTTGTGTCTTTGTTCTCATTGGTTTCAAAGAACATCTTTATTTCTGCCTTCATTTCGTTATGTACCCAGTAGTCATTCAGGAGCAGGTTGTTCAGTTTCCATGTAGTTGAGCGGTTTTGAGTGAGTTTCTTAATACTGAGTTCTAGTTTGATTGCACTGTGGTCTGAGAGACAGTTTGTTATAATTTCTGTTCTTTTACATTTGCTGAGGAGTGCTTTATTTCCAACTGTGTCGTCAGTTTTGGAATAGGTGTGGTGCTGAAAAGAATGTATATTCTGTTGATTTGGGGTGGACAGTTCTGTAGATGTCTATTAGGTCTGCTTGGTGCAGAGCTGAGTTCAATTCCTGGGTATCCTTGTTAACTTTCTGTCTCGTTGATCTGTCTAATGTTGACAGTGGGGTGTTAAAGTCTCCCATTATTATTGTGTGGGAGTCTAAGTCTCTTTGTAGGTCACTAAGGACTTGCTTCATGAATCTGGGTGCTCCTGTATTGGGTGCATATATATTTAGGATAGTTAGCTCTTCTTGTTGAATTGATCCCTTTACCATTATGTAATGGCCTTCTTTGTCTCTTTTGATCTTTGTTGGTTTAAAGTCTGTTTTATCAGAGACTAGGATTGCAACCCCTGCCTTTTTTTGTTTTCCATTTGCTTGGTAGATCTTCCTCCATCCTTTTATTTTGAGCCTATGTGTGTCTCTGCACGTGAGATGGGTTTCCTGAATATAGCACACTGATGGGTCTTGACTCTTTATCCATTTTGCCAGTCTGTGTCTTTTAATTGGAGCATTTAGCCCATTTACATTTAAGGTTAATATTGTTATGTGTGAATTTGATCCTGTCATTATGATGTCAGCTGGCTATTTTGCTTGTTAGTTGATGCAGTTTCTTCCTAGCCTTGATGGTCTTTACAATTTGGCATGTTTTTGCAGTGGGTGGTACTGGTTGTTCCTTTCCATGTTTAGTGCTTCCTTCAGGAGCTCTTTTAGGGCAGGCCTGGTGGTGACAAAATCTCTCAGCATTTGCTTGTCTGTAAAGGATTTTATTTCTCCTTCACTTATGAAGCATAGTTTGGCTGGATATGAAATTCTGGGTTGAAAATTCTTTTCTTTAAGAATGTTGAATATTGGCCCCCACTCTCTTCTGGCTTGTAGAGTTTCTGCTGAGAGATCAGCTGTTAGTCTGCTGGGCTTCCCTTTGTGGGTAACCTGACCTTTCTCTCTGGCTGCTCTTAACAGTTTTTCCTTCATTTCAACTTTGGTGAATCTGACAATTATGTGTCTTGGAGTTGCTCTTCTCAAGGAGTATCTTTGTGGTGGTCTCTGTATTTCTTGAATTTGAATGCTGGCCTGCCTTGCTAGATTGGGGAAGTTCTCCGGGATAATATCCTGCAGAGTGTTTTCCAACTTGGTTCCATTCTCCCCATCACTTTCAGGTACACCAATCAGACGTAGATTTGGTCTTTTCACATAGTCCCATATTTCTTGGAGGCTTTGTTCATTTCTTTTTATTCTTTTTTCTCTAAACTTCTCTTCTTGCTTCATTTCATTCATTTGATCTTCCATCACTGATACCCTTTCTTCCAGTTGATTGCATCAGCTATTGAGGCTTCTGCACTGGTCACGTAGTTCTCGTGCCTTGGTTTTCAGCTCCATCAGGTCCTTTAAGGACTTCTCTGCATTGGTTATTCTAGTTATCCATTCGTCTAATTTTTTTTCAAAGTTGTTAACTTCTTTGCCATTCGTTTGAACTTCCTCCTGTAGCTGAGAGTAGTTTGATCATCTGAAGCCTTCTTCTCTCAACTCGTCAAAGTCATTCTCTGTCCAGCTTTGTTCTGTTGCTGGTGAGGAGCTGCGTTCCTTTGGAGGAGGAGAGGCGCTCTGATTTTTAGAGTTTCCAGTTATTCTGCTCTGTTTTTTTCCCATCTTTGTGGTTATATCTACCTTTGGTCTTTGATGATGGTGACGTACAGATGGGTTTTTGGTGTGGATGTCCTTTCTGTTTGTTAGTTTTCCTTCAACAGACAGGACCCTCAGCTGCAGGTCGGAGTTGGCTAGAGGTCCAATCCAGACCCTGTTTGCCTGGGTATCAGCAGCAGAGGGTGCAGAACAGCGGATATTGGTGAACCGCAAATGCTGCTGCCTGATCATTCCTCTGGAAGTTTTGTCTCAGAGGAATACCCGGCCATGTGAGGTGTCAGTCCGCCCCTACTGGGGGGTGCCTCCCAGTTAGGCTACTCGGGGGTCAGGGACCCACTTGAGGAGGCAGTCTGCCTGTTGTCAGATCTCAAGCTGCGTGCTGGGAGAACCATTATTCTCTTCAAAGCTGTCAGACAGGGACATTTAAGTCTTCAGAGTTACTGCCGTCTTTTTGTTTGTCTGTGCCCTGCCCCCAGAGGTGGAGCCTACAGAGGCAGGCATGCCTCCTTGAGCTGTGGTGGGCTCCACCCAGTTCAAGCTTCCTGGCTGCTTTGTTTACCTAATCAAGTCTCGGCAATGGTGGGCACCCCTCCCCCAGCCTCGCTGCTGCCTTGCAGTTTGATGTCAGACTGCTGTTCTAGCAATGAGTGAGACTCTGTGGGCATAGGACCCTCTGAGCCAGGTGCGGGATATAATCTCCTGGTTTGCTGTTTTTTAAGCCTGTTGGAAAAACACAGTATTAGAGTGGGAGTGACCCGATTTTCCAGGTGCCATCTGTCACCCCTTTCTTTGACTAGGAAAGGGAATTCCCTGACCCCTTGTGCTTCCCGGGTGAGGCGATGCCTCATTCTGCTTTGGCTTGTGCACAGTGCACTGCACCCACTGTCTGGCACTCCCCAGTGAGATGAACCCGGTACCTCAGTTGGAAATGCAGAAATCACCCGTCTTCTGCGTCGCTCACGCTGGGAGCTGTAGACTGGAGCTGTTCCTATTTGGCCATCTCATCGCCACTTTTCTGTTAAATGTTTTGCATGTCTCATTATTTTCTGACCATGCAGTACAAGAATTATCATATGATAGGTATATGCAGTCTGGGACCAGGCTTATATATATCTTCTTTCCTCAAAAAAGATGATAATATAATGGTGATTACATTCGGAGTGTTTTCCTGTTTTTGAAACCTCGTTCTTCATGCAAGAATATTAATCTTGCAATTTATTAAGAAGAAAAGTAATATAAAATTATGAACAAATGTAGAGCAAACTGTCATTAAATTTGAAGCAGATAATTTAAAAATTTGTGGAAATATATGTTAACTGAAAAATTGAGAAAGGTGCAATAGTGATTGCTCTCACTCCAAGCTATTATACATGTTAGAATCACTTGAGAAAGTTTTTAAAATATTGATGTTCAGTTACTTGGAGAAATTACCAACTCCAGGTCTCGGACAAGAAATGTAAAATATTGCCTGGAAACTTGTCACACAAAATAGCAGGGAACCTAACAAAGACTACACATCGAAAGTATTCAGAAGCCACTGGACAAGGCTCCCACAGGTCAAGATGAGACCATTTTAGCATTAACAAGGGTAATAACTTCAATGGACTGAAACACATCAAATAGGTCATAAATGACACTAGGCTTATAATGATACTTTTAAAAAAATTAGAATCTCTTAAAGGATGCTTATGAACAAACTCATTATTTTAAAAACAGACAACTCAAGAGGAAGAATTGTCTTTCCAGTGCTACCTGTTTGACTAGATAACCAAACAGTAGATGAGGGGAAGTTACAGTTAATAGTGATAAAATAGAATTTAAATAGCAGAATTCACAACTCCTAAGAATTAATGGATTTAAGTTATGATCATCCATGGCTGCTGAAGTCACAAAAAATGGAGACAACCAGACATTATGTGTCTCTGGATGGGTGAACAACCCCATCTATGAAAACATTTTGTGCTCTCCCACCTCCACCACACACACACAAAATGAATACGGAAATTATCAAGCCTCTAAATCCAACAAACAGTGTCAGAGACACCACAGTGAAGCAAGTGGCAAAATTCTATCTGTGGGAACAGATACAGGACCAATGACCCAGTTTTTCAGTGTCCAAGACAAATAAATTGACAGGGCAGAGGGGAGTAAATAGAGAAGGAACCTAAGTTTAGAGAGATATAAGAGACATTGCATTAGTCATGAGTCTCCAAAGAAAGAGAACCAATAGGAGAGAGAGAGAAGAGATATATATATATATATATATAATGAGGAATTGGGTCACAAGTTAATGGAGGCTAAATCCCAGGATCTTCTCTCTGCAAACTGGAGACCCTGAGAAGCTGGTGGTGTAATTCAGTCCAAGTCCAAAGGTCTGAGAACTAGGTGAGCTGATGATGTAAAACCCTGTCTGAAGATAGAGGAGGAGATGAGTCCCAACTCAAGTGGTGAGGAAGAAAAAGAGGGCCATTTCCTCCTTCCATGTTTTGTTCTATTTGGTCCCTCAGTGTTTTGGAAGATGCCCCCCACCCTCCACATTGGCGAGGGCAATCTACTTTACATGATCTACTAATTTAAATGCTAATCTCATCCAGAAACATCCTCACAGACACATCCAGAAGCAGTGTTTAAGCTGGGCACCTCATGGCCCACTCAAGTTGCTGCACATCAGTATTTGTAAAGAGTTTCTTAGGTGATTCTAACATGGAGCTCAGAGTGAGAGCAATCACTATTATCGCTCTCTCAATTTTGTAGTTAATACCAGGATGTTTCCAAAAGTTTAAAGGTTAATTATCTATTAATACTTCTTCAAATGTAATGACACATCAAGGCCGGGCATGGTGGCTCACGCCTATAACCTCAGCACTTTGGGAGGCTGAGGCGGGTAGGTCACCTGAGGTCAGGAGTTTGAGACCAGCCTGTCCAACATGGTGAAACTCCATCTCTACTAAAAAATACAAAAATTAGCGGGGTGTGGTGGCAGGCACCTGTAGTCTCAGCTACTTGGGGAGCTGAGGCAGGAGAATCACTTCAACACAGGAGGTGGAGGTTGCAGAGAGCCGAGATTGCACCACTGCATTCCAGCCTGGGCAACAGAGCAAAACTCTGTCTCAAAAAAAAAAAAAAAAAGACAAAAAGTAATGACCCATCAGGTTGCTGTACATTTGTTCATAAAATGAATCATCACAGAAACATAAACTAGTCTCAGTGTATGGATCTTATTTGGTACTGATTCAACAGAATTATTTAAAGAATAAATTATGAAATTTATGCAACAATTGGAAATTTGAAAACGACATTTTATTAATATTAAGGAATTGTTACTTTTTAAGTTGTGATAATGTTATGGTTATAATTTTTAAGAGCTCTTATCTTTTAGAGATTCATACTGAAATAATTATTGTTAAATGATTTGAAGTCTAGAATTTGCTTCAAAATAATAGGAGTTCATGGAAGGGGTGGGGCTTACATGAAACAAGGTTGGCCCTGAGTTAATTGGGTAAACTGGGTGATGTCTACACAGAAGTTTCTTATACTGTTCTTTCTACTGTTGGTATTTCTCATATGTTTGAATTTTTCCATCAGACAGGATTTTTTTTTAATGCAAATACCTGTTCTCACATCAGACTAATTAATTCAATATTTCTGTGGGTTGAGTCTGGGGCAGCAGTACCCTTTTCAGAGTTCCCTTGGTGATTCGTGTGTGCAGCCAGGACTGAGAATCACTGACAAATTGCTGCTCTTATAATCAGTGGAGTTCACTACCATCTGCTTGAGAATCACCTGAGAAGTTGTAAAAAGAAAAGAGTATATATTGCTAGACCAAGATCATGTGAACCAAATAGTTTCTGGGGGTTTGCATTTTTAGATTGTATGCTTAATATTATTTCTGATTGTCAAATCATAATTGTATACATTTTGGGATACACAATTACCAAGATATATATGGAGTCAACCTAAGTGTTGGGTGTCATCGATGGATGAATGGATAAAGAAAATGTGAGATATAAGTATATATATATATAAGTAGATATAAGTATATATATATAAGTGTATATAAGTATGTGTATATATAAGTATATATACACATACTTATATAAGTATATATAAGTATGTATATATATAAGTATATATATACATACTTATATAAGTATATATACACATACTTATATAAGTATATATACAAGTATATACATACATACTTATATAAGTGTATATATACATACATACTTATATAAGTATGTATGTATATACTTGTATATATACTTATATAAGTATGTATGTATATATACTTATATAAGTATGTATGTGTATATATACACGTATATATATATACTTATATATATACGTGTATATATACTTATATATATATACACACACACACACACTTATGTGTATACATCACATGTGTTTTTATGGCCAAATAGTACTCTATTGTGTATGTGTGTGTATATACATATATTATGATACACTATGATTCATATATTTCTAAGAATACTACTATTTGACTACTTCTAATGCATTCTTTGTCAGTCTTAGCTACAGATTATAATTAGTTGCCGTTTAAAATAAAAGGTGAAGCAAAGTCTGTACCTTAATTATACCGGTCTGCCAGAGTGTGAATTTTGAAGCAATTTGATAAATAAATACAGTTTAAGGAGTAGATTTAGACTTTCAAAAATGTTTTTAACATGTTTATTTAGCATTCCAGTGCTGAGCGATTCAAGGCCATAGCTAAGATTACTTTGCATTTCCTTATTATCTTTCTATTGTAGAGTTATGATCTTGATGACCTTTCTCCATTGTTTCACAGGGGAACAGGGAACGTGTCTGCCAGGAGAACAGACAGTGGAGTGGAGGGGTGGCAATATGCAAAGGTGAGTTGAATGACACTTAGCAGCCCCCAAAATGACACTGAGGACACAAAATAACAGTGTGGCTACATTTTCTTTATAGGTTAGTTTTGTAATTAAAATGTAAGCCAACTCCATAAGCCATATGAGAACCTTTTAATGGGCTTTTTCTCAAGGGCAGTAAACCAATAAAAGGGTCAAAAACTGTAGTAGGGATTAACAATTAACTGCAATAGGACACAAGATTACTGACTCTGGAATGGCAAACAGTTTGTTTAAAAACTAGTTAATTATTGAGTTTATTAGCATTTTGGGGGGGTTTTCTCAAATAATTATAAATTAGAAGGCTAAGAGCTGTTGTTTTTTGGTGACAGTACTAGCCAATACTTTTAACGTGCTGTTGGTCCATCTGTCAAATCAATTAATATTAATATTTTGCATGGAATTTAACTCATTTTATGAGAACAACCAAGTTTATTTGGCAAAATGTGGGTTAATGCACATAACTTTATCCCCAGTATTCCCTTCTCTGCCAAAGGACAATGTATGTATGTATTTATGTATTTTTATTTTTATTTTTAAATAGAGTCTCACTCTGTCACCCAGGGTGGAGTGCAGTAGTGCAACCTCAGCTCACTGCAACCTCCACTTCCCGGGCTCAAGGGACTCTCATGCCTCAGCCTCCCGAGTAGCTGGGGCTACAGGCATGCTCCACCATGCCCGGGTAATTTTTTGTATTTCAGTAGAGACGGGGTTTCACCATGTTGGCCTGGCTGGTCTCGAACTCCCGGCTTCAAGCAATCCATGCTCCTCAGCCTCCCAAAGTGCTGGGATTATAGGCATGAGCCACCATGCCCGGCACAGCATCAATAGCATTTTAAAGCTCCCTATGTGGTTTCAAAGTGCAGCCAAGGTTAAGATCTGTGATCTCAGCATACTCAACTTTGGGCTGAAAGAAGTCCATTAGCATCTGGTCCAGGGACTCAACTCTGAGTTCACATTTGAATTGTTTGGGGAATTTTTAATATAATACTGAAAAGTAGCCCTCAGTATAAAGATTTGGACTCATTTGGTCTGTGATAGGCCATAAATGCTTCCCAGGTTCTCTAAGGTACGGCCAAACTTGAGAAGCACTAGTCTAGAACCACCTTCTCTGCCTTCACAAAAATTATAAAATTAAGACTCAAGCCCATTTTTTGAGATTCTTGAAAGGGTGATCCTATTTTCCTCATAGCATCCCTGTTAATAACATTTCTCACAATAATGCAAAATCATTCTTTATAACTTTACTATAATACTCACCAGTTTATGAAGTCAGCATATTCCTCAAAAGCCATATAAAATGTCATTTATTCTATTCCCCACAAGCTCTTGGGTCCCTGTTCTTTATACTTTCTTATTGTCTTTTACCTTCTGATAATTTTATATTTTATCTCTTCTTACAAGCAGTATGACCTTGACCAAATTATTTAACTTCTCTAAGCCTCACTTTTTGCCAACTGTTACATGAGATAATCTCAGAGTTGCTATAAGTAAGGTTGCCAGATTTAGAAGAAACAAAAATACAGGACATGCAGTTATATTTAAATTTCAGATGAAAAATAATTTAAATGTAAACTTATAAATATGCAATATCGGAGACACGCTTATACTAAAAATGTATTTGTTATTTATCTGATACTGAAATTTAACAGGGCATCCTCTATTTTATTTGGGCTTACAACTTAAGTGTTGTAAGAAATAAATTTAGTATTGTTTGAAAAGTTCTTGGCCATTGTTAGCAACTTACAATGAGATTGTTTTATTTTACCCACCTGCTCATCCATACTCCCTGTCCCCAGCATTATTAATAATACATAAAGACAGCTGGAGTCAATAAGACTAACTCCCAATCTTTAATTGCATGCATGTATTAATCCAATACTTAGGTATGCTATATTTTTCTCCTTCAATGAATATCACTGTGCTTCACACATGAGTAGGCCATAATATTTTATATATTCCATGAAATATCTTTGGCAATCATAGGAAAAGAAGGAAAGAGGAATTGGGGAAGCAATTAATATGAGGCTTTTATTCTTGTTTTTAGAGACCAGGTGTGAAACTCCACTTGAATTTCTCAATGGGAAAGCTGACATTGAAAACAGGACGACTGGACCCAACGTGGTATATTCCTGCAACAGAGGCTACAGTCTTGAAGGGCCATCTGAGGCACACTGCACAGAAAATGGAACCTGGAGCCACCCAGTCCCTCTCTGCAAACGTGTGTGTTGCCTTTAGGAGAAATTTTAATCAGATTCAGTTTCACGATTAGCTTCCCGCATATCCAAAACATAGAGGAAGCTCCACTCATAAGGGATATGGGCCCAGAGAAAGCAATTAATGCCTATCCAAGCTGAATTCTCTGGGATATTTTAAAAATATGTTTGTGTTATCTAAGTCCTGTCTGAGAATCAGCTTTTGTCAGATTCCATGAGTGATTACTAAGAGAAAATGCAACTTAATGAAAAAATTTTGACATACATGTATCATGAATTCTACTGGGGATAGGAAAGAAATGAAAGATGTATCATGAATTCTACTGGGGATAGGGAAAGAAATGAAAGAAAATACATTTAATATGTGATGTTAATATAATGAAGTATATATAAATATGATAAATTAAGATAATGAGTTATAGCCATTCGAATGAAAACAATATTCACAAGCAACGTAGAAGTTGAGACTGCTCTTGTTAACTGTTTCAAGTATCATCATAATGTAGTAACAGCGGAAGTGTACCTCACTCAAATACTTTTATGCCCATTTAAAAATCTGAAATTGCTTGAAATATGTGTTGACATGTGTGTCACACACTTGCGCTAAGCACGCATAATGCCATCATCATTTCCTGTGTTTCCCTCGGGCCTATAACAATGAATCCATCTTTATCAATAAAACATGCAAACTCCACTAGTTCTAATATCCTGCCCATAGCAGTATGAGTCTAAAGTCACATTCAGCTCACATAGAAATGTCTGATGGTTTCCTGGTTCCATCCTCCTGAAGGATGTTCAATAAAAGAAAGTAAGGTGACAATGAGAAGCATTTGATATTCTTCAAATAAGGGAATATTTGATATACCCCTTGATTTCTAGTATGCCTTTTGTTTTCACAATGCTGATCAAAAACTCAGTCTAAAATAATGTTGTGGCCCATAATTTCAGGCATAAATTGTCATCTTCAACTTTTAGGACCTTGCATTAGTGGTTGAATAACTTCATGTTTTCTGATCTTATCTGGCTTTATCTTTACACATAATTTCATGAGGATGCAAAACAAGTCTGTGTCTAATGTTTGGAGTTCCATATTTTTAAACCTTATATGATCATTATTGAGAACCCATCTCTTATAGGACTACTACTCCACCTTCAAAGAAATACATTAGGAAAAGAGGGGAAATATCAGTAAGCATTTTCTTTTCTTTTTGACAGCAAATCCATGCCCTGTTCCTTTTGTGATTCCCGAGAATGCTCTGCTGTCTGAAAAGGAGTTTTATGTTGATCAGAATGTGTCCATCAAATGTAGGGAAGGTTTTCTGCTGCAGGGCCACGGCATCATTACCTGCAACCCCGACGAGACGTGGACACAGACAAGCGCCAAATGTGAAAGTAAGTCAGCAGGCGGAAGCCAGTTCATGCCGCTAGTGCGAAATGTTTTCCCATCCCTGTGAGGTTGTTTTCAATCAAGTCACTTAGTTGTAGATACTTAGATCTCTGTGCTATCACAGTTATCATCTTCCTCATTAATGTTTGTAAATTTCTTTTAATCTTTGAATTTCAAACATTTTAAAAAAAGCTTTCCAGAACTAAACTAAAACCCACCTGAACAGATTTTCAAAATGTGCTCCTCTAAGAATGAGCAAGGTATTAAATTCAAAATACAAATTTTTCTCCACACTGTCAGAGTCCCCAAACTATCCTTTAACAGACTATGAATGTTTTGCAACAGAAAAATTATTCCACAGTGGTTCTCAAACTTGAGCCTGCATCAGAACCACCTAGAGAACCTGTTAAAACACATTTCTAGATGTTGCTGATGAGGATGCTGCTGGCCCAGAAAAAACAATCTGAGAACCACTAGCAAGCACTACGTTGCTAGCACCAGCACTATAGGTTAGCGCTTTGTTACTCCATTTATGCAATCTGGAGGCATCTTTTTCAGCCTTGTGATAACGCAACGTTTTTTAACGCACACTTTTTAACTCCATTTAAAACATCTCACTGCCAGCTGGGTGCGGTGGCTCACACCTGTAATCCCAGCACTGTGGGAGGCTGAGGTGGGTGGATCACCTGAGGTCAGGAGTTCAAGACCAGCCCAGCCAACATGGCAAAACCCTGTCTCTACTAAAAATACAAAAATTAGCTGGGTGTGGTGGCACACACCTGTAATCCCAGCTACTCAGGCGGCTGCGGTAGGAAAATCTCTTGAACCTGGAAGGTGGAGGTTGCAATGAGCCAAGATCGCACCACTGCTGCACTCCAGCCTGGGAGACAGAGCAAGACTACATCTCAAAAACTAAATAAAAATAAAAATCCCCCTGCCAGCATCCTGCCCTCCAGGCTCATTTGTTGTCCAAGCTACTACCTCTACAGTAATCAATTAACATATTCATTGAGTCCGACCAGAGGCAAGGCACAAGGCTGCATAGTGTAAGAATGTATCATGCCTACAATGGTCTTCATCTTCAGTACACTTGCACGCCACTTAATGAGATAAGAAATATGCCTGTGAAGGTCATGGGGATTCTGGAATCAGAAAGACCTGAGTTTGAATTCTGTCCTCAAAATGTTTAACTCTAAACTTATGCTAGTGCCTTACTTCTCTGAGTCTGAGGGCTGTCATTTGTTAAGAGTCTCAATTATATCTTTCTTGTAGTTATTATAGATTTCTTATAGATTTGAAGAATAAGTGAATTGGTGCATATTAGCAATATTTCCTAATAGGAAGATATACACAACAGCCCAAGTCCCTGAATTTTCAGCTAGCAGCTTATTGCAGTATTAGAATGTTTATTTTGCGGGGAGGGGTTCAAGATGGCCAACTAGAAACAGCTGTGGCCGGAGCCTCCCACCGAGAAGAACAAAAACAGTGAGTGAATCCTGCACCGGCAACTGAGGTATCCAGGTTCTCTCATTGGGACTGACTAGGCAGTTGGCGCAATCCACAGAAAGCGAGAAAAAGCAAGGTGGTACAACGGCCCACCTGGGAGCCACATGGGGCAAGCAGAGCTCCCACCCCCAGCCAAAGGAGGTGGTGAGTGATTGTGCTACCCCACTCAGGAAACCACACTTTTTCCATGGATCTGTGCAACCTGCAGATCAGGAGATCCCCCTCATGAGCCCACGCCACCAGGGCCTTAGGTCCCAAGCACAGAGCTGTGTAGATTCTTGGCGGCCACTCAGCTGAAAACTGCCTAAGACTACTGAGTTATCGGAGGGAGGAACAGCCACTGTCACTGTGGCTGCCTGCTGCCTAAGATGACTGAGCTTCTGGGGGAAGAGGCGGCCACCATCACTGCAGCTCCAGTCTACCATTTTTTTTTCCCTGCTGGTGCCAGGGAGACTGGGCAATTTGGACAGAGGAGGAATTCCCCATAGTGCAGCACAGCAGCTGTGACAGATCGTGGCCAGACTGCCTCTTTAGGCTGGACCCTGACTCCTTCCTCCTCGCTAAGCAGGACCTCCCTGCGGGAATTTCAGCAACTCCAGCCAGGGGTTTATGAACAGACCTCTGATCTCCCTGAGATGGAGCCCCTGGGGCTCCATGTGGCCATGGTCTCCACAGATCAGCAGGCTTAGTCCTTCCCCTGCTGGCTCTGAGGAATCCAGGCAGGCTGGACTAGTGGGATTCCCCACAGCACAGTTTACCTGCTCTGCCAAGGGGCAGCTAGAGCGCTTTGTTAAGCGAGTCCCTGATCCCATGCCTCCTGATTGGGATGAGACCCCCCCACAACAGGGGTCACGGATGAGACCCCCCCACAACAGGGGTCACCAGACACCTTATACAAGGGTGTTCCTGCTAGCATCAGGTCAGTGCCCCTCTGGGACAGAGCTCCCAGAGGAAAGAGCAGGCAGCCATCTTTGCTGTTCTGCAGCGTCCGCTGGTAACACCTTCAGGTGCAGGTGCGACCCAGGCAAATAGGGTCTGGAGTGGACCCCCAGCAAACCACAGCAGCCCTACAAAAGAGGGGCCTGACTGTTAAAAGAAAAACAAAGAGAAAGCAGCAACAACAACAACAGCCATCAACAAAAAAGCCCTCACAAAAGCCTCATCTAAAGGTCAGCAACCTCAAAGATCAAAACTGGAGAACTCAGGAAGATGAGAAAAAAAATCAATGAAGAAAACACTGAAAACTCAAAAAGCCAGAGTTCCTCTTCTCATCCAAATGATTGCAACACTTCTCCAGGAAAAGCACAGAATTGGGCAGAGGCTAGGATTGATGAATTGAAAGAAGTAGGCTTCAGAAAGTGGGTAATAATGAAGTTCGCTGAGCTAAAGGAACATGTTCTAAACCAATGCAAAGACGCCAAGAACCAGGATAAAACATTACAGGATCCGTTAACCAGAATAACCAGTTTAGAAAGGAATGTAAATGACCTGATGGAGCTGAAAAACACAACACGAGAACTTCACAATGCAACAAGTATCAATAGCTGAATGGACCAAGTGGAGGAAAGAATTTTAGAGTTTGAAGACTATCTTGCTGAAATAAGGCAGACAAGATTAGAGAACAAAGAATGAAAGGAATGAACAAAACCTCTGAGAACTATGAAATTATGTAAAAAGACCGAACCTATGATTGATCGGGGTACCTGAAAGAGATGAGTATAGAACCACCTTGGAAAACATACTTCAGGATATCACCCAGGAGAACTTCCCCAACCTAGCAAAACAAGGCCAACATTCCAGTTCAGGAAATCCAGAGAACCCCAGTAAGATACTCCATGAGAAGATCAACCCCAAGACACATAATCCTCAGGTTCTCCAAGGTAAAAATGAAGGAAAAAATGTTAAGGGCAGCCAGAGAGAAAGTCCAGGTGACCTACAAAGGGAAGCCCATCAGACTAACAGCAAACTTCTCTGCAGAAGCCCTAAAAGCCAGAAGACATTGGGGGCCAATATTCAAAGAATTTCCAAGCCAGAATTTCATAGCCAGCCAAACTAAGTTTCATAAGTGAAAGAGAAATAAAATCCTTTTCAGACAAGAAAACACTGAGGGAATTCATCACCACCAGGCCTGCCTTGCAAGAGCTCCTGAAGGAAGCACTAAATATGGAGAGGAAGAATTGTTACCAGCCGCTACAAAAAACACCCTGAAGTACAAAGATCAATGACAAGATGAAGCAACTACATCAACAAGTCTGCAAAATAACCACCTAGAATCATGATGACAGGCTCAAATTCACACATAACAATGCTAACCTTAAATGTAAATGAGCTAAATGCCCCACTTAAAAGACACAAAATGCCAAGCAAATGAAAAGCAGGAAAAAAATAGGGGTTGTATTTCTAGTTTCTGACATAACAGATTTTAAACCAGCGAAGATCAAAAAAGACAAGGGCATTTCATAATGGTAAAGGGTTCAATTCAAGAAGAAGAACTAACTATCCTAAATATATAGGCACCCAGTACAGGAGCACCCAAATTCATAAATCAAGTTCTTAGAGACTTACAAAGAGTCTTTGACATTTACACAATAATAGTGGGAGACTTTAACACCTCACTGTCAATATTAGATCATCGAGACAGAAAATTAACAAGGATATTCAGGACTTGAACTCAGCTCTAGATCAAGTGGTCTTGATAGACATCTACAGAACTCTCCACCCCAAAACAACAGAATATACATTCTTCTCATTGCTACACAGTACTTACTCTAAAATTGATCACATAATTGGAACTAAAACACTCCTCAGCAAATGCAAAACAACTGAAATCATAACAAACATTCTCTCAGACCACAGCTCAATCAAAAATTAGAACTCAGGATTAAGAAACTCAAAACCACACAACTACGTGGAAATTGAACAATCTGCTCCTGAATGACTCCTTGGTACATAATTAAATAAGGAAGAAATCAGAAAGCAATGAGAACAATGAGACAATGTACCAGAATCTCTGGGACACAGTTAAAGCAGTGTTAAGAGGGAAATTTATAGCACTAAATGCCCACATCGAAAAGGTAAAAAGATCTCAGATTGACACCCTAACATCACAACTAAAAGAACTAGTGAACCAAGAGCAAACAAACCCTAAAGCTAGCAGAAGACAAGAAATAACCAAGATCAGAGCATAACTGAAGGAGATACAGACACAAAAAGCCCTTCAAAACAATCAATTAATCAAGGAGCTGTTTTTCTGAAAAAAGTAATAAAATAGACCACTAGCTAATTAAAAAAAGGGAAGAATCAAATAGACAATAAAAATGATAAAGGGAATATCACCACTGATGCCACAGAAATACAAACAACAACCATCAGAGAATACTATAAACACTTCTATGCACATAAACTAGAAAATCTAGAAGAAATGGATAAATTCCTGGACACATGCACCCTTGGATAAATTCCTAGACAGATATACCCTTCCAAGACTGAACCAGGAAAAAGCTGAATCCCTGAATAGACCAATAACTAGTTCTGAAATTGAGGCAGTAATAAATAGCCTACAACCAAAAAAAGCCAAGGACCAGACAGATTTATAGCTGAATTCTCCTAGAGGTATAAAGAGGAGCTGGTACCATTCCTTCAGAAACTATTCCAAACAATTGAAAAGGAGGGACTCCTCCCTAACTCATTTTATGAGGCTAGCATCATCCTGATACCAAAACCTGATGGAGATACAAGAAAAAGAAAACTTCAGGCCAATTTCCCCGATGAACATCAATACAAAAATCCTCAATAAAATACCGGAGAACCGAATCCAGCAGCACATCAAAAAGCTTATCCATCACAATCAAGTTGGCTTCTTCCCCTGGATGCAAGGCTGGTTTAACATATGCAAATCAATAAACATAATTCATTTATTTCCTTCTGATTTCTGTTGCATAGTAGGCATTTTGTCCACCTTAGAGGGGAAAAAATTTTAGAAAAATCATACAAATTTATTATCTCCTCTAACAAGTTTATGGTAGTATTATGACAACAAAGTGATCTTTTAGACGCCGGCTTATAAGGACTCTTCATTCAAAAGTTGAACAAACTGGATTCTGATTAGAATCCTGACACCAATCTAACCCTTGCCCACCACAGAATAATTCTAATTATCTTGAGGCTTCTTGTAAAATTCTCAAAACAATATCAGTTATAAAAATTTCTATTTAAATATACGCATATGTCCCTTTTAAAAGAGAGGATTGTCATCCAATCTATCACAGATCCCAAAAGCAGAAAGTCACTCTTTTACAGTATTGAAAAGAGGAAAACTAACATGAAACCTTGAATTTCATAAACCTCATCAAGTTGTATTCACTGAGCATCTATAGACTAGAGACAATATTCATTCACTGACTCATTTTCAAGAGCATGTTGCATGCTAGGCACTAATAAATGCTAGGCATTAATAAAATAGCCCTGATACAATATGCAGTACTACAATTAATGATCTTTACTCTGAAACAGTAGACTACAATCATCATGCTTTCTCTCCTAATTTAATAAGCATCCTGTTTTGAAAGTCTCTTGCAGCCATTTATTTGATGAGGTACAAGAGCTAATTCTTGGTGTCCTACAGACTGCTTTCCTTAGGTTTAAAACAGGCTCACCTTCAACATTTGAATCAGAAGACAAAAAACCTTTGATCTTTGTGTGTCCAATTTTTCTCAACAGCAGCAGTTAATTCTTTTAGTTCTTACTATTCTAGATAAGTAGGTGAAAATGTTTCCCTTATGTATTTTATTTTTGCTCTTTAATTCATTCTGAGAGATGAGACTGTGTTCTCAGTCTGTGTTAATAGCACAAGCTTAATTGTTGTTTTGTTATCCTGTAGAAATCTCATGTGGTCCACCAGCTCACGTAGAAAATGCAATTGCTCGAGGCGTACATTATCAATATGGAGACATGATCACCTACTCATGTTACAGTGGATACATGTTGGAGGGTTTCCTGAGGAGTGTTTGTTTAGAAAATGGAACATGGACATCACCTCCTATTTGCAGAGGTAAGGAAATATTTGAATGGTTATTTCTTAGTGAAACTGCAGGGAAATGTGTATAGAAATCTGATTTGTCCAGCAATTAATATGCATACTACTTTATTTTTCCTTGGCTTTAAAATTTCTTTTAGCAGCTGTGTAATTTTCTTTTAATGTTATGGTTTGAGTTTTAAAAGCACATAGAACTCTTAGGTTCTGTGCTTGAAATGTTGCAAAATAGAAAGAGGTAATGAGGCACCCTAGTATTATATCCTTCTAAAACTTACACTTTTATAATAAAATATGATTTTTATACATCATAATAATTATTTCATTCATTCTACAAATATTTGCTAGAAGTCGAGAAGTACGCTAGTACACACAGATAAAACCAAGGAACTAAATAATTGAGTTGTTGGATGAGTTGACCACAAACTGTTCAGATTTGGACTTTTTTTTTTTTTAATACTTTAAGTTTTAGGGTACATGCACACAACATGCGGGTTTGTTACATATGTCTACATGTGCCATGTTGGTGTGCTGCACCCATTAACTCGTCATTTAACATTAGGTATATCTCCTAATGCTATCCCTCCGCCCTCCCCCCACCCCACAACAGTCCCCAGAGTGTGATGTTCCCCTTCCTGTGTCCATGTGTTCTCATCGTTCAATTCCCACCTGCCATTCAGGACTTAGGCATGGGCAAGGACTTCATGTCTAAAACACCAAAAGCAATGGCAACAAAAGACAAAATTGACAAATGGGATCTAATTAAACTAAAGAGCTTCTGCACAGCAAAAGAAACTACCATCAGAGTGAACAGGCAACCTACAGCATGGGGGAAATTTTTTGCAATGTACTCATCTGACAAAGGGCTAATATCCAGAATCTACAATGAACTCAAACAAATTTACAAGAAAAACAGATTTGGACTTTAATAACTGGTGAAGCAGGGAAGATTGAGGAAGTCAATGGATGAATGGCATGAGCCTCAAAAGAAACAGGGGCTATTGCAAGAGAAAGAGGACTCATTGTCTGGCAGCAACAATGAGAAGTGAGATCACCAATACATGGGATGTAAGAGAATGTAGAGCCTTTTGAGGGGGGACATCTTAAAGGAATATCCCAGACTTCACTTAAAGTCTAAAGTCAGAATGAGTGTTGTGTGTGTGATATTGAACAACATAAATGTCTGTTGACAGATAAATGGATAAAAAAATGTATGTTGATAGATGATGATGATGATGATTAAGAAGATAGATTAGATAGACATGCAGATAAAAATAGGCAGATACAATGAAATATTATTCAGCTTTGCAAAAGAAGAAAATCCTGCCATTTACAACAACATGGACTAACCTGGAGGACATCATGCTACATGAAATAAGCCAGACACAGAATGACATATACTGCCTGACTTTGCTGATAGGTGGAATCCAAAACAGTCAAACTCATAGAAGCAGAGAGTAGATGGTGGTTCCCAGGAGCTGGGAGGGGGTGAGGATAGGGAGATGTTGCTCAAGGTATCAAAGTTTCAGTTATGCAAGATGAATAAGTTCTGGAGTTCTAATGTCCAGCAATGTGACTGTAGTTAACAATACTGTATTGTATACTGAAAATTTGCTGAAAGGATAGATCTTGTGTTCTCACCACAAAAAAGAAAGAAAGAAAACAATAACTATGTGAGGGGATGAATGTGCTAATTAGCTCCATTGTGGTGATTATTTCACAATCTATACATAAATCAAAACATCAGGTTGTAAAAAATATATACAATTTTTATTTGTTGCACCTCAATAAAGCTACAGGGAAAACTGAAATAATAGCAGCCAATAAAATGCTGTACTTCTCCACATACTGAAATTCCCTCCTGAGATTCGATTTTTGTCTCTCTTCCTGAAAGCTTGACTCAAGGAAATAGTATGAGATATAAAGGGGCAATTCTATTTTCTGACTCCTTCCCTTCATAATTCCCTACATTTGTGACCCATCCTGCTTCTTTTCCAGCTGTCTGTCGATTTCCATGTCAGAATGGGGGCATCTGCCAACGCCCAAATGCTTGTTCCTGTCCAGAGGGCTGGATGGGGCGCCTCTGTGAAGAACGTGAGTTGCTCTTCAGATCTTACTTTGAGTCCTGACAAATTGCCTGGATGCTCCCACCTGAGGGGAGTTACCAGGAAATGGTTGTACTGTTGGGAAGAATTCATTTGCTGTAAGTCCTTGTCCACACCAAACAGAGCACATATGTGTCAACAGGTTGCAGAAGATCTAGAATATTAATGACTTTGAAAATACTGTTATTAAGATCCATCTAAAGTCATTTTCACATGTTCCCTGGCACAAATTTGCAAAAGTCTTCTTGAGAAGGAGCTTGTTGTAAAGTCTCCAAGCTATCCTCTTCCCTTAACTCAAGGTCTACTATGTGCTATGTCAGTCATTGCTGCAGTTGGTATAAACGTGCACCACTGCAAAACATGTACTTTGCAGGTAATATTTGCAGCTCACCATTTCCTCTTTGTTGTTAAGAATAGTTTCTACTCATTAAGAAAATAAGAAAAGCTGGCACTCCTATATCCATACTTGGTAAATTAATATAGAATTTTGATCCTTATAGAAACAATTTGAAATTCCAGGGAGGTATGGATAGTGATGTTAAATTTTTAAATATCTCAACTACACTTTATTTCAATATCTTAAAATATATATAAGGATAAAATGGTTTCATATTTCAACAGGAGCAGTGTATGTAAACCATTAAGAGTGATTCATGTGATGGCCATTGGTCTATACCAGTTTTTCCTACAGGGCAGGAATTTTATAAGAGACTAAAATGTTTTAAGTGTGACTTTTTCAACTAATCTATAAAGGAAAATGTATGATGGAAATAAATTTAGGCTGCTAACAACTCACCAAAACAAGTATTCTCAAATGATTAAAAAAGAAGAGAAATCACACTTTTCTCTTCCAGCTCACCCCAATCATTCCATTTCACCTAGAGCTCCCAGACTTAGCCTGCCCTTATGTCAAGAGTCCAAAGACTTAGTAAGCATTGACTTTGGGGTACCCCACGACAGGTCTGGCTTGGCTGCCTTAGCTGGTCTGGCTCACTGAGCATGTGCCTGCCCTCCTTCATTATACCAGTGCTTCCCAAGCTTTGCTATGCATACAGATCATCTGGGAGATCAGCAGATCTGAGTTGGTACCTGATATCTGCATTGCTAACCAACTCCTAGGTGATGCAAAGACTATTGGGGTTAGGGAACTTGATTTTGGGGAGCAAAGCAACAAACTCACATCTTTTAAACAGACTATGCCTCTTTAAAGATTTCAGTGATTTCTAGGAGGAGGAATGATAGTCATGAACAGGGTTCGGGAGGCATCATTCAGTCACCGTCAGTCCTCAGCTTCTCGGAAATAAAGGGTGTGTTGTCCCATTGCTACCAAAATGTTGCAAACTCCAACCCTATGTTACAGCCTATCTGATTCCCATTCTCACATTTAGTTCAAGACAGGAAGAGCCTCAAGGCAGCCAAATCCTCTTAGAACATTTTATGTAATTTGTAATGGAAATTTGAAACTATAATAAATGGAGACCGTTCTGCTTATTTTGTGAAGAGTTAAAGCAAAGCACTTTGCAGACACTGATTACGGAGTGTCTTCACTGAAAGTGGATTTGGCCTTAAAGTCATTACATGTGGCTAAGAATCCAGGCTTACTTTCCTGATTGTATTTTCCCAATGATACTCATTAATAAGCAGAACACATGCAGGAAACTTATTTAGTGAGTCATATAAGGTTTCACTCCTGCAAAATGTTTTCTGAACCCTTGAACCTATCTAAGATGTGTACTTTGATCAACGCCATTTCAATCCCCCCTGCCTCCTTTTTTTTTTTTTTTTTTTTTTTTTAGCAATCTGCATTCTTCCCTGTCTGAACGGAGGTCGCTGTGTGGCCCCTTACCAGTGTGACTGCCCGCCTGGCTGGACGGGGTCTCGCTGTCATACAGGTAGGCCTCTTTCATGGTTTGTTTTCTTGGTGGCTCAGGCCCATGAAACTCCAGAGGACATTGAAGAGTGTGACTTAGACTCAGAAGTGGTGGCAAAATGAAAAAGTACTGATGTTTCTCAAAAATTCCTCAAGATGATCCCTTGATTCGTGTCTCAACACTGAATTTTATGGTTGCCTAAACACGTTTCCAGGTCATGTGCCGAAGAATAGCATCTAAGTCTACTCAATTATCTGTCTTCTTTATGTCATCTGCTTCATTTTGCAGAGCATAGAGAAGACATTACACAGAGGTTCAGAATAATACTTATTTTAATCTCTAAGAAGCTAAATTACTAAATTCATGCTTACTCTTTAGAAAGAACAAGGTTATACATAAATACAATTTAAGTTAAAATGAAAAAAAAAACACTTTATCCAGTCTACCATTGATGAGCATTTAGGTTGATTCCGTGTCTTTGCTATTGTGCATAGTGCTGAAATGAACATACACGAGCATGTGTCTTTATGGTAGAATGATTTCTATTATCTTGGGTATATACCCAGTAATGGGATTGCTTGGGTTGAATGGTAGTTCTGTTTTTAGGTTTTTGAGGAATCGCCGTACTGCTTTCCTCAATGGTTGAACTAATTTACACTCTTACCAACAGTGTATAAGTGTTCCCTTTTCTCCACAACCTCCCCAGCATGTTTTTGTTTTGTTTTGTTTTGTTTTTTGAGAACAGAGTTTCACTCTTGTCACCCAGGCTGGACTGCAGTGGCGCAATCTTGACTCACTGAAACCTCTGCCTCCCAGGTTCAAGCAATTCTCCTGCCTCAGCCTCTGGAGTAGCTGGGATTACAGTCACCTGCTGCCATACCCTGCTAATTTTTCTATTTTTAGTAGAGACAGAGTTTCACCATGTTGGCCAGGCTGATCTTGAACTCCTGACCTCAAGTGATCCACCCACCTTGGCCTCCCAAAGTTTTGAGATTACAAGCATGAGCCACTGCATCCAGCCTATTTTTTTACTTTTTAGTAATAGCCCTGCAGCCATAAAAAAGAACGAGATCATGTTCTTTGTGGAATATGGATGGAGCTGGAGGCCATCATCCTTATAAAAGGAACAAAAAACCAAATACCACATGTTCTCACTTATAAGTGGGAGCTAAATGATGGGAACACGTAAACACGTAGGAACAATAGACACTGGAGCCTACTTGAGGGTAGAGGGTGGGAGGAAGGAGAGGATCAGAACAAAATAACTATTGGGAACTAGGCTTAGTACCTGAGTGATGAAATAATCTGTACAACAAACTCCCATGACACAAGTGTACCTATATAACAAACCTGCACATGTACCCTTGAACCTAAAATAAAAGTTAAAAAAAAGTTTAAAGGAAAAGAAATGGAAAAATATTACAAAACTCATCAAAGAGATGGTTTCTTATCATGGACAACAGTAACAAATGGTAGTTGATTGATTAGTAAAAAACATCCTGTTAGCACCTCTTGCAGACCTCAAATACAGCATTTGGCCCACTATACTTTGACATCTGTTCAATTGCTTGATTATCTATCCCTTCCCCCACTAGATTATACGCCACTTGAGGGCAAGGATTTTTTTTTTATCATCTTTATATCCCCAGTGCTTAGCATAGTGCCGAAATATAGTAGATATTTTTAGTAAATGTCAAATAACTCAATTTAAAATGATAAACTACCTTCTAGTGTCCTAAAATTTTAAGCCACCACTTAAAACATAGGGCTTGCTATATTTATGAAGTATTAATTCTGACATACCACTATTCCTCCTATAAACAATGTTTATACCACCTCCTCAGTGGAGTAAAACATAAATGGCATGTAAAGTATAGACAGGGCTTCCTAACACCAGAGCTTGTCATGAACCCTAAGGCTGGAAAGACCATATAATTTAGCTTCCAAACCAGGACATTTTTGAGAGTAAAAGAGGCACTATTAATAAGTAAACCAGAGAAATGAGACTGAAAAGTACTGTTACAGACAAAAGCAGATGTGCAGTCGTCACCCTACCTAAAGCCAAAATTGAGCCATTCATGAATGTAGAGAAGGAAATATGTCCTGGAGGCTGAATTTGAAGGCCTTATTTGAGACTCTGAAAGCAGTCTATATAGTGTTTGTTTATAACAAATCAACTTTGCTATTTACCCACGTTTCTCCTGCTCATCTATAAACAAGCTCTGCTTTTTTCCAGGTACCTTACTGGTGCAGGTAATAAATGAATTACTCTTGACTCACCCTCCCTTTCATCTGAGGTTACAGCACCATCATTATTTTTGTTCCTTCCTGCTCAGCATCTCTCACATTCTACTCCACACCACTGTCACCAGTCAGTAAAAGACTCTGGATCATGGCCTAGTTGACCTTCTTGTCTCCATGTCCCTCCAGACTGAACATCATCAATGTACTACTTTGGCATGTCTTTGCCATGTTTAAGAGGCTAAAATGGTTCTCTATTTTAGTCTCCACATCCACCCTGAATTCTTCTGACTTCCAAGGTGCTGCATAAGCCAGCTTCAGCACAGCTGAAGCACAACTCACTTGTTATCCTACCATCACACACTGTGCCCTGCAGTGACGGTTTTCTCACTACCCTTGCAAGCAGCCTCTTCTCCTCCCCAATCTCCTTACATTTGCAATGATCTTCCTCTTTCCTCCACCTATTCTAGCCTCACTCAACCCCCAAGTCCTGCCTAAGTTTCCTCTGATCTCTAAACTTGTTCAATATCACAATAATCTACTTTCTAACATTCCATTTCTATAAACGTTACACAACTAGTTAGAATCATGCAGTTTAAAGCTAATAAATAGATCTGATTTATTTGCATTTCTTTTAACACCTTAGCTCTCTAATAAGAATATGCTCCTAATGACACTGAACTCTATAGCCTTCGTTCTGCCAAATCTTACAGCAGCTACCTCAGCATAGTTACACCCCTAAGTACTAAGCATACCACAACCATATAAAACAGGGGCTCCTGCCCTCCAGAATTTCAATCTAGGAAAGGGGAAGGGATGTGGAATGGCCTATAAATAGATAACTAGGACGTGTTAAGATAGAGGCTAATCAAAATCTATAAGAGGGGCTATGACAACAGTGAAATGGGTAAACTAACCAAATGTTGAAGTTCAGAAAAAGCTACTGAAGCATAGAATCTGAGGAGAAACAAAAGGAGTCCCCAGAAGAAAATCATTGCAGCTAAAGGCATGGACCACAAAATATACAGGTGTGTTCAGCAAAGGATAACCAAAGCCATAGAGGAAATGCAGGGGAGTGGCTGGAATGAAGCTCTAAAGATGGGCAGCATCCGATCAGGAAACACATCACATGCGAAGTGCAAGATGCTAAATTATGTGTTGAGAGCAACAGAAGCCACTGAAGGATCTTAAGCAGGAAAATCATGTGATCGGATTTTCTTTTAGAAAACTGATTTTGGCAGCAGTATGAAAAGTGGAAGAAAGCAAGACTTACAATAGAGAGATTCATTGCGGGATTGTAAAAGCAGAATTGGCAAGAATTAGTGAAGTCTGGAGAAACAACCACAAAAGAGCAGATTTGAGAGACAGTTAAAGAGTAAGAATCAACGCTACTTGGTTACAGATCTATTGTGAGGAGCCAAATACTACTTGGAAGACTAAAAGCTGTTTCCAGCTTGGGCACTGGAGTGGAAGGTGTTGCCATTTACTGAGATAGAGAAGCCAGGAGAAGCAAGCTTGAGAGTAGAGATAAGGAGTTAAGTATGGACACGCTGAGTCTGAGAGGACTGTGAAACATACAAGGGGAGTGATAAGCAGAAACATACAAGGGAAGTGATAAGCAGTTGGATGATAGTTTAGGTTCCCAGAAAATGCATTTAGATGAAGATAGAGATTTATAAGTCATCATTGAAAAATACTCACGGGAGGAAAAAATAACACTGCAGAAGACACGCAACATGAAAAGGTGGCCCTGAGTGGAATACTGGGACCACCGACGTGATAGGGAAGGAGGCTTAAGCTTTTAGACAAGGAAGTAAATGTAATGACTAGTTTGTTAGTGCAGTCAGGCACTGCTAATTCAGCATAGTCCTGAAAAGGAGTAACGTGTTCTTATATCAGCAAGCAGAAACTATGGGGAGTTGGTTTTCAATTATTGAGTTTTATTTTTGCTTGTTTTAATCCTGATTTGTTTCATAATTTTCTTTCCCATTAGATTGCTAATAAGTGTATTCTGCTGGCCAGCTCTTACTCTTAACTTACCAAGAGAGCTCCCTAAGGGGAAAGACGTATTTTACTTGTCTTCTCTTGTTCTCTCTGGACAAGGACCAGTGCTTATCAAGTGCCTACTACTTGCTTAGCAGACATTTTCTCCATATTTTATGAATGAATGACTGAAGAAAGGACATTTACTTATAATTCACCAAAAATATGTATATTATATACGTACAATGGTGAATTATAAGTTTTTCATCCAGGAAAGAGCCTGCCTTTCTGTGCTACAGATATTGGAATGGTTCTTACTTCCAGCTTTCTCCCAACAGACATTTTATTTCCTTCCTACAGGGAGTTCTCCTTTCTCTTTGATATGTTACACTTGCTAAAAATTCATCTAGACCAAATACCAGCATCTTCAGGTTTTTTAACAAATACATTTATGCAGATGAAGAGTTTGGTTATGAGATTATGGATTTGTGAGAAAAACACCTAGATAGTAAATCTTTCAGTGTCCTCTCAGGGTTTTATCTGTGACTAACCAGTTTCTGTAATTCTAGTTAAAGCTGACAAAAGCCGTGAAATATGTCTCCTCTCCAAACACAAAGGGATGTTGAATCATCTGTTATTTTAGACAATCCATGTGCCTAATTTATTATCATAAAAGTTGACGTCTGACTTAATCACCCAATCAATCATAGAGTTCAATGCTAACTCCCTCGAGGAATTTACAATCTTGAGCTTCAAGTCAGTGGAAAGAAATGTACAATCTAATTGAACACAAAAAAATTTATAGTTCAAAACATTCAAAGTGTCAGATTGGTTGCATAAATTAAAAGAGATTAGAGAAGAGGAAAATCAGTGGACTTGGAGTGATCAGCAAAGGCTTCAATAAGTAGGTAGAACTTAATCTGGGACTTAAATGTGAAAATTGACCAGCTTGGAAGGAAAAAGGGAGGTGGTACCACATAAGGATGTGAAGTCAAGCAGAACAGCAGAAATGGATAATGCTAACGGTATATGAAGACCAGCAGTGGCTGCTGCAGGAAGTAGAGTCAAATCTTATCCTACGTGCCTTTATGGATATCATCAGAATTGCTAAGTATTAATTAAATAAATGCATGGGTTTTTTATTCCAGCTGTTTGCCAGTCTCCCTGCTTAAATGGTGGAAAATGTGTAAGACCAAACCGATGTCACTGTCTTTCTTCTTGGACGGGACATAACTGTTCCAGGTAAGATAACCAAAAACTAATGTTCGCCTATAACATGAAGACTCTAAAATTCAAGTAAATTGTCCTAAGAGCCAGAAGTTATCTCTGTCTAGTTTGACTGTAAGTATTTTGTATGTGAAAACATCCATTTTGAGACAGGCTCTCTAAATTTGAATTAAAGCCAAAGCTAAGAAATATTAGTTCAGGATTGACAAAACAAGAATATCTCAAAAATAAGCAGTCTTGTGCTCACTTCAGCAGCACATATACTAAAACTGGAACTTCACAGAGAGGATTAGTATGACCCATGCTAGAGGATGACACACAAATTTGTGAAGCATTCCACAGTTTTTGCAATTAAAAAAAATCGGTTATATAAATAAATAAATAAACTTCTTGAACAGAAGATTGCATCCTACAGATGCAAGGATGTAAAATAAATAAACTCAATGTAATTTTATTGAAAATGACCCAATAGATGTTTAAGTTCTTCATTACAATAAAAATAGTATTGAATTGATAAGAAACGTTTATTTTAAAGTAATATATTTTGTATTTTAGTGTTTCTATGCGTAGCATTTCATTGACTACAAAAAGATTATGTAAAAATATGTTTTTTCATCGGTTTCTTATTTCTGACCAGATAAATATCACAGTTTAAAAATACTATCACAAGTCAAAGGGAAAATACTTAAAAGATCATTTATAACTTTTTAAACATCAGGAAAATATCAGCCATATTGTGACATACCACAGATAAAATATTTTCAATATTCAAACATTGTCCTCACCAATGTTGCAATGTTGAAATATTATCAGCTATATTTTAAGACTTTCAATATATATCACTGCACTTAGATTTGTATTATGTACACTTACCCCTACCATATAGGACTCATTAAAAACAAATGGGTATTTCCATATTCATTTTTTAAAGTGGGAAAAATTCAGTTAACTGAAAACTTTTATTTTTCATTTCCTGATTTGTTATTTTGATTGGAATGTCAAAGTCAACTTGCAAATATAAAAAAGCAATTAAAGTAAAACCTAACAACAACAAAAAAATCTGTCTAATGCCAGTGAATTTCCTCACATCATCTCAAGTATATGCCATCTCTGCAAAAGGAGAAAAAATAAACTGAACCCTAAACAGCAAATTTGAAATGGACAAATATATTTAGAAGCTGCCAAGATTATACCTTTACCTGAGAGCAGAGCTGAATTTAAGAAAATGAGAGCCAAAAGAGAGGAAATAAAAGAGAAAAAACAGTGACTCAAAAAAGAAGTATTTAGTACTTTTTTATAATATTAGATTTTATATTTCAACCTCTTCATTTTTCAGATAAAGAAAAGCCCAGAGAGAGTTTGCATGATTTAAAAACTGTCGATAGGAGTTCTTTCTTGATTGAGGAAAGGATAATTATTAGCATGTATTAAAATACTGTACATTAATCAGGAAAACAAGATCTAGATTTTTTACGCAAAAGTTTGATATAGGCATCCAAGAAAAATAATGGCAAATTAAGCTGAGAGGTGTAGCTCACCTTCAAGGGAAGGCTAACTAGCAACCCAGAGGACCAGACAGGTTCCTCCTCCTGTATATACTGTAATTCTTGCTAAAACTCTAACTAGTTTAAGCAAAGAAGAGAATTTATTATCACAATAGAGGGACCTTGTATGGAACCCAAGGACAGAGGAGTGGTTGAGCATCAGGAGGACCAGACTGGGGACTTGAAAGCCACGTGTACCTCTCCACCTCCCATGTCACCACCTCTTCCAGGGTCTCCTCCATCCTGTCTAGCTACAGAGTGGTTTTCTTCTGTTTAGTTCATGTGGAAGGGAAGGACAGAATTTCTCTTTTTTTTTTAAGACAGAGTCTCACTCAGATGCCCAGGCTGGCATGCAGTGTGCAATCTCGGCTTACTGCAACCTCCACCTCATGGGTTCAAGCGATTCTGTCTCAGCCTCCTGAGTAGCTGGGACTACAGGCATATGCCACCACACCCACCTAATTTTTGTATTTTTAGTAGAGATGAGGGTTCACTATGTTGGCCAGGCTAGTCTCGAACTCCTGACCTCAAGTGATCTGCCCGCCTTGGCCTCCCAAAATGCTGGGATTACAGGCATGAGCCACCGTGCCTGGCCAGGACAAAATTTCTTACAGAATTTTTTACATGTCACCATACAGTATCCGGAGACATAGTACACTGTCCCAGTTTAAAAATCCAGGACTCTGATTGGTCCAGATTGATTCAATGGCCAAGCATGAATCAATGTCCTAGGTTGGATTATGTTGTACCAACATAAAGGGTAATTTTGGCAAAAAACTGGGTAAAAGGGAGGAGAGTCTGGCAATTCCCAGAAGAAAAGAAAGTGGGAGGGGGAAGAGTGCTTGTCTGAGAAATAAACAATAAATGTTACCGTATAAGTTTTTCCTTCTCTCCTACGAGACTGAATGCCTTAAAGTTTGTATGCTGGGCTGAGTGTGATGGCTCACACCTGTAATCCCAGCAATTTGGGAAGCCAAGGCAGCAAGCGGATCACTTGGGCCCAGGAGTTCAACACCAGCCTGGGCAACATAGGAAGATCCCATCTCTACAAAAAATACCCAGAAAAATTAGCCAGGCATGGTGGCACACACCTGTAGTCTCAGCTACTGAGGAGGCTGAGGTGGGAGGATTGCTTGAACCCAGGAGGCAGAGGTTGCAGCGAGCCAAGATTGTGCCACTGCACTCTAGCCTCGGCAACAGAGTAAGATCTTGTTTTAAAATATATATATATGCCTAGTGCCTTGTACAGGCACAAAAGTCGCTGCTCAATAAAGGTTTGTTAACAGATGGAGCAATTTCCTGGCATGAATGTCAGTTGGTAGAGAAATGCCTTGTGGCATCCATTAAATCCCTCAATGTTTACCTTCTCTACTGATAAATAAGACTGACCTGGCCTTTTCTCCAGATAATTCAGTTGTTCAGAAGGAAATTGTGTTTCCTCTGACCTCTGTGCACATCTTCAGAAAACTGATCCTAAGCAAATATCATAATGAAAAACCATAGATTGTTAATGGACTAAGAGACCTTTAGGTTCATTAGCTCCAAACCCCTCATTTTACAGAAGAGAGAATTGTAAGATAGATAGAAAACTAGTGGCAGAATCAAGAGTAAAACTCAGGTCTGATGCTTCTCAGATCTTTCCATAAGTTAGCACTTGTTTCCCATGCCTCTTAGTTATCTCAAAGAATGACCCCCATCCGTATAAACATCACAGATAATGCCCAGGTATCTGGGACTTTCAATCCTGTTTTCATCAACTCCTAAAGAGATGTTAGCTCTTCAGTTCAATTTTTTCTTTTGAATCTATTTGGTTGCTTTTTTTTTTTTTTCCAGGAAAAGGAGGACTGGGTTTTAACCACTGCACGACCATCTGGCTCTCCCAAAAGCAGGATCATCTCTCCTCGGTAGTGCCTGGGCATCCTGGAACTTATGCAAAGAAAGTCCAACATGGTGCTGGGTCTTGTTTAGTAAACTTGTTACTTGGGGTTACTTTTTTTATTTTGTGATATATTTTGTTATTCCTTGTGACATACTTTCTTACATGTTTCCATTTTTAAATATGCCTGTATTTTCTATATAAAAATTATATTAAATAGATGCTGCTCTACCCTCACAAAATGTACATATTCTGCTGTCTATTGGGAAAGTTCCTGGTACACATTTTTATTCAGTTACTTAAAATGATTTTTCCATTAAAGTATATTTTGCTACTAAATAATATTTTGCTGGATAGTACCATTTTATGAGGTGGCCAAGGGATTCATAGAGAGGACTCATGATCTTTCATCTGTGCCACTGGCACCACATAGGAGACCCCTTACAATAAAGGAGACCCCTTTGTTCTGGTTCCATCTTCTATACAATATGTGTAATAATAAAAGCTTTTTCTTTCATTTAATCAATCAGAGAGTAACTGTTGGACCTGGTACTCTCCACCACATAATTATGTCCTGGTACTTAGGGTAGCCTGGCTAATTCTTTTCACAACATTTGAAAAGCCGTAGGCATTAACTTCATGGATGTGGAGAAACAGCATAATGACCTTGGTTCACAATGAAAGTGCTAGCCTTCTTTCTCGTGGCTGGAATAAGAAATGCAAGAACTGGAAGATTAACAAAGAGCTGATACCCGGACTGGTAATCCCACAACTCACTATTTTGGGAGGAAGGGGAAGACAGGGAAAGAGAAGGAAAAAGGCAAATGGGAAACATTCCCCAGAGCTGTGCTCCTGGTCTCACCTGCAAAAAAGAATTGCAGCCACCTAAGAGAAAGCTGAGCTGCCCCTCAGTCCTCACTGTCACCTACCTCTATCACAACAATTGTACCAAGATGAAGCCTTCCCCAGACTTCAGAAAATAAAGTCAAACCCTAGATTTTGTTTTAAAATAGGAAACTCAGAATCAACTTGCCTCCATCCTCTGGGAAAACTGCTCCCACACAGGCCTTGGAGTGTGTTGTAGCACTGTGGAGGAATGCAGAAAGGATGAAAGAGATCTTGATTCTCCTAGTGGTTCTCTTCACTACCGTAGGCATCCCTCAGCCATTGACTCCTCCTTCTTTCTCTTGACATTCACTTTCTTGGCCAGTCTTACATGCTTATGAGTCTACTTTCCAATAAATTTACTCATAGTCCATTAACTTCCAAACCTTGTTGATCTTTGTCATTTATAATCATAAAAACAAAAATACAGCCAAAAAAGCCGGGTGTGATGCCTCACACCTATAATCCTAGCACTTTGGAAGGCTGAGGTGGGCAGATAGCTTGAGCTCAGTAGTTCGAGACCAGCCTGAGCAACATGGAGAAACACCATCTCTAAAAACTAAATAATATAATAATAAAATAAATTCAAAAATTAGCCAGGAATGGTCATGCATGCCTGTAGTTCTAGCTACTTGGGGAGGCTGAGGCAGGAGGGTTGCTTAAACCTGGGAGGTCGAGGCTGCAGTGAGCCCAGATCGCACCACTTCACACAAAGTGAGACCCTATTTCAAAAAGAAAAGAAAACAAAATACAGCCCCAAATCTGAGTAATAAAAAAAAATAGTAGCAGAAAAAATTAAGCTAAGAAAGCAATTGGAAACAACACTCAGTTCTGAAAGTACCTACTAAATAAGTTTACCTTCAAAGTGGAATTTGTATTGGGTTACTTTGAATAGGCTGAAAGGTTTATATTTTCACAGTAAGTCAAAGTAGTCCTGGCGTATAGAGAATATAAGGAAGTAAAGCACCATACAAGTGAGGTGTGGAAATAATACATGTTTAGAAATGTGAGTCACAGAGTAATGATACTAAAAATAGTTGAATATTATTTTTTAATCTTCCATACTATGCAGAGAAGACCAGTGTAGGAAAACAAAAATTTTAAAAAGAAATTTTAAAATCTTTCATACTAGATATATCTTGTAGTGAATTTTTGAAGGCGGAGCCATTCACCATGCTATATAAACTATCCCACAAGCTGGAAAAGATGACAAACATTGAGTAATATTTGCCAAATATTTACCAAATGTCACTCTGATGCAAAAACCTAACAAAGAAGAAAATGAACTATAAATCAATCATATAATTTAGCTTTCAAACTAGTTTTTGAACAACTAATAATACATGCTACACACTGCAGTAGGTGTTTTAAAGAGATTAGGTCTTTGAATCTTCACAACAATTCTACTGAGATAGGTATTATTAACTTTATTTTATGGATGAGGAAAGTGAAACGCTGAGAAGTCAAATAACTGATCTAAAATAAATGGCAAAGCCAAATGAACCCCAAGCCTGATTTACTCTAAAACTCATGAACTTCCTACTCCACTGTTGCTGCCTTTTTGGCCTACATCTAACACTAGGTAATATTTAGCAAATTTAATGTTTTAAAACAATACTTGACAGGCAGATGGTATTTTACAATGACACAATATGAAATGCATGATAAGAGCAATAAATATGGAAAAGGCATTTGATAAAATTCAGCACATTCTTAAATTTCTACAAAAGTAGTAAGTGTCCAGCATACTGAAGTTTATCTGTTTCAATTATAATCAATCCTATTATGAACCACTACATGCCTCACTTTAAAATCAGAAACAAAGCAAAATATTCCCATTCACCTTGAGTATTATTCTTCATTTCTAGCCAGAGCAATAACATATGAAATAAATAAAGAGTATAGAAATGAGAAAATTGTCACAGTTTCATTTTGGCAGGAGATATAATAATGTGTCTTGTAAGATGAAAACTCAAAGGCATGAAAATCCATTAGAAGCACTGAGTCCAGTAAACTGGATGAGAACCAGATATACATACCAAAAAAGAGAGCTTCCCTGAATATTAATTATAAGTAGAGAATATAGTAAAAATCTTCTATTCACAGTATCAGTAAATATATACATATGGATTATACAAATAAGAAATATATGTAGTCTCGAGGAAGAAAATTAGAAAAATATAAACATTCATCAATGCTCAGCTCATGGAGAAACATGCCATTTCTTGGATGAGAGAACTGTATGTTCTAAAGATGTGATTTTTTTTCCAAATAAAGTTTCAAGCTTCATATAGTTCTAATTATATTTGCCATATTGGGTTTTTGGGGGGATCATGACCAAATTATTTATTCTAATATTTATTACAAACAAAAGCAAAATGGAAAATTAAAATATTTTAGGGAAAAACAATGAAAAAGATCTTTTTAAAAATTAGCATAATAAAAAGCTACAGTAATTAAAATAGTATATGCTGGAACAAGAATCACAAAAGCATCAATGTGATAGTCTCTATATATGAATTCAAATATTTTATTTAAAAACTCATAAGTGGCCAGGCACAGTTGCTCATGCCTGTAATTATAGCACTTTGGGAGGCTAAGACGGGTGAATCACTTGAGGTCAGGAGTTCAAGACCAGCCTGGCCAATATGGTGAAACCCCTTCTCTACTAAAAACACAAAAAATTAGCTGGGCATGGTGGCACATGCCTGTAATCCCAGCTACTTGGGAGGCTCAGACAGGAAAATTGCTTGAACCCAGGAGGCGGAGGTTGCAGTGAGCCACAATCATGCCATTGCACTCCAGCCAGGGTGACAGAGTGAGACTTTGTCTCAAAAACAAACAAAAAAACTCATAAGTGATCAAGAAAGCCTTCCAAAAAAAAATGAAGCCTCAATAGTCAGTGAAATGTTTATCATAAAATATTAGAAAGCAAGAGAGAAAAATACTGAGTGACTGGTATTAGACAATTAGTAAAAATTTGAAAATCTTTTTGTTTGAATTCTTACCACATAAAAATAAATTCAAGGTGGATTGTGAAGTAAATATTGATATGAAAACCATAAAAACTGTCTTTAGAGTTAATTTTCTCAAACATTTGAAAGATTAAAAAACCTAGAAGTTACAGTAAAATCACAGTGGGAATGGTGAGCAGATTTGACAGCATAAGCAAATTGAGAGTTCTGGATGTCATTCAAAAAATCGTAATCAAAATGTTGTCAAATTTCTTACGACAGACCAAGGAATCATGTTATACTACCTATATCATATAAATGGGAAAAAAAAACTTAATAAAGCTCAAGAACACAGACAACCCACCAGAGAAATGCAATAAACTCATTTTCGTATGTATGTGAGAAACTATTCCACCTCACAAACACAGCACACAAATTCAAGTAACAGTGGAAACTCTTTTGCTTTTCGGATTAGCAGAGACTTATTTTTAATGTTAATAACTAATGCTAGCAAATGTGGGATGAAATAGAAAATTTTATGCATTGTCAGTGAGAGTGTAAGTTGGCATAATTTTCTGCCTATTTTATTTTTTCCAGCTTTGAGGTATAATTGACAAAAATTGTATATATTCAAGAATGTACAATGTGATAATTTGATACATGTATACATTGTGAAATGATTGGCATAATCAAATTCATGAACATAATTCATCACCATACATAGTTACCATTGTTGGAGGAGTTAGGTGGTGGTGAGGACACTTAAGATCTATTCTCTTAGCAAATTTTAAGTATACAATACAGTGTTGTTAACTATAGTCATCATGCTGTAGATTGGATTCCCAGAACTTGCTCATCTTATAACTGAAGGTTGGTACCCTTTGACCAACATCTACCCATTTCCCCCACTCCTCCCCTTTCTAGCCCCTGGCAACCACCATTACATTCTCCACTTCTGTGAGTTTGACTACTTTAGATTCCACATATAAGTGAAATCATACAGTATGTGTTTCTCTGTGTCTGGTTTATTTCGTGTAGCATAATGTCCTTCAGATTCATTCATGTTATTGCAAATGGCAGGATTTCCTTCCTTTTATGGCTTAATAGTATTCTACTATATGTGTCTATTTGTGTGTGTACCACCTTTTCCTTTTCCATTTTTTATATTTGTAAATGTTTTCATATTCATAAAAGTAATAATCTTCATAAAAATTAATTGAAGTAAAAGTCCCACATTAATGTGTATGCATATATAATTTTTCTATTTACCCTAATCAACCTGACAAGCACATTGGCATCTATTCTATAAATGTAAAGATCTTGTCTCTATTTAGTTTTGTTTAAACACAACTTTAGGAATCTGTACTGAAGAGTTCAGATCAATATGATTAGTTTAATATAGAAACAGAAGCTATTACGAAGAGAAAATATTGATAAATTTTGAGCCATTTGCATACACAGGAGGAAAATATTTGCTTGTCAAGGAATTTTAAAAATCAATTATTAAAATTGTCAGTACATTTTTACAGCATATCCTTGTACTTCATGGGTTCTCCAGGTAAGGGACATCCAAAGAGGTGGACACATTTATAATATCTCAAGTTTTCCAGCCAAGTTACATCAGAATCACTTTTTTATGCTTCCTCAACAACCAACATAGCAGCAGCAACACTCATTTCTTTGAAAAGATCATATTTAATTACTCATGATTTTCTCCTAACTCTGACCTTAAGCCAGGACCGTTCATTTTTTTCCCTAATTATCTTATAAGCCACCATTCAAGGCGGCCTGGGCCGAAAGTGTAGGTTTGGATGGAACTAGAAAGAAATTGAGTAATTTGAAAATAATGAGAAGCAGCCAGTCAGGATGGTTATTATTAAAAAGACAAGAAATAACAGATGGCAAGGATTCACAGAAAAGGGGACGCTTATATACCAATAGTGAGAATGTAAATAAATACAACCTCCACAGAAAACAGTATGGAGATTTCTCAAAGAATTAAAAATAGAACTACCATTCAATCCAGCAATCCCTCTACTAGGTATCTACCCAAAGGGAAACAAATCATTATTTTTAAAAAGACACCTGAGTGAACTCCCATTCACAACTGCTTCAAAGAGAATAAAATACCTAGGAATCCAACTTACAAGGGATGTGAAGGACCTCTTCAAGGAGAACTACAAACCACTGCTCAATGTAATAAAGAGGACACAAACAAATGGAAGAACATTCCATGCTCATGGGTAGGAAGAATCAATATCATGAAAATGGCCATACTGCCCAAGGTAATTTAGAGATTCAATGCCATCCCCATCAAGCCACCAATGACTTTCTTCACAGAATTGGAAAAAAATAAAGTTCATATGGAACCAAAAAGAGCCCGCATTGCCATGTCAATCCTAAGCCAAAAGAACAAAGCTGGAGGCATCACGCTACCTGACTTCAAACTATACTACAAGGCTACAGTAACCAAAACAGCATGGTACTGGTACCAAAACAGAGATATAGACCAATGGAACAGAACAGAGCCCTCAGAAATCAAGCCACATATCTACAACCATCTGATCTTTGACAAACCTGACAAAAACAAGAAATGGGGAAACGATTCCCTATTTAATAAATGATGCTGGGAAAACTGGCTAGCCATATGTAGAAAGCTGAAACTGGATCCCTTCCTTACACCTTATACAAAAATTAATTCGAGATGGATTAAAGACTTAAACGTTAGAACTAAAACCATAAAAACCCTAGAAGAAAACCTAGGCAATACCATTCAGGACATAGGCATAGGCAAGGACTTCATGTCTAAAACACCAAAAGCAATGGCAACAAAAGACAAAATTGACAAATGGGATCTAATTAAACTAAAGAGCTTCTGCACAGCAAAAGAAACTATCATCAGAGTGAACAGGCAACCTACAGAATGGGAGAAAATGTTTGCAATGTACTCATCTGACAAAGGGCTAATATCCAGAATCTACAATGAACTCAAACAAATTTACAAGAAAAAAACAAACAACCCCATCAACAAGTGGGAGAAGGATATGAACAGATACTTCTCAAAAGAAGACATTTATGCAGCCAAAAGACACATGAAAAAATGCTCATCATCACTGGCCATCAGAAAAATGCAAATCAAAACCACAATGAGATACCATCTCACACCAGTTAGAATGGCGATCATTAAAAAGTCAGGAAACAACAGGTGCTGGAAAGGATGTGGAGAAATAGGAACACTATTACACTGTTGATGGGACTGTAAACTAGTTCAACCATTGTGGAAGTCAGTGTGGCGATTCCTCAGGGATCTAGAACTAGAAATACCATTTGACCCAGCAATCCCATTACTGGGTATATACCCAAAGGATTATAAATCATGCTGCTATAAAGACACATGCACATGTATGTTTATTGTGGCACTATTCACAATAGCAAAGACTTGGAACCAAGCCAAATGTTCAACAATGATAGACTGGATTAAGCAAATGTGGCACATATACACCATGGAATACTATGCAGCCATAAAAAATGATGAGTTCATGTCCTTTGTAGGGACATGGATGAAGCTGGAAACCATCATTCTCAGCAAACTATCACAAGGACAAAAAACCAAACACCGCATGTTCTCACTCATAGGTGGGAATTGAACAATGAGAACACATGGACACAAGAAGGGGAACATCACACACTGGGGCCTGTTGTGGGGTGGGGGGAGGGGGGAGGAATAGCATTAGGAGATACAACTAATGTTAAATCACTAGTTAATGGGTGCTGCACACCAACATGGCACATGTATACATATGTAACTACCCTGCACGTTGTGCACATGTACCCTAAAACTTAAAGTATAATAAAAAAATAAAAAATAAAAATAAAAATAAAAAGACAACTGCACTCATATATTTATTGTAGCACTATTCACATTAGCAAAGATATGGAATCAACCTAAGTGTTCATCAGCAAACGATTGGATAAAGAAAATGTAAAATGGAACACTATTCAGCCATATAAAAGAATGAAATTATGTCTTTTGCAGCAACATGGATGAAACTAGGGGGCATTATCTTAGTTGAAACAGTTGAGACACAGGAAGTCAAATACCACATTTTCTCACTTACAAGTGGGAGCTAAATAATGTGCACCCATGGACATAGAATGTGGACTGACAGACAAGGGAGATTCGGGAGGGCAGTGGGAGGGGGCTGGATGAGGATAAATCACTTAATGGGTATAGTGTATGTTATTCAGGTAATGCATACCCTAAAAGCCCTGAGCTCCACCACTACATATAATCTATCCATATTACAAAATTATAGTTGTACTCTATAAATTTATACAAATAAAAAAAGAAGAGCAGACACATTGCACTGCAGCTACATGTTCCCAGCTGTAAGAATCAGCAGGCAAAGCCACTTAAAATACATGCTCCTGGGTGCAACATTTCTGGGCTCTTAAGTTTTGTGAAGCAAGACAACCGACTTTAAAAAGATACACAAGGCCGGGAGCAGTGGCTCACGCCTGTAATCCCAGCACTTTGGGAGGCCGAGGTGGGCAGATCACGAGATCAGGAGATCGAGACCACAGAGAAACCCCGTCTCGACTAAAGAAAAATACAAAAAATTAGCCGGGTGCGGTGGCGGGCGCCTGTAATCCCAGCTACTCAGGAGGCTGAGGCAGGAGAATGGTGTGAACCTGGGAGGCGGAGCTTGCAGTGAGCCGAGATCGTGCCACTGCACTCCAGCCTGGGCGACAGAGCGAGACTCCGTCTCAAAAAAAAAAAAAAGACACACAAAGATATAGGCTGTCTGGGTGTTTCTAAGAGTTACAGTACAAACTGCTGTCTCTCTGGAGGAACTGCTGATCACACCCACTCCTTGCAGACATCATTTTCAAGTGAGTTCTCTCCACCCTCCTAAGTCCTGACCTGTCTAATTACAATGCCGAATCCTCAGCCTTCTGAATCATGCACATTCCACCTTTCATTATGTCCCCCTGGATCTTTTTACCTTCCCAGCAGTGGTCAAGCTAGTTTATGTTTCTGTAAGTTAAAGTGTATCCTATCAGCAAGGGCAATAAAGAGAAAACTGACAAACCAGAAAAACCTGCAAGAATGGATTAAGGTAAAGACCACAAAAAAGTAGCAAAAGCTACCCACGTGCATTTCTCAATCATACCACATTCTTCACAAGAGCGATGACTGAGAATCTATAGATCATACGTTCAAATGGGGAAATACTTCCAAAATCTTTATTACATACCTTATAGTTTGCATTCTGCTTTGTAATTTAAAATATATTTTCTCTTACACTATCTCATAAATTGTGGGAACTAAAAACTATGTGGATGCCTAATATGTAACAATGGCTGAATAAATGTCAGTGTCCCTTTCTCTGCTCAACCTTTCTTCAATCTGTCTCAGCGAATTCTGCAAAGCTTCCTCTTCTTTCCATTTAAGAAACCTGAGGCACAGAAAAGCAATGACCTGGAAATTACAGCCTAACACCTGAGACCCAAGGCTGGGGCTCAGAGCAGTCAGTCACAACACCCTTTCCAGAGAATGAACCTTAGCTAGGCCATGTCCCTGGCATTTTCAACACCACGTAAGCTTTATAACTATGGTGGTTTATTATTACAGTCTATGTTTCTGGTGTTTGCAAAAAAAAAAAAAAAAAAGTGTTCCTAATCACAAAGTAGTGTTGGTTTATGTGAGAATTCCACCAAATAACTTTAGGCTATGTTTAAAAGACAGCGCAAAATGTTCCATAAGTCATAATTGCAACATTGAGAAGACCTCATGATGAACAGCTTTCAGTTCTCTGAATACACCACGTTCTCTTCTTGAGGCCTTTGCACAAGTTATCTCCTTTACCACTGCCACTTCCCTTTACTCCCAGTTCTCACCTAACCCTACCATCATACTCACCATCCCCCACCCTATTTTTTCTACCATTTGTTCTTGAGTTCTCAGATGCTGTTGACTTTGCCCTAAACCTCCATCCCCACTCCAAGTCCAGCTTTTATAGGGTGCTGGGAGAATGCACTCTGCTCTTTCCCATTCCAGGGTTCCTTTGAGCCAACAATGCCCATGAGTAGAACCAAGAAGTATTAGTCTGTTCTCACATTGCTACAAAGAACTACCTGAGGCTGGGAAAGGTGGCTCATGCCTGTAATCCTAGCACTTTGGCAGCCCAACACAGGAGGATCACGAGGTCAGGAGTTCGAGACCAGCCTAACCAAGATGATGAAACCCCATCTTTACTAAAAATACAAAATTAGCCAGGCATGGTGGCATGTGCCTGTAATCTCAGCTACTCGGGATGCTGAGGCAGGAGAATCGCTTGAACCTGGGAGACGGAGGTTGCAGTGAGCTGAGATTGCGTCACTGCACTCCAGCCTGGACAACAGAGTGAGACTCCATCTCCAAAAAATAAAAGAAAATAAAACAACTACCTGAGACTGGGTAATTTATAAAGAAAAGAGGTTTAATTGGCTTTCGGTTCTGTAGGCTGTACAGGAAGTATGGCTGAGGAGGCCTGGGGAAATTTACAATCATGGCAGAAGGCAAAGGGGAAGCAGGCCCATCTTACATAACTGGAGAAGGAGGAAGAGAGAGAAGGGGCAGGGGCTACACACTTAAACAACCAAATCTCATGAGAACTCACTCACTAGCACAAGAAAAGCAAGTGGGAAGCTTGCCTCCATAATCTAGTTACCTCCCACCAGGCCCCTTCTCCAACACTGGGGATTACAATTTGACATGAGATTTGGGTGGAGACAGAAATCCAAACCATATCAGAAGCCAATGTGGACATCAACTATAGAATGAATATACTGTGTGTGTGTGACATTGAGATCCAAAAGAAGTGTGACAGATCAGATATATCCAGAAGCACTCTTAAACCCAAACACACACACACACTTGCCACAAACATTTTGTCCTTATCAGAATAGTTTGACTTTGATGTTAAGCCACTACCCAGCTTGCTATACTTGAACCTTGAGTAGGTCCAAAAATACAGAAATAAAACCCAGAAACCTCTCATTATGGTGCAAGATGATGCTCATGTTAATAGAATAGATTATTGGGTGCTAAGGTGTCTCCAGGAGGAGTGAAAGGTACAACAGCTGTGGTTGATTCTTCACTCTACACAGGCTGCTGAGATCATCAAACTTTGATAACCCCACGTGGTAGAACTAGGGAGGCAACAGGAAGACACACCCACTCATTTGTATTCTTGATATCATGGAAATCACCATTCTAATATTTTGCTAGTTTGGTAGTAAACTAAAGGAAAAGCCAATTTATACAAGTCAGAGTCTTCCTTCTCCCTAGTTTAAGAAGCAGCACCAATCTTTGTGGTCTGGTCCAGCTGAAGTAGTCTAGCATCACAAACCATACCCACCTCCAAGGTGAAGCTAACTAGACCACAGGTAGTTGTTCTTCAGACTATATTTACTTTATGCTTTATACTTTGAGACAGTTGAATACAGTTCTAATTTACAGTTCCTATAAGACAACCAGGGTATAAAAGTGCCCAATGGAGGAATAAGAATGAGACATTGAACTCTACAGAAACCTATTGTTATTTCTTGTTCCCATCCTCTTGTACTAAAAAAATTGCAAATCATTCTGAATAGTTCCATCTGGTTTCTCGCCTCATTTCACCTTCTGATATATGGCACACCTGAACTCCCAACTTGTTTCCTTTCCTCCCTGCTGCCTTTCCCTCCTCCTGTATAGTAAACCTTTTTTCTGATCTCCCCCTGACCAATAGGTGCCCTTCCACAATGGTTCCAGGGTTAGCCCATGGCAGACATTTATCATTTGCCTGTCTCTCTTCCTCCTTGAAGACAAGCATTATATTTTTTCACCAATGTATACTTGGTAATACTTGACATGTAGTAAACGCTCAATAAATGCTGAGGAAAGAATGAAATAATAGAGACTGATGAGAGAAGAAAAGCTTTTAAACAATTTCAAAAAGCATTTAGGAGGCTAGGTGCGGTGGCTCACGCCTATAATCCCAGCACTTTGGGAGGCCAAGGCAGGCAGATCACCTGAGGTCAGGAGTTTCAGAACAGCCTGTCCAACATGGTGAAACCCCATCTCTACTAAAAATACAAAATTATCCCAGCATGGTGGCAGGCACCTGTAATCCCAGCTACTTGGGAGGCTAAGGCAGGAGAATGGTTTGAACCCTGCAAGCGGAGGTTGCAGTGAGCCGAGACCGCTCCATTAAACTCCAGCCTGGGCAACAAGAGCAAAACTCTGTCTAAAAAAATATATACATATATATTTAGGGAAGGTCCCAGGAATACAGTGTCATAAAAAACAATACAATATTTTACATGTTTCTGTACATGTACATATACACATATATATACATTTTTTCACAGAGGAAAACAACCTAAGTTTTCAATTCTGTTTTCATCATTTGCCTTTCTAAAGTCAAAGACAGAAAAACACTGAAAGATAAAATGAGCAGTTACCTTGAAGACTGGGTTGGTTCAGAGGGCGCCTGAGAAAAGTTTAGCACATACGACATCCAAATGAGTTTTTGGAAGGCATTCAGTAATGACAAATGACGTTGATCAAAGAAAAAGCATGAATCAGAATTCAAGAGTTACTTGCTCAGCCCTCCTGAGCAAAATGACCATCTTACCCCTCAATTTGTGAATTTTTACCGTGCACTTCCTCAACAGGACTCACCTGGGCACATGCTGGGTCAGCTCTATCATTGCCAGGTGTTTGTTTTAAAATCTACTTTGGGTCTTTAATCTTAAAAATAAAGTTATACTGCATGTGCTGTTTATAAAAACTATTCATTTTATTTATATTTCCTAACAGCCTAAATTGCTCATAAGAAAGGTTTTGTGTTTTTGCAAATATGGCCTAAATAGGTCTGAGAGGAAGTACTATCTACTTCTAGTCAACACAAAAGAAGTAAAAGTTTTTCCATTAAATCACATTTATTAATCAGGAAAAACTGAACAAAGACTGGGTATTAGATGAATATTTGGAATTATTGTTAATGCCTTTGGTTGGAATAATTTTGATTATTTTTAAGATCTTGTATATTAGATAACTATACTGAAGTATTTACTAGTGAGATTATGTAAATGCTTGGATTTGCTTTCAAATCCCCCCAAAAGAAAAAAGTGTATAAGGAGATGGGGAAGGTGAATATAGCCAAAGCAAGCGCAGCAAAATATTGATAATAGCTGAGTAAGGAGTAGATGGGAGTTCAGCATATGCTCCTCTCTACTTTTGTGTATGCTGGAAATTTTCTACAACCAAAAAATTTGTTTAAACCACATTTACTGACTATGAGGTAATGAGCCTTGTGTCGATATTCATGAATCTTGGAGTAAATACATTGACTATTCAGTCCACAAATATGCAAATGCATGGTATCTAGGAAACCCATGGTCTGCAATTATAGAATATTAAGATGAATCCTTTCTTAAAAAGACAATGTATCTGGCTTGCTCTTCTTTTTTTTTTTTTTTTGAGACAGAGTCTCACTCTGTTGCCTAGTCTGAAGCGCAATGGCGTGATCTCAGCTCACTGCAACCTCTGCCTTCCAGGTTCAAATGATTCTCCTGCCTCAGCCTCCTGAGTAGCTGGGATTACAGGCATGTGCCATCACGTCTGGCCAATTTTTGTATTTTTAGTAGAGATGGGTTTTCGCCATGTTGACCAGGCTGGTCTCAAACTCCTGACCTCAAGTGATCCACCCGCCTTGGCCTACCAAAGTGCTGGGATTACAGGTGCCCGGCCTCAGGGCTTTTATTAATATGTAAGATCCCTGAACTTAGTTGCTTTATCCTTCAGGCTCTGCATCACTTTACACACATCTCTATCAAAGCACTTTTTTCTTTATATCATGGCTAGTTTACGTGTCTGAATTGCTTTGATAGCAAGGTTTATTTCTCATGGATGGGTGCAGTGATTAAAAGCACAAGCTCTGGAATTTGACTGCCCATATCCAAACCCTGGTCCTTCCCTTTACTAGCCACGTGATTTGGATGCCTCTTTCCTCATTTGTGTAATGGAAGCAATAATAGGGCCCACTCTTACTGATGTTGCTGTAAGGATTAAGGGGTCTCACAAACAATAAGTACGCACACAAACTTATGAATTTTATGCTTTAGTGTCCTTAAAAGAAAGGCCAATATTGAGAGATGTACTCTGTCAAGCCCTTGGAACTGAACTTGAAGAATACTCTTGTCCTTGCCCTGCTGTGCTGTGCTATCAATTTGCCAAGACAATCTATTTTCCTATAACTTACCCACCTGGTGTCCCTGCTGTCAACACAATACCAGTGACTCTCCCAGTGGAATTTTACAGGCTTGGTGTTGAGGATTCTTACTCAGGTATTAAAATAAAGCCTTGGGGATTAATAAACTCTTGACAGAGTCAGCTCACCATATTCTCAGAGCAGTGTCTAGGTAGCAGTTAGACTTAAACATAAATCACAAAATTCAACAGAGTTAAGCTATTTAACTTACTGTTTTATTCATCCAATATAAATATAATATGCATTTTGCATATCTTAACATCTCTGAAATTGGAATGCATCTTACAATAGCATGGCGTAGTATGATTGGCAATTTAATGATTTATCTTACAAACATGATATCTTAGGTTCAGCAAGAACTGATAAGATTAAATCTTTGCTGGGCGCAGTGGCTCATGCCTGGTGGCCCAGCACTTTGGAAGGCCAAGGTGGGTGGATCACCTGAGGTCAGGAGTTCAAGACAAGTCTGGCCAACATAGTGAAACCCTGTCTACTAAAAATACAAAAAATTAGCTGGGCATGGTGGCGGGTGCCTGTAATCCCAGCTACTCAGGGGGCTGAGGCAGGAGAATCACTTGAACCCAGGAAGCAGAGGTTGCAGTGAGCTGAGATCGTGCCATTGCACTTCAGACTGGGCAACAGAGTGAGACGCTGTCTCAAAATAAAAAATTTAAAAAAAAAAGAAAGAAAAAAAGATTAAATCTTCAGAACCTGGCATTGTATCAATATAATATTTGGCATATGGAAACCTACAGGCTTAGGCAAATTACTGGCCAAAGACTCAGCGGTTTTTTTCTCTACCCAGAAATAGAGTATTTTCCAGGTCTGTGAAAAGCCTTATGGTGTTTTTCTCTAGGGCTATGTTCTCAAAGCCCTGCTGTTTCTAACAAAAAATGATCATCAAGATAAAAAAACAACATATGAGCTCTTTGAAAACCTGAGCCTTGATTTGAGAAAGGCTCTTTCCTAAGTGTCATCGTTTTGGTTTGTATGAGTCATTGTAGAATGCCACTCTAGATCTTAACAAGTCCTCTCCAACCCCCACCCCATTGGTTTCCCTAATAGCTGAGTGGAGAATATAAAAAGGAGGAGTTGGCTAGATCCAGCTTCTTCCCTGCTAAGATGCCTCTTATAATAGAGTCTTTCCCTTTCATACATTTAAACTTCCTTCTCCACCCAATATCAGCCTTGTCATCAAGCTCCCTGGTGATTCACATCCACAGGCACTGGAGGCCTGTCTTTTTTGGCAGCAATATCTAGGCTACACCCTACACCCTTACTTTGCCTTCCTATTGCTGATATGATAATTTCTCCTGTTTTTCCTGGTATGATGACCTTCAGCTTGACATGCTCTCCCAGGAAATGTGTCCTTCCCCAAAGCAGCTTCAGCAGTAAGAATCTTAACTAGTCAGTATCCTTGACAGCACAAGTCTCTGCAATGTTGTGACCAGAGGAGGAAAAGGCATTAGTAAAGTCCTTAAGATCCTTAAGGACCAGGGCCTCTCTTGATTTTCACATTTTACAAATGAGGCTCAGAGGGTGAGGGACTTACCCAGAGTGACACCATCACTTCTAAGAGAGTGAAGAACAGAACCTTGGCCATCACCTCCAGCCCTTCCTTCAGGAGGATGTGCTTCTTCCCTCAGTTTAGATTCTCCCCAATCACAGTCTCAAAAACAGCAGATAAATTGCAATCCTGGACAGCTATCATGCTCTTTGTAATCTTTCCGGATTATAATAAAAGGGTATGAGAATGCACTGGACATCACTGTCATAATACAAAAGGTGGTGACTCTATAAGTGTAGCAGCATGCTTGGAAGTAGAGCTTGAAGGTACATGTGCATATGACTTTATTTAAGATTAAGAAAGAATCAGTTGTCTGCATTGAAGCATGGAGGGTATGTGGAAAGGGTAACAGCATGACCCAACCTATGTCCTTGGCATCCTCACTCAACCAGGCAATAGGTTCCTCATCTTTGACCCTTTGGATGCCTTCCCCATTTGGAGATCTTCCCTGACTAGGTCCCTTTATCATCCATTCTTTATGGTAAAATTATATGACATTGACTTGGGGATGAACTCTCCTTTCCCATGCTAGCAAACATCTTGGCTGCATTCCCTTTTGAACAAAAACACATGGGAACACACACACACACAATCCCAAAAAGTTTCAATAATTTTGTCTCAAATAAAGGCAAGAAACCAAAACTTAACAGGCTTAGTAATAGTTGGGAGTAAAAAGAATCTGGCATTTGCCCCTCTTATTCCAACTTAGTCCTCTTGCTCTCCAGAAAAGTAGGAGGCCTCCCTGCCCAGACGATCGTGATGTTCCCTCATAGATGTTCCCTAAAATCAAGGAGAGAGGCCCAGTCCAAGTCCCCCCTTCTCTCCTCTTCCCATTTTCCTTTCAACATTTCTTTTCCTCCAGAAGTCTCCACCTCTCTCCAGCTCTGGATCCTTAACATGAGACATCTCTGCAATCTGTGTTGTGAAGTGACTTTTGACATTTGTTGTCACTGTCCTTCCCTGCCAGGAATCCATGTCCCTGCAGTTGTCCTGTGCTCAACATACTGGCTTATGACATGCTACTAAGGAAAAAGAAGCCCTTTTCCCACCCACTCATTGTTGCAGCAGTGTAGCACGATGATCACCAAGGATCACGGCTCACATTCCCAACATCTTATGAGGAGTGTGTGTGGGGAGGGTGTGGTGGCTTACACCTGGAATCCCAGCACTTTTGGAGGCTGAGATGGGAGGATCATTTGAGCCCAGGAGTTCAAGACCAGCCTAGGCAACATAATGAGCCCCCCATCTCTGCAAGTAATAAATAATTTTTTTAAAAAACTAGCCGGGAATGGTGGCATGCACCTGTTGTCATAGCGACTCAGGAGGCTGACTTGGGATTGCTCAAGCCCAGGCAGTCAAGGCTGCAGTAAGCCATGATCATGCCACTGCACTCCAGCCTGGGCAACAGAGCGAGACCCCATCTCAAAAAACCAAAAAGTGGTAATATAATCTCCTCCGCATGTCTACATTGGCTTTGCTTCTTGTTTTGTCTTTTTTTCTTGGGGAGAGGGGAATTGAGGGCAGAAAGAAAGGAAAGCAGCTAGGGAAGTGATAGAGGGAAAGGAGTGCAAAAGATTTTGATCAAGCACCAAACTGTTTCCAAGTGACAGGGCTGGGTGATTAAGCACCAACTACAGGACCAAGAACTGCTCCCACAAGGTGTTTGTGTTTCCAGAATTCATATTAGGCAAGCCAGGAATCACAGGCCCTGTGCCTTTCCCACATCCTGCAGCACATGCCGTACACTCTGGTAGAATTCTCGATTACAGCAAATGTCCCAAGGAGCATCATTCAAAAAGTAACAGTGGTAAAAGTCTAGAAAGTCACAAGCGATTGAGCTACATACCTGATCATCAAAGAGCTTCTAGAAAATTGGACTCACATACACTAAAATCTACCTCTTCTATGACCCAAACACTTCTTTTACTTGTTTCACATCACATGTGAAAAAGTGTGGATTGAGACCCCCCCACACACACACCAAAAAAAAGAGAGAAGGTAGCTTAGCTAAGGAGCTATGTGCTCTAAATCTTCTATTTGAGTTGTTTTGCTTTTATCATGAAATAGCATTATCAAAATCCAGAAGAGGATTTTTCCTAGACAGGCCAAAGGGAAACTCTGTTTCAGTAAACTTCAGACCTGGGTTCTACCTAACTTCTAAATGTCTTAACTCTGTCATTCATCTTTAGGCCCTAGTATAGGTGCACAGTGACAGTTGGCTTAGTATTAAATGAATGAGAATCACAATCTCATGCATTTGTGGAGCACTTCATTGCTTTCAAAGCCAGTTTCTCTTTTTATTTTTACCTCACAACAACTCAGTAAGTTAGGTAGGCCAAGTCATCTAATCCCCACTTTTTTTTTTTTTGAGACAGAGTCTTGCTCTGTTGCCAGGCTGAAGTGCAGTGGTGCGATCTCAGCTCACTGCAACCTTCACCTCCCGGGTTCAAGCAATTCCCCTGCCTCAGCCTCCTGAGTAGCTGGGACTACAGGCACCCGCCACCACACCCAGCTAATTTTTTTGTATTTTAGTAGAGATGGGGTTTCACCATGTTGGCCAGGATGGTCTCCTGACCTCGTAATCCACCCTCCTCGGCCTCCAAAAGTGCTGGGATTACAGGCATGAGCCACTGTGCCCGGCCCTATCCTTATTTTTATAAATCACAGTGTTTAGGTTTAAAGCAATAAGAGGTCATGGTATCCTCTGAGGAACAACATGATCTACTGGCACTTTAAATTAGATAGCAACTTAAATTGTAGATTCTGGGGCAGGCAATGTCTGACTACAGGTCAGGCAGAAACCATGCGGACTATTGGTGGGTATATTAGTCAAAGTTCTCTGGACAAACAGAACTGATTGTGTGTGTGTGTGTGTGTGTGTGTGTGTGTGTGTGTGTGTGTGTGTGTGTGTGTGTTTATTATGAGGAATTGGCTCATAGGATTATGGAGGTTAAGTTCCACAATCTACCATCTCAAGCTATAGGCTCAGAAAAGCCGGTGGTATAATTCAGTCCAAGTCCAAAGGCTAAAAACCAAAGGAGCTGATGGTATAAATCCCTGTCCCAGAATACAGATTAGATGAGATATTCAGTTGCCACAGTGAGACAGGAAAAAAAAGGGGTGAACTCCTCCTTCTGCTTTTTTTTCTATTCAGGCACTCAATGGATTAGATGGTGCCCAATCAAATGGGAAAGGCGATCTACTTGACTGAGTCCACAGAGTGAAATGTTCATCTCATCCAGAAACACCTTCACAGACACGCCTAGAAATGATATTTAATCTGGGCATGTTAGCAGCAGAACACCTCAATTCAATTAAAGAAACACCTGTGCTCTGGAGAAGCATGGTTTCAGACCAACGCCTGTAAGTGAAAATACTGATTCATAAGGGATTAAGTGGCTTTCTCACGGTCACACAAGTAATCAGTAACATAGTCAGAGTTCAATCCTTTTTCCATGAGACCAAGTAGCCTCTTGAAATTTAGTTAGCATGAAAATCATTTTTTTTTTTTTTTTGAGACAGAGTCTCACTCTCACCCAGGCTGCAGTTCAGTGGTGCGATCTCAGCTTACCGCAACCTCCATCTCCTGGGTTCAAGCAATTCTCATGCCTCAGGCTCCTGAGTAGCTGGGACTACAGGCGCCTGCCACCATGTCTGGCTAATTTTTGTATTTTTAGTAGAGATGAGGTTTCACCATGTAGGCCAGGCTGATCTTGAACTCCTGATCTCAAGTGATCGGCTCGCCTCAGCTTTCCAAAGTTCTGGGATTACAGGCATGAGCCACTGCACCTGGCTAGCATGAAAATCTTAAAGATTGATTAATAATCTAGGAGATATAAAAGAAAAGTGATTGAAGTTCAAATGGCTCTAGAACTTCAATAGCGAAGCCATCTAACCCATCCCCCTCTTATCTATAGAATCACATGCAATTCTTCCCAATCTGGAATGACTGGAAGGTGCTCAGATAGGATTGTGTCACCTTATGATAAACCACTGTGTCCAACTTGATATGTAGTGATTCACATACTTATTTATGTCTCTAGGTATTTGTGTTCTCTTTGATTAACTATATATATATTAAATAGAGACAGGGTCTAGCTATGTTATCCAGGCTGGTCTCAAACTCCTGGCCTCAAGCAATCCTCCACAGCCTCAGCATCCCAAAGTGCTGGGTTTATAGGCATGAGCCACCATGCCCAGCGTGATTAAACTACATTTTAATCTAGGACGTGGACCATGAAACAAAGGCCTGTGGGCTAAATTCAGCCCAGTGCCTGTTTTGTAAATAAAGTTTTATGGGAACACAGCCATGCCTGTTTATTTATCTATTATCTATGGCCACTTTTGTGTGACTATCTGGCCCTTCACAGAAAAAGTGTGCTGACAGAGTTGTCATACAATTACTTTACTTTTTCTCTAATCATATTAGAGTCTATAGGTATGCCTTTCTTACAGCAATCCTACTTACATATAAACGCTGCATTTTTAATATGAGATAAAAAGGGAGTTTGCAAAAAGTGTAAAGTATTCATGCTTGCTGGCATAGCTGCAGTGATGACTTCAGAAATTTTGTTTTCTTTTTTTATAATTGTCCTTATGCTGGATTCATTTATCGTGAAATGGCAGGCAACCGCAGCTGCAGACCTCAATCTATGGTACATATCAAGCGATTCAGCTTTTTCTTGTAATGTCATGACTTTTCTCTGCTTCTTGGGAGCACTTCCAGCATCACTAACGGCACTTCATATGCGTCCCATGGTGTTATTCAAGCTTTATAGTATTGCACTAAACACTATGAAAAATATGCAAGAACTGCCAGAGATCACATCTTACGGTGAGACACACTTTACTGGAGTGACAACACTCAGAGATGATGAGCATCTCACAGTGTTTTAAGAGAATACTTGTTAATACTTAAGCTCACCACAATGGCAACAGGAGATGGTTACAAAATTATTACAGTAGTACAGTTGTACTAAATTGATCTAATTTGTACTAAATTGTACTAAATGATCTAATACTGCATCTTTGCATTTGTTCATATTTCTCTGGACTATGAAACGTACCATGTGCGATCTGTTTGTGTATGTAAGTTTTGATAAATTTTAAGTTTTTATAATAGATTTGTGTCAGCCGGGTGCGGTGGCTCATGCTTGTAATCCCAGCACTTCGGGAGGCCGAGGTGGGTGGATCACCTGAGGTCAGGAGTTCGAGACCAGCCTAGCGAACATGGCAAAACCCTGTCTATACTGAAAATACAAAAATCAGCCGGGCGTGTTGACAGGCACCTGTAATCCCCGCTACACAGGAGGCTGAGGCAGGAGAATCGCTTGAACCCAGGAGGCAGAGGTTGCAGTGAGCCAAGATCATGCCACTGCACTCCAGCCTGGGTGACAAGAGCAAGGATCTGTCTTAAAAAAAAAAAAAAAAAAAAAAAAAAAAGACGTGTCTATTTTATGGTAGTAAATTATAAAATTGGTATTTATGTGTGTTTCTTGGATTCATGACATACCTTTTTCTTAATTTTTTTTATATTCCCAGGCTGCGCAGTTGGGCTTCAAGTTTTTTCAAATTGTCGCAAATTTCCAAAAATTTTTCTAAAATATTTATTGAAAAAAATCCACATAGAAGTAGACCCATACATTTCAAACCCATTTTGTTAAAGGGTCAACTGTATAGTAAATACATTCATCAGTAGCATAGTTGTTTGTCGCCATTATCGAGTATTCTGTGCTATACATAATTGTATGAGCTACATTTTGCAGATCTGGCAGCACGACATGTTTACAACAGCCTTGCCACAAACACGCAAGTAAAGTGTTAGCAGATGACAGGAATTCTAATCCTATGAGACCATTATCATATATTCGGTTTATCCCTGATGAACCAAATTTTCTTCAAAAACGTATATTCATCTTTTAATCAAATACATGTTATTTTAAAAACTATTTTGTGAAATGCTTAAACAAAAAAATAAACACTTTAAAATTATTTCCCTCCAGAGCTTTTTCTGCTACTGCTAAGTTTTTTTCTATACGATGGTATAATATTACTAAGCCACATTATCGTGCACAAGACAGATACAAGATACAGAATTGCGCAGGAATAGACTCTTACACTGATAATACATTATAAGTTCTGTCTACAAGCAATATGCATTTGGGGACCCTCTTTAATAATGCCATCTCTTAGCCCGGCATGGTGGTGCATGCCTGTAGTTCCAGCTACTCAGGAGGGTGAGGTGGGAGGATGGCTTGAGCCTGGGAGATTGAGGCTGCAGTGATGGGGCAACCTGCACATCAGCACCACTGCACAATGACGGCGCCACTGCACACCAGCCTGAGTGACAAAGCAAGACCCCATCAAATAAAATACATAAAATAAAAAATAAAATAATACCATCACACGTTTTTCTATCCTTTCCCAATAGTAGGCTGCTCCAATGAGGCAGTTTTCCTGAATTTATTACAGTGACTTTTTTTCTTGCTAAAACATTAAAACTTGATATTCTTTCTTAACGTTCTTGTCTCTATTCCTTGGTTTATGCAAGGGCACACTGAGGTTCATTTCCGTTTTCACGAAATATGTTTATTGAATCATTTTTTTTTAGATGGAGTCTCACTTTGTTGCCCAGGCTGGAGTGCAATGGCGCAACCTCAGCTCACTGCAATCTCCGCCTCCCGGGTTCAAGAGATTCTCCTGCCTCAGCCTCCTGAGTAGCTGGGATTACAGGTGCACGCCACTACACCCAGCTAATTTTTTTATTTTTAGTAGAGACGGGGTTTCACCATGTTGGTCAGGCTGGTCTCAAACTCCTGACCTCATGATCCACCTGCCTCGGCTTCCCAAAGTGCTGGGATTACAGGCGTGAGCCACCGTGCCTGGCCTGCTGAATCATTTTTCTAAACTGACCCACATGTAACAGCTCCCTTACTCTAAGTGCTTGTTTACTGCAGAGAGGCAGGCATTTCCCTGACCTCAGTCTCTGTCCCAGCATTTTTCATGCCTGAAGGAAAATCCAAGGACTTTTACGATCAGAATCTACAAAGTTTTAGATAATGATGTACATGTTTGTCCTCACTATGATCAATTTCTGCATATCTCACAACAGCACACAAAGATACAGCCTACAAAAGCCAGAGGCATGAGTTTGCCCCATGCTGGCGATAATTGCCGTTAATACTACATAACTCAATTTTGTGGAACATTTTGTCCTTGGCATAGGTTTTGCACATGTAAATTCATTCATGGCCCTTAATGCACATTGCAGGGGATGAATGAAGAGTGAGAATGGTCTTTTCTGTCTTGGTATTTTGTTCAGTTCTTGGCCTCGTGGATTTCTTTTTCTCCACACTTTTCAAGATGTGCACTATCCATGGTATCCAACCCCTCAACTCCTGCTCAATAACCTGGGGCCAGCACTGAGTGCCCTTCAATTAATAGAGCTTTTTCTGGTCCTGTCCTTGAGATCAGCTACTGGCCCAGGGACCTAGCAGAGTTTTGCTTCCTAACAATAAGGAGGGTCACTGAAGGTTATAAATGTATCAAGGAGCCCCATGTTCATGTTGAGATTCCAAGTAAACTGACTAATTTTGTTTTTCGGGGTTTTGTTGTTGTTTTGAGACAGAATCTTGCTCTTTTACCCAAGCTGGAGTGCAGTAGCATGACCATGGCTCTCTGTAGCCTCGACCTCCCAAGATCAAACAATCCTCCCTCCTCAGCCTCCTGAGTAGCTGGGACTACAGGCATGCAGTAGTCCCAGCTAATTTTTTTAATTTTTTGTGGAGATGGTATCTCGCCATGTTGCCCAGGCTGGTCTCAAACTCCTGGGCTCGAGCAATCTGCCTACCTCAGCTTCCCAAAATGCTGGGATTACAGTCATGAGCCACTGTGCCCAGCCACTAATTTCAAATAAACTTTTTTTTTCTGACAAATAAATCAATTTGTTGCAGTTGACTACTTGGCATTTAGGAAGAGCGGTTGTTGAATTTATCATCAACATTACAAGGCTAATGTTTAGCTGACACACACAGGAATGCTCATAGCAGTTGTTAAATTATTGAAATACATAATGGTTGATAAATAGGCTCTGCCCCCCCCACCCTATTCCCACGTCCTACCTCACTGAGGCTGACCTAATCTGTTCCCTAGGACACACTGGATCTCCCCCAAATCCAGAAACTAAAAGGGTTTATGCCTGGCAAAGCAATTAGCTGAGTAGATGCATAGCTGTTGCTCATTCTGACTGATCATCATCCAAGCCACTCAAATTGTTAAATATTTTGAATAATAATCCTGAGCCATCACGGTGTCGAAGACATGATACACCTGAGCAACATAAACCCATCCAGTGGTTTAAAAAAAAAAACTAGCCCAGCGGTTCTCAAACTTGAACAGGCAGCAGCATCATCTGGGGAGCTTGTTAAAACATACACTGTCAGCCCTACCCTCAGAGATTCTGAGTCAGCGGGTCCAGGGTGGGGCCTGGGAATTGGCATTTCTCACAGTTCTCAAGTGGTGCTGATGCTGCTGGTTCACAGGTCCACAGGTCCACAGAACAGTTCTCTGTTAGAAATTCTGTCTCCAGAACAGTGCTTCTCAAACATCAATGTTCACAAGAATCACACAGATTATAATTCAATGGATCTGGGGTGGAACTAGAAGTTCTATAGTTCTATCAAGCTCCCAGGTGACGCTAATGTCTATATATGACCACGTAATGAAAGTCTTACTTATATGTTTTCTGGTTTTCTTTTGTTTTTGTTTCTTTTTTTTTTTTTTTTTTTTTTTGAGACAGAGTGTCACTCTTTCACCCAGGCTGGAATGCAGTGGTTCAATATCAACTCACTGCAGCCTCCACCTCCTGGGTTCAAACATTTCTCCTGCCTCAGCCTCCTGAGTAGCTGGGATTACAGGCACATGCCACCAGGCCTGGCTAATTTTTGTATTTTTGGTATACTGAGACGGGGTTTCACCATGCTGGCCGGGCTGGTCTCGAACTCCTGACCTCAAGTGATCCACCCACCTCGGCCTCCCAAAGTGTTGGTATTACAGGTGTGAGCCATCACGCCCAACCCCTAATTATAAGTTCTTTATCCTCTCTCTATAATTACTTTTTCACCCTTCTTTCATTTAATTTTTAAACTTTGCTTTGCCTTCTTTTGCTCTTCCTTTCTCCCTTTTCCTCTTACCAGTTTTCTTCTCCTCCTTTCCTTTCTCTTTTTACTTCTTTTCTTTCCAGTCTGTTTTTCTTGTAGATTTTTCAAGATTTAAAATTCCCAACCCACTCTCAGGATTCTCTTCCTGGTTAAATTTTTTAAAAAACAAAATAAAAACAAAAACAAAAAATGCAACCCTCACTACTCAAAAAGAGACTCCACCCAGACTGTTCTGGAGCTTTGTGAGTCCAACGAAGTAAGAAATTAGTCTAGGGAAACAAAGAAGGCAGTCAAGTGCAAAGGGAAAGCCCAGATGGCTCTTTTCTAGAAAATACTAGGCCAGGAGCCTTTTTCCAGGACTAGAAATTTGCCATGCTTACTGACTAGCTCTCTCTGTCTGCAAAACATAAAAAAATATCAATTTTAGTGAATTTGGCCATTTTCTGGATTGTAGTAGTGTTTATTCTAGTTGAGAATAAATAAACCTCTGTGAGCCATCAGCTTGTACTCTCCCTGTCCTTGGGCTAGGCAAGCTTCTTAGCAGCAAATTCCATGAAAAAGTCTACAAGCCCTAGCACTGAAAGGTAGACGTACTGGCCCAGCCTTGCTTGACTTCCAGAAACCCCAGGGACATGACCAGGGTTTGTTGGTGTAGCAGCTGTGTCTGAGCGTTCGTTATGAACCATCTTCTTTTCAAATGCTGTGGAGAGAAGTTCAAGAAGAGCTAATTCCACAAGAAAAAGGAGAATGGAAATGGTAGGTGTCTTCCTGGTGCAGAGAAAAAAGGAATTCACTCTGAATTCAGATCATCCAGTGCTAAATGGCTTTCTTAGAGACCTATATATTTTAGCCGACCCTGTGTTCCTTCCTACATGAGAAGCAACCCAGGCTTGGATTCCAAATTAATTCTACCAATCGTAAGTTATCGAAACTTGCTGTACCTGGACCATCTTACCTGTAGATGGACACAGTTACCTTAGCTAACTGGGCACTTATAAGATGTATGAAAATAATGCTTACAATGGAGCTCACACTTTGAAGTAGCGGTTTTCCAGTGGGGACAATTTTGCCCCCCTGGAGACACTTGTGGTTATTACCACTTGGAGGTGCTACTGACATCTAGTGGGTAGAAGTCAGGAATGCTGCTAAACAGCCTACAATGCACAGGACAGCCCCCTATAACAAAGCATTATTGGCCCAAAGCGTCAGAAATGCTGTGGTTAAGAAACCCTGCTTGGAAGATGTTCAGTTTGTGTCAACATCCATTTTTCCTTCTTGAATGAAAATGAGAGAAAAGATGGAGGAGAAATAGATGAGGATAAGCTCTACAATATATAAGCATGAATAAAATTTCTGGCTGTGATGGAGGATGCATCCCAGTGAAAACGAGAGAGAACAAGCAATGAACAAAGACATTGAAAATACTTCAAGTACCTTTTTTAATTTTTTAAGCCAAAATTGACAAATGGGATCTAATTAAACTAAAGAGCTTCTGCACAGCAAAAGAAACTATCATCAGAGTGAACAGGCAACCTACAGAATGGGAGAAAATTTTTGCAATCTACTCATCTGACAAAGGGCTAATATCCAGAATCTACAATGAACTCAAACAAATTTACAAGAAAAAAACAACCCTATCAACAAGTGGGCGAAGGATATGAACAGATACTTCTCAAAAGAAGACATTTATGCAGCCAAAAGACACATGAAAAAATGCTCATCATCACTGGCCATCAGAAAAATGCAAATCAAAACCACAATGAGATACCATCTCACACCAGTTAGAACGGCGATCATTAAAAAGTCAGGAGACAACAGGTGCTGGAGAGGATGTGGAGAAATAGGAACACTTTTGGGCTGTTGGTGGGACTGTAAACTAGTTCAACCATTGTGGAAGTCAGTGTGGCGATTCCTCAGGGATCTAGAACTAGAAATACCATTTGACCCAGCAATCCCATTACTGGGTATATACCCAAAGGATTATAAATCATGCTGCTATAAAGACACATGCACATGTATGTTTATTGCGGCACTATTCACAATAGCAAAGACTTGGAACCAACCCAAATGTCCAACAATGATAGACTGGATTAAGAAAATGTGGCACATATACACCATGAAATACTATGCAGCCATAAAAAAGGATGAGTTCATGTCCTTTGTAGGGACATGGATGAAGCTGGAAAGCATCATTCTCAGCAAACTATCACGAGGACAAAAAACCAAACACCGCATGTTCTCACTCATAGGTGGGAATTGAACAATGAGAACACATGGACACAGGAAGGGGAACATCACACACCGGGGCCTGTTGTGGGGTGGGGGGAGGGAGGAGGGATAGCATTTGGAGATATACCTAATGTTAAATGACGAGTTACTGGGTGCAGCACACCAACATGGCACATGTATACATTTGTAACTAACCTGCACATTGTGCACATGTACCCTAAAACTTAAACTATAATAAAAAAAATTTTTTTGTTAATACGTGTATTAGTCTCTTTTCACGTTGCTGATAAAGACATACCCAAGTCTAGGTAATTTATAAAGAAAAAGAGGTTTAATAGATTCACAGTTCCATGTGGCTGGGGAGGCCTCACAATTCTGGCAGAAGGTGAAAGTCACGTCTTACATGGCAGCAGGCAAGAGAGAATGAGAGCCAAGCAAATGGGGAAACGTCTTATAAAACCATCAGATCTCATGAGATGTATTCACTACCATGAGAACAGTATGGAAGAACTGCCCCCATTATTCAATTATCTCCCACCGGTCCCTCCCACAACCCTTGGGAATTATGGGAGCTACAATTCAAGATGAGATTTGAGTGGGGACACAGCCAAACCATATCAATACATAATACTTCTACGTATTTATGGGGTACATGTGATATTTTGTTACATGCATACTTCAAATACCTCTACAGAGGCAGCCACTGTCTCCATCTGACAGTTTTCATGCAACACATGATTGAAGGCCCAGAGCTGCATATATAGAAAAACAGAAAGAAGGATTTTGCTATTTTTGTTTTATTATAGAATCTACTATTTCTCATTTTGGTTGTTCTTGTTGCTCTGTAGATTTGAAGAACATTGGCCATGGTCATGTTCAGAATTTTTCTGACATCAGTTCTGAAAATGGCAAATCATCAAGTGCAGGGGTCAGCAAACTGCTGCTGTTCTTTGTACATCCTACTAGCTGCGAATGGTTTTTACATTTTTTAAAGGTTGCAAAAACATAAGGAACATGCAACAAAGACTGTATGAGGCCCATAAAACTAAAATAGTATCTGTTCCCTTAGAGAAAACATTTGCCAACCCTTGATCTAGAGCATAAAAGTGACATTTCTTTACTCTCTAAATAATTAGAGCAAAATAACAAAGTTCAGGGAATTTATGACTCATGAAATCAAACTTACAGGAAACTCATTATTATAGGGTTAAGACTTTAGTATTTTTCTCAACAGCAAAATCTTCAAATTCTTAAGTGAAAATCTCATCTATTTAATATTACTCTGCTTACTTCTCATTTGGTGATGGGATGGAGGGATTAGAGAAGGGAGAAGGATATTTAGAAATAGGTTATAAAAGATGAAAATAAAGCAAACACATTACTGATTCTGCATATAAAGCCCTCAGTTTTCTGATTCTTGGCTGTCCACAAATGAACTAGTCATGGCATAAAAGTGAAATAGGATCCAAAGTCTGCCAAAGTTCCAGGTTCTGAGATGACATGTTTAATGATGTCATAGAGAAGTTATCCATGTATTCCAGGCAGGATACTGTAATAAATAGGAGACAGCTACAGTGATCCAACTAAACCAACAGGGGATTTTCATCAGCACTTCCCTGGTGTAATCATGGTACAGATTATTAAAGACACGGCAAGTATTTATTTGGCTTCACTGAGTATTTCAAATGTGGACATCTTGGGAACAGATTTGAAAAACTTTAAGAATGTGTTCTCTCTATCCAGTATTCTATCATTGCATTGTAGCAAGGGGAGAGTTCTAAATTCTTGTTCTTTATCTTGTTCCTTGAGGGATGGTACTATCAAGAAAAGCAGCCAAGGGTCAAATTGATAAAGAAGGGCTTTCTTCCTCCTGGACTTTTATTTCCTGCCTGACTTCAGGTGAATCCCAGACCAGCTCCTAGTACATCCCATCCTGTATCTGATCCCATGGATCGTACCTCAGTTGTGCTTGGAAAATTCCATGGAAGTAAGGAAGTCCACATCTTTTCTCTTATCCAAGGAAAAATAATAGAAACCCCAGATGTGGAATGGGGTGGGAAAATTGGGAACAGCCCAATGTTGCTGTCACAACAAATCTAAATTCATGTATAGGACAGAGATAATTCTTGATTTATAAAGGAGAAAATTGCCTCTAAAAGAGAGGTTCAGGGCTAGTTCGTTTAAGAGGTGGTGTGGGCATTAGAACCCAGACCTTCTGATGCCTGCCCTCATTACAAGAAGTCAAGAGCTGGAGGAGGGGAGGGGGTTTGGGGCCTGAGCCTCATGTCCACCAGCAGCCTCAGATTTAGACTTGTGACATTTTCCCCAAAGGTGGCTATACAGATCACAAAAATGACACTGACCAGATTGAAAGAGAGTACTGCCCTGTAACTTCGACATAAGAACATGTTTTGAAACATCACACATTTGCTAATGCTTTTGACACTTATTGTTTTAATATTCTGGGGATGTCACAGAATAGCCTGGAGCCTTATTCCCTCAGAAGACCTTTCATCTCCTCCCCAGGGACCTTTCCAGAGGCCCTGATCTCCATCCCATCTTTATTCAGATGCCACCTTCTCTTTGAGGTTGACCTTGGCCATCCAGACTACAGTTGTAATCCAACCCCCATTCTTCCTTCCTACTTCATTTTCTTTTTATTTTCTTTATTAGCAATTAGCACTAATATACTACAAATATTACCTATTGACCTTATAGTAAGCTTCCCATTCTAAAATGTAAACTCCATGGAGACAGAATGCCTAGTTTTTGTTTTGTTTTGTTTTGTTTTTGTCCACAGTGGTATCCTAGCAGTTTGTGCAGTAGCTGGCATAGTATAGGCCTCAATACGCATATGTTAAATAAATACCTATACTATGAGAGTATTCCCTTCAGATAGTTTAGTCAAGTCAAGTTCATGGGTCCAATTAGGCCAGCTCACACCCAAACAACAACTACTGGAAAGTGAAGAGTGTTGGGAGTTTGTGAGGATAGCATCTACCTTACAACTTCAGAAGCAAGTGAGAAATAAAGGCTTGGCAAGGTTCTCTGAAAAGTTAGTTACTCCCTCCCAGAGGAATATTGATAAAGAAAGAGAGTGCATCTTCTTTGAGTCATCACTTTCACCTGATTGAAACTAAACAAAGTAGCCACATAATTGTCAAGGCTATTATAGAGCAGGCATGTTGTATTAGTCTATTTGCATACTGCTATGAAGAAATGCCCAATACTTGGTAATTTATAAAGAAAAAAAGATCTAATGAACTCACGGTTCCACATGGCTGGGAAGACCTCACAATCATGGTGAAGGCGAAGGAGGGGCAAAGGCATGTCTGACATGGCGGCAGGCAAGACAGCGTGTGCAGGGGAACTGCCCTTTATAAAACCGTCAGATATTTTTAGACTGACTCACTGTCATGAGAACAGCATGGGAAAAACCCACCCCCATAATTCATTTACCTCCCACTAGGTCTCTCCCATGACATGTGGGGATTATGGGAGCTACAATTCAAGATGAGATTTGGGTGGGGACTCAGCCAAACTGTATCACATGTCATTTGTATGGATTAAACCCATCCATAGTGGGAATAGGCCTTGCTTGACTTAATACAATTAACAATCCCATCCCCCTCCTCTTAATGTTCGGTCCAGGAATAAGCACACAATGCAATTAGGGCCAATGAAAGGGAGAATAAGTCCTAATTCTATAATGAACTCAGGAGTGGATTTTCTGTAGTGGTTAAGGAAATAGGAACTGGAGTCAGGCTGCCTAGGATACCAATGCCAGCTACACCACTCACCAGCTAACTGATCATGATAAAGTTAGTGAACTTCACTTTTCTCATTTGTAAAATGGAGATAATAATAGTACACACGTTGTAGTGTTGTTGTAAAGATTATGGGAGAGAATATAGGGCACAGAGTAAATTAGCTACAATTGTTGCAATTCCAGTGAGAAAAGGAAAAGTCTTGAACAGAGTACTATGTATTAGCAAATCATTCATTCATCAAGAAGACACGCAGGCTGGGCGGGGTGGCTCACACCTGTAATCCCAGCACTTTGGGAGACTGAGGTGGGAGGATGGCTTGAGTCCGGGAGGCAGAGTCTGCAGTGAGCTGAGATCGCACCGCTACACCCCAGCCTGGATGAACAGCCAGACCCTGTCACCAAAAAATAAAATTAAATTAAAATAAAAATAAAGAAAACACTCTATGAGCACTTACTCTATGAGTACACTATGAGCACTTATGTGTCAGTTAGGGATCATGGGAGGTACAGGAATGAATCAAGATTAAATCCTGTAAGGACTTGGGGAGATCAATCATGCATGAAATAACTAGTGTAGGACCAGTCACTTGTCATAAAGCAAGCAAATATAGATGCAGTCATCTGAGTCCCAGGAAGGGAAACCTTTATTTACTTAGATGATACAAACAGTTGATGGGAAATTCACTTGACATTCAGCAATAAGCATGTCAAATCCTTAAATGTATAGTTTTAACTGTAGCTGTAATAATGATCACTTCCCCCCCAAAAAACAAGAAATTACTCAAGGTGTGAGATTAATTCTTCTCCTTTTAAAGTTCACTAGTCATGCATGTTTAGGCCCTTGTTTAATAAAAATCCAGTATTATAGATATCCACCCTGAACAGCAGTTCACCTCCACCCTCCAGCCCCCATCCCTCCCTGGCCAACCTGTTTCTCCTCAGAGGTAACCACCGTTATCAACTTCCATTACCAACCTTTTTGGTGCATAGACTTCCATGATTTTTATGTACTTACAAAGAGAAATATATTTGACATGAGGGACATTTAAGGTGGGGTCAGCTAGAGAACAATGGCATGGTACACCTGGTTAAGGTTTTTAAGAACTAACATGGCCAGATAAGGTGGCTCACACCTGTAATCCCAGCACTTTGGGAAGCTGAGGCAGGAGGATCACTTGAGCCCAGGAGTTTGAGACCAGCCTGGGCAGCATAGTGATAACCTGGCTTTAAAAAAACCAAAAACAAAACCAAAACTAATCTGTCATCTTCTTCTCTACAAAATGTCATGAGATTCAGTGATTATGCACATTTCCTCATTTATTTTCTGTTTTCAGAATGAATTTAAAACATTTTTGACAGCTGCCGGACACAAACTCGCAGTGGTTCAATTTTCTTCGAAACGGTGTGGTCCCTGCAAAAGGATGTTTCCTGTTTTCCATGTGAGTACAACCAGTATATATCTCATAGTTTCAGAAGAAATTTAAAGTTCCAGAATATTTTTCCCAGTAATTCTTAAAAGTTTGGCAATTATGAGCCATTCTGGAGCCATAGATTTTTGAAGCACCCTGATTAACTGAAGATAATATACCGAGATCTAATTAGATAATAAGTGTACACACCAGAAGATTAATACTACTTGTCCACAGGTAATTCTGCAAGAACATCCCAAGATGTGCAAAGGAGTCCAATTGTACAAATTAATGGATTCTTCATATTATAGCAATGACATTTTACCAAAGTTTCAAGAGTTCAGAACTTTCAAACACTGGATTAGAATACAGATAAATATGATATTTGTTTTTAAATATAACATAAAAGAATAAATTTCTCCCAATTCTTCAACCTTATTATCAGAACAAACCATATGTCTTTGTTATTTTTCCTACAGCTTTATTGATATATAATTGTTAAATATCTTTATTGAGGTATAATTGTTAAATAAACAAAATCTGTTTATTTAATGTATACAATTGATGTTGGGACATATGTATACACCCATGATATTATCACCACAATCAAAATCCATCACCTCCAAATGAAACCTTGTGTACATCTGCTTTTGTGTGTGTGTGTATGTGTGATAAGAACACTTAACATGGAATCTACACTAAATTTTTAAGTGTGCAACACCCTAATGTTAACTCTAAGCACTATGTTGTATATCACAGTGGTCCCCAACCTTTTTGACACCAGGACCAGTTTTGTGGAAGACAATTTTTCCATGGACTAGGGCTTAGGGTAGGGGGTGCCGGGATGGTTTCAGGAAGAAACTGTTCCGCCTCAGATCATCAGGTATTAAGATTCTCATAAGTAGCGCAACTTAGCTCCCTCACATGCACAGTTCAGAATACGGTTCTTGCTCCTATGAGGATCTAATTCCACGCTGATCTGACAGGAGGCAGAGCTCAGGCAGTAATGACAGCTCACCCACCGCTCACCTCCCGTTGTGCAGCCTGGTTCCTAACAGGCTGTAGACTGGCCCTGGGATTGAGGATGCCTGGTATATCAGATCTCTAGAACTTATCATCCTGTACAACTGTATCTTTACACCCATTAAACAACTCATTTACTCCTTCCCTGTTCCCTGGCAACCTCCATTATATTTTCTGCTTCTCTAAGTTGACTATATTTTACATACTTCATAAAAATTGAATCATGCAGTATTTATTCTATGGTGACTCACTCGTTTCACTTAGCATGATGTCCTCCAGGTCCATACATGTTATTGCAATGAGGCGAATAATACGCCTTGCATGTTCCTTTCTTGTCCTTGATTTACTTTGTAAAATATTCTAGTGAGTTGTAATCATATATTTATATTCAAATCTTTTTCCCACATACACATTGGTTCATGTTTTCATAGTCTCCAAATGAATCTTTTAATATCTATACAATATTTTATCTGGTTAATTTCTGTAATATCCTACATAACAGTTTTTAACATTTTATATATTTATTTTTGGTATAACATACAGCAGAAAGAATCTCAGGGCACTTTTTCTCATTTTTCCTTATTGTATAAAACTTTACATGTTTTTATGGTCACTTTTGTAAAGTTTATTCCTTCAAATGTAAAGACTATACAGCTAAAAATACTCTGGTTTATTTTTAGCAAGGTTTCTAACATTTCTACTTTTTTTAATCCACCTGAGCCTCAGTCACAGCCTGAGTTAATTTTAACCACAGTCACAATCTTTGATATTTAATTCAAAATGAACTTATATTCCAATAGAGAAACTGGCTACATAACATCACAACATCCCTTATCCGCCTAAAATTCTTAGAATATCTAGAAGGGAGGCCAGCCATGGTGGCTGATGCCTGTAATCTCAGCACTTTGGGAGGACAAAGAGGGAGGATTGCTTGGGGCCAGGAGTTCCAGACCACCCTGGCCAACATAGTGAAACCCTGTCTGTATTTAAAAATAAAAAATGAAGAATATTCTGAGGGAACATTTTAGTTTCTGACAGGTCCTACCATGCTGACACTCAAGACTTAGGAAAGAGGATCTCCTTGACTTTGCCACAGAATATCTAGTGTTCAGTTTTTTAACCACTCTTCAGAACAGCACAGACCCACCTGTGGAGATTCTAACTTCGCCATAACCAGTTTTTTCTTGTAATGTTTGAACTTTTGCAAAAGAAGACATTCCTGTATTATGTGTGTAATTTTTTTTAACTCATAGTATATGAGGGGGTTGGAGGAAGACTTTACTTACCCTAGATCAGGGGTCCCCAACCCCCAAGCCATGGATCAGTACCACTCCACAGGTGCATGGCCTATTCGGAACTGGCCACACAGCAGGAGGTGAGCGGCCAGCGAGTAAGCATTACCTCCTGAGCTCTGCCTCCTGTTATATTAGCGGCAGCATTAGGTTTTCATAGGAGTGCAAACCCTATTGTGAATTGCACATGCGAGGGATCTAGGTTGCACCCTCCTTATGAGAATCGAATACCTGATGATCTGAGGTGGAACAGTTTCATCCTGAAACCATCCCCCCACCCCCAGTCTGGGGAAAAAAATGTCTTCCATGAAACTGGTCCCTGGTATCAAAAAGGTTAGATGACTGTATCAGTCAGAGATCAAAGCAAGAAACATAAACCACATTAGAACCAAATTAGAAAAGGATTTTAATACAAGGAATTAAATGCTCATAAAATCATCAGAAGACTGGGTGAATGGGCTTGGGACAGAAACTCCACGAACCACTCTTCAGAGCACCACAGACCCACCTGTGGAGATTCTAACATTGCCATAACCAGAAGTCATGGGAAACGGGAGGCCATGATTGGGAGTTAAAGAACCACCAACAGAGCAGCGGTCAGAGTCAGAAGCAGAATTAGGCAGCTACTACAGCCACCATGGCCTCTGGACATCTAAGAAGTTAATTTCTGGACCCTGAGTCTGGCTGCCACCACTGCTTGCCTCTAGCACAACCAGTACCCATGACCTCACTTTCCACCAAAAAAGAAGAAGAAAATAGCTTCTGTCTCATTTACACTGGCATGCATCTGACTAGTAAAATGAAATTTGCATCCAGAACTCTAGCTGCAAGGGAGGCAAAGAAATCTTCACCACTTTTCCTTTCCAGGCTCTCCAGGATGGTGAAATGGAAGTTAGTTAGCAAAACCATTATTCAAGAGAGGGAAAGAATTCAAGACATTTTCAGACACACAAAAACTAAAAGTTTACTAACCACAGAATCTCTCTGAAGAAATTGCTAATGGATGTATTACAACAAGAAAAAAAAAACAGTGAATCATAAGAAAATGTGGGTTTTAAGAAGTGATTGAAATTATGCAAGAGCAGGGGTCAACAAACTTTTCCTGTAAAAGACAAGATAGAAAACATTTTCAGCTTTGCAGGCCATATGATCTCTGTCACAGTTACTCAACTTTGCTGCTGTAGTGCAAAATCCAGTGACAACACAAAAACAGATGGGCAACTAGTTCCAATAAAACTTTATTTAAAAGAACAGGTAGAGGGATGGATTTGGTCCACAGGGCATAGTTTGCTGATCCTGGGCTAAGAGGATCACTAGGCATAGATCCCTGAAAAGAACATTTCTGGAAAAGGAGAGGCTAAAATTTTGTTGAGAAATTGTATGATGTGATCGGGGGAAGGCAATATGTAGTCTGTGAGGCTTACATATAGTGTGCAATGGAAGTGGCAAAAAATGAGCCTCAAAAAGGAAGCTGAGGCCAGATCAAGTAGGATCTTGTGTTATAACTTAACAAACTGCTGTGGAGAGTCCAATAGGACAATTTTAGGAAGGATTTTGCCACAATCAAATGTGGCATATAGAAAATATTTTTGGAGGTTGCACAAGAATAGATTGGAAAGTCTAAAAGCAGGAAACCCAGAGTGAATGTCAGTAATGATAGGTTTTTCCAAAACTAGAGCAGTGACTTTCAGAGAAAAAGGAAAGATCAAAATTCAGGAAACATTTTAGAGTTAGATCAACAGAAATAAGCGACTAGAAATACATGAGATATGATTTTAAGCAAACAATTCAAAATGCCATCAAGTGTCCTTAAGGTATGAACACAGCTGTCTGAAAAGATACCCAGGAGCTGACATTTACAGGCCACTGTTGTCACTGCTGCTGCTGTGGCTGCTGCCACTTCCTCTTCCCCTAGACCCACTACCAGCACCATGGTCACCGTCACTGCCAAAGATGATTCCAGAACAAAACAGAAGTAGGAGGGAGTTACTTCTTCCCTCCTCCCCTTCCATTTCCTGCAAATACTTCCCATTGGAAGAAGCTAATTGGAAGTCAGCCAGCAATGGAACCTGGAAAATCTAGTTTCCACACATAGTAGAGCACAGAGAGACGGCAACAGGAGTGCAAATAAATTAGGCTAATGGTCAGCATTAAAATGTTGACATCGCTTCAAGCAGAACAGCCTTCTAGCACCAGTAGCACCAGCACCTCCCAAAATGCCAGGCAAGAGAAGGTAGAGTTTGGCTCGGAGAACTGTATCTCAAAGATCACTGAAGACAGACTCCCCCAACTGCTCTCCCAGGAGAAAGCTACTCTACTATCCCTTCCTCCACCCCACAAAGTAAGTCTGGATCCACCACGCACATTCTGTTATGTCTTTGCCAACCTTGAAACTCTAATCTTCAGTTTGGTTCTTTGACTCTGCTTCTGCCACTGGTCCTTACATCATCTGACCTTGGCATCATCTGGTATTTGACTTGATGCTTCAGGCTCTAGGCTGTAGTGAAATGTCAGAATGATGCTTAGTCCTCTTTAACAGCCTTTCTGTTCAATTTTCTTTTCTACTGAAAAGACACTTCCAGTGTGTATTTTAATATTAACACCAAACTAATGGGAAATATTTATTTTTTATTTTGAAGGCTATGTCTGTGAAATACCAAAATGTATTTTTTGCTAATGTGGATGTGAACAATTCTCCGGTAAGAATCTTAAATCTTCTGTGCACATACTCAAAATCCAAAGGCATTGTAATTGAATAGCACTGTCTCAGTAATTATTAATACATGACCAATTTAAAATCAACTAGAATTTTACATTTTTTCTAATAACTACAGTAAACTTCCTCATTATGCTCTTATATGTTTTGTATTACTTAAAAACAAAAAAAAAGATTAGCAAGAAAAAGATTAGCTCTCCTGATACCCCTCTCCCCTCTTATGCTGTGGCAGGCCTCACTAATCAATCCCAGTTTTCTTCACCACTTGCTCTGCGTTCTGCCTCAGAATCCTCCTCAGCAGAGTTGCTCTAGGGAGACAATAGAAATCTGTTAAAGTTGAGCTCAAGGTGAAAGATGGTTTTCATCCCTGTGATGGATTGTTAATCAATTTCTTTATTTGGGGGGTGGGGGACAGAGTTTCACTCTTGTTACCCAGGCTGGAGTGCAATGGCGTGATCTTGGCTCACCATAACCTCCGCCTACTGGGTTCAAGTGATTCTCCTGCCTCAGCCTCCCGAGTCGCTGGGATTACAGGCATGTGCCACCACGCCCGGCTAATTTTGTATTTTTATTAGAGACAGGGTTTCTCCGTGTTGGTCAGGCTGGTCTTGAACTCCCAACCTCAGGTGATCCACCTGCCTCAGCCTCCCAAAGTGTTGGGATTACAGGCGTGAGCCACTGCATCCAGCCTTGTTAATCAACTTCTAAAACCTACCTCAGTGCATTACAGACATCTTAATATATTTTGCTTTTCTCTTGCAATATCTTACGCTTTTTGTGTGTTTTTTTGAAGCATCATAAGAAATTCCCAGAAATCCCTTCTTCCTGTCTCTGGAGCCATCCTTCCTCATCCCATCCCCCCAAAAAATAATCAACCCCATAACCTCAAACAAAGTGTGTCTTATTAATACACACAATGTTTCTACAAAATTATTATTTTAAACATCTGTTAATTTGTAATGATGAGAGGTACCAACAGGTGGTCTATCCACATGTTAGAATGCATTTGAGCTTTAGAATGAAAAAAGTGATATCTACCATTCTGCCCTTTAATGATTTTATGACCCATTATAGTTCAACCTCCATAAACTTCAGTTTCTTCATTTGTAAAACAGGATAATAACACTTAACCGAAGATAAAATGAGATAAAATACATTAAATAAATGACATGGTGCCCAGAGCATAATAGAAGTTCCCTTTCTCCATTTCCTTCAAGCTTCATTAAAGTGTGAGTGTTTAATTGCCCTTTAGGATGAATCATAACCTATAAATTCAGAATACACAGCTAGTATGACTATCTCTTTACCTTTTCTATATTCACAGAGTTGTGCAATCATCACTACAATCAATTTTAGAACACTTTCATCACTCTAAGAAGAAACACTGTACCCTTTAGTAGTTACACCCAATTCCCTCCATCCTCCACCCCCCAATCCTAGGCAACCACAAATCCACAGTAAGCAAAATAGATTTGCTTATTCTGAACATTTCCTATAAAGGGAATCATAGAATATGTGGTCTTTAATCTCTGGCTGCTTTCACTGCATACATTTTCAAGGTGCATTCATATTATAGAATGTATCAGTACTTTGGCCAGGCACAGTGGCTCACACCTGTAATATCAGCACTTTGGGAGGCCCAGATGGGTGGATCGCTTGAGGTCAGGAGTTCAAGACCAGCCTGGCCAACGTGGCGAACCCCCATCTCTACTAAAAATACAAAAATTGGCCAGGCGTGATGATGCACACCTGTAATCCCAGCTACTTGAGAGGCTGAGGCAGGAGAATCGCTTGAACCTGGGAGGCAGAGGTTGCAGTGAGCCCAGATCGCACCATTGCACTCCAGCCAGGGCGACAAGAGCGAAATTCCATCTCAAAAAAAAAAAAATATATAGTATAAACATTAGTGTACAAATTTTTGTGTAAACAAAATTTCCATTTCCCTTGGGTATATATCCAGGATTGGAATTTTGGGGTAATATGGTAACTCTGTGTTTAACTTTCTGAGGAAGTGGCAAACTGTTTTCTAAAGCAGCTGCACCATTTTACATTCTCACCAGCAATGGATGAGAGCTCTGATTTCTCCACATCCTTGCCAACCTGTGTTATTGTCTGGCTTTTTGATTAGAGCTCATTGTCTTTGAAGGTAAAACAAAATGCGTAATTGTCTAATAGTAATTTATGTATCAGTTGTTATCACTGTGTGGTCATGAAAAATTATAATACAGTATGTCTTCACGTGTGTGTGTGTGTGTGTGTGTGTGTGTGTGTGTGCATGAGTAGCAGGGCAAGAGATTTAATGCCAACAAAATGATTGGTATATTAGAGAGAGATGTCCTGTTCTGTTGATCCTGTGGGTGACTAATTTTCTTTTGACTCCTAAACAAGAAAAACAAAAACTAACCTTTGAAAGTAGTTTGAAATAGATTAAAACAATTGGGATTCTGGCATATTTTCTCATATTTTGGCTCCAAATCTTTCACAAAGATTGGCAGTGAAGGACTTAAAAGAAAGACATGTATAAGCCTTACTTAAAATGCTAGATCAGGATGCGTTCCACGTCTCAAGTAGAGTTATAAAGATTTGTTTACTCTTTTCTATTTTTGCAATAAGCTCTTCTTATACTGAGTTCCACTGGGGCCCCTCTGTACTCTTTCACAAGGTCCTTTAAATGCAGCTCATATTGTTATTGAGCATCTATTCTGTTGTGGCCTCCATCTCTTACCCACCTCCTGGTTCTATGGGATGAAAAAGCCCAGGAACGCTGTAACGATCATTTTCTATCAATCATTTTATGTCAATCATTGTGACATTCCTGAAGGAATGTTAGAAAAGTTCATAGCAGGAGAGTCTGTAAAGTGTCAGGTGTCCTTGGAATTTCAGACACGCCTCCTAAAAAGTTACCAAATAACATGCTTGGTACAGAGAGAGGACACCAATACTGTAACTTCATGCCATTTCTTTGCTTTCCCAGGAGCTGGCTGAAACTTGTCACATCAAAACAATACCCACATTTCAGATGTTCAAGAAAAGCCAGAAGGTATGTTTCCAGGGTAACCAGCAGGGTTGAATTAGATTATAGAACCATCAGAGTCCCTCAAAAAAGCCTGGCTGTCCTGGGTGGATGAAATAACTACATTTATTTTTAATGCTTACCAATATAATTCTCTACATACAAGTATGTTGTACTTTACATACAACAACTTTACATACAACTTTACAAAGGGTTAAAAAATGTATGACTTATTAATAAATCTCCCCATTCAGACCATCTGAGGTATCCAAGTCCATAAGTATTTTCCCACTATTATCTCTACACTGGGGCAAAACCATCAAGAAAGACTCTTTTCAGAGAAAGACATTCTGAAATTCTTACAAAAATGTATACAAGTTGCAGGCCGGGCGCGGTGGCTCACGCCTGTAATCCCAGCACTTTGGGAGGCCAAGGCGGGCAGATCACAAGGTCACGAGATAGAGACCATCCTGGCTAACACAGTGAAACCCCGTCTCTATTAAAAATACAAAAATTAGCCAGGCGTGGTGGCGGGCGCCTGTAGTCCCAGGTACTCGAGAGGCTGAGGCAGGAGAATGGCATGAACCCAGGACGCGGAGCTTGCAGTGAGCCAAGATCGCGCCACTGCACTCCATCCAGCCTGGGCGACAGAGTGAGACTCCGTCTCAAAAAAAAAAAAAAAAAAAAAGTGTATACAAGTTTAAACAATACTTGAGGAAATGCTAACCAAAAGCTATCACAAAGCAATATTGCCTAGTGGTTGAGCACGCAGGCTCGGGATTCAGGTTCCCATGATTCACATACTGCTTCTAGCACTTCCTAGCTGTAGCGCCTTGAGTAGTGTATTTAATCTGTTTATATCTTAGTTTTCCTATTTATACATGAATCATAATAAATTTTCCCCTCATAGGGTTGGTGTGATAATTAAATGAATTAACATGACTCAGGTGTTTAGACCCATCCTGGCATTAAGTGCTTACTGTGTTATGTTAGTTATCTTAAAAATATTAATGGAATAAAATGTCTAAAATATTCAGCAAGTTATGAAACTAGTACTTTGTTCTTTTTTTTTCGGGGGTGGGGGGATGGAGTCTTGCAAGGTCACCCAGGCTGGACAGCAGTGGCATGATCTCCCCATCTCAGCTCACTGCAACCTCCGCCTCCTGGGTTCAAGCTATTTTCCTACTTCAGCCTCCCGAGTAGCTGGGATTACAGGCAAGAACCAACATGCCCAGCTAATTTTTGTATTTCTAGTAGAGATGGGGTTTCACCATGTTGGCCAGACTGGTCTCAAACTCCTGGCCTCAAGTGATCCATCCACCTTGGCCTCCCAAAGTAATGGGATTACAGGCATGTGCCACCGCACTTGGTGGAAACTAGCACTTTCTTACATGGCCGGGGGCATTGGCAATTTTCCATACCTTATGAAAGGCGATTTTGCAAACATATGTAGGAGACACAAAATGCTTATTCCGTTTTACACAATTACCCCATTCCTGGGAACTTTCGGTACAGAAATACCTCAAGGAAAAAAAAACAGTTTCATATATAATAATATTTGTAGCACTATATCTAGTTTTAAAAAATGAAAGCAATCTCAATGTCTTTAAGTAAAAAGGCTAAGTAAATTCTGATACATCTACTCCATGAAATAGGATGCAAGCAAAAAAAAAGTTATAAAGAATAATTTAAAGCAAAATGCATGCTTAAGCTTTGTAAAGATTATGTCTGCAGTGTAAAGAATGAAAACATTGGATATGCTAGCTGCAGAATTTTATTTTCAATTTCTAAGTATTTTCTGTAATATAGCTGGTGCAATATATTTAAATTATTTTTTAAAATAACACTACATATTCCCTCATTTGGATTTTTACTTGAAAATTAAAGTTATTTAACATATGCTCCCTCAACTTACCTGACTTAGATGTCCAATTGTCTACATATCATCTTTTATTATCTTCTCCTTCACTCCCATTTCGGAAGTGAGAATGCTTCCTCCTTTCAAAATCAGTTTCATCCATGCAGCTTGATTGCATTCCCTACCTTCTGCTTCAGGCCTCTATCCATCAGTTACTCTCTTTAAAACTTGGAGTTTAGACACTTCTTTTTGGCACCCAGCATCCATTCTCTATTAATAGTACTCTGATTTTCCTCCAAGGAACCACTCCCTTTTGCATTCTTATCCCATGTACTTCCTTAGGGCTCCATCTCCAGGCCTACACCAACCAGTGAACTCCATCCCCATCAGAAATGGACCCTTGACTCCAGTCAAGCCAATCCAAGTCAAACCAGAGCTAATTTCAGGACTTTGCTTAAGCAGCTAGGTAAATAACCTTCTCCTTTGATATCACTGGATTTGAATTTGGGAAGATATGAGTCTGAAGCTACTACAGCTTGTCACCATGTAAAACCTGAAAACGAATCTACCACACAGAAGAAAACAGAGTCAAGCCAAGAGTACTAATGGCATTGACTGCACCCTGAATCTATCCATGCCTGAAGCCTACACTATCCCCATAGATTCTTCAGCTATGTAAACTCTGGGTTGGTTTCTCTGTCACTTGCAACCCAAAAAATTCTGATGAACATATCTGGTGTTCTCCCAGGCTACTCTCCTTCATTTCATGGTGTAATTGTTAAAAGAGTAGAATATATTTGCAGTTTCCAATTCTCATTTTCCACTCATTCCCTCATCTATTTATCTATTTATCTTTCTGTCCTCTCTAAAGTCACCAAGGATCTCCCTGCACCTAATTTAAATAGCCATTTCTCAATTCTTGATTCCTTAGCTACACAGAAGCACCATTAACTAATGAGCTTCTATATTCTGGAAATTTTCTTCTCTTTTGACTTTATCTCTCATCCCTCCCTATGCTCTCCTCTGGCTTGTCTCCTGTTATAGTCAAATATATCCGTTTTGGATATCTATCTTTTTGGTTCAATCCATTTCCCATTCTACCTCTCTCCTTTAGCAATGTCATTCCTACTTCTAGTTCCATCTATAAATACTTTTTTACTTAGACAATTGCAATGCCCCCTCCTCACCCTCAACTTAGCACCATATCTCTGTTCTCCAGATTTGTGCACAGCTCCCTGTATGGCATCCTTTTTTAACATGTGATGTCCTCCCCCTCCATTGCCTATAGAATCAAGGCTAAACCATTGTATTTAAGGCTGGCATTCAAGTTTCTCCATAATTTTGACCCAATCTACTGCTCCAAGCCTTTCTCTGTTTAACTCAGATCTTCATGTATTTTTCTCATACTAGTCCAAGCACCTGAAGGAGGTCATGTCTGATTTGAAAGCTCAGTGACTAGAAGAATCCCAAGTGGATAGAAAATACTCATGATGTGTGTGATGAATGAGTGAGTGCATGAATGAATGAATGAATGCTTCTGTTTTTTCCCTGCATCCCACTGCCAGCTCAGCCTCTCCTCCTGATTCTGTCCTGGTACCAACCTGATTCAGGGCAAGTTTCTCTCCAGTTCAGTATAATTTTCTGGTTTTATTCCTGCTGCTGCTGATATTGTTTGGTAGCTGCTGCCACTCAACAGTTTTTACTCCATTTTATGATGACACAAGACTCTGAGTTCTCAACTGATTTTGTGTCTATGCTCTTGAACCAATTCAAGCTATGCTTTTGAGGAAAGGCATGGCCCTGCTTGGTCTCAATTCTGTATGGGGATGGAAGTGCCCTCAATAAGCTGGGGAGAGAGGACATTTATAAACAATTATATCTAACTGGTCTCTAATGGATATGTATCTCTTTTGAATTGATAGATCCTGCATTCCAGAGATCACTAAAGATCTCAAATCTGAATTTTCTGCCAGGCAGCTATTAGAAAACAAATTAAACCATTAAGATGATTACACTTCCATATTCTAATTCCAGGGTCACCCAACAAGCCTCTGATTATAATGTGGATACTCATATCTCAAGAAGTTTTATTGAGGATTCAATTTATCATTGAATATTAGTAACTTAGCATCCTGGTTATGAATTTAAAAAAAAAAAAACTTGAGACCATTTATGTCACATTATACAAATGACTCTACTTCTAAACGTTTTGTACATCGTAATCATATCTTTGACAGATTCATACCTGGATCAATTTAGATATAATTTGAAAACCTCCAGAAAAATTTGTAATACTGACTTCATTTGACAAAGAATATCAATTTTCTATGCAAAAGATACAAAAAGGAGGAGGAGATCCTAAAGAGAGAGTATTACAAATCGTTTACCTCTTGTGACTCAGACTGCAGGATTTGGTATCTGAGCAGCACTGTCAGGGTCAGTGAGGTCCCCACTTCTACATTGCCTCCAGAGCTGCAGTTAAGCCATGACACCTCTGAAACTCTCCCCTGGTCTTACCTCACAGTGACCTGCAAGGAAAGTCACTAGAACCAGAGGAGGCAGGTTTGGATGGCCAGCCAAAAAGACATGTTCCTATAAATTTCCTTTTTTTTTTTTTTTCATAGAACTGACTAGGAAGGTGTCCGTGAACATCCACTGTTTTCCTGGTGGGTCAAGAAAAATCAAATGCACTTTTTTGAGGACTACCTCCATAAATGTGCTCCTCTCTTTTATCTGGGACAGCGCAACTGAAAACTGACTTATTGAAGCAGTTAAGTACTGTGTGTCCTTTATTATTTTAAAAAATAAAACCTAGAGTTCAGTTCCTATTAAGGCTTCTTACAAGAAATGTCTTACATTTCTGATAAAACATCTGGCAAAGAGCCACTTGTCCATTATACCCTTTTAAATGTACATTGTATAAAAAGCTTTATGATAATTTCTCCCAGAACACAAGAGTTAGGAGAATACTCACCTCCCTTGAAAGCATGGCTCTCTTCTCTGCATTGGATCAGAAAAGTTAGGGAATCCCTTGGGCTTCTCTTTTTGCCATGGCCGCCAAGAATCTCAGGATTGCCTCCTCTGCTCAAACACAGTAATCTCCCTTACCAGCAGTTTCCTGGCACTCCCTATCAGCCACCCCCACACTGCAACATCCTTGAATGGTTTCATTATTTTTTCTTCCCCTTGATTCTAGCTCATTTCAATTATTTTCAAAGTATATAAAACATCAATAAAATAGAACTTGAAAAAACTAAAACAAACAAAGCTATATACACTGACCTAGGACCATGGCAGATTATGGGCCATCCCTGGTTGCTGAAGTTTTCATGCAGAGATTGAATGAACATCTGGCAGGGATGCAATATAAGCAGTGGCTGAAGTTATGTCCTAGTTCTAGGGCAAAGAAGAGCCTAAGCAAATTCCAGGTAATAAATAAGGGGAGCTTGTTCCTTCCTGCTGTACTCCTTAGTGTTTTCATCTAGGACATCACACCATGTTTCAGGAAGATTAATTGTGGTGAATAAGATCATTCCTGTGGTTTCTTCCAGATGGGGGACCCAAAACTTTGTCTGGTCTTTGTAACCAGAATATTAAACTGCATTCTCTTGTAAGTTGTTCATAAATTGGATTTATAGACCCTCTTAAAATCTAATAAAGGCTATGAACCGTCTCCATCCGGACAAAAGAACATAGGCACATAAACTAAAATGTGAGATAATACTAGGATATTCAGTGACCGTCTGAAGCCTATCAGTGGATCCCCAAAGTGAATAACTTTGGTTGTAGACCCATTGTATTAATCCGTTCTCATGCTGCTAATAAAGACACACCTGAGACTGGGTAATTTACACAGGAAAGAGGTTTAATTGATTCACAGCTCCACATGACCAGGGAGGCCTCAAAATCATGGTGGAAGGCAAAGGAGAACCAAAGGGATGTCTTATATGATGGCAGGCAAGAGGGTGCATGCAGGGGAACTCCCCTTCATAAAACCATCAGGTTCTCATAAGACTTATTCACTATCACGAGAATAGCACAGGAAAGACCCGCCCCCATGATTCAATTACCTCCTGCTAGGTCCCTCCCATGACACATGGGAATTATCGGAGCTACAACTCAAGATGAGATTTGGATACACAACTCATGGTTGGTGTATGTCTATGGAGTAGGGAAAGAGAAACCAAGAATTAGCAAGTTTGGGGCAACTGCTTAAATATAAGCCAACCATCAAAAGTTGACTCCATCTTTCATTCTTTGATTATAGAATAAAATAGTTTGCCAAAGCACTTAGGTTCACTCATAAGAGAGATGGGATATGAGTACATAGATGCTACTAAACAAATTAGTCACAAATGAATAATTCAGGAAAACCCATCTGCTAGACTGAGCTATCACATAAAGTGGGAGGAAGCTTGTGCCCTTATGTTTATGAACTGTAGGGCTCTTGCTGAGATTATAAAAGTCATTTCAACAGCATGCTCCTTCAAGTAGGTACAGGAATTAAAATAATATCAAAGAGGTGATACCGTGGTATGCTAGAAAGAGGACAAGATTGGAAGCAAGGGTCACACACTCTGTTTCTTCAAGGACCAAGTAGGGACAATAAGGTAAACAATACTTTTGAGGAAGATGTTGGTGCCTGGAGAATCACGTTCCCAACTTCTCTCTGTTCAACTTCATAAAACACAGTGCTTGATCCATCTCCCAAAAGAGCATCTTCAGTAAGTTTTTGCCATCTATAGAGTCAGACAACTGCAGGTTGAGCCCCAGGTCTGCCTCTTATTAGTGGCAATGTACCATAACCACCTTGAGGCTTAGTTTCCTTCTCTGTAAAATGAGGACACCACCTATGTTTAAACAACTGTCAGACAAATTTGTGATATTGTATCTAAAGTGCCTAGCACTGGACTTGGTAAATACTAGAAGATGTAGCTATCATTAGAGTCCCAGGATCTAGCTGTGCACGGCCATCTCTCTGAAAATGTATAAATAAATAGTAATTTAGAAATAAAGTTTATGAAGACCTCTAAGGCTCTTTCAATAACTACAACATCCATTTAAGCTAAGTCATCTTAGCATTCAGGGGTTGCCTACCCAATAATATTTAACCTGTCAAGGATTGTGTTACACACAGAGATGTTCTGCATGAGGAAAAAAAGAAACCTCTTACGTGCAGGACTCTAAAGGGTGCAGATCCCTAAAAGGGGTTCCTATCAACTCCATAAACAGTTGATGCACTGGCAGAGATTGACTGGGGGTCGGGGGGCAAGAACTAAGTGAGATGGAACAAAAGTGGGCAAAGTGTAGTAACTATTTAGAAACATCTAGCAACCTTCAGCACCTTTGCTAAAGATGCTGCTCTCTGCTTTGACAGTTCAAAGGCTCACATGTGTCTCTTCTCCCAGGCAGGGATTAGGGTGCAGCAAGCAAGTCAGGATATGACAAGTGCAGGATTAAATCTTACCTTTATTTAAATTTTTGATATTTTGTTCATCATGTATTTTTTGCACTGAGTTTTAATACTTTTATATAATACTTATTAACATAATATTTATGTTGATTACTGAGTTTTGGCAGCTACCCCTTAAAATTTTTTTTTTTTTTAGACGGAGTCTTGCTCTGTCGCCCAGGCTGGAGGGCAGTGGCACTATCTCAGCTCACTGCAAGCTCCGCCTCCCGGCTTCACGCCATTCTCCTGCCTCAGCCTCCCAAGTAGCTGGGACTACAGGTGCCAGCCATGATGCCTGGCTAATTTTTTGTATTTTTGTAGTAGAGACAGGGTTTCATCGTGTTAGGCAGGATGGTCTCGATCTCCTGACCTCGTGATCCACCTGCCTCGGCCTCCCAAAGGGCTGGGATTACAGGCGTGAGCAACCGCGCCTGGCCACCCCTTAAATTTTTTACCCCAGTACCTACCCTGCTCTTCTCCTCTGAATTTTAAGTTGTTGAAATATAGGAGTGATATGTTTGGTGATTCACCAGAAGGACTTACAAGACCCAATCACAAGTTATATTCATAACTAAGATTTAGTACAGCAAAGAATACAGAGAAAAAGCGCAGAAAAAAAAGATATGCATTGATGGAGTCCAGAAAGGTCCAGCAGAGACTTCTGAGGTCTTTCCTTGTCAGACACATAGGAATGCTCTCTCTCTAGCAATGAACTTCCGGTAGCTATGTGGTATGGCCCTACTTAGGAACACCACTTGGAGCTCAGAGACTGAGGTCTTTGTGGAAGTAGGGGAGTAGTTGTGACATACACTTATCTTGTGCAACCATTGCTACACAACAGGCCATGGCAATAGAAACTCAGAACCCCAACAATAAAACCAGGGGCATATCATCAATATTGATGTGTATGCAAAGCAACTTGACACGCCAGCATGGCATGGTCCATCCCTCCAGGAATATATAACAAAGTCCGTCAATCACCAACACAAGGAACACTTGGAGGGCCACATTTCTAGGGGGTGGTGAAGGGTCAAACATAGTTCTCTTGGAGACACACAAGAAGAAAGCAACCAGACCTGCTGCATTAACTCTTTTCTCCCAAGGAGTCACGTGGCTAATCACAATATCACCTTTATTATAAGTAGTCATAATGCTACACTGTGCTCATTGAACAATGTGGCTGGGATCTATGTCAACAGACTTCCTACTATTCCCTTAAAGCCTAGACATTGGGGTGACCCACCTGTGGGAGAATCTGGGGCTGCAAAGAAGAAACTTACCTGTGCAGGTAAAAGAGGTATTGTTGCTTTGCACAACTATCAAGCCCCAAAAGTGAGGCTATAGTATGATGGCCTTCCAGATCTATCTGGGCAGGTTTAGGGCCCACTTCCCATGTGTTGTGCAGAAAGACAGTGGGAAGAGAGCATACCTGTCCCTTGAGCAGAGCATCCCCAAAAGGAGAGAGGATAGGCACAAGTTCATTCCTTTGTGTCAGCTTAACAGATAAGCTCACCTCTAAACATGGGGAGAAGTGAAGGGATATAGGAAACAGGCATATTTTCTCAAAACTGGGCATTTGAGCAGATTTTCCAGTGGAAACATGAGAACAAGTATATGAGCCATTGAAGGGAATGGCCCCCAAACCATGTTTATCCCTGAGAATAAAGTTTCACCCTACACTTCCAGTAAACGGGAAAAATGACATCTCCTCTAGCCAGAGTCCAAAATCAGTTTTCCTGTTCAAGGTGTGGCTTGAGGTGAATTCCCACGACATTAGATGCACACGCTTTTGCCCTTCCACAGAAAGCCACATTGTACTGACTACCTAGCTCTTAGGCAGTTGCATGAAGCCTCAACAACTTCAGTTGATGGCACAGAATAAGAGTCGGTGAACAGTCCCAGGGCCATATCCGACCCTCCACTTGTTTTTGTAAATAAACTTTCACTGGAACACAGCCATGCCCATTTGTTTATGAATTGTCACTAGCTGCTTTAGCATTACAACAGCAAATTTGAGTAGTTGCAACAGAGACCAAATGGCCTGCAAAGCCTAAAGCTGGTATTATCTGATCCTTTACAAAAAAAGCTTGTCAACCCCTACACAGAAGAAAAGCACTCTTGCATTATTTATGCCACCAACGCTCAAAGAATCAGATCTGTAAGTAGAGTTTCTAAATCAGCTACAAGAAAATGAAAGTAAATTTGTATTTTGCTGGTATCGCACTATTAGAACAAGTTGAGAAGAAGGCCAGTATAGATAAGGAAAAAAATTAACATTGTTTTTATAGGCTCTTGTTCTTGAATTCGAGTGCATATAAATTCAAGCTGCTTGCTTGATTTTTATTTAGCTCCTCCAAAAACTTTAATCAAGCCCCTTGCAGTTGCAAAGCCTGTCTTGAGTCTTGTGAAAGTCAAAGGGGAAGTGTTCAAATACCTGCAACGTGATGCAGATGGCTCTGGGGAACAGATGGGTGGGGAGGAGTCAGAGAAAGGGGCCCAGATAGGATCAAACAGTAATTAATGTTGCTCACCTCTCCACAGAAGGTAGAGAAATTTTAAAAATTTTTATTAGACATATTCTTTTCATCTTATTCATACTATTCAATGCTTTAGTAAACTCCTCTTTTTAAAAAAGAGAATATAATATCATTATAAATTATAAAATTATATTGTACAGGCCAGGCACAGTGGCTCACACCTGTAATCTCAGCACTTTGGGAGGCCGAGGCAGGCAGATCACTTTGAGGCCAGGTGTTCGAGACCAGCCTAGCAGGTAGTAGCCTAGATGGTGAAACCCCATCTCTTCTAAAAATACAAAAAAAAAAAATTAGCCGAGTGTGGTGGCACATGTCTATAATCCCAGCTACTCAGGAGTGTGAGGCAGGAGAACCACCTGGACCCGGGAGGCGGAGGTTGCAGTGAGCCAAGATCATACCACCGCACTCCAGCCTCAGTGACAGAGCAAGACCCTGTCTCAAAAAAAAAGAAAAAAGAAATTATATTGTACATACATTTCTACAGCCTGCGCCCCCCGCCCCCTCAACCCCCTCCCCTGCCGCCAAAAAAAAAAGTGTCTTGTGGCTGGGCACAGTGGCTCACACCTGTAATTCCAGCACTTTGGGAAGCCAAGCCAGGTGGGTTCCTTGAGCCCAGGAGATCAAGACCAGCCTGAACAACATAGTGAAACCCTATCTCTACAAAAAAAAAAAATACAAAAATTAGCCAGGCATAGTAGCAGGATTCTGTAGTCCCAGCTACTTGGCAGGCTGAGGCAAGAAGATCAAAACCAAAATTGCATATCAACTGGCCAAGATATTTTGCTATAATTATCTTTTGAGTGTGTCATTAGTCAGACTCTAAAGTCTAATTGGTACTCTTGGAAGTCCATTTGTGAGGAGGGGACCGCTGTCTCCAGCCCCTTTGCATTTTGCAGCAGCAGTACTAGAATTTTTGCAGGTGATTCAATGTCTTTGGCATTAAAAAAAATTGCCCCGGGCTGGGTGCAGTGGCTCACACTTGTAATCCCAGCACTTTGGGAGGCTGAGGCGGGTGGATTACCTGAGGTCAGGAGTTCGAGACCAGCCTGGCCAACATGGCAAAACCCCGTCTGTACTAAAAATACAAAAATTAGCTGGGTGTGGTGGCGGGTGCTTGTAATCCCAGCTACTCGGGAGGCTGAGGCAAGAGAATCACTTGAACCCAGCAGGCGGAGGTTGCAGTGAGCCAAGAGCATGCCATTGCACTCCAGCCTGGGCAACAAGAGCCAAAAAAACAAAACAAAAAAAAACCTGCCTCTGGATGATGGGCAAATGCAGGGGATAGGAGGGTTCACTTCATTATTTTATTTTTGTGGATGTTTGAAAATGTTCATAATAAAAGACTTCAAAACTGATCATTGAGCTTAGTTGGTTCTATTATGCATGGACAGCCACACCCCATTCTCTTGGTCTCAGCAAACCAGAGCTTATAATTTTCATTAGCAGTTATTACTAGGGTTGCAGCAGTGCCTTGAGGAGAGAGAAGTAAACTCGCTCCCTTAATATTTCAGAGTGGAGCATGCCTTTGAGAGGCATAACCCGACATCGGAATAAAACGAGAAAACAATGTGAACCCTGAATATCTGAGACATGTCTCAGTTAATTTAGAAAGTTTAATTTGCTGGCCGGGCGCGGTGGCTCAAGCCTGTAATCCCAGCACTTTGGGAGGCCGAGGTGGGCGGATCACGAGGTCAGGAGATAGAGACCATCCTGGCTAACACAGTGAAACCCCGTCTCTACTAAAAATACAAAAAATTAGCCGGACGGGGTGGCGGGCGCCTGTAGTCCCAGCTACTCCGGAGGCTGAGGCAGGAGAATGGCGAGAACCCAGGAGGCGGAGCTTGCAGTGAGCCGAGATCGCGCCACTGCACTCCAGCCTGGGTGACAGAGCGAGACTCCATCTCAAAAAAAAAAAAGAAAAAAGAAAAAGAAAAAGAAAAAAAGAAAAAAAAGAAAGTTTAATTTGCCGATTTTGAGGACATCCACCTGTGACACAGCCTCAAGAGTCCCTGATGACATGTGCCCAGGTGGTGAGAGCACAGCTTGGTTTTATACATTGTAGGGAGGCATGAGACATCAATCAACATATGTAAGATGAACATTGGTTCAGTCAAGAAAGGCAGGACAACTCAAAGTGGGGAGGGGGCTTCCAGGTCATAGGTAGATAAAAGACAAATGGTTGCCTTCTTTGAGTTTCTGATTAGCCTCTCCAAAGGAGGCAATCAGATTTGGATTTATCTCAGTGAGCAGAGGGGTGAGTTTGAATAGAATGGGAGGCAGTTTGGCCCTAAGCAGTTCCCAGCTTGACTTTTCCCTTTAGCTTAGTGATTTTGGGGTCCCAAGATTTATTTTCCTTTCACATTTACCCCCTTTTCTATTTAAAAATCTTTTGGAGAAATCATTTTAGAAGAAAATGAGTTTCTGGTCTCAGGTTTCATCTGATCTCTCATGGCTAGGGTGGTTTATTCCTAGACAGGTAGGTGCCAAGTTATTAGGAAAGCTTATTTTTAGCAGCTTGTGAAGCCTCACATCCTATGAAAAGAAAATAGGGGGAAGAAGGGAGAAGAACAACAACAAACAAAAGAACAATCCTGGAAAATCTGTATAGGCCACATTACTCCATTTTGGTTGTTTGTTTGTTATTTGTTTGTTTTGAGACAGAGTTTTGCTCTTATCAACCAGGCTGGAGTCAGGGGCACGGTCTCGGCTCACTGCAACCTCCACCTCCTGGGTACAAGTGATTCTCCTGCCTCAGCCTCCCAAGTAGCTGGGATTACAGGCATGTGCCACCACGCCTGGCTAATTTTTGTATTTTTAGTAGAGACAGGATTTTGCCACGTTGGCCAGGCTGGTCTCAAACTCCTAATCTCAGGTGATCTGCCCACGTCAGCCTCCCAAAGTGCTGAGATTACAGGTGTGAGCCACTGTGTCCAGCCTAAGTCATATTACTCTGAAGTCTACACATGGACTTCAGAAAGTGGCTTATATATGTAAATAGATTGCTGTTATTTTCTTCGGAAGTTTAAATTGTCTAGCTTCAGTTTGCAGGGCTTTAAAAAAGCACAGCTTAGTTTTCAGTGACTCCAAATTAGGAAAAATTGGGGGAAAAGATAAGAAAAAAATTGAAACATTATTTTGAAGACTCGTAGGGGCAGGCATGGTGGCTCACACCTGTAATCCCAGCACTTTGGGAGGCCAAGGTGAGCACATCACCTGAGGTCAGGAGTTCAAGACCAGCCTGGCCAACATGTTGAAACCCTGTCTCTACTAAAAATACAAAAATTAGCTGGGTAAGGTGGCGGGCATCTGTAATCCCAGCTACTTGGGAGGCTGAGGCAGGAGAATCACTTGAATCCGGGTGGCGGAGGTTGCAGTGAACTGAGATTGCAAGATCATGCCACTGAACTCCAGCTTGGGCAACAGCGAGACTCTGTCTCAAAAACAACTAAAAAAAGAAGACTTGTAGCCAAGAGAAATTAGAATTTAGTCCAAACTGCAGAAAATAATATAAATGGAAAAACATTAGGCAAGACTAGAATCTAACAACAGATGTACTATAATTTTTGAAACAATTTTCTCTCTCCAGGTTCCCATTTCTACTAAAGACAAATCATGATAGGACAGATTTGCTTTATTATACTTGGACTGAGTATTTGTATACAGTGCAGCAAGAATAATTTTTTTTACATAGGCTTTTAAATTGACTTTGATGGAACTTCGTTCCATAGAAAGAATCTCAGATAAGACTTTTTTGAAGCTGAGCCCAGCCATAGATGGATTTGTACCATCAAATGCCTATGGGAATTCCTCTCCTCTTGAGGTTCCATGATAAACTTGGGGCTCCTGGGCCTGTCAGAAAGTGACATTCTTTACTTACCACAGGTCAGGAATCCTGTACAGAAACTGTGTAGACAAGGTATGAGGCCAGTTTTCCCAAGGGACTTTTATTGTTTCCATAAGTCATATTTGATTCCTTAAGGGAAAGTACACCATTCCAAAGCTTTGGTAAAATAACCGGTTTCTCCAATTGTGTCCTGTTACAAATGAAAACAGGTTCTTATTGCACTTATGCCATAACTGTATTGCCATAAGTTAAGAATACTCACAAATAGTTTCCAAATTCTGGAGAAATCAGGTAGAGAGAAACAAATATGCTCCAAATTTTGTTCATAGGAGTATACTAAATTATTAAAAGCTGTCAATAAAGCAAAAGTTTCCTTGACTCTGAAAAACAATACAAAGGATCAGCAACATTTTAAGAAAAAGTCAAAAATATTACTTCGGTTTTTTTTTAGTTCAGTCCATGCAGATAACTCCTGCTCTGCTTGATATTCATAAACATTTCAGCTCTCCCTGGAGAACTGCTTGAACCTGGGAGGTGGAGGTTGCGGCAAGCAGAGATAGTGCCACTGCCCTCTAGCCTGAGCAACAAGAGTGAAACTTCATCTTAAAAAAAAAAGTTAAATTAGTTTACTATATCCATATATATATAGTATATAGTATATCCATATATAGTATATATATAGTATATAGTATATCCATATATAGTATATATAGTATATAGTATATCCATATATAGTATATATATAGTACATAGTATATCCATATATAGTGTATATATAGTATATATATGGATATAGTAATATAGTATATCCATGTATATATATATATATATAAGGATATACTATATTACTATATCCATATATATATATAGTATGGAGATATATATATCTATTACTATATCCATATATATATGGATATAGTAATATAGTAATCCATATATATATAGTATGGAGATATATATATATATATATATATATATATATATATATACCTCTTTATTTTTGTAACTTTCTTTACATCGCTCTTATTTCCTGGTTTCTTTTACCTTGTTTTATACATAACCTTTAAATAAGCTTTTGAATTAGACAAAAATTGTTCACCTTTTTAAAAAGGACACACTTCTTTTCTTTAAAAAAGAATGTTTTCCTACAATATATTTTTATTGAAAAATACCCAAATAATGAAATATCTATTAATTTAATATAACTTTAGATTCTCAATTATGATGAGTTTGTCTACAAGTATTTTCCCCGTTGTATTTACCTAATTATTTTAATCATTTACCTAGATGATTTATGTAAACTGTGATAATAATCATTTAAAGTTATGGAATGACCATTGCAAAATTATTACTGAGACAGTGAAACAGATCTGACCTAACTGAATCTATCATGCTTCTAACCTCCAAGCTGTCTTTGTTCATTCCTGGGCATAGGCCAAACTAACTTTGGGAGGAACTTAGTTTATAGCTTAGCTTTGAAACAAAGATGGTAACAGTCCTTTCCTAAAACAAACTTTACTGCCTGTGGACTAGACTGCTTGAAGCCAAAAGATTAGAAGTTACTAAATTCAAGATGTAACTATTTTCATTAAACCAATATCAATGTCTTATTTATTAAAAATTACACAAGCAAAGTTCATTCTGTTTTGGGCTGGGTTTATAGTTTTGTAACCCCTATGCCAAATTTTGACACCTTATAGTGTTTAGCAGGGATAAGTATGAAATTGCTTGATTAATAAATGCAAACAAAAATGTATGCTGGCAATTCTTAAGACATTTCTAATATTACGCTTCCAATAATTTTAAAGCTAGCTTGTTTATTAAAGATTTTACTTAAGTTACATAAACTTGAAAAAGCATTTGGCTAGTCTTTTATTTTTTCCTGATAAAGTATTTGATTCAAGTGCTTTTATTTTCTTAAGCCAATTAATTAGAGCTCTTTTATATATTTTCAGGAATGAAACATTGTGTAACATAACACATAAATACATAAATGTATTAGGCATGCCGGTAGAAGTACATCTTGTAGATTCATAGACTCTATTTTTTCCTATCTTATACTTTCAAATTCTTGATAACCTGTTTCACTACCCTAGACAGTTGTCAGCTAAATCGCCTTAAATTTGCATATTAAATTTAAACAACTCAGGTGAAAAGCAGCAAAATTTACATAATCAAGTATGGAGAGAAAATGTCTGGTGTGCTAGAGGGAAATTAAAATGGATTTAATTGCCAACTAAACAAAAAATTATAGAAATTATAAAGGCCTTTCCAATATACACATGCACACACACACACACACACACACACCACACACAAAGATCCTATAACTTAGGAACTCTATAGTTTGCAGATGGATCCTAGGACTCTTTTTTCTTTAATGTGAATGTGCACAAAGACCATATTACTTCCATTTTACATAAACTCTGGCAAGTAGAGGTGCCATAAAACCTATGGAGTGCTTGAAAGGGGAGTCAGTCTCCTTGTTTTCTTCTCATTCTTAGATTATTGGTTTCCCACTTTCTTTTTCTTAATAAAAGGAACTGAGATTATTAATAAGGAACTTAGATTATTGGTTTCCCACTTTTTTTTTCTTAATAAAAGGAACTGAGATTATTAATAAGGAACTTAGATTATTGGTTTCCCACTTTTTTTTCCTTAATAAAAGGAACTGAGCCGTGGCCTAGAGTTTTTGTGTGATGAATTGATGTGTGCTGCTTGTAAGCAGCACTCCACACCACTGAGTTGTTTCTACCCTCTTACATGCCTCAGTTTCTCTCTCCAGAGGTCTATTATCTCTGAGAGGGCTCAAAACACTAGGTAATCAGCCCTTATATGTGTTTCCTGGATAAGCCTTTTTTTAAATTACTTTTTAGGCCAGGAGCAGTGGCTCACGCCTGTAATCCCAGCACCTTGGGAGGTCAAGATGCGCAGATCACCTGAAGTCAGGCGTTCAAGCCCAGCCTGGTCAACATGGTGAAACCCTGTCTCTACTAAAAATACAAAAAATAGCCAGGCATGGTGGTGCATGCCTGTAATTCCAGCTACTAGGGAGGCAGAGGCAGGAGAATCACTTGAACATGGGAGGCAGAGGTTGCAGTGAGCTGAGATGGTGCCACTGCACTCCAGCCTGGATGACACAGCAAGACTCTATCTCAAAAAAATAAATAAATAAATAAAATTAATTTTTGGGGGGATTTTCCTGTAGGGCTGCTGCATATTGTGGGGGGGTCAATCCCCCAGATACTCCCTTGAGGCCCGAGTCACCCAGGGGCAACTTTCAGCTGGAAGGAGCAAATGTTGTTTCTCTTCCGAGCTAAGAAAATTCAGTCTCTTATGCAAATATACACAGACAAGCCAAATCAAGATTAATTTTCAGAGAAAAAGCAATGGAGAAGATCCTTTAGAATGCATATCTGAACTAGAATTAGGATCCTTAACAACTTCCTACGAGAAAAAATAAAATAACAGCCAAGACCACTTCCTGTAAACTGTTCTCAGCCATCCCTAACTTTGTAGTTCTCATTCGCCATTACACACGCTAAGGTCAAAACCTCTCACAGTACAAGGTCATCTCTGGTATCTACAAAGCCAAAGAGGTCAGGTCATGCAATACAGGAAAATAGAGCTTTAGACCTAAGAAGAATCTGCCCATGACTCTTGAAACTCCACAAAGAAAACAGAACACATCAAAAGGGGTGAGTGGCACCTTTGCTCTGAATTCTTTAAAGGGGTTCAAATCGTTAGAAGCCTTCTCTAGATTTTTTTGGTACTGCAGGTGGCAAAGGGGAAGGAGGTACGTGGTAGAAGGAAAGTAAATGAGAGAACCTTTTTTTTTTTAAAGACAGGAAGCAAACACAGAAACCAAGTGCATGGTTTTCTGTTTTGTTTTCCCTCTTTTGCAGCTGCAAGGAATTTTAGCCAAATTAGAGAGGCCTTGTTACCCATAATTTGGAATTCTCACTCAGATTTGAGCAAGTCAGGTAGAGTAGGTCAAATCTGATGGGAGAAAGAAAAGAACAAACAACAACAACAAAAAAAAAAACAATGTGATCTCTGAGCATGCTAATGGTAAGGAGAAATTAAAAACAGCTGGTTATTAACTTTAGCCAAGACAAAACCCAAATTCAGATACTTACCTAGGGTTGGGTCTTGGGCTGAAGAACCAGCAAAAAAATCAAACTTGTCTCCCTTGTTGGGAGCAACCTCAGACTCTATAAAGGAATTACCTGCCTTCCATCATCATGAAAGCAGGAAATCTTGCCTTCCTTGTTGGAAGCAAGTAAAACTCTAAAAAAAGGGAGTTGTACAGCAAAATAAACTAGATCTTGACCAAATCTTGGGAGATTGGGGATTCTCTGGAGTGGGGTGCTCCCAGGCCTCAGCAAATTGTCCTATTGGTTTGAGCCATAAAGTTAGCTCATGCTGGTATCAAGCACCAACAGGAGATTTGCCAAAGGTCAGGGGTAACTCCACTCAGAATCCCTTTGTGGTTGCCAAATGTGAACCCCAAACACCTGAGATAGGTTTCAGTTAATTTAGAAAGTTTATTTTGCCAAGGTTGAGAACATGTGCCTGTGACACAGCCTCAGGAGGTCCTGATGCTATGTGCCCAAGACGGTTAGAGGACAGCTTGGTTTTATACATGTTAGGGAGATATGAGACATCAATCAACATATATGATGAACACTGGTTTGGTCCGGAAAGGCAGGACAACTTGAAGCGGGGAGGGGGCTTCCAGGTCATAGGTAGATAAAAGACAAATGGTTACATTCTTTTGAGTTTCTGATTAGCATTTCCAAAGGAGGCAATCAGATATGCATTTATCTCAGTGAGTGGAGAGGTGACTTTGAAAAGAATGGGAGGCAGGTTTTCCCTAAGTAGTTCCAGCTTGACTTTTCCCTTTAGCTTAGTGATTTGGGGACCCCAAGATTTATTTATTTTCCTCTCACAACACTTTGGGCAGAAATTAAACTATTTGCCTTGCATACATCTCTCTTCAAAAGAAAGCTATCTGTGCAATAAGCTCTTATCAGTAAATTGCTCCTTATCCATGAACTCCACCTATTAAGTTCCTGTATGCAAAGCCCAGTGCTGGATAGGAAGACACGAATGTAACATTTCTCTTTGGCAAACAAGATAAAGATAGAATAAGACAGGTAATACCTAGTTGCTGAAACTTAGCTCAACACAGGCCTATGGTCATCAATGGTACACTTACTCTGTGTAAGGTACTAGATTAGATACTAAAACTATAAAGCCAGGCACAGTGATTTATGCCTGTAAACCCAGCACTTTGGGAGGGGAGGCAGGAGGATCTTTTGAGGCCAGGAGTTTGAGACCAGCCTAGGTAACACAGCAAGATCTCGCCTTTACAAAAAATTTAAAAATTAAAAAAAAAAAAAAGCCAGTGTATTGGTGCATGCTTGTAGTCCTAGCTATTCAGGAAGCTGAGGTGGGAGGATCACTTGAGCCCTGGGGTTCAAGACTGCAGTGAACTATGATCGCATCACTGCACTCCAGCCTGGGTGACAGAGCGAGACCTCATCTCTAAAATAAATAAATAAATAATATATGGAAAAAAATTTCGGGTATAGTCTTCATCCTTGGTGTAGTGGGAAAGATAGATGACAAAAATTAGTTAATACTGCGATGCCCAGAGTACTATGGGATCACAGAGAAAAGGTTCAAGGAAGGCTCTATGAGTTACTCAAACCATCTTGAGGGATAGTTAAGAATAGCAAGTGAGAAAAGATGACAGGAAGCAGTGTTATAAAATAACATGGGTATATGTCAGGAATTCTTTGGATAATAACACAACAATAGTAAAAAGTTATCACTAGCAGATGAGCTCATGAGAGGATTTTGTCAGTTTTGTTCACAGTAAGTGTGGCTCATAGTAGGCACTTATTAAGTATTTGTTAAATGAACAAATGGATCTGACTGAGTTCAAGCTTTATGGCAAGGAGCAACAGGGAGGGAGACAGGACAAAATTACGGAGACCTTGGAAGAAGCTTGGATTGTATGGTGATGGGGAAAAACTGAAGATGTTTACAAACAAGGATGGCATGCCTGGATTTGTGGTTTTGAGCTTCAGGGATGAGAAAGGACCTAAGTGGCACAAGACTGGAGACCGAAAGAGACAAGTTATATAGCCATTGCTAAAGTCAGGTGAAAGCTGACCAAGGTAAAACATATGGAATTTGGTAGCAAACTTGTCCCCTAAAGCCACCAGAATTGTTAACATGAAAAAGACTGGCAATATCAAGTGTTGTCAAGGATGCAGAGCTAGAGCTAGAACACTCATCCTCTGCTGGTAGAGTATAAATTGAAAATATATGCAGGCCAGGCATGGTGGCTCACACCTGTAATCCCAGCACCTTGGGAGGCTGAGATGAGCAGATCACTGGAGGTCAGAAGTTTGAGACCAGCCTAGCCAACATGGTGAAAGCCCGTTTCTGCTAAAATTTTAAAAATTAACCAGGAGTGGTGGTGGGAGGCAGAGGTGGGAGAATCGCTTGAAGCCGGGAGGCAGAGATTGCAGTGAGCTGAGGTTGCAGTGAGCTGAGGTTCCAGTGAGCTGAGATTGCGGCACTCCAAAGTCGGTGACAGAGAAAGACTCTGTCAAAAAAAGAAAAGAAAAGAAAAGAAAAAGAAAGAAAAGAAAAGAAAGGAAAAGAAAGGAAAGGAAAGGAAAGGAAAGAAAAGAAAAGAAAAGAAAGAAAAGAAAAGAAAAGAAAAGAAAGGGAAGGGAAGGGAAGGAAGGGAAGAAAGAAACAGGAAAGAAAGAAAGAAAAAGAAGGAAAGATATAAAGAGGAGAAAGAAAGAGAGTAAGAAAGAGAAAGAAAGAAAGAAGAAAATAGAAAGAAAGAAAAAGAAAGGAAGGAAGGAAGAAAAAGAAAGAAAGAAAGAAAGAAAGAAAGAAAGAAAGAAAGAAAGAAAGAAAGAAAGAAAGAAAGAAAAAGAAAATACATGCAGTATAATTTCAAAAACTGTGGGGTAGCTTCTACTGAAGCAGAACCCACAATCCCACTTCTAGCTATACAACAGAAATCAGTGCTTATGTGCTCACAAAGATATCCCTACAAAGATATGGACAAGAACATCCACAGTAGCACTATTTGTCACAGCAAAAATGGATAAACTGTGTTACATTCATGCAATGGAATACCAAAGAAACACTGAAAAATGACTGTAGTGACACTCTCCAGGTAAGTCTCATAAACATCATGTTGAGTGGAAGATGCCAGACACAGAAGAATACATATCGTAGAATTCCATCTTTCTTTTTTTCTATTTTTTAAAAACAATTACATTTGAATCAGTGCACCATATTCCTTTTTTTTTTTTTTTTTTTTTTTGAGACAGAATCTCTCTCTGTCACCCAGGCTGGAATGCAGTGGCTTGATCGTGGCTCACTGCAACCTCCACCTCCTGGGTTCAAGTGATTCTCGTGCCTCCGCCTCCCATGTAGCTGGAATTACAGGTGCACACCACCACGCCTGGCTAATTTTTGTATTTTTGGTAGAGATGGGGTTTTGCCATGTTGGCCAGACTGGTTTCAAACTCCTGATCTCAAGTGACCCACCCACCTCAGCCTCCCGAGGTGCTCAGATTACAGGCATGAGCCACTGCACCCGGCCATCCATCTTTAAAAGTCCAAAAACAGGCAAAATGAATTTATTATGTTTCCTGCCAAGTCTGGTCATTCAGGTAGCCAAGCCTTGCCTATGTTTCCACCAGACGTTCTTATCTTTGCACGAGTTCTGACCTCAGATTTTGCAGAGGATCATGAACCTCCCTTCATGCCAAAGAGCCACCACCCAGCTGCCACCTAACTCTTAGCAAAGAGAAACTTTTGCAGATCCTTTCTGACACCTTCCTTCCCTGGCCAAGGCCAAAAGAACCAGTTATAGGGGAGATGGTTACAAACCAGGCAACTCAGATAAATTATGAAATTCTGCACCCACACTTAGGTAACCCTATTCTCAAGAATCAAAAGAATAATTTGCTGTTATAGAAGTGGATTCATGAGCAACCTGGTAAGTGAAATGGGATCAAGTTAGAGTTAGAAATCTGGGGTTTACTTTGAAGGAATAAATATAATGACACACTCAGGCAGAATGCTGCTGCCTGGAGAAGCAGAAGCCTTTGGTGTGGGGATGGTTTCTCCCTGCAGCACACCGGGCAGTAAAGTTAGTTCTAGACTTTTCTAGCCCCTGCCCCAAAGTCCTAACACCATTCCTGGTGGCTCAACCGCCCCTTTACTGGGAACTCAAGTTTTCACCCAATCCCAACCTCACACTCTTCCTTGTCTTCAACCATGTAATATATTTTGAATTCCATCTTTGAATTCCATCTTTCTTCAAAAAAGATGCATTATTTTATATACCACTAAGAAGTGTTCCAAGTGAAATATAACATACCATCCACTATGAAATGCATTCTGATTCAGAGATGTAAACATTTGAAAGGAACATGTGCTTCTTAGAATCAATGAATTATAATACTCTTACCTGGGGAGAAGTCAGGGAATGACAAATCCCAAGCCATTTGATTTCAGAAGATTGTGTATATTAATTGACAAATCCTCGATACCAATGTATAAGAGCTCTGAGAAGTTCCAATGATGGAGTTTGTTTATTTCCGAGATTATTATACGTTTTAGATCTTAGATTAAAGGTATATTATGGAGAATTATAGAGATCTGGCAAAGTTTTTAGCAAAAGTAATTTTGAAAGGATGCCAAATATGAAAATATTATGAATTTAATGTGTTTAATGTATATTTATATTTAAAGTGTCTTGCAGATGATGGAAATGAGTAGGATTTAACTTTTCAATCAGGAATAAAATTCCTTAAAGCCTCAACATTTTCGCAGCACTTGAATCAATAAATGTTTCACCTTTGTGCATTTGTGAACAGATTTTTGAGTTTTGTGGAGCCGATGCTAAAAAATTGGAAGCCAAGACTCAAGAATTAATGTAAGCTGATCTCCAAGGCAAAATACACTTGTGACATTTGAAAAGGCAAGAGCAAATGTGTTTGTGCTTTCATTTCCAGCAAATACTGTAGTGTTCCACTGGTCTCTCTCCTAATGCTTTGCTGGTTGAATACCATAATGCAATCTCACTGCACAATTGCTAAAAACTGTTGCAATATGAGAGATTGCATCATTTCCATTCTCCAACTTGGGCTTCCCACTTGCTCTGAGCACACTCCTTGGGCAGTGTTTTTATGACCTTCACAAGAGAGGTCCTGCACAGCTAAGTATTACCAGGTCATCAAGATTTTCCAGAGATTAGCAAAGATCCAATTCTTCCCAGTGGTCAAGGAACAAATAAATGTCTTAGTGCCCTCGTGCACTTTGAACATATGAAAGCCTCCCCCGATTAAGCCATTTCTTATGGTACAAAATTCTTCTCCAATGCATCATTTTTTTTTTTTGAGACAGTCTTGCTCTGTTGCCCAGCCTGGAGTGCAGTGGCATGATCTCGGCTCACTGAAACCTCTGCCTACCAGGTTCAAGCTATTCTCCCACCTCAGCCACCTGCGTAGCTAGGATTATAGGCAGGCGTCATCACAACTGGCTAATTTTTGTGTTTTTAGTAGAAACAGGGGTTCACTATGTTGTCCAGGCTGGTCTCAAACTCCTGCCCTCAAGTGATCCTCCTGCCTCGGCCTCCCAAAGTTCTGGGATTACAGGCATGAGCCACCATGCCCAGCCATCATTTTATGTTTGAACTGTGTCATTTTTCTCTCTCTCTCACTCCCTTTCTAAAGTCCTCCTATAAACACAGACGTGTACACACACAGACCCACACACATACAAACCAGAAAGTCCTTTTACTGCCTATTGAAAAAAAAAAAAAAACTGAGCTAACTCAGACATTTAGAGCCCAGAGGAGATGGCTTCTTCTGTACCGTACTAATTGTGTCTATGCTGAGGCTGCACCAGATAAACACTGGAGTCTTAAGTCATAGACAGAGTGGAGCTGGCTTTCCTAGGCATTAATAACTGAGATTTTGACAAAGCATAGGCTCCATATGCTTTTTTAGAATTCTTTGGAGTAGGCAGAGCATAGTGGCTCACGCCTGTAATCTTAAAACTTTGGGAGGTCAAGGCAGGTGGATTGCTTGAGCCCAGGAGTTTGAGACCAGCCTGGGCAACATGGTGAAACCCTGTCTCTACAAAAAATAGACAAATTAGCCAGGCATGGTGGCTTGCATCTGTAGTCCCAGCTGCTTGAGAGGCTGAGGTGGGAGGATCACTTGAGCCCAGGAGTTTGAGACCAGCATGGGCAACATAGCTAGACTCTGTCTCTATAAAAAAGAAAAAAAAAATACAAAAATTAGCCAGACATGGTAGTTCATGCCTGTAGTCCCAGCTGCTTGGGAGGCTGAGGTGGGAGGATTACTTGCGCCTGGAAGGTGGAGGTTGCAGTGAGCTGAGATCATGCCACTGCACTCCAGCCTGGATAATAGAGCGAGACTCAGTCTCAAAAATAAAAATAAAATAAATAAATAAATAGATAAATAAAAATAAAAAATATTCTTTGGGCTATAGAGGAAACCAGCACATACTAGTTTAAGTGAAAAGGAGAACAAATATGCATTGAGCACTTACTCTGCCAAACACTGGAATAGGCACTTAAAATAAAACTTGATTCACGGAATCCAAATGCAGAGATACAGTCAGCCTTCACATGAGATTAGAAGCAGGGAGAGGAAAGCTATGGGGGACTCGGGGTATTTCCAAGTATTCCTGTCCTCTGCTTTTCATCTGAATCATCCTTTATGTTGCTACAGATAGATGTTCTTTATTTTCCAGTCTTCGTGCTGGAAAGTAGTCCCTGCCAATAACTCCTAAGCATGTATTATCTCCTCCATTCAAGACACCAGCCAGACTATTCCTTCCTGAACAACTCTAGCCAGGGGGCAGGATCACAACAATAAAGGCAATTTTGCTCCTATTATAAGGGTGGGGGTGGAGATGGTGGGCACCCCAGAAAAGCAAGAGGCTGAAAAGACTTAAAATGTTGTGCTCACTGCAAAAAATAAACTTTTAAAATAAAATAACAATTTAAAGCAAAAGTTGTCTGATAAAAATCTGTATATGCCATGCTCACATATATATTTAGTGTACTTGCTAGACAATATCCTAAACCCTTTGCATTCATTACCTCATTTAACTTTTGCAGCAATCCTGTAAGTGGAATTGTTTTGAGAAATGTTTAACAACTGGTTCTCTGGGAGAAAAATACTGCCTGGTCTGAAGTGGTTGCCAATTTCTGTGGTGTAAATACTTGGTAGATTTCAAGCTACCCAATGGCATCACTGAGCATGCAGCTGGGAAGAGATGTACACAATAGGCCCTCATGAGCTGGTAAGATTTCACTGTAGCACACCAGTACCTACAGTGGAGGTACTACTTTTATCCCTATTTTCTTGCACAGGAGAAAACCGACACAAAGAAGTTAAATGACTTGCCCAAATTTCCCCAGAAAAATCCGCATTGGACCCCAGCTCTATGATGCCAAAGTTAAGACTAAAGGTTAAAGAAAAGTTGCATAGTCAAGCTTATAAGCATGGCATATAATGATGCCATGCTTATCTTAAATTCTACCAGTCACAGTCACTGCTTAACAAAATTAAGCATCAAAAAACTTCAGATCATCTTATCTGGTGACCTCATTTTAATAAGACCTCATTTAGAGGGGTTTAGAGTAACATATATCAATTTGAACTTTCAAGGCTAATGCCTAAGTTTCTGAACCATAACTGCGATCTACCCAATTATTTGCACCATACTGTATCTAGATCATCTCTCTCTTTCTCTCTTTCTTTCTTTAGATCATCTCTCTGTCTCTCTCTTTTTTTTTTTTTTTTTTTGAGACAGGTTCTCACTCTGTTGCCCTGGCTGGAGTGCAGTGATGCGATCACAGCTCACTGCTGCAGTCTCCATCTCCCAGGCTCAAATGATCCTCCCACTTCAGCCTCCCAAGTACCTGAATCCACAGGTATGTGCCACCACGCCCAGGTAATTTTTGCATTTTTTGTAGAAATGGGGTTTCACGATGTCGCCCAGGCTGGTCTAGATCTCCTGGGCTCAAATGATCTGCCCGCCTCGGCCTCCCAACGTGCTGATGTTACAGGCATGAGCCACCACGCCTGGCCTGGGGCCTCTTTTTAACCTCCACAAAGAATACTGCAGTTCCGCCGGGCACAATGGCTCATGCCTGTAATCCCAGCACTTTGGGAGGCCAAGGCGGGTGGATCACGAGGTCAGGAGTTCAAGACCAGCCTGGCCAACATTGTGAAACCCCGTCTCTACTAAAAATACACAAATTAGCCAGGCGTGGTGGCAGGTGCCTGTAATCCCAGCTACTTGGGAGGCTGAGGCAGCAGAATTGCTTGAACCTGGGAGGCGGAGGTTGCAGTGAGCTGAGATCTAGCCACTGCACTCCAGCCTGGGCGACAGAGCAAGACTCTGTCTCGGGAAAAAAAAAAAAAAAAAAAAAAAAAAAAATATATATATATATATATATATATATATATATATATATTGCAGTTCTTCCATCAGAGCCCATGGGCCCTTTAAGCCAGCAGTGGGCTTTACTCCTAGTAAAGTGTAGTACCCTGCAGTATTCACTGAAGCAAGCCCGCCATCTTTCCTGACAGCCTCCTGATTTCTTCCATGTGCACCGAACAACTCAACAATATCTGCCCCAACCTCCTGGCTCCCAAGCACAGTTCTCTCACTTCTCAAAGTCTGCATTAATGACAAAATGCAAAGAAAAATATGTATCCAGATTTACTGCATCACTTCCTCCCAGTGAAGTTAAGAACATTACTTAACCACAACAAAGTATTTCATCTAGGACCAGGGATCGGGGCTCATGCCTGTAATCCCAGCACTTTGGGAGGCTGAGGCAGGAAGACTACTTGAGGCCAGGAGTTTGAGACCAGCCTGGGCAATGCAACAAGACCCCGTCTCTACAAAACCTAAAAATTAGCCAGGCATGGTAGCACACGCCTGTAGTCCCAGCTACTCAGGAGGCTGGGGTGGGTGGATGGCTTGAATCAAGGAGCTTGAGGCTGCAATGAGCCATGATCATGCCACTGCACTCCAGCCTGGGAAACAGAGTGAGAACCTCCTCTCAAAAAAAAAACAACAACCAGCCTGACCAACATGGTGAAACCCCGTCTCTACCAAAAATACAAAAAAAAAAAATTAGCTGGGCGTGGTAGCAGGTGCCTGTAATCCCAGCTACTTGGGAGGGTGAGGCAGGAGAATCGCTTGAAACCGGAAGGCAGAGGTTGCAGTGAGCCGAGATTGTGCCACTGCACTCCAGCCTGGGCAATAAGAGCAAAACTCCATCACCAAAAAAAAAAAAAAAAAAAAGAAAGAAAGAAAGAAAAAATTTACCTAGCTCTTGTATCTCCGATGAACACACTTTTAACATGCTAAGAAAGTTCTCACTTATCGTTAACATTTATTCACCTAGGATTTACAAATTCCAGTCTAAATTTAAAATCTTCCTCCCCAAACATTTATATTGGGCACACTCACCACTAGTCCTGGAAAAGTGTGAGGTGGGTCAAAACCCAAGTTGGGACCTTCCTCACTTTCACTACCTTCTCACCCAAGTTTTTTTCCTCATCCTAATCTGCTATCACCACCCAGCACACATTTTATGTCTTATCTCCCCAAAGCCTTTCTTGTTCTTACCAAAATCCATTTCTCCCACCATTCATTCACTCATTCATCCAACAGTCATTAATGGGGTGGTTTGATGCTAGCAGTAGGCCCATCCTAGGGATGCATAGAGCATGAATACTCTCCTTGAGATGCTCACACTTCAGCAAGAGAGACAGGCATGCGCAAACAAAGCTAAAGGAATTACAGTAAGAGATGCTCTAATCAATATTTATGCAAAGGCAAAGTGATGTAGAAAAACAGGTAAGAGTGATTGATTTGCCTGGAGGTTGGGCAGGGAATGGGATTGCATTTCAGTGGCTTCTGGGAAGAGCTGACAGTTAGGCTGGGCTTGAAGGCTGGGAGGAGTCTGTTAGATACCCAAGGGAAGAAAAGGCTGATAACACAGACAAAACAGTGATTTGAAAATGGAGGGCGGAGGGACAGTGGCAGAGTCTGCAGTGCTGGAATTTGGGGAAAATAGAAAAAAGCAGCTAATCTCAGTAGGCCCCCTAAAAGGCTTAGAGTGTCTCCTCCTTAGAGGCATTTGTTTGCATAGGAGCAAAGTTCAGCACAGTAACATTCAGTGTTAGAAAGCATGCTTGATTGGCCATCAGAAGACGAGTTCTCATCATAGTCTATCAGCAGCTTTGTTGTTTGAGGTATGTCAATCTCTCTGAGCTTGATTTTTCAACACTTAGGAAGAGAAGCTGGAGTAAGGTCTCTAAAAGGCCCACTCATAAATATATCTACAGGGCAGGCACAGTGGCTCATGCCCGTAGTCCCAGCACTTTGGGAGGCAAAGGCTGGTGGATGACTTGAGGTCAGGAGTTTGAGACCAGCCTGGTCAACATGGTGAAACCCCGACTCTGCTAAAATTACAAAATTTAGCTAGGTATGGTGGCACACGCCTGTAATCCCGGCTACTCTGGAGGTTGAAGTGGGAGAATCGCTTGAACCCAGGAGGTGGAGGCTACAGTGAGCTGAGATCATGCCACTGCACTCCAGCCTGGGTGACAGAGTGAGACGCTGTCTCCAAAGATGAAATTAAAAAATAAAAGGCGGGGCCCTGTGGCTCATGCCTGTAATCTCAGCACTTTGGGAGGCAGAGGCGGGTGGATCACGAGGTCAGGAGTTCAAGACCAGCCTGACCAACATGGTGAAACCCCCGTCTCTACTAAAAATACAAAAAAATTAGCCAGGTGTGGCGGCATGTGCCTGTAATCTCTGTAATCCCTGTAATCCCAGCTACTCAGAAGGCTGAGGCAGGAGAATTGCTTGAACCCGGGAGGCGGAAGTTGTAGTGAGCCGAGATCATGCCACTGCACTCCAGCATGAACACCAAGAATGTAACTCTGTCTCAAAATAAATAAATAAATAATAAAAATACATTTTCACTGTGGACCAACTTCTGGTACTATTTCAGAGGAGTAATGCTTGAGCTCAGAAAGAATGTTCTCTGTGCTGCTTTCCACAGCTTGTGGTGCTCCTATTCAGCCCCACACTTCACAGGAGCAGAGCACCCTCCAGGGTCTATTATGAGACCCCACATGTGGATTGTGAGAAAGCTCAGCATGAGATTCAAACCCCACTCCTGAGTAAGCACTATTGTGTGGTCCAGTTGTCTAGCTGTTGTCCAAAATCAGAGTTAGCCCACCTAAATCTGAAGTAGGTCCTGCCTGACACTGTCAAAGGAAAAAAAAAAAATTGCATAGGGCACTAGCGAACATACAGTGGTAGGCTAAGCTCATTTAGAAGTTGTCACCCAGATGCGGTGACTCATGCCTATAATCCCAGCACTTGAGGAGGCTGAGGTGGGAAGACTACTTGAGTCCAGGAGAATGAGACCAGCCTGGGCAACATAGTGAGACCCTGTCTCTACAAAAATTACAAAAATTAGCCAGGTGTGGTGGTGCACACCTGTAGTCCCAGCTACTCAGGAGGCTAATGCAGGAGGATCACCTAAGCCTGGGAGGTCAAGGCTGCAGTAAGCCATGACCGTGCCACTGCACTCTGGGTGACAGAGTAAGAGGCTGTCTCAAAAACAAAAAAAGAAAGAAAAAAGAATTGTGCTCAATAAGAGAAACTACTCTGTCTGGCGCAGTGGCTCACACCTGTAATCCCAACACTTTGGGAGGCTGAAGCGGGTGGATCACCTAAGGTCAGGAGTTCGAGACCCACCTTGCCAACATGGCAAAACCCTATCTCTACTAAAAATACAAAAATTAGCCAGGCGTGGTGGTGTAATCCCAGCTACTCAGGAGGCTGAGGAAGGAGAATTGTTTGAGCCCTGGAGGTGGAGGTTGCAGTGAGCCAAGATCGCACCACTGCACTCCAGCCTGGACAATAGAGCGAGTAAGGCTCTGAGAGAGAGAGAGAGAGAGAGAGAGAGAGAGAGAAAAGAAAGAAGAAACTACAACAGAGTTTGTAAAAGCCCATCTGAGGAGCAGAGTCACTTTTCACATTACACTTTTATGACTGAGTCCTAGTATCAGGCATCCTTTCCTCCAATGAGAAAGGGGAAGAACTGTTTCAGACAACATGCTTGGATAGAACTACTCATCTCCAGAAAAAACAGTGGACTAAGGCAGTTGGCCTTCTCCATGGGTTAATATTCTGAATAGCACTTTGGTCCAGAGTTGAAGGCCTTCCTGAAGCTAGCCCAGCTCAGAACTGTTGCCACCTGGGAAGTCTTGATTCTCGGTGTCTTCAGCAAGGGCAGAAGGTCCTCCTGAAGACACCTGAGCACTCTTAGGCAGTAGTGTTCTCAAGGCTCCCAAGCAACCCTGGGAAACTGAAACAAACAGACATGCATTTCCCATGTCTCTGGACCTTCATTTCCCATCTCTGGGCTATAGATTCAATGTCTATTAAGGTTCCGTGCAGAATAGTGTTCATTCTTCTTGTATGCATGCTATATGTCAAGCACTGTACCAAGCAATATACCTCAGACTCAATTTACATTGCTCATCTAAGTCTCACAATGACTGAAATTGATATTATCATGATTGCCACTTTATAGATGAGGAAACTAAGATTTAGAATTTGTCTAAGTTCTCCGCAGCTAGTAAGTGATGGAGTAGTCGTTTGAGATACTGCTACGATAGCACCATAATGTTACTCGTATATGTAGCCATCTACACGGGGTGATTCAAGAAGACTCAAAAATTTCTCTTTTCTCCAAAAGACCTCTTCAGTCTCTCTAGCCTCTCCTGATTCCTGTCTCTTGTAGAGGAGGAATGAGTTTTAACAGTTTAGTAGTTTTGCTTAAAGAATATAGAGCAAGTTTTTGAAGACACAGTATATGTAACAGGTCAGTTTTGATTAATTCATTTAGTCAGTAAACATTTATTTAACATCTATTATGTACCAGGCATGGATCAAAGTTCTTAGGATCTAACAGTGAAAAAAATAAACGAAGATCCTCTACCTTAAGGAGCTTATAGTCTAGCGAAAAAAGACAGAAAATAATAAATAAGAGCAGATTATAATAAAAGGTGACAAATCTTGCAAAACAAATGAAAACATAAGATGGGATAAAGAGGATCAGGAATGGGGGGGTGAAAGAGGCAGGTAAATAAGATGGCAGTTGGCCTCAGTGTGAAACCACCGTTGCAAAATTGTAACTGTGAAGATTATTACAGTGATATAGTGAAAGAGAGCTGACCTAACTCACTCCATCTTGCTTCTAACCTCCGAGCTGTCCTTGTTCATTCCTGGGCGTAGGCCAAACTAACTTTGGAAGAAACTTAATTTATAGTTTAACTTTGAAACAAAGACATAATATCCCTTTCCCAAAACAAACGCTTTTCCTGCCTGGGGACTAGTCTGCCTTTGCGGGACTAACAGTTAGCCAGAAGATTAGAAATTATGGTTTAGGAGTCATGAAGCTAGAGGCCACAAGATTCTGATCCTCCTCAAATTGCTCCTGGGGATAACATCACTATTGTAAAGCCTAACGTCAGTGCTTGAGATGTTTTGCAGTCCCTGCACTTGATGGATCAGCTGGCACCACCCAGATTGATAAAGTGGCTCATCTAGTCTTGTGGCCCCCACCCAGGAACTGACTAAATGCAAGAGGACAGTTTCGATTCTCTCTGATTTCATTTCCGACCCAACCATTCAGAACTCTCAACTCACTGACCCCTACCCACCAATATGTCCTTAAAAACCCCATGCCCCAATTGTTGGTGAGACTGATTTGAGTAATAATAAAACTCCCGTCCCCTGTACAGCTGGCTCTGTGTGAATTACACTCTTTATTGCAATTGTCCTGTCTTGATAAATCAGCTCTGTCTAGGCAGCGGGCAAGGAGAACCTGTTGGGCGGTTCCAAGTGCGAAGGTAAGACTTAAGCAAAGGTTTTGAGGAGGTAAGGAAATTAGCCAAACTCTGTGGAGAGAATAGGAATTGAAGCAAAAGGAGCAGCTGGAACAAAAACCCCAAGACAGAGCATGCCTGGTGTGTGTGAGAAAGCATATAACAGTGAAAAAAAAAATAAACAAACAAAGATCCTCTACCTTAAAGAGCTCTCAGTCTAATGAAAAAAGACAGAAAATAATAAGTAAAGAGTAGATTATAATAAAAGGTGACAAGGCGGCAGGTGACAAACGGCAAGGAGGGCTGGCTGAAGTAGGAATGAGGAAAAGAGTGCTGGGAGAGGTGGTCACAGAAGTATCTCAGAAGACTAGATCATATAGAGTTTTGCAGGACATCGTCAGGACTTTGCTTTTATTCTATGTCAGAATGGGGCTGGTGAAGTTTTGAGCAGAGGAGGGACAAAGGGAAAACCAGGAGGAGCCTGTTTCAGTAACTCAGGCAAGAATTAATGGAGCTGGCCAGGCACAGAGGCTCATGCCTGTAATCCCAGCACTTTGGGAGGCCGAGGCGGGTGGATCACTTGAGGTCAGGAGTTCGAGACCAGCATGGCCAACATAGTGAAACCCCCGTCTCTACTAAAAATACAAAATTAGCCAGGCGTGGTGACACACACCTGTAATCCCAGCTACCTGGGAGGCTGAGACGCTAGAATTGCTTGAACTTGGGCGACAGAGGTTTCAGTGAGCCAAAATGGTGCCACTGCACTCCAGTCTGGGCAACAGAGCAAGATCTGTCTCAACAGAAAAAAAAAAAAAAAAAAGAATGGACCTGAGACCAAGGTAGTAACAGCAGAGGGGGTGAGAAATGGATTTTTTATATGTATAAATAAATTGGGATTAAATTTCCTGATGGCTTGTATGAGGGGCCTGAGAGAAAGAAGAATAATACCAAAGATTTTCCTGAGCACTTTGAAGGGTGGAGTTGCCAACCACTCTGACAGAGATGGCTGAGGGTGGAGCTGGTTTCTAGGGAAAGATCAGGGTTCAGGTTTGGACATGTTAAGTTTGAGGCATCTACTAGGCATCCAAGTGCTGTCAGTGAATAGGCTGTAGAATATATACATCTGCAGTGCAGGAGAGAAGCCTGGGTTGGGGATATAAATTTTTATTTTATGTTTTTTTGAGACGGAGTCTTTCTCCATCACCCAGGCTGAAGTACAATGGCACAATCTCAGCTCACTGCAACCTCCACCTCCCAGGTTCTAGCGATTCTCCTGCTTCAGCCTCCCGAGTAGCTGGGATTCCAGACACACGCCACCACACTCGGATAATTTTTGTATTTTTAGTAGAGATGGAGTTTCACCACCTTGGCTAAGCTGGTCTCAAAACCCTGACCTCAAGTGATCCACCTGCCTCGGCATCCCAAAGTGCTGGGATTACAGGCGTAAGTCACCGTGCCCGGCCTGGGATATAAATTTCGAAGTAGTCAGCACATAAACCTTTTAAAATCACAAGCCTGAATATGACCTTCAAGGGAGTGCATATAGATTGAGATGAGGATGAAGGATCCTAGACACTTCCACATTATGAGGGTGAGAAGAAGAGAATAACTTACAAAGAAGACTGAGAATTCATGACAAGTGAGGTAGGAAGAAAACAGAGTATAGTGTCCCAGAAGCCAAGTAAAGAAAGCGTATAGAGGAAGAGGGAGTGATCAACTATACCAAACAATGGATCAAGTACAATGCAGAGTAAGAATTGACCATTAGCTTGAGCAACATAGAGGCCACTGGCAACAGTGGGGTGGGAAACTGATTAGTTGCCTCTGGAACTTGGGTTTTACTATTCAAGAGGACAAATGAAAAGGTACTGGTGGCCAATTAGGAGAGATGTATTTCCTAAAAGAATTACATTCCGAATAATTCCTAAAAGAGTTATTTCCTGTAGGTACCTGCTGGTTAGAAATTTGTCCCCTACGACCGACCGACCGGGCACCTGGTGGGAGGGACCGGGAGCCCGCACTGGGGAACTGCAGGACGCAGGCCCTCGGGCAGGAGCGTCTGGCAGAGCCGGGAGCGCGGCAGGCTCCCTCCTTTGCAGGACGAGGTGGGGCCTCTGCGGCCGTCCTGGACTGGCCGGGGTGGCGGCAGCTTTGCCCACGTGGAAGTGGGGCTGGGTCTCACTTGCCTGGTGGTGGTCTCTGGCTCCACCTTGCTTGCTGCAGCCCTGGGGAGCAGGCAGTGGATGGTTCTTCCGCCTATTTGCTGCTGGTTTCCCGGACAGTGCGTGGGCAGCCGGGGGCTGTGGGCAGGGCTGGAGTTTAGTCTAAGGTAATGTAACAATGTTGGTTTCTTAGTTTTGACAAACACAGCATGGTAACTTAAGATGCTAACATCAGGGCCGGGCACGGTGACTCACGCCTATAATCCCAGCACTTTGGGAGGCCAAAGTAGGTGGATCGCCTGAGCTAAGGAGTTCAGCACCAGCCTGGGCAACATGGCAAAACCCCATCTCTACAAAAATGTACAAAAACTAGCGAAGTGTGGCGGCATGCACATGTAGTCCCAGCTACTCAGGAGGCTGAGGCGGGAGGATTGCTTGAGACTAGGAGGTCGAGGCTGCAATGAGCTGAGATCATGCCACTGCACTCCAGCCTGGGCAACAGAGCAAGACCCTGCCTCAAGAAACAAAAAATGTTAATATCAAGAGACTGAGTGAGGAATACACAGGTACTCTCTACCATCTCTGCAACTTTTTAAAAATAAATCCAGGCCAGCGCAGTGGCTCACGCCTGTAATCCCAACACTTTGGGAGGCTGAGGTGGGTGTATCACCTGAGGTCAGGAGTTCAAGAGCAGCCTGGCCAACATGGTGAAACCCCATGTCTACTAAAAAAAAAAATACAAAAAAAAAAAAAAATTTTGGGCGTGGTGGCAAGTGCCTTTAGTCCCAGCTACTCAGGAGGCTGAAGTAGGAGAATCACTTGAACCTGGGAGGCAGAGGCTGCAGTGAGCTGAGGTCACACCACTGCACTCCAGCATAGGCAATAGAGCAGGACTCTGTCTCAAAAATAAATAAATACATAAATTTTTTAAAAATCCAAAATAAAGTCCATTTTTTAAAAAAATGCATTTGTAAGGAGATGTGCTATGAAGGAGAAGCGCTCGTGCTTTGTGAGCATGTCCTAAGGAAAGGAAATTTGAACTTGCCAGGAGTCAGAGATGGCTTCCTGATGAAATAACTGTAGACCTGAGACCTTAAGAATGAGGGGGCATTTTTGAAAACCGCAGTTCTCAAAGTCAAACAAACTCATACTTAGACATTACAAGAGTATTTTGGCCATACACAGTGGTTTGAGTCTGTAGTCCCAGCTACTCAGGAGGCTAAGGAGGGAGGATTGCTTGAGGCCAGGAGTTCAAGGCACTACAATTGCGTCTGTGAATAGCCACTACACTCAAGCCTGGGTGACATAGCAAGACCCATCTCTTCAAACACACACACACACAAACAAGCATTTTGCTTCCGAGAAAGTTTTTCAAGTAAAGATCATAAGTATTATTGCTGATGCATTGCACATTTTCAGCCCAGACCTCTGCCTAGTGAGGCAGATGGAAATCTTCAGTGGGTGAGGAGACTGTGCACTGCTTTTGAGGCCATTTCTCTTTCCCACAAACCTGATGTTGCCAGAGACAGGACTGGAAAACTCTACAGCCTGTAATTTTTAAATATTTGGGCCCAGATGTGATGCGTTCATTAAGTAGGACAAATGAAGTGTGTTCTTCACTCCACCAAAGCAGCCTATCCCCATGCATGCCATTCTTCCAAGCCCAGGTGATATGGGAGTGAGAAGCAGACAGAAGTGGGGCAGACAAGATTTCCACGCCAAGGATGGAAGCCTGGAGCTAGCTTGCTCTAGATAGTCTGGCTGCTGAAGGGCAAAGAATATGACCAAGGAGGTGTGGACTAAAACAAGGTCCCTGGACCTAGAGCAGCACTCGTATTAGTAAAAGCGACTGAATATGCCTGGCACCTTGGCTCAGGCCCCACCATTCCAGAGCACAGGCCACTGTAATGAGGATGGCTGGAAAATCATTATATAGCCAGTGACAATAGAAAGGCCAAATTATGTGCATGAAGGTTTAATGTCAACGTGTAGTATGTGCAAGTTAGACAAATGAAAGTCAAAGACCACCTGTAAACCCAAGCCAACACTCACAAGTCACAGGCCCTCTGGAAAGAGCAGCTGTGAAAATGTCTTTAGAGAAGAACAGGATGGAGAATGAATTTCATGCCCACATGTGGCAGATGTCACATGGAATCACTCTGGCAGCTCAGGCATTTTATGTTCTGTAGCATCTCTCTACATGTTGGAGCAGGCAGATGTTCAGTTTTCTTCACTATTCTTTCAGTTCTGCCTTACATTGGAACAATAAAACAAGCCATATGTCAGAATCCAAGAGAATTCTCTGGAAACCAAAGGCTTCTCCATCTCACTTTCAGCAGCCAAAGTCTCGATGTGACTTCACTTGCTTACAAGTAGAAGGATCCATGCTTTTATAATGGCCTTTCTATTGTTATAGGAAAAGAGAGAGGTGACTTAATTTTTGCCTGTTGTCTAATGAAGAGCCATGCATTTTTACCAGTGCAATTTTTGTTTATCAAACACTAACAGTGTTTCCAGCTGAAACATGACCCAGTAATGGCTGATCAAATGCAATCAGTGGGTCAGCATTTTCTTAAACTCAAACAAACAAACAAACAAACAAAATCTGAGGCCATGTGCGGTGGCTCACACCTGTAATCCCAGCACTTTGGGAGGCTGAGGCAGGCGGATCATTTGAGCCGAGGTCAAGACCAGCCTGAGAAACATGGCAAAACCCTGTCTCTACTAAAAATACAAAAAAAAAAAAAAAAAAATTAGCCAGGCATGGTGGCGCAAGCCTGTAGTTCCAGATACTCAGGAAGCTGAGGTGAAAGAATTGCTTCAGCCTAGGAGGCAGAGGTTGAAGTGAGCAGAGGTTGTGTCACTGCACTCCAGCCTGGGTGACAGAGTGATACCTTGTCTAAAAAAAAAACAAACAAAAAAATCAGAGTGCATCTACTATAATAATGTGGGTTCTGGTAGTCAAGTTTGAAAGTCATTGTGGTAGGGGCCTCATCTTCATTGGGATGACCTAGTTCAGGGATTCTCAAAGTGAAGGTCTGGGACTGGGAGTGTTAGCATCACTTGGGAATATGTTAGAAATGCACACTTCAGACCCCACTCCAGATGCCCCTAATCAGAAGCTGTTAGAGGTGGAGGCAGAGGACACATGCAAGGAAAATGGAGATGATTCTGATACACACTCGCTTTTGAGCAACCCTGGTGAAGTACACCAAAGGACTTATTAAAAATATCAATGAGGCATTAAAACAAAAGAGTAAAGACAAAAACAAGTTGCAACCCTTTGATAAACAATGAGGCTCAAGAATCCCAAATAAATAGCCAGAAGAACAACTACAAAAACTCTTACAGGGGTAAGTAAGTTTTCTTTAATAGAGTTGCATCTTACACAAGGCTAGGATCTAAAGATAGAGGGTAAGAAAAAAGTAACATCAGTCAAGATCCTCCATAAAGTACAGTCAGTCCTTTGTCCCAGTAAGGTCATTTTTGCTCTTCTGCACTGAAACCCATCATCATTTCCTTGATGGAGGGCCAGATGGAGTAGTTGGCTTGTGTCTAGGGCCGTATTGTTCCACAAATATTAATTGAAAATACTAGAATCCGTTCTGTGCAGTGAGATGGTACCCACCTGGGCAAACAAACTAATTTCCCAGTATGTGTGTGTGGCTGGGAGTAGGAGGTGTTTATATTATTTTCTCTCTCTTCGTATAGTTGAAGTCACCACAAGTTACCTTTGCAGCAGATGCAATTCCAGTTATCCACCATTTACTTAGTAACTTTTCCTTCCCCAAAAGGGATGCGCACACACACACACACACACACACACAATTTCATTTACTCTTTGCACAACGCTGTAAGATCAGTAATACTTTTTTGGTTTTTGGGGGGGGCTTTTTTGAGACAGAGTCTCACTCCGTTGCCCAGGCTGGAGTACAGTGGTGCTCGCTGCAACCTTTGCCTCTGGTGCTGAAGCAATCCTCCCACCTCAGCCTCCTGGGTGGCTGGGACTACAGGCATGTACCTGTATTAGCCACCACATCTAGTTAATTTTTTGTATTTTTAGTAGAGATGGGGTTTCAGCATGTTGACCAGGCCCTGGCTGAAGCAATCCTCCCACCTCAGCCTCCCGAGTAGCTGGGACTACAGGCATGCAACGCCATGTCTGGGTAATATTTTTATCTTTTTAGTAGAGATGGGGCTTTGCCATGTTGTCCAGGCTGGTCTTGAACTCCAGAGATCAGTAATACCTTTCTTATTGTACAGACACGAAGTTTAAAGGTTGAGGTAGCTTGTCCAAGGTCACACAACCAGCAAATGGTTGAGTGTAGATGTGAACCCAGGTATGCTAGAGAAAATTAAAAGCATGGTACACTAATATGACAAAGATTCCCTCAAAGCAAAGAAAATTTACTGCCTCAGTCGATCCTTTTATTGGTGTCACCCTTGGGCCCATGTGCCCTAGGATACAGGAAATGGATTTCAGAGAAATTGCCTTGGCTAGCATATTCCCCTCTCCCAGGAGTGTTCCCGAAAATCTGTGTGTGCCACTGATAGCTTTTTAATATACTATGTGTGCTCACTCTTAAAAAAAAAAAATCCTGAGCCTGTCTTCTTGCCATTGTTGTTGTTCACATTAGGCGTCCTCTTAAAAGGAAGCATTAATTTTATTATTCCTCATTGGGGCTTTACAGAAGAGACTGGCCAGGCACGGTGGCTCATGCCTGTCATCCCAGTACTGTGGGAGGCCAAGGTGGATGGATCACTTGAGCCCAGGAGTTCAAGACCAGTTTCGGCAACATAGTGAGACCTCATCTCTACAAAAAATACAAAGATGAGCTGGGTGTCGTGGCATGTGCCTGTAATTCCAACTACTTGGGAGGCTGAGGCGGAAGGATCGCTTGAGCCAGGAGGTAGAGGTTGCAGTGAGCCGTGATTGTGCCACTGCACTCCAGCCTGGGTGACAGTTGTGAAATCCTGTCTCAAAATAATAATAATAATAATAATAATAATAATAATAATAAAAACTTTTAAAAAAGAAAAGACTGGATGGGGATGAGAGGGCAGAGAAGAGCAGCCAAGGAAAGAAGGCTGCATTTAAGCAATATACGGTACAGTATTATAAAGCCACTGCTCCCCTGGGGCGATCCTTATTCCTTCTTACTAAAGAAGGTGGGGCTTTTCTCCAGAAAATTCCATCAACCCTGGAAAGATCAGATGGCAATTTACCATGAGGTAAGAATGCAACCTCTGCCAGAATTCCTTAGCCCTTAACTTTTCAAGCTTTAGTCATCAGCAAGTCACCTTTATCATCATTTACTTCACCTATTCACTTTTTGTATATGAATAGATTTTACAATGAAAGCTTTTATCACCACGCCTTAAAGAGAAAATGAGTGTTGCTCTCAGAAGTGGAAGAAAACTTCAAACATGAGTGCACTGAAAACAAAATGACTTTTTTTTCAATTCTAACTTGATATGTGGCTTGTCAAAGACTCAAAACGTGAGTGTTCATTCTCTCTCTTTTCTTCCCTCTCTTCTTCCCTGTCTCTTTCTTTCCCTCCCCCACCCTCTTCAGCAGGATGAGCAATTATCAGAGAGATGTTAAAGATACAACAGCACCAACTAAGACTTTCTTCTTGAGTAATCAATCAGTATTGAAAAATGATTGATTTTTTTCTTTTTTTTTTTTTTTGAGACGGAGTCTCACTCTGTCACCCAGGCTGGAGTGTGGTGGCATGATCTCCGCTCACTGCAACCTCAGCCTCCCTGGCTCAAGCAATTCTCCTGCCTCAGCCTCCTGAGTAGCTTGGGATTACAGGTACGCACCACCACGCCCAGATAATTTTTTGTATTTTTAGCAGAGACAGGTTCACCATGTTGGCCAGGGTGGTCTCGAACTCCTGACTTCAGGTGATCCTCCCGCCTCAGCCTCCCGAACTGCTAGGATTACAGGCACGAACCACTGTGCCTGGCTTTTTTTTTTTTTTTTTTTTTTGGAGACAGTCTTGCTCTGTCACCCCGGCTGGAGTGCAGTGGCATGATCTCAGCTCACTGAACTTTCTTCTGCCTCTGGGGTCCCAGCGATTCTAGTGCCTCAGCTACCCATGTAGCTGGCATTACAGGCACGCGCCACCAAGTCCGGCCTTGGAAGAGAATGAAAAGGATTCAAGAGGGGTCTATATGAGAACTCTCTTTACTTTCTCCTCAATTTTTCTGCAAACCTAAGACTTTTCTAAAAATTAAAGTCTTAATTTTTAAAAAGTGTACACATAGAAATAAAATTAAGACTTTTAATTTTTTTTAATAAATTAATCTTCTCCCTGGGTAAATCAAGGTTATTTAATTCTGCATTCCCCAGACTACCCTAAATCACCAGAATTTACCTGAAATTACCTCCAACAGTAACAACAGTCCATGGCCCACATTTTGTGAACTCTGCTAAGCTGAAGTTTGAAGAAATAAAATAAAAATAAAAATAAGAGGCCAAGCGCAGTGGCTCATGCCTGTAATCTCAGCACTTTGGGAGGCCGAGGCAGGCGGATCACCTAATGTCAGGAGTTCAAGACCAGCCTGGCCAACATAGTGAAACCCCGTCTCTGCTAAAAATACAAAAATTAGCTGGGCGTGGTGGCAAATGCCTGTAATCCCAGCTCCTTGGGAGGCTGAGGCAGGAGAATTGCTTGAACCTGGGAGGCGGAGGTTGCAGTGAGCTGAGATTGTGCCATTGCACTCCAGCCTGGGCAGCAAGAGCAAAATTGAAAGAAAGAAAAGAAAAGAAAAAAGAAAAGAGAAGAGAAGAGAAGAGAAAAGAGAAGAGAAAAAAGAAAAGAAAAGGTGTTGTTTGGATGGTTTCCTATTGATGGCAGAAAGAAATTTTGAATGGTTCACCTTCCTGCCAAATCCCTTCATGACCTGGCACTCACATTCATTTTTTCCCTCCTCCCATTGCCCACACACCCCAGGCATTATTTCCAAACTCTACGGTCTTCCCTGTGTCTGAAACTTTCTTCCCCCATCTCTGCCTGTCAGATCTTTTTTTTTTTTTACAGTTTACTTTTGTTTTTTTAATTTTATTATTATTATACTTAAAGTTTTAGGGTACATGTGCACAACGTGCAGGTTTGTTACATATGTATACGTGTGCCATGTTGGTGTGCTGCACCCAGTAACTCGTCATTTAACATTAGGTATATCTCCTAATGCTATCCCTCCCACCTCCCCCCACCCCACAACAGTCCCTGGTGTGTGATGTTCCCCTTCCTGTGTCCATGTGTTCTCATTGTTCAATTCCCACCTATGAGTGAGAACATGCAGTGTTTGGTTTTTTGTCTTTGCAATAGTTTGCTGAGAATGATGGTTTCCAGTTTCATCCATGTCCCTACAAAGGACATGAACTCATCATTTTTTATGGCTGCATAGTATTCCATGGTGTATATGTGCCACATTTTCTTAATCCAGTCTATCGTTGTTGGACATTTAGGTTGGTTCCAAGTCTTTGCTATTGTGAATAGTGCTGCTATAAACATACCTGTTAATCATCCTTCAAGATCACCCAGCAAGTTGATAATTCCTACTAGCCAGCCCACGCAGTGCTATGAAGCCTAAGCTGGCACTTCCAGGCAGGGAAAAGTGTTCCTTCCCTTCAGTAGCTACAGAGACATGTACACACCCTTGACAGCAGCCATCTTTTTGTCAGGTGTGGTGGATTTTTATGACTGCCCAGAGTTGCCAGATAAAATACATGGTGCCTAGTTACATTTGAATTTCAGTTAAACAAGAGATAATTTTTTACTACGTCTTGTGTAATAATTACCTGAGTGTCCTGTATTTTTTTACTTGCTAAATCTGGCAGTGCTATGCCTTTCTTCAGTGAGATTCAGCTTCCTAAAGACAAAGACTGTGGCGTTCCAGCTTTGTGTGTGCGGTACCTAGGACATTACCAGGGACTTAGTGAAGGTTTGGTTATGAATCATTGCATGAATGACTGCACCGAACTCACCTACGAGATAACATAGCATTTCAACTAAGATCATGAGTACAGTTCTATTTCTACCTAGAAATGCAGGTTTGGAAGGGGGAAAGATCATGTGTTCAAATATAATACACTCATAATCTATAGACTGGTCCTGAAGGAAGGAGCAAAGGCATCTGTATTATTCTCTATCTTGTCTTTAACACATAGAATAACAACTCACATACTGCATGGTTTCCCTATAATTTATGAGTCTGCAATCTGCTCCCACACAGATTGCATTATGAAGGTGAGAACTTACACTCAGTCCAAAGCCAGGCAGAATAAATAGCAACAGCAGCCAAGAGCGAATCTACTCCATGTTGAGACTTGTTCTGTCTCTATTAATCAGGCTGATAATTAATCACTGTGTTTGGGTTTAAAGTTTTCCTGTGAGGGCAGAGTGCAGTAACAGAAGAGTCAATCACAGGCTCTGAAGTTGGACAGACCTAGGTTTGCAGTTATGACTCAGCTACTGCCAAGCTAAAGACCTCTCTGGGGCTCAGCTTTCTTACCTGTAAACCAGGTTATAATGGCTACCTCCAAGAGGTCACTTTGAGTATTAAATGAGGTAAGGTGCATGAAGTGTTTTGTAGGGTCCCTGCCCATAGCAGGTGTTCAAGAGTGGTAATGATGATGGTGATGAGGATGATTGTATTTTCATTTCTACTTTTCCAGCTAGATTTACAATCTCCTTTAACATATTAACTGCTTTATTTGTTTTTTACTTCCTTTTGTTTTTTGAGAAAGGATCTCCCTCTGTTTCCCAGGTTGGAGTGCCTCGGTGTGATCATAGCTCACTGCAGCCTCCACTTCCTGGGTTCAAACAATCATTTCACCTCAGCCTCCTGGGTGGCTGGGACATGCCACCATGCCTGGCTAATTTTTTTATCTTTTCTAAAGATGGGGTCTGACCATGTTGACCAGGCTGGTCTTGAATTCCTGGGCCCAACTGCTCCTCCTGCCTTGGCCTCCCAAAGTGCTGGGATTACAGGCATGAGCCACTGTGCCCAGCCCTTTACTTCTTTTATATTCCCCAGAAACCTCTAGCGTAAAACACAACGAAGAGTAGTTATCCTGTATACATCCAAAAAGACCAAAGTTTAGAAAATTCTCAGCGTTCCGCCTGCCTCAGCCTCCCAAAGTGCTGGGATTATAGGCGTGAGCCACCGGACCACTTGAGGTCAGGAGTTCGAGATCAGCCTGACCAACATGGTGAAACCTTGTCTCTTCTAAAAATACAAAAATTAGCCAGGCATGGTGGCACGCGCCTGTAATCCCAGCTACTTGGAATGCTGAGGAAGGAGAATTGCTCAAACCCAGGAGGCAAAGGTTGCAATGAGCCGAGATGGTGCCACTGCACTCCAGCCTAGACAACAAAGCAAAACTCCGTCTCAAAAACAAACAAACAAAAAATTCTCAGTGTTTTAGTGCCTTTCATAAAGCTGACAATATTTAACCACCGTAGAGTAAGGTATGAACAAAAATTAACCTTTGTAGGTGACGAGTGGACTGCAAATTGTCTTCCCTAAATCACTGATAGACTGAGTTTGGGCAGATAAGAGACATGAAAGAAATAAAGAAGTAGGCATTTCTTAAAATAGAGAAGGACGATTTTGGCATAAAAACTCCTCTTCCCACATTTCCCACCAAGACATTCTATTGGATACACGCCCTAACCACAGGCACCAACTATTGCTAACACATCTCAAAATAGATGGTGGTTGCCCAGCCATTCAAGAAAAGAGTTCAAAGTGATTGACAGTCTACTCTGGACAAACGAACACTCACCATGGAGAAGCTAGTCTCCAGTTTTAGTCCTTATTCGTTCCTAGCTTAATTTAACTGCAGCTATCATTTCATTTGTTTTTCCATAATAAAATAACTTAACCCTAGCAAAGTCCTCATTGGCACCTGCCAATGTCACCCCTGCCCCAAAGCCTCTTCTTGGAACTCTGTGGCTTTGGACAGTTTACTTTGTCTGTAAGGTAAATTTTTAACTGAGCCAGCTTCTCCCCAGTGCTAAGTGTAAGTCTAGGAAAGACTACAGTGGTCTATTTTTTTCTAGCCATTTTAGCACCCATTCTAGGTCAGCTTCTATGTGTACTCAAGCTGATGAAACTAAGAAGGATCCAAAGGTTGAGGTTTGGCTCTCATTAGCCAGAAAATCCACTGACATCTTCCTTTTCACAAGACTTGGAAACTGAAAGGAACTTGACAGCTGGAAGACATTCAGTAATTGTTGGTTGTGCCATTGCTGTTGTGCTGGTTATCACTGCCATGGGGAAAATGAATGTATCAGAATTATTCCATCCTTGTCTCTGTCTTTGATTGGGCCTAGCAATGCCATCTACCCTGCCACTCTCTCTATTTGGTGAAGAGAAAACTAAGACACAGGAAGGGAGAGGAAAAGAAGATTAGCTAAGAGTAATGGCCTGGATTGTTCTATATGCAAAGTGAGAGTGCAGAATAAGAGCTTCCCAACTTTTCTCTACTGTTTGCTTATTCGATCACCCTGTGTATGTAGTTTGTATGAGGAGCTTAGTCATCTTACATAATTTAAAGGGGTCCACATGCCTTAAATTATATGAATAGTTACTCATTTCCCTATGATAAACACTGTTGGTTCCCAGTGGTCTTTAAAATGCAAACATCCTACGTGTACCATAAATCTCTAACACTTTTTAAAGTTAAGTTCCTTTAGAAAAAAAGAAAGAAAGAAATATCTGGAAAACAATTTAAAGTTGGAGATCAAATGGAAGAAAGGTAGTAGTGAAGTGGGGACAGAAAAGGATGCTGAGAGGGTGGTAGTGAGGCAGGGACAGAGAAGATACTCTCCACCGACTTTATAGTTTCACCTCTGAGCTACCCCCTGGAAGTGAGAAGTCAGTGGATTCCATTGGGAGCCAAATCTGCCACATACAGATCAAAAAAGCTCTGTACCTGTGGCAACTCTGGCTTCTCACAGCATCTGATTGCCCTGTTCTCAGGAGAACTGGAAGAAACAGCCCTGAGTCTACTCTAGGGATATTACTGAGAACATTGCAAATCACACCACATCAGAACAAATTTATCCTGGTTTCAGCAAGAGGAATTCTTCTTCTTCAGAGTAGCTGGTTTTTACTTCGTGGACACTATGAACCATGAAGCTGAGCACAATTCTCATAGTGGATGCTGAAATGTTCCCTAAATCCCCAGTACCAAGTAGAAAGTCTCAACCACTGCTTACTGTGGCTATTGGCTGCTAATGGCTCTTAGCTGCCCCACTTCTCCCAAGAATGACCCTTGTCTGATGGGAGTGCTTTGTCTAAAAGGTTATGACGCTTCCAAAGGCATCCATAGTCAATGACTCATTTTGGGGTACAAAAGGCCCCCATTCCTTTCAGGATGGAGACTACAATCTTTAACATGGCTACAGGGCCATATGTGATCTCATCTCCATCTACTTCTCTACCTTCATCTCATAACCCTCTGACCCCCACCTACACACACACACACACACACACACACACACACACACACACACACACCCGCATGCACATGCACACACAGAGACATGCCACGCTGGCTTCCTTCCAATATGGAAAGTTGATAAGTTTGGTTGGGCATGGTGGCTCATGCCTGTAATCCTAGCACTTTGGGAGGCAGAGGTGGGAGGATTGCTTGAGGCCAGGAATTCAAGACCAACCTGGCCAACATAGTGAGACCCTGTCTCTATTTTTTTAAATTGAATAAATAAAAGAAAGGCAATAAGTTCTTTCCTACCACAGGGTCTTTTTTACATGCTGTTTCCTCCTTCTGCTATGCTTCTCCCTGTACCCTATTTGCCTATTTACCTTTAGCCCAAAGGACTCTCCCTCCAGGAAGCCTTCCATGATTCCTCAGGTTATAAAAGGGCCCCTCGCTTTTACATTTTAACAGCATGATGTAGCTCTCCTGCCACTTACTGCACATTTGCAACTTGACATTTACTCCTGGGTTTTTTGTTTGTTTGTTTTGTTTTTTTTCTGAGACAGAGTCTCATTCTGTCACCCAGGCTTGAGTGCAGTGCTGTGATCTTGGCTCACTGCAACCTCCACCTCCCGGGTTCAAGCTATTCTTGTGCCTCAGCCTCCCGAGTAGCTGGGATTACAGGTGCGCACCACCACGCCCAGCTAATTTTTTTGTATTTTAGTACAGATGGGGTTTCACCATGTTGCCCATGGTGGTCTAGAACGCCTGAGCTCAGGCAATCTGCCCACCTCAGCATTCCAAAGTGCTAGGATTACAGGTGTGAGTCACCGTGCCTGGCTCTCCTGTTGTTATTTGATTAAGACCTATTCCTTTTTATTAAGCTATGTACTCCACAAGGCTTTAATTTCTTTCACGCCACTGTGCCTGTCCCCAAATATATGCCAATATCGGGCACATGGTGGGCACGCAATGAATACTGATTCACTAAGTAAGTAAATCAGGCTGTGGTAACCTCCCTCAGCCAGCTGCATTTATACTGACAGGCAGCATAGTACAATAGTTAACTGAGTACGTGAACTCTGAAACCATGCAGTTCAGGATTAGGTCCTGGATCTGCCATCTCAAACTGTGAAGTTTGGGGCAAGTTAATTCACATTATTGTGGCTCAGCTTCCTCCTCTGTAAAATGAGGTAATAGTTCTGTATTTCATTGAATCTAGGATGCCTTTGATTACAATACACACCATGTACTACAATGAAAAACAATCCTGTTACATTAGAATCCAATGCTTACTCAGACTTTTTCCATACAAAACTACCATCTGTTCCAGCAATAGGACTGGTGAAGCCGCATTTCCTAGAGAAATGCTCCACTGTGCATGCCTCATCTAACTCCCAGCTCCATCTTGGAGACTTTCTTCCATGCTGTTGGCACCCATTCTGCAAGATGATCTGAACAGCAGGTGTCAACAGAAGGTTTCAGACAAGAACCAGGAACATATAAACAACAAGTAACCCAACACATGCCGTATCAGCAATGTTCATAATTCACCTGAACTGCTGAAAATATGAACAGCTCTGGCCAAGTGCAACACCCCCAGTATCTCCATCGGCACTTCCACTCTACTGACAGTAATAATAAGAGACCATGGCTTGTAAGATGCATCTCAATTTCAGAAAAGTTAAGATATGAAAATAGTAAATTTATGAACTACGGTAGATCTTAGGTTGTTGTGAGAATTAAGTACATTAAAGTATATAAATTTTATATATTCAAAATTTGGGATCCATGGAGAGTTCCTTTGGGCACAATCTGTTCCTGTGAAACCTTAAACATACAATAACAAATCATCATTATCTCCAAGCAGATATTACTGCCTCTGCCAGGCAGTCTTCCACCAAGTGTCCTCTCTCTTGGCACCTCTAGAAGGATCAAGCCAACTGATGTCTCCCCTAAACACTCAGCACAGCTATCGGAGAAATCTATTCTCTTTTTTTTTTTAGTTTCTTTTTTCAGACAAAGTCTCTCTCTGTCACCCAGGCTGGAGTGCAGTGGTGCCATCTCAACTCACTGCAACCTCTGCCTCCGGGGTTCAAGCAATTCTCCTGCCTCAGCCTCCCGAGTAGCTGGGACTACAGGTATGTGCCACCGCAACCAGCTAATTCTTGTGTTTTTAGTGGAGAAGAGGTTTCACCATGTTGGCCAAGCTGGTCTCAAACTCCTGACCTTAGGTGATCCACCCACCTCGGCCTCCCAAAGTGCTGAGATTACAAGCATGAGCCACCACGCCTGGCTAGATGAATCTATTCTTTCATTCTGTGTAGTAATGGAAACAATTTGGAGACTGGAGACATTCAGGCTTGTTCAGTTGTGCAGTGGTGGGATTACAACTGCCCACTAGAATATCGGTGCCATCAAGGAAGGAATTTTCACCTGCTTATTCACTGTCATATCCTCAGTGCCCAGAAGTGTGGCTGGCACTTGGCACCAACTGCATAAAGTTGAATGAATGATAGAATAATTTCATTATATTTGCTAGAGTTAATAATGGTGGGCTGAGATAATTCACACTGTAGAGGATATGATTCATAGCTGAGTCAAATGTAAAAAAGTCTTTGATCTTTAGTCTCTCCTTTTCCATGGAAGCCTTTAAAATATCCCAGTTTTATGGGACAATCTTAGTGGAAATAAACTTAGTAAGTTGAAATTACATAATTAATTATATACTATGTCAATTATAATTACTTATTGATCCAAGGCTCATCATGGATCACCTGGCAACAGTGAACAACAACAACAAAAAAAAGTAGCAGGTGTTTGGACTTAGTTCGTGCTTGCTCATTCATTAGATGAGGATTCCCACCCCCCACCCCCACCGCCCACCTGGAAATCCTAAGCAGTTTTATTTGGCTCAGAAATTGAAAGCTGCAATCCAAGGGCTTCAGACACCTCTGTTTCTCTTTCTGGCTTCTGGCCTGGAAGATATTTTATTGTTAAGCTGCTTTTCCATATATCTAATCCTATTTATTAGAAGTTGATTTTATATTTTAAGTTTCAGTCTTCTAATGATGCAGTTTTACACAATGGATAAAAAACACAGACTGAAGTCAGCCTCTCACAGCTTGGATCGCAGCTCCATAATTTACTAGCTGTGTGACACTGAGCACATTACTTAACCTTTCTGTGCTTTAGTTTCAGAATCTGTAAAATAGGAATAAATATAGTACTTACATTACTAGATTGTAATGAGGATTAAACAAATAAGCAATGCCTTCAACACACTAAGTGTCACATAACTGGTAAATGAATAAATAAATAAAATACACTTCGGTTCCCAAAAAGCTTTTCTTAACAATTGATTATATGATAGTTTAGGCATGTGATAGAAGTTACTATAAACAGGTTTATATCAGACTTGTATTTGCACGTCTAGTGAAAACATAAATGTAGCTCCTACATGAAGGCTTGATTTTTTTTCACAGACTGTTCTGGTGGAGTATGGTCTAAGGTCTTTGGTGGCATACGACAGAAACTCACACTGGCTACCTTAAGCAAAGCCATTAGAGGGGCTGGCTAGAATCAAGCTACACAGAAAGAACAGGAATCAGGTATTTCCATTTCTGGGGATTTCAAGAACAGGGATCCATGGCGAGTTCGTTTGGGAATAATCCCAAGAAGATTTTCCCTCTTGCATCACTCCCTTGGAGATCTAAAATCTGTGAGAAATCACACGCCCACCTTCGGGGCTAATGGTTGAGAGCAGATGTGTGACCTGGGTGGCTGGTCCCAACAGGATTGCAGGGCATGAAGGAGAGAGTTATACAAAGGAAAAGCAGAATGCTATTCTCAAAGAAGTGGGGAAAGTTGCTAGGCAGGCCAAAGTAGCAGCTGTCCACCATATGAAGAAAAACGGAGGGAGGGCAGTGTTCTCTAAAATCCTGTTTATGTTTGCACTGTAGGCCTTTCCAAAAATTTAAATATGTTTCTCTCCTCAGAGGGTACTCCCTGAGAGGCTGTCTCATGCTCTTCATCCTCCAAGCCTTCATGCAAAAAGAGCAAGAATCTGGCAATCATCATAAATTGCTTTCTCTGGCCTAATGAAGCAGATCTCCAGTTGTTTGTGTTGCATTAATTTAAATACTAATCTTTGAAATACAGTTTCATAATATCAATAATTTCTAGTTCAACCAAAACAACATTATGCTATACTTTCAGATTTCAGCAAATGATAAGGTTACAAAAGCACTTCACATATTCATGAATCTTCTTTTTAGTTGGGTTGGTTTTGGCTGTAAGTACCAGAACACACAACTTGAAGTTGCTTAAGCCAAATAAAAATGAACCTGTGCACATAACTGGATATCCAGATGGAGAACAGCCTTCAGGGAACTTAATCCAGTAGTCCCAGCTCCACACCTGAGCAACTACCAGGATGCTTTCTGCCCTTGTTTTCTCTCTGTGTTCATCTCTGGCTGGAAGCAGGATGGCTACAAAATTTCTAGACCTCGCCACTACACACAAAAATATCTGGATGAAGATAAGATCATTTCTTTTCTTATTACTATTATAAATAGAGATGGGGGTCTCACCTTGTTGTCCAGGCTGGTCTCTTAAGTCCTGGGCTCAAGCCATCTGCCCGCCTCGGCTTCCCAAAGTTTTGAAATTACAGGCGTGAGCCACCACACCTGGTCAAGATCGTTTCTTTATTCGGGTATCAGGAATAAGGTAACTTTCCCTGGAATCCTCCAGCAAACCTTCCTCTCATCTCATTGGCCCAGATTGGGTCATGTGCTCAGTCTTAAAATAACCCAGTGGCCACGGCAGTGTCATCTGCTAACTGGCTTGATGAAATTTTATTTTATTTTTTCTTTTCCTTTTCTTTTACTTTTGAGACAGAGTCTCGCTCTGTTGCCTAGGCTGGAGTGCAGTGGCGCAATCCGGGCTCATTGCAACCTCTGCCTCCCAGGTTCAAGTGATTCTCCTGCCTCACCCTCCCAAGTAGCTGGGACTACAGGCGTTTATTACCACCACCACACCTGGCTAATTTTTGTATGTTTAGTAGAGACGGGGTTTCACCATGTTGCCCAGGCTGGTCTCGAACCCCTGACTTCAGGCGATCTGCCGTTCTTGGCCTCCCAAAGTGCTGGGATTACAGGCATGAGCCACTGCTCCCGGCCTTGCTAACTGGCTTAGATGTGGGTTCTTGAACCAGTCACTGACAAACACACACACACACCCACACACACACACACACACACACAAATCATGCCTGGCCCCCACTCACAGGCCACTAGACAGTAAAAAAGAGGAGGGATATATGTTAAAGAGAAAATAGGATAGGCATTTGTCTTCCCCACCAGTGCTCCAATATCTGGACCTCACTGCTGCCCACCCCCATGTTTGAGAAATTTAAGATTCAGTAGAAGACAGGGGCCACTTCCCACCAACAATGCTGAAGACACCATGAGCTTTCTGCTCCCTCGAATCAGGGGCTTGTAGCAGAGGCTACACCGATCACACATACCTGACTCAGGTTCTTTTCAGAACCCATGATGCAAAGAGCCAGGAACCACCTGGAAAATCCATTTGAGTGGCAGGTGGTGGCTAGTTTACACGGACAGCCGTGGCAGTAGCAATGGGACATCCAGTACGGGGTTACCAGATTTAACATGAAAATACAAGAGGTCCAGTTAAATCTGAATTTCAGATAAACAACTTTTTCTTTTTTTTTTTTTTTTTGAGATGGAGTCTCGCTCTGTCCCCCAGGCTGGAATGCAGTAGTACCATACCAGCTCACTGCAATCTCCACCTCCCAGGTTCAAGCGATTCTCCTGCCTCAGCCTCCCAAGTAGCTGAGATTATAGGGACCCACCACCACGCCCAGCTATAGAGACAGGGTTTCACCATGTTGGCTAGGCTGTTGTCAAACTCCCAAGCTCAAGCAATTCACCCACCTTGGCCTCCCAAAGTGCCAAGAAATCCACCCACCTGGGCCTCCCAAAGTACTAGGATTACAGGCGTGAGCCACCATGTCCAGCCTAAGAACAAATATTTTTAGTATAATTTTAGTATGAGTATGCCTGATATATTGTGTGGAACCTATTTATGTTCAGAAATATATCATTTATTTAAAATTCCAATATAACTAGGTACCTTGTATTTTGTCTGACAACCCTTATCCAATGGCATCCAGTTTCTGGTAGCAGCAGAGTGTTGAGTGGTGAAGGTAGGAGAGCCCTCATCAGACTGGGTTTATCAGGCATCTTCCAGGCTGCTAAATACCTTCCTGTCTTCTGCTTGGTTTCCAAGCCTACTTCTGCATCATTACCAGAAATTCTGTGAGAATAAATCATACAACGTAAGCTTCAGTTGTCTGCAACTATAAACCCTGGTCATACGAAACTCAACATCCTCTACAAAAACGTGAACCTGTCTTCTAGCACTGAGATCTGTATAAAACACAAAGTGGGGGAAATTTTTGTTTTAAAGCATAAGTAGCATGGTGGAGCCTTCTAAAGTCTGGGCCTCAGGAGAACCAGGTTGTTTGCAAGTTTCTGCTTTGTCAGTGGTTGAAGGAAACTCATGCAATGCTTCCTGCTTCAACTAAGCTAAATGTAAAATGAAAACAATTCTGGAACACTAGATGACTTAAAAATCAAGGATTGTAAAATTCGGGAATAGACGAAACCTTTCCCTTACTAGGAGTGTTCCTTTTCCTTTAGCTCTCTCAACTAATACAACTAAATTCTTCCAATAAATAATAATCTCATTATTATTAAGTTTAAGACTATGAATACATTGAAAACCTGTAGTGTGAAAAGCATTGTTTATATTTTTGGCTCCTAAATCATATTGCCTTCCTGTTAACTGTCTTACTGTCCCAGAATAATGTATCTTCGTGGTTTTTAATTCCCTTTGGATGGAGGGATGATGCTAATTTACCAGTTGTCATGGAATGGTGTGATTAAGCAATTTAATTAACTAATGGCTGGCAGACTGGAAATACCGTCCTTCTGTCTTCTCTAGATCATGAAGGAAGCATGTTGGTTCTTGATCATGAAATTAGCCACCTAGCACGCATGCCAGGGATTGGTAGGTCTCTTGAGCTAGTGGCTTATTAAGTGAAAATAAAGGTTGTTTGCTGAGATTGAGTGGTGCTTCTAAGGTGGACACAGCCTCTCTAGACTCTTCCAGCTTCATCGCCTCACAGCTGGAGCTGCTGACATGGCTCTAGAAACCAAATCTGAGGCAAAGATTCTCCCATTGAGAACTTCAAATATGAACAGGCTGCTAAAGTATATATAGGTGGAGGGTTGTTTTTCCACCCAGCATCCATCCTTCTTTTCTCACACAGCTTGATTTCCTTACACAAAATATTGCTCCCAAACTATGGGAAAGTTTAAAGAAACAGTAAAACCAAAGCCTGCCTTTGCAGGTTTCTCTGAAGCCTCTTTATGCAGGATGCTACAGAATCTTTGAATCTGCAGAATTGCCTCCAGCCTAGTCAAAGTGGAGGAGCAAGTGACCAAGGCATGGTACAACATGTGGCCATAGTGACATATGTCACCAGTAACATAGTGACTGATCCACTCAATTAGAGTCAATGGGACACAAATAAAACTTGGGCTGGGACTTCTGGGAAAAAAAACAAAAAAAATTTTTGCTCTTTTTTTCACTGGATTTGAAGTGATAGAAAGTTAGGTTTGGAACTACAGCAACCAAACTGCTACCACAATGAAGAAGCTTGGCTGAAAACAGGACAAATCAGAGAATGTGGAACAAAAAGACAAAAGAAAGACTAGGTCTTGGTAACATGACCTACTTCATCAAGCCATCACTGCAGCCAGACAGTAATCCCCTTTTTGAAATCCCCTTTCTAGGTCAGTTTGGTTTCTGGTCTTGGAAAAGAGAGTTCTAACTGATACCATTGGCTTTCCCCCACGTGTAAGGATGAGGCTGTCCAGAATGAATGGTCACAGCCAGGCTCGGGCCAAGGCCTTAGACTTCTGGATGACGATTAGGCCATCTTATTTAGGATCTCCTGCTAAGGTAGCATATAATTTCAGGCAATCACTTCACATGAGTGTCTCTGTCTCCTTCCCTGCGAAAGGAAATACTCCTACTTGCCCTAGAGACCCGCATGGTCATAGTGGGGATAGCAATGTGCAAGGAGCAGGTAGGGAAGAGCACTCGGTACAACAGGATTCTGTTCTAAGGTAGTATTCTTGTATTTGCTTCCCAAGCAGCCTGGGAAGCTTTACCAAAAGGAGTAGCTTCATTGTTTTTGTTTTTCCTAAAGGGCATGATTTGTTCCAAAATCAGAGTGTTTACAAGACAAATTACCTTTGAATTCATTCACCTTGAAGTTCATTTTTTGCTTCATATTTAAGTTTTTTGTGGTCAAATCATATTTTCCACTAAGAGCTCATGGTTTGTTTTGAAGGAGGAATGGTTAAAAGCTAAATATATCTGTTTGAGTTCTATGAATAATTTAGATACTAATGTTCAACAAGTGTTATTTCACAAAACTACACCCTCAATGTAGGATTAAATTGACCCGCTGGTTTGTTTATTTTTCTTGGGAGGGAGGGGCAGTGCTAGATTATGTTTTGGTTAATCATATTTCTCCAGAGAAGCTGACAATTTCAAAATGTGTGTCTTGAAAAAATGACTAAATGTGAATAACACTACATTTTTTTGTAAATTACAAAAGTGATAAATATCCTATAATTTGCAAAGGTGATACTGAAGGAGAGAAAAATCTCGATGTCTTCACAATTGTTTAAGAATTGTGTTAACAAGGCGAGGCACGGTGGCTCATGCCTGTAATCCCAGCACTTTGGGAGGCTGAGGCAGGTGGATCACTTGAGGTCAGGAGTTCAAGACCAGCCTGGCCAGCATGGCAAAACCCCATCTCTACCAAAAATACAAAAATTAGCTAGGCGTGGTGGTGCACGCCTATAATCCCAGCTACTTGGGAGGCTGAGGTGGGAGGATCACTTGAACCTGGGAAGTGGAGGTTGCAGTGAGCTGTGATCATGCCACTGCACTCCAGCTTGGGTGACAGAGCGAGACTCTGTCTTAAAAAGAATTAAAAAAAAAATTGTGTTAACAACGTGCCTGGTACCATAAAACAACCCTTTTTACTATTATACAAAGTAGTAGTTTGTGAAATCAAAAAACAAACAAACAAACAGAAAAAGGCCTGAAGTAAATAGAGATGAAACTCTATGCCTCAGTCCTTGTATTTCTACAAGAAAATGTTGGCTCCCAAGAAGGTCTGATTATAGCTGCACATCTAAACTTGTTCTCCAACCCAGTGCTTTTAAGAATAAAGCTGATATTTTTATCTCTGTCCAGTCTGACCCTTGTGTTTTCTTCCTAGTTGATTCCAAACTCATGAAAGGAGGCTGGGGTGTGATCACATACCTCTTATAAAGCCCCCAAAGGGGGAAAGTGCTTGGAGAGATGACCTGAGGGAAGCCTGGTGTGCCTGGAGATACAGTGAGTGCAGGTGGAAAGCAGAATGAGATGAGTTCATGGGATAGATGGAGACCAGATCATACATGGTCTTGTGGCCATGGTAAGTATTAGTTTCATTCAGAGCCAATGAAAAAAACATTGAAAGGTTTCAAGTAGAGGAGTGACATATGAAGATTTTCATATAGTTGTGTAAAGAAAGGCTTATAGGGGATCAAACATAGTAGAAGGGAGATGAGTTACGAGAGTATGGCTGTGGTCCAGGTAAGAGATGAGGTAATGTTGTTAAAGCCCAATAGGTTCTTCTTGCCCACTGCACAGATAAAGCCAATACACTGAGATAGCAGAGAAATAATTTAATTATCGCAAGGCAGCTGAGCAGGAGGACAGGAGAGGTTTCCCAAATCCGCCTTCCTGAGGGCTCAGAGGCTAGGGTTTTTAAGGATAGATTGGTGGGTAGAGGGTTAGGAAATGGGAAATGTTGTTTGGCTGGGGCAGGAATGAAATCATAGGCACTGAGTTCATTCCTAGGTGGGGGTGACCAGACAGGTGGTATCATTTGTTCCATCAGAATGCAAAGTCTGAAAAATATCTCCAACACCAGTCTTGGGTTTTACAAGAGTGACGTTATCTATAGGAGCAAGTAGGGAAGTTTTAAATCTTTTGAACACCAGCTACATGACTCCTGAGCAGTAAGCACATTAGGAAACCATGACTAGTTATCATTTAACTATGCATAGGTGTTACAGAATTCAGGCCCCTCCCAAAATTCTAATTTTGTGGACTCTATTAGTTTTACAAAGGTGGTTTTGGTCCCCAAACAAGGAGGGGAATAGTTTTGGGAAGCAGCTATTATCATCCTTGCTTTAAGGTTAAACTATAAACTAAATTCCTCCCATAGTTAGCTTGGCCTATGCCCGGGAATGAGCAAGGGCAGTTATCTTCTGAGGTTAGAAGCAAGATTAAGTCAGTTATGTTAGATTTCTCTCAATGTCATAATTTTTGCAAAGGCAGTTCCAGTCTGACTCAGGGCAGTAGTAGTGGAATTTGAAATTAAGAAATGTGGATTAGGTGAAAATATTTTTTGGAGTTGAATTAGTACAATATATTCCTGTGTTATGTCTAGCAGATACTATTGGTTTTTGCCCCACCAAAATCCAGTCTTCTTTTTCTACAGTACACAGAACTCATGCTTTTTACCTGGGCACTTGGCTATCTAGAACAAAGATTCTATTTCCCAGCCTCTTGTAGCTTGATGGGGCCATGTAATTAAGTGTTTGTTTGTTTGAGATGGAGTCTCACTCTGTCGCCCAGGCTGGAGTGCAATGGTGTGGTCTCGGCTCACTGCAAACTCCGTCTCCCGGGTTCAAGCGACTCTTCGACCTCAGCCTCCCGAGTAGCTGGGACTACAGGTGCATGCCACCACACCCGGGTAATTTTTGTATTTTTAGTAGAGACGGGGTTTCACCGTATTGGCCAGGCTGGTCTTGAACTCCTGACCTCATGATCCGCCCGCCTTGGCCTCCCAAAGTGTTGGGATTACAGGTGTGAGCCACTGCACCTGGCCCTTAAGTTTTAATCAATGATAGGGATATAATATGTGCAACCACTGGGACATATTCCTAAAGATAGAGGGAATGCCCTCCTTTTCTCTTCCCCCATCCTGATGCTTAGAACATGGGCTTTATGGCTAGAGCTGTCTCCTGAGCCATGAAAATAAGGACTAGAGTAGATTGCTTACAAAGATGGTCCCAGTGATTCATCTAATATTTACAGGTCAGCACCTTTGCAATATAACTGTGATACTTCTTGAATAAAGAGATGTAGTCTATTTCCCCATCCCTTGAAACTGGATAGGCCTTGTGACTTTTTCTGACCAGTAGGTACAGCAGAAGTAATATTGTAGGACTTACAAATCTAGACCCCAAGAAAGCTTGTAGCTTCCATTCTCACCCTCTTCAAACACTGCCCTGAAAAGAAGCTCAGTCTAACCTACTGGAGGATGAAAGGCCATGTGGAGGGGACCCAAGTGCCCAGCCGTGAGCCACCAGGAACTACTCCATACAAAACTAGATTCTTTAAAAATTTAATTTTCTGATTTTATTTATTTATTTATTTTTGAGAAGGAGTTTTGCTCTTGTTCTCCAGGCTGGAGTACAATGGCATGATCTCAGCTCACTGCAACCTCCACCTCCCGGGTTTAAGCGATTCTCCTGTCTCAGCCTTCTGAGATTACAGGGATTACAGGAGCCCGCCACCACACCCGGCTAATTTTTGTATTTTTAGTAGAGATGGGGTTTCACCATGTTGGCCAGGCTGGTCTCGAACTCCTGACCTCAGGCGATCCACCTACCTCAGCCTCCCAAAGTGTGGGGATTACAGGCATAAGCCACTGTGCCCGGCCAATTTTCTGGTTTTATTATTTAAAAGTTACCAGACTTGGAAGTTTACAATGAATCAATATAAAAGCTCTTACATTTGAACTTTTTTTTCCAAAAATCAAAAGACGAGCAAACCAGAACTAAATCAAGATTGAAAATTGCCAAAGTGATTTTTTCCCTTTCTCCTTACTTTATTTATTTGTTTGTTAGTTTATACAGCATCTTGCTCTGTTGCCAAGGTTGGAGCATAGTGGCCCAATTGCAGCTCACTGCAAGCTCCCCCTCCTAGGCTCAAATGATCCTCCCACCTCAGCCTCCCAAAGTGCTGGGATTACTTATAGATGTGAGCCATTGAACCGGACCTCTCCTTACTTTAAATACCTTATCTTTAGGGCATTCATGCTTCTTATCTATTTGACTACAGTCAAGTTTGATCACTATAGAAGTTAAGCCATGATGGAGAACAAAATTGGTGGTTTAAACACAATTCAAATAATATCAGATTTCGTACAGTCATTTTAGCCAGAATGCTTTCAATTGATCAAAAGTTCTTCCTTTTTGCCATTAAAGCTTTACATTTCCTATTAAATATTTCCTAATTTTTTGGTCTGGAGAGTGTTTTTGCAAACCACCAATTGTGAACTCTCAGAAACATTTCTGTTAGCTCAATAAATTTATAGCATCTTTTTATGAATTAGGCTTTCCAAGCGCTTTATTGGAGTAAAGGCATCATTTATTAGCAAAGCAAAGAGGACCTCATATCTGGCAAAAGTTACTTACATTTTTTAATCATGTTGTCTCTTCTATTTCCCTTTGCTGATAAAGGTTCTTATTCAAGCACTGACCCTGTTTCCTTAGGAGGAGGGTTATGATAGAACATATGCTTTATAAACACACCAATTTACAATGATAAAAGCTCAAGGCCAATACAACATAAAAATCCAGTGATAACATGTTACATCTTGGCATATGCCACCTTGACTGTACCCTCAAAGTTGCCAACATCAAGAACAATTTTGAGTCAGCCAGGCACAGTTTTGGTGGCACACACCTATATTCCCAGCACTTTAAGAGGCCAAGGCAGGAGGATCACTTAAGCCCAGGAGTTTGAGACCAGCCCGGGCAAATAGTGAAATCCCATCTCTACAAAAAATACAAAAATTATCCGGGCGTGGTGATGTGTGCCTGTGGTCCCAGCTACTCCAGAGGCTAAGGTAAGAGGATTGCTTGAGCCCGGGAGGCAGAGGTTGCAGTGAGCCGAGATTGCACCACTGCACTCCAGCCTGAGCGGCACAGCAAAACCCTGTCTCAAATAATAATAATAATAAATTTTTAAAAAGAAAATGTGTGAATGTACTTGGAGCATTTAATGACTTTTGCAGTCAAGTGATTTTTGAATGGTTCTAAGGTTAGACATCCTTGACAACCATGCATTTTAATGGCACTTTTACATTTGTTTATGTCTAAAAGATCCAATCATGTAAAAAGTCTTTTTTGGGATCAGTCTCTTTTCCTTAAAGTTTATCTGTTCATGGCCGGGCGCGGTGGCTCACGCCTGTAATCCCAGCACTTTGGGAGGCTGAGGCGGGCGGATCACGAGGTCAGGAAATCGAGACCATCCTGGCTAACATGGTGAAACCCCGTCTCTACTAAAAATACAAAAAATTAGCTGGGTGCGGTGGCGGGCGCCTGTAGTCCCAGCTGCTAGGGAGGCTGAGGCAGGAGAATGGCGTGAACCTGGGAGGCAGAGCTTGCAGTGAGCCGAGATAGTGCCACTGGAGTCCTGCCTGGGCGAAAGAGCGAGGCTCTGTCTCAAAAAAAATAAAATAAAAAAAAGTTTATCTGTTCATAAAAATAATCGTGCATGATTGCATTGTTCATAGAGTGCTACAGAAAGATTCAGAACACCAACACCCATATGGGTAAGGAGCAGATTAGAAATATACACTTACTGGTTAGTAGACATAGATAAGCAAGTTGTCCTCCCACCACAGCCAGGCTGTCTCTTGGCTTTAGACCAGTTGTTAATGGTACTGGGCAAAGATATTCTTCTGGTATTCACTCCTTTAGGAGTGATAAGGTTTCCAAAGTATGATTACAAGGAACTGGTCTCACCTGGCTTCTATGGGAAAGGTTTCTCTTTCTTTTTCCTTTTTCTTCTCTCTTCTTTCTCTCTCTCTTTTTTATTACAATTTGCAAAGCATATTTATTTACATTAGATTATTTGGTAAAGGCAGAATAGATATCCTTATCCTTATTTTTAACAGTTCAGTAGTTTTTAGCATATTCCCAAAGTTATGCAACTATCACCATTATCCAATTCTAGGATTTTTTTTTTTTTTTTTTTTTTTTGAGACTGAGTCTCGCCCTGTCGCCCAGGCTGGAATGCAGTGGCGCCATCTCGGCTCACTGCAACCTCCGCCTCCCAGGTTCAAGCAATTCTCCTGCCCAGCCTCCCAAGTAACTGGGATTACAGGCGCATGCCACCCCGCCCAGCTAATTTTTGTATTTTTAGTGTTTTTGTATTTTAATAATTTTTGTATTTTTAGCCCGGCTAATTTTTGTATTTTTGTATTTTTAGTAAAGATGGGGTTTCACCAGTTTGAGCTGGTCTCAAACTCCTGACCTCATGATCTGCCCGCCTCAGCCTCCCGAAGTGCTGGGATTACAGGCACACCTGGCCCAATTCTAGAATATTTTCAAGGCCTCAAAAAGAATCTGCTACCATACCATTACTAGTCACTACCCATTCTCACGTCCCCTGGTTTCTGGACCACTAATGTATTTACTGACTCTCTGGATTTGCCTATTCTGGACATTTCATACAAATGTGGCCTTTTCTGTGTGGTTCATCATGTTGTGGCACATGTCGGAACTTTATTCCACTTTATGGCTGAATAATATTCCATCATATGAATATATGACCTTTTGTTATCCATTCATTAGTTAATAAACATTTGGGTTGTTTCTATCAAGGCTGTTAAGAATAATGCTCCTATGAACACTCACATGCAAGTGTTTGTGTATACGTGTGTTCAACTTTGTTGGATATATACAGAACAGAATTGTTAGATCATATGGTAACTGTGTTTAACTTATTGAGGAACTATCAAACTCTTCCACAGAGCTGCACCATTCTTCAGTCCCACTAGCGATATATGAGAGCTCTAATTTCTCCAGATCCTTACCAATACTTGTTATTGTCTGTATTTTTTATTATAGCCATCTTAGTGGGTGCAAAATATCTCATTGTATTTTTTTTTCTTTCCTTCAACTTTTAAGTTCCAGGGTACATGTACAGGATCTCATTGTAGTTTTTATTTGCACTTTCCTAATGTTGACCTTATTTTCATGTGCTTATTGTCCATTTGTATATCTTCTTTGGATAAATGCCTATTCAAATCCTTTGCCTATTTTTAAGATGGGTTATCTTTTTATTTTTAAATCCTAAGAGTTCTCTATGTATTCTAGATGCAAGTCCCTTATCGGATATGACTTATAAATATGTTCTCCCACACTGTGGGTTTTTTCACTTTCTTCTTCTTTTTTTTTTTTGAGACCGAGTCTCACTCTGTTGCCCAGGCTGGAGTGCAGTGGTACATACAATCTTGGTTCACCACAACCGCCACCTACCGGGTTCAAGCGATTCTCCTGCCTCAGGCTCCCGAGTAGCTGGGACTACAGGTACACACCACCATACCCAGCTAATTTTGGTATTTTTAGTAGAGATGGGTTTCACTATGTTGGCCAGGCTGGTCTTGAACTCATGACCTCGTGATCTGCCTGTCTCAGCCTCCCAAAGTGCTGGGATTACAGGCGTGAACCACCTTGCCCAGCCCTTTTTTTTTTTACTTTTCTACAGTAGAATCAATCTTTTTATTTTCTTGATGGTGTCTTTTGAAACACAATTTTTTTAAAATTTTGAATAAGTCTAATTTTATCTATTTTTTATGTGGTTGTTCTTTTGGGTTCATATCTAAGAAATCATTGCCTAATCCAAGGTCATAAAAATTTACACCTGTATTTCCTTTTAAAGAGTTTTAATTTTATGTATTTGATCCATTTTGAGTTCATTTCTGTTACTGGTGTGAGACAGGACCCAATTTCATTCTCTTGCATGTCTATGTACAGCTGTCCTAGCATCATCTGTTGAAAAGACTCTGCTTTCCCCACTGAATGATCTTGTACCTTTGTTAAGGTCAATTGACTATAGATTTATGGGTTTATTTCTGGACTCTCAATTCTATTATGTCTGTCTTATGCTAGTACCATACTGCCGTTTTTTGTTTGTTTGGTTTGTTTTTATTTTTATGGATACATAATAGTTGTGCATTAATACCATACTGTTTTGATTACTGTAGCTTTGTAGTAAGTGTTGAAATCAAGAAGTGTAAGTTCTTCAACTTTGTTCTTCTTCAAGATTGTTTTTGGCTATTCTGTGCCCCTTACATTTCCATATAAATTTTACAATCAGCTTGTCAACTTCAGCAAAAAAAAAAAAAAAAAAAAGCACCTGAGATTTTTGATAAGAATTATGTTGAATCTGTAGGTCAACTTGGAGCGTACTGCCATCTTAACAATATTGTCTTCCAGTCCATAAACATGAGATGTATTTCCATTTATTTAACTCTTTAATTTCTTTTTCCTTTTTTTTTTTTTTTTTTTTTGAGTCAAGGTCTTACTCTCACAGGGTCTCAGGCTGGAGTGCAGTGGTGCAATCTTGGCTCAGTGCAACCTCCGCCTCCCGAGTAGCTGGGACTTCAGGCACCCACTACCATGCTCAGCATTTTTTTTTTTTTTTGAGACGGAGTCTCAGAGTCTCACTCTGTCACCCAGGCTGGAGTGCAGTGGTGCGATCTCGGCTCACTGCAACCTCCACCTCCCAGGTTCAAGCAATTCTCCTACCTCAGCCTCCTGAGTAGCTGGGACTACAGGCGCACGCCACCACGCCGGCTAATTTTTTGTATTTTAGTAGAGACAGGGTTTCACCATGTTGCCCAGGCTGGTCTCGAGCTCCTAAGCTCAGGCAATCCACCCACCTTGGCCTCCCAAAGTGCTAGGATTATAGGCATGAGCCACCGCGCCCGGCCTTGGCTAATTTTTGTATGCTTTTGTAGAGACGGAGTTTCACCATGTTGCTCAGGCTGGTCTCGAACTCCTGAGTTCAAGCAATCCACTCTCCTCAGCCTCCCAAAAAGCTAGGATTACAGGGATGAGCCACCATGCCCAGGAACTCTTTATTTCTTTCAACAACGTTTTATAGTTTTTGCTGTATAAGCCTTGTACTTCCTTTATTAAATTTATACCAAAATCATTATTTTTTAATTTTATATATTTAGTTTATATCCTGCATCCTTGCTGAACTTGTTTATTAGTTATAATAGTTTTCAAGTTCCTTAAGATCTTCTATATACACCAAGAAACCATTGATTTTACTTTCTGTCACTATAGACTTGCCTGTTCTAGAACTTCATATGAATGAATTCATTTAATCCTTAGTGTCTGGCTTCTTTCACTCATGTCATCTGCAACCGGAGACAGTTTTGCTTCTACTTTTCCAATCTGGATTCCTTTTATTTCTTTTTTTAATTGGATTTTATTTTCTTGTTTTTAGACACGCCCAGGCTGGAGTGCAGTAAAGCAATCTTGGCTCACTACAACCTCCACCTCCCGCCTCCCTGGTTCAAGCGATTCTTGTGCCTTAGCCTCCCAAGTAGCTGGGACTACAGGCATGAGCCACCAAGCGTGGCTAATTTTTGTATTTCTAGTAGAGACGGGGTTTCACCATGTTGGCCAGGCTAGTCTCAAACTCCTGGCTTCAAGTGATCCACCCACCTCGGCCTCCCAAAGTGCTAGGATTACAGGCAGGAGCCAATGCGCCCCGCTAGGATCCCTTTATTTTTCTTGCCCAGTTGCTCTGTTGAGAACTGGTAGCACAACATTGAGTGGAAGTAATGAGAGCAGACATCCCTGTATTTTACCTGATCCTAGCATATAAGGAGGATTCTTACCCTACCTTTCTTAGTTATGTGCAGCTCTTGAAGCATTAATGTGGATGGCTCCATCTCCTTTGTAAAGAGGACAACAAGCTCTTTTTACTTGTATGCTTCCCTCAGTGGTTCTCCACGTCTCAGCATTTAAGGTAAGTTTGGTAGATTACCCAATTAACTTGTCTATGCTTAATATCTGTATCTTATTTGAAGGCTACCATTGCTATAAAAGGCTTATCAACTTTTGCATGCACTTTCACTTAGCCATGCTTAGAATTTTTGTGGCCCAAGTTAGAGCTCTGCTGAAATGTTTCAACTTATCTTTGTTCCCTTACATATTTTTATGTTTTTATGTATTTTAATGTCTTTACAGATGGTTTTTGTGCCTAGACAGGATTATTCAAAGACCACATGTTTTACAGTTTAAATAAACTTTATTGAGGGTATTATTTGTATCCATAATAAAATGTACCTCTTTTTAGTGCATTTTTCCATGAGGTGTAGAAAATGTACGGACCTATGTAATCACCAAAAAGTTTCCCGTGCCTTACTGCAATCCTCCCACCCCAACACCAAGAAACCATTGATTTACTTTCTGTCACTATAGACTTACCTATTCTAGAACTTCATAGGAATGAGTTAATACAATCTTTAGTGTCTGGCTTCTTCCACTCAGTGGTGCTTTTTATATTTACTCATGTTTTTGTGTATATAAGCATTTTGTTCCTTTTTGTTGCTGAGAAGTATTCTATTGTATGGACATATCACATTTATTATTATTTCACCTGTTGGTGAACATTTGGGTTGTTTTTAGTTTAGAGCTATCATGAATAAAGCTGCTCCCAACATTCATATGCAAGTCCTTATATACATGTGTTTTAATTTTTGGAGGGTAAATGCCTAGAAGTGGAATTACTAGGTCATATGGTAAATGTGTGTGTAACTTCATTAAAAACAAAAACAAAAAACAAAACTTGCCAAACTGTTTTTCAAAGTGGGTGTACAATTTTATAATCCTACCAGTGAAGTATGAATTATTTCCAATTAGTCCACAATCTTGCCAGCATGTGGTAGTGTCTGTGTATGTGTGTTTTGTTTTGTTTTAATTTTACCAGCCTAGAGGTCACATAGTGGTATCTTATTATGGTTTTAATTTGAATTGCACTGGTGACGAATGATGTTGAGCAATCCATCTGTTTATGTGCTTACTGGTCATTTATATATCTTCTCTTTCTTTTGAGAAAACGTCCCAGGCTGGAGTGCAGTGGCACCATCTCGGCTCACTGCAACCTCCGCCTCCTGCATTCAAGCGATTCTCCTGCCTCAGCCTCTTGATATATATCTTCTTTTAAGAAGTATGTGTTCAAATCTATTGCCATGTTTTTACTGCTTATTTGTCTTCCCATTATTGAGCTGTAACAGATCCCTATATATTCTGAATGTAGGTCCTTTGTTAGAAGTATGTATTGAGCATACTTTCTTCCAGTCACAGACTGGGAGAAATTTATTTATTCATTTTCATTTATTTTTAAGCAATGGTTTTCAAAGAGCAGAGATTTTTAGTTTTTATAATTTATTCTATTTATTTTTATTTTCTTGAGATGATTCTGTTACCAGTGGAAGAGATCCAAGTTACCCTGAATTATTAGCGGCGATCTGTACACATCTGCAGCAACTTCGTCCTTGCCTCCTCAGAAGAATTCGACTTCATCTCAGGATTTTATAGGCTTACCTCTTTCCCATGATTCTTCCCTCAGGGTGGGCTGCCTGCCTAGTGCCTGCCCCCTTACCCTTGGGAATTGAGCACACACAGCGTGTTTAGGAAGTCATATGCATGCCTATCTGAGACTTTCTTCCCTTTTTCTGGAAGAGCCTGCCTGGAATGTCTTATTTTGCCATTTTGTCTCTTAGTGCACATGCCCAGGCAGTTTCTTCTCCCGGGCATCTGGATTCATTTAACGCTTTAATGTTAACAGCTGTGGATCACCAGGAAATGGCCTCTCCCTGGCACCCTGGTTAGGCTGCCACATTATCGTTTTTAGAGTGGTGGTGTGATAATTGTCCAACCATCACCTGACATTCCTAGTGGGTGGGTAGAGAGCCCTCTCCTGCCTCACTCATGCCTATCTAACTACTTATAACAATACTTAATATCAAGTAAAATCCACCCACTAGAACATACATCCCTTCACAGGGGATGCAAGACTGCTAGCTTCCCCCATTTTTAAAAAATTATTTTTTAATTGACAAGTGAAACTTGTATACATTGATGGTGTACAACATATTTTGATATAGGTATACAATGTAGAATGGCTAAATCAAGCTAATTAACATATGCATCACCTCACATATTTGTGTATGTGTGTTGTGAGAAGCCAAATTTATTAACTTTTTCATTTATAGCTAGTGATTTCTGTGTTCTGCCTAAGAAATATTTGCCTACCTCAAGGTTGCAAAGATTATCTCTAATGTCTTCTTCCAGGAGTTCCTTGGTAAATTCTAAGTAATTTTATGGCATGCTGTAAAGGTCAAGTTCCTTTTTCTTTCAAAAAAAAATTTTTTTTTTCTTTCTAAAAATCTGGGATTTTGGAAGGAGAAAGAATCTGGATGCAGCAAAGGGAAGCACTTGCCTTACCGCCTGGCTGTGACATACATGGAGCATTGTATGTCATGCAATGATATACACTGAGATGGGCAAAACTTTCGGTTAAAGCAAAAAGAAACATCTGGGAATACAGTGGTGCTTGCTGAATCCAGATGATTCCATGCTACATGGTGAAAGGGCTCAAGCGGGCAGCAAGGGTGACCACTGGACCAAATTAAGGGCTATAAGGAGCAGTGATGTGCAGGGTAGGTTACTCACAGGGGTTATTATATTATCTGAAATTTACATTAAAATACTTGGCAATTAAAGTGTGATATAGTTATGCGTAAATTAGTTTTTACAATCTAAATAGTTAAGATTTGATGTGTTGTAATATACGGCACATTAGCATAAGGGATGTCAGATATTTTTCACTGGTGAAATGAGGAGTACTTAATATATGCAGATGGGCTTGAGAACTGTGCTGATACTTCCCACCCTTCATGGACAGAGTATAAGAATTAGTGAACATTGGATATGACTAGGTGACCTCTTTGAATCTCAATTTCTTTCTCTGTAAAATAGGAAAAATAATGTCTATCTTCTAAGGGATATTGAGAGGAATGATAAGACACGCCCAACTCTAGGCTTGGCATTTAATGACTGTCCCACCCAGGTTAATTTGTTCCTTTTCCTTCTACCACTTTTTTTACTGTAGTACTTCGAGCTCCTGATTTTATGTCACTTACCACATTCTCTTTTGAGTTCCCATCTCAACTCTCTTGCTAGACACAGTCTTGAAGCTTAACTAATGCTGGCCTCCCTCTGAAGGTCCCATGGCAAAGCTCATCAAATCTTAGTGTACCCAATCACCTGAGATGCTTTTTAAAAATGCAGATTACAAAGCCTTACCTCAAAAGACTGATTCTGTATGTCTGTCTGGGTGTGGTCCAGGAATGTGCAGTATCATCGAGCACCTTTGGCTATGATGAATTAGGTGGTCAAGAACCACTCAGAGACACGTGGGATGTGAGAAAAACTTGTTTCAGAAATCCTACAATTACATTTTCTTCAAATTCGAGTTGAGACCCAAACAAAGACAGCTGACCCAGTTCTCCAGTCCCATGTGGAGGCTGGACTCAGCTGACCCAGGCCTGAAGCAGGCCCATCACCCTTGTTACATGTTTCCGCCCTTCTGGGTGACATAAAAATATCATTTTTGCTGGTCCGGCAGCAATCTCCCCTTTTCTGGTAACCCCCTGGATTTTCCCTACTCTTAGTGCAAAGCTTCAAGCAAGGCTAATCCCTTTCCCCACCATGAAAGTGAAGGTCAGCCTCTCAGACATTTATAAGAACAAGGAAGAGGAACACTCTTCCTGTAGAGATACTAAACTAGTAAGAACCTAAGTCTGGAGCTGCCTACTCCACTCTTACATAGAGTGCCTACTTGAGAATGAAACTAAGAGAGATGGTGCCCTTTGACATCATTAGGCCCCTGGGGTTCTTGCTAATCTGAGTTACTAATTCTCTTTTTGCTTTACGTCAGTTTGAGCTAGAATTTCTCCTTGCAACTGAAAATTCTGACTAACACACAGAGCCTCTACATTTCTCTGCACAAATGAACGCTTCCTCTCTGGGCAGTCCCAAATAATTCCCCTGTACCTCACTCTCCTCAAAGAACGTCACCTCCTTGCCACAAATGCAGGGAACCTGCTCCTTGGGACCAGGTGCAGCCCACTTTTCTTTCTTCCTTGCAGGGAAAAAAAAGGCCTTTTCCTTTGAGGCTTATGTTACGGAGCTCACTGTTCATTACTACTGTCTTCATTACTTAATTCATTTAAGACTGACACCTGTTTTATAATCTCTCCTTCCACCCTAGCTCTGCCATCATTCCAGATGGATCTCATCATTCATTTAATAGCCTATAATCATAGTTCATGTAGCATTCACTACACACCAGGCACGGTTCTAAGCATTTTACATATATTTTAGTTCACTCAACCCTTATAATAGCACAAGCTATTATTACGCCCACTTCTCACATAAGGAAACTGAGGCACAAAAAGGCTATTTAGACTTGCCTAGAGTTACCCAGTCATGAAGTGGTAGAGTAGGGATGAGGACAACGGAGTCAAATTGCAGAGTCCAGACTGGCCTCCCAGTTCCTTATAACTGTACCATCCTCCACATCTACTCTGCATTGGTGCTGTGGAGGTGGGAGAGAGGGAGTACCTCCTTCACTGAGTCACTGGACATTTGGAAGGTCTTTGGAGAGAAGTCAGCTGAGGATGGCCTGCATTGCCCCTTCCTGGAACTCAATGATTTGTTGTTATCACCCATGCAAATTCACCAACAAACAGATAAAAGTCAGGAAGCTGGGATGCAGCTGAACTGAAAACCCAGCAGCAGAAAAGCAGGTTATAGATTCTGCTCTGGGTGCTCCATACAGCTCCTTCCTCTCTGCCCCAATAACCTCCCTCTCTTTGGGAACATTGCTGCATTCAGGGCAGTCTGTCTTCCCTCCCTATGGGCTGTCTTTAGAATGTGTCCCTTGCCTATATCCATATTCATGCTCCGTGCTCCTCAGCCCCCTAGAAACTTTGCACAATAGATTCAAAACCTCTGGTTTCCTCCCTTCCTCTGTCTGAAAGAGTGAAAGAAGGAAGCCAGGGATTTCAGGGGGCAGCCAGGCAGCAGTATCACCACCCCTAGGCAATCACACCTAGTTGCAGCTTCATCGGGAACAGCTCAGCTCTGAAAACACAGACCTGGGACTCTCCCTCCCAGCCTTCTAGCTCTCGTTCCTGTGAGCAGCTTTTCAACCTCCACTTCCAGCCGCTGACAGGCCCTCCTGGCTCCACAAGGCCAGCTAACATACCCACCTTCCACAATCCCCAGCCCTGCCAGACATAACCTGCAACAGGCATTCCTGGATCAATGCAAACTCCGACTTCTGTTCCAGGAGTCTGCCTCTGTTAGAAGAATCTCACACAAGTGTGCGTGCTGTGCCATTGTAAATGCTGTATAAGGTGGCCAGGCCCAATCAGTCCCTGCAAGACACCGAACAGTAAGAACTATCTATGGAGTGTTTACTATGTGCCAAGCACCGTCCTTTGCAAGCACTATTAACCCTCAAAATACCACCACCGTGAGATTGAGACCATCATGATTCCCGTTCTACAGAAGGAAACACTGAGACTTCAGGAGGTCAGGACCTTTCCAGGGTCACAACTGCGTAACTAAGTTGCAGAGCTCAACCCAGTGGCACTTCCATCTCACACGCAGCTGTCTGATGGTCAAGAGCCCAACCAGTCCCCCGGTCGTTTCTACCGCACTAAACCGCTGTGTCAAGCTGGAGCAGCGGGCTCAGCAGTGAAAATGAAAGAACAGAAGGAGGTTACAGAGAAGAGAACGGTCACGGTAAATTCCGGAGAGGAGGCAAGGACGTACACACCGAGATACTTCCCGGTCACCGTTACTCAGCACTTTGTGGGGTTCACGTGGCTGGGGGGGCCGGGGCGTGGCGGCCCTTTTCGAGGAATCCAGCCCTGCCTGGGCGGTCCCCATCTCGAGCGTGGGCGTGTTCGATTCAGGCCCGGCGGACGCATCCCCAGGTGACCCGGGAGGGACCTTGTGTCTCTGGGGGTGACTGTCCGTCTCCCCGCCTCCCACCGTCACGCGCAGTGCTGATCCCCACTTCCAGCTGGAGTGCGAGCTGGGCTTGGGGTTACAGGAGCCGAAGCCCTGGAGCTCCGCCCCACGCTTGCGCCAGCCCCGCCCCGATCCCGGCTCGCAGGCTCCAGGGGCGGGGCGTGGCCGGGGCGCAGCGACGGGCGCGGAGGTCCGGCCGGGCGCGCGCGCCCCCGCCACACGCACGCCGGGCGTGCCAGTTTATAAAGGGAGAGAGCAAGCAGCGAGTCTTGAAGCTCTGTTTGGTGCTTTGGATCCATTTCCATCGGTCCTTACAGCCGCTCGTCAGACTCCAGCAGCCAAGATGGTGAAGCAGATCGAGAGCAAGGTACGCGCTACCGGGGAAGGCCAGGGTGCCGGCGCCGCGCGCGGCCTCTGTAACTGGGGAAGGCGGTGGCGGGAGGTGGGGAAGGCGGTGGCGGGAGGTGCGGAGGCCGCCCCTCCGCATCGCCAGGGGAAAGGGACGCGGCGTCTCGGCCTGGGACTGCGGGAAGCAGCGGCCTGGGCGCGCCCGAGGCGGTGGAGCCTGCCCTGGAGGAAGGGAGGAGAAGGACGAGGGTCCCCTGGAGGGCGGAGTGGCGGTGCCCAGCGTTTCTCGCACCCTGTTCCTCGGGGGATTGCACGCACGCGGGGAGCGTCCGGGGGATGTGAGAGCGCAGACAGCGTGAGGAGTCCCCACGCTGCGCCTCCTGCACCCTCCCGTCCGGGCAGCCCCGACTGGAGGAAGATGAGGGAATGGAAGGGGTCCGCCCTTGGCCCCCCATCTGTATCCAGATTCAGGCCCCAGGCAAGGATAGGGAGGGCCCTTGCAGAAGGCACGGGTCGGTGGCCGCCGCTGCCTTTCCGTATGTGAAGTGATCCACCCGCAGCGGGGGTAGTGATCTCCCTTTGGGAGCGGGTCTAGGCCGGAGACCCCCGCCTGCCTCCACCCATGCCCGACCCCAAAGGTGACGCGTGCTGTATCCGCACTAAGGGGGCGGATTGCGGCTGGAGACCCCCTGGCACGTGCAGGTCTGTCCAGGAGGCCCGAGGGCCCCAGGTGACCGCGAGGAAGTGAGGTCCGGGCCGCGCCCACGGGACTCCTGTGGCGCAGGGCGCGTTTCCGGCAGCAGTGGCTTTGGAATGACTGAGTCCCCAAGGTTGGGCCCGGGGGCCTCGGCTGCCCTGCCCGTCCATGATTCACCCTCAGTCGGTGGGTTTTGCTGGAGCCAGGGTTCCTCCTGGGAGCAGCCGCGCCCTGCTGCCTGCTCGCCGACCTATCGGTATCCCGATCGTTGTTTTGTCCTCTTAAAAATGCCCAAGGCGAAACAGCCTTCCCATGTTTGAAAGTTATTGCAAGCCTAAAACCTTGTAGACTGGGAAACCCAGAGCCTAACGCGCAGTGTCTAGTCCAATGTAGCCACTCCAGAAATATTTGTTAAATGCAGCGTCAGAAAAGTGAGTGGAGGAAATTGATACTGCTCGAACGGTAGAAGACCCCTCGCCAGCGCCTACCCTGCGATTACCCCTCCCTACCTGCGGGAAGCAGAGGAGGGCGGGTCCTCGCCCGCCTCGGGTGCCCTGACCTGTTTGGTGCCGGGTGGGCTTCGGAAACAGAAGTGTGTCTGCAATGTGTCCCCGATCCTTTTGTTCCTTTGATTATTATTGACTCTCAGTGTTTTTTCCTCATATGTTGATTGCCACTGTCATCTTTTATCTTCCTCTCAATCAGTTTTTTCTTAGTGGGATTCTCATTTTAGCAGCCCTCATGTGTTGAAAAGATCCTTAGTAGTGAATTGTCTTTCATATACTTTTTTTCCAAGCACCTATTGTGTGACAAATTATTAATCCATTCCTGGGGAAGGGAGTGGGGCTGGGATTCTGTTCTCCAGGGTCTGGCAACCTCAGTATAACCCAACTGCTAAGAACCCCCTCCACTGAGCCAGAAGACCTTTGAGTGGTCTATGTTAGTTGTCCCAAAATCCAGACACTACAAACAAAGTTGATTAGGATTTCTGGAGCACACAGTTTAGTCCTCCCAGTTGTCAGAGCATGTCAGAGCACCTTCCTCCTCTACCAGTGACAAAGGTGTACAAGGGTGACAGGAACTTTAAAAAAAGCACTACAGCCTGGGGCCCAAAGGCCCTGATAATCAATTAATCCTCAAAATAACAATCCAAAGTCATTGATCGAAAGTTACACTAATTTGATTGTTATTTGTCTGTTAGTTTGTTTTTCGAGATGGAGTTTTGCCCTTGTTGCCCTGGCTGGAGTACAGTGGCGCGATCTCGGCCCACTGCAACCTCCACCTCCTGAGTTCAAGCGATTCTCTTGCCTCAGCCTCCTGCACAGCTGGGATTACAGGCATGCGCTGCCAAAATGCCCAGTAATTTTGTATTTTTAGTAGAGATGGGGTTTCACCATGTTGGTCAGGTTTGTCTCGAACTCCTGACTTCAGGTGATCCACCAACCTCAGGCTCCCAAAGTGCTAGGATTACAGGCGTGAACCACCACGCCCAGCCTGTTATTTGTAAATGTTGAATACATGTTACATTTTCATCCTAATGGGCTAAATTTGCACCATTTGCCATTCAGAACAATTCTGTTTCTGAGGTACTCTGTTGGTGCTTTAGGGCCAACTGGGATCTATTTCAGAGAGGAATGGAATAATTGACTGTAAATGTGATGAGGAAGAAATAAACACTTTTAAAAAAAATGACACCTACCATTTATTGAACTCCCATCTACAAGGCACTTGGCTAAGTACTTCAGAAACCACTCACACTTATTACCCTCAGAGTAGGTATGTTGAGGCAACGAGATCTTAGACTCTTGCTCCTATTTACCCCAACTACACTGTTCTGCTTCCCCCAGATTATTGGTGTCAGTGATGGAGACATTTATTAATCCTGTTAGTTTCTGGGAGCTAGAAATTGTGATTTCTTCTTAGTAATACAATCTTGAATAATTTTCAAGCTGATACCCGTTTAGAAGTATCAGAAGAGAATTTGTACATGAAGCCTGCACATACGTGGGGTGTAACTCATGTTCAGTTAGGCTAAAAGTTATTGTTGCGTGCCTCTTTTCAGAATTTTAGGTACTTGTGCTTAAATTTGATTCAGAACTGTTTTGGAAAAGCCTTGAGTATGTTTGAAATACCTTCCCTCTTGAAAGTAATCTCAAGTTTTTAATAAGGGTTAATCATGTTAAAAAAACAAAAATGTCTATTCAACCAGACATTGGCATTTCTTGACCTTTTTTCCTGTCTTACCTGGATCTTGCAATAAAGGATGCCTGGTTTAACTTTCTTGAAAATCACATTAGGGAAGGCTTTGAATGAAATTGATCTGGAACAATAAGTGATGATTTGGAAAAACAATTGCTATACTTCTATGTACCCTGCTGCAGCTCTCCCCATGTCTCCACCTCTAGAGGTGGGGTTCAGGGATTTGCATAACTAAAAAATTTATGAAAGTGTTGTCCTACCTTTCTCAGGAACACCATTTGTGAATTATTTTCCCAAAAACGAGGTAGAAATTAGAAATCTAGAGAAGTAACTATTAGTACATGAGGTCATATTAGTGTTTTCTTGTTGGGTTTTTTTTTGTTTATTTGGTTTTTTATCTTATGGTTTTTTATTTATTTGATTTCTTTCTTTACGAGACCTCTTGTGGCGGTGGGGGGCGGGGAATGTTCATTTTTTTTTAAACCTATTTGACCAGCATTGTTTCCTTGAAGAAAACCTAGATTTCAGATACAGATGTTTATGTTTTGATTTATCTTAATTGCTCTGGTTTGGTTTTTGGGTTTGGTCAGCACTAACGTACTAATGTGGTTAAAATGAGTCCTTTGTTTTGGGAGGCCAAGGCGGGTGGATCACTTCAGGTCAGGAGTTCAAGACCAGCCTGGTCAACATGGCGAAACTCTGTCTCTACTAAAAATACAAAAATTAGCTGGGACTGGTGGCAGAGGCTTGTAATCCCAGCTACTCAGGAGGCTGAGGCAAGAGAATCACTTGAACCCCGGAGGCAAAGGTTACTGTGAGCCGAGATCAGGCCTTTGCACTCCAGCCTGGGCAACAAGTGAAACTCCGTCTCAAAAACAAAACAAAACAAAAATGAGTCCTTGGTAACTAGAATATTCGGTTCCCAGGGTTACAGTATCTAGATAGTAAATAATTCAGGGAAGTTAGTGGTAAGAGATTTCTTGATCATTTCTACTGAGAATTTTATTTAACAAGCATTCCTTATGAAAAATAATATCTATGAAAAATTTCCTTCATGAGGAACGAAAACTTTCATTTAATGAATGACAAGGGTATAGTTTTAAAATAAAGGGCAAAAATCAAAGGTTGGTAAACGTGTGATCTCAGCTCTGGAAACCCCATTATGCTTATGTCAACGGTGATGTCTGAGTGTTGAGGTTTGGGAAAGGTGAGTTTCCTTGACTTTTCAAAAAATTTTAGATTTTCGTATGGTCCACCATAGACAAATGAGTTTAATCAAAAGTCATAGCTTTTTTTTTTTTTTTTTTTTTTGCGACAGAGTCTCCGTCTATTGCCCAGGATGGAGTGCAGTGGCACAATTTTGGCTCACTGCAACCTCCGCCTCCTGAGTTCAAGCTATTCTCCTGCCTCAGCCTCCTGAGTGGCTGGGACTACAGGCATATGCCACCACGCCCAGCTAGTTTCTGTATTTTTAGTAGAGACAGCATTTCACCATATTGGCCAGGCTGGTCTCGAACTCCTGACCTAGTGATCCGCCCACCTCGGCCTCCCAAAGTGCTGAGATTACAGGTGTGAGCCACCATGCCCAGCCAACTTTTATCTTTAAGTAACTTGTGATGTTTCAATTGCAAAATCCTATGCCTTTGTGACTTCAAGTGACCCCTTTCATAATCCATAAGTGTTTAATGAATGTCTACCATATACCTAGCCTTGACATGGAAACATTTTTAATACAAATGTCTATTTTTATTTTCCTTTTGTTTGGTGTAGAGAAAAAATAGCCAGTTCACAATATTTTATAAAATAGTTATGAAGAGAATGTCAGTATACTCTACACATATCTTGTTTCATCTTATCAAGTAACACTACCAACAATGTATAGAATTTCTTCAAACTGAGTTTTATTTGGCTTGTTTGGGGATTTTTTTTTTTTTTTTTTTTTTTTTTTGGCTAAAAAGTAGGTCCTGAAAGGAGGACCTCCAGAATGTGCTTTGTGTCATTGTGTCGAGTCTTTCTTTTGAAGGTTTAATATTTAACTATTTATTTAATATAAGCTTTTCTTTTGCTGTTAGACTGCTTTTCAGGAAGCCTTGGACGCTGCAGGTGATAAACTTGTAGTAGTTGACTTCTCAGCCACGTGGTGTGGGCCTTGCAAAATGATCAAGCCTTTCTTTCATGTGAGTATTAAACAATGTCTGCTTTGTAAGAGATTTGTGTTTTTTGAGTTGGTGGTCACAGTGGTAGGAAAGAAAGACAGTTAAAGGATTTTGGTTTCGGTGGGGGGATTTCTTTGGCTGGATCTTTGGTCTAAAAGTAGTAGTATAACAAATAATTTAGGTTTGATACATGTAGCCCATTGAAAACAAATTTTAGAAGTTAATTTTGTCTTAAATAGTTCTTTTTTTCCCCACATTGAAACATGGGCCTTATTTGAAATCCCAGCCTCAGAATTTGATATGCCAAGCTGTTTTATACTAAGAAAAATTTGATTTAGAGAAAATTTATGTCTCTTAGATCTATGTCTCCAAAGATCTAAATTTTTGGATCTTTAATTAGTCTCTACTTTTATTAAGTTTCCATTTAAGAAGCTTGGGTATGTTGATTGCCATTACCTAGTTCTAAATCTTTTTGGATTTTTCATTTTAAATTTTCCAGTCCCTCTCTGAAAAGTATTCCAACGTGATATTCCTTGAAGTAGATGTGGATGACTGTCAGGTATGTAGCTGGAAATATGAGATACTGCTGAGCTTTTCACATTGGCCTTTTTCTCTGAATTGCACAGTGCTTTTTTCCATAAATATGTCAAATAATTCTAGAACTGTAATCCTATCTAAAAAGTTCTATCTCAGAAGAGCAGGCAAGTTAGGAGCTTAATCCTAGCTATCGGGAGCTGTATATCACATCCTAAAGTAAACAAAAATAAATGAGTGAGACTTCTGAATCTTATCGGCCACCCACCTTTCTAAAACCCTACATTCTACTTTACACTCTGAGATGTGCAATAAATGGAGATTGAATTTAGCTATGATCATTACATCCATAGGCTTGATGGAGTCACCAAATTATGAGACCGCTTGTAGGGCTCTTTGTGAACTTGCAGTAGCATGAGAACCTGCATTTGCAAGCCTATTCTAGTCTTGGTTGATTTTAGTCAATTAGAAACCACAAATGTTTTAACAAATAAACACCAAGGTACCTGAGAGAATAATTTGGAAGAAATTCCAGGGTTGGTTGTATTTAACAAATACTTGTTTTGCACTAGGTATATACCAGGCACTGTTCTGGGTGGTTTTTAAGTATCAGTTCATTTAATCCTGAGTGCTGTTATCATCCCCATTTTATAGATGAGAAAACTGAAACACAGAGGTTGTTCATGAAGTTTCAGTGAGTATGTGGCTGAACTAGGATTTAAAATGAAGTGGTCTGGCTTCCCAGCCCTTGACCTTAAGCACTACCCATCGGAGGATGCTCTGTCTTGTGGGTGTAGATCGGGTGCTTAGCACATGACCACAGACCTAGGAGAGCGGGTTGAGGAGGTATCACTTCGGGGCCCTTTACAGATATGTGAGCATTTTCACTTAGCCCTAGTGGAGAAGGAAAGGCGATGGGGGAAGGGTGCAGTGTGGCAACAGAGGCGCTGGACCTGGCTTCCAGTCCTGGCTCACTAGCATCTGCTTAGGCCAGTCACTCCTCTTCCTTGAGCCTTAAGACCTGCCCCATCAACCTCCCAAGGTTGCTTATTCATTGAGCAAACATGGAATATCCAATAAAGGGTGAAGGGTCACTTAAAACAGGCATATGGCAGTGCTCTCTAAACATGGGAGGGCGCAACAACCCCAGATTGTGTATTCTTAGCCAGTTTTTGACTCTGTGCCTTGGGCAACCCCTGCCTTGGCTTGTGCTGTCTTCTCCATCTGGCCTGTCCTTTCCTTTCCTACCTGACTAACTCCTTGTCATGAGCTTCACCCCTTCTCCACTTACCGCCTTGTGTGCCCTAAGTACCCAGTGAATCTTGGCAATTATTATAATGATCTTTATGTCTGTCCTTTACCATTAGTCTCAGTAGATTCCTAGGATCAGAGACCCTGTCTTAATTCACGTTGGTTGCCCCTTCACCTAGCACACCTGCCTTGCATGTAGTATAGGTGTGGAATGAATGAATGATGAATGTGATATGGTTGTTAAGTTACTATTCTAGATGTGTCCCAGAGTTGTTTTTTTTTTTTTAAAAAGAGTGTAATTGCATTTTTGTGAAAAATCCTTATCCCTTGTTTTAATCAAACTTAGTCTTATTAAGGTCAATTTAGCTAGGGGAAAATTGCACCTGGAATAGAGAAATTCTAACTGCCACTGATCCTATCAGATAGCAACTTGATTTTTTTTTTTTTTTTTTTTTTTTTTTTTTTTTTGAGATGGAGTTCACTCTGTCACCTGGGGTGGAGTGCAGTGGCATGATCTCGGCTCACTGCAACCTCTGCCTCCCGGGTTTAAGCAATCCTCTGTCTCAGCCTCCTGGGTAGCTGGGATTACAGGCATGCACCACCATGCCTGGCTAATTTTGTATTTTTACAAAATTAAAACCCCAGTAGAGACGGGGTTTCACCATGTTGGTCAGGCTGGTCTCGAACTCCTGACTTCAGGTGATCCACCCACCTCGGCCTCCCAAAGTGCTGGGATTATCCACCACGCCCGGCCTTGATTTTTATTTGAAAGCAATAATAGGTGCCAGATGCCATGATAAGCCCTTTGCATGCACTATGTCATTTAATCCTCACGATAACTATACGAGTATTTTTTATTAGCACCCTCATTGAACAGGTAATGGCACTGCAGCACAGAAGGTAAAGTCAGTCTCTTGAGGCAGACCAATGCACCATACTGTACTGAGGACAGGTCTTCTTACTGCCTTTAGGAAGTACAGTCATGCATCACTTAATGATGAGGATACTTTCTGAGAAATGTTAGGCAATTTTGTTGTGCACACATAGAGTGTACTTACACAACCTAGATGGCATAGCCTCCTGTACACCTAGGCTATGTGGTAAAGCCTGTTGCTCCTAGGCCACAAACAGGTAAGGCATGTTACTGTACTGAATACTGTAGGCAGTTATAACACAACAGTAAGTATTTGTGTATCTAAACATAGAAAAGGTATGGTGAAAACATGATATGAAAGATTAAAAAATGGTATGCCTTTATAAGGTACTTGCCATAAACGGGACTTGCAGGACTGAGAGGTGCTCTGGGCGAGTCAGTGAGTGGGTGGTGAGTGAATGTGAAGGCCTAGAACCTGTAGACGTTATAAACACTGTATGCTTACAAATTTTATTTTTAAAATTTCTTTTTTCAGCAATAAATTTATTGTAACTTTTTTACTTTATAGTTTTTTTATTTTTTTAACTCTTTAACTCTTGTAATAACACTTAGCTTAAAACACGAATGCATTGTACAGCTCTACAAAAATATTTTCTTTATATCCTTAGTCTATAAGCTTTTTTTAAAAAGACTTTTTAAACTTTTTGTTACAAACTAAGATTCAAACACATACATTAGCCTAGACCAACACAGGGTCAGGATCATCAGTATCACTGTCTCCCATCCCCACATCTTGTCTCACAGAAAGGTCTTCAGGGACAGTAACATGCATGGACCTTTCATCTCCTATGATAACAGTGCCTTCTCCTGGAATGCTTCCTGAAGGGCCTGCCTGAGCCTGTTGTATAGTAACTGTCTTTTTAAAAAAATAAGTAGGAGTACACTCTAAATTAATAATGAAATTAAAGTAAATACAAAAACCAGTAACGTGGGTGTTTATTATCAAGTAGTATATACTGTCCATAATTGTAGTGATATGCTTTTTTAAGTGAAAGCAAGTTTATTAAGAAAGTAAAGGAACAAAAGAATGGCTATTCCGCAGGTAAAGCAGTCTGTAGTGGTATACTTTGTATGTAATTGCAGCGCAGATTTGTTTGCACCAGCTAATGCGATGGGCTATGACATTAACCCATCACTAGGTGAGAGGAATTTTTCAACTTCATTATAATCTTATGGGACCACCACATATATGCAATCTGTTGTCGATCTAAATGTTATATGGTGCATTACTATAGGTGTGCAAAGCACTCGAGGACTTCCGTATGACAGAGCTCCTCCTTCATGTCTGCTTGGTGCACCCTGATCACCCTGAATGTATCTTTTTTTTTTTTTTTTTTGAGACAGAGTCTCACTCTGTCACCCAGGCTGGAGTGCAGTGGTACCATCTCTGCTCACTGCAACCTCCACCTCCCGGGTTCAAGCGATTCTTCTGCCTCAGCCTCCTGAGTAGCTGGGACTACAGGCAGCCGCTACCACACCAGGCTAAATTTCAACTTTTTAGTAGAGACAGCATTTTGCCATGTTGGCCAGGCTGGTCTCGAACTCCTCACCTCAAGTGATCCACCCGTCTTGGCCTCCCAAAGTGCTGGGATTAGAGGCATGAGCTACCGTGCCTGGCCTGAAAGTGTCTTTTAAAACCTTGAAGTGACCCTCTGACAAACTGAGGAACTTTAACTTTGCCTCCATAGATTGATAGAAAAGTATGAGTAGTAGCCCTTTTGAAAATGATAGACCAACCTTATTTCTCTGACAGCCAACAGGGTTATGATACTTATTTTATAAATGGTAACCTCCCTCTGACCCTTACTTGGAGTGAGTTTTCAATAGTATGCATTCAATAAACATTCACCATTTTTATTCCAGCCATTACTGTCCTTGTGCCTCTTACTGGAACCTGTACTTTCATGCTCAGCAGGTGTCCAGCATTAAAAGAAAAAGTAAAGATTACCTAGAAAGAACTCCTCAACAGTAGTGCCACCCACCATCCTAGAGGTCGTCATAGTGTTTGTAGCTGGCCTTTCTTCCCCTTGAGAATTCTCCGTTGGTTTCCGTGATTTGGTTATCAACAGTCCTGCCTGCTCGCTTGCTGTCCTGTGTAGCTTTTGCTGCTTAGGTGCTGAGTGGTTCTATATTTCTTTCCCAGTCCTCTTTTGAGTGCCTGGCTGACATTTTCAATCTCTATTGGGCTCCAAACCAAACCAGTTTCGTGGTATTGTCCTCCAAACCTTGCCCTCTTATAGCATGAACAATGTGTTGAGCATGGGGTATTATAAGAGTTCTCATTTAGCATTCCACAGTTGAGGAATGTGTGTTACTTCAATTACCTTTGAGCTGTAGAAAAATCTTTAGCTGTGGTAACAGCCACTTCTAGGAGAGGAGAAAATACGGATCAACTAGCCCAATTTGCGATGTTAGGAATTTGTCGATTTTCTTAGTAGGATGGCTTTCAAAGGTTAGAGCATCAGAGTCACCTGAAGCCCGACTTTAACTGTAATGGTTTAAGATGGGGTTGATGGGGAAACTTGTAGTACCCCTCAGGTAATTCTGATACTGCAGCAAGGTTTGAGAATTCACAAAGTCTTTTTATTTTTCCTCCCGAGATAGTCTCATTCTGTCGCCCAGGCTGGAATACAGTGGCATGATCTCAGCTCACTGCAACCTCCGCCTCCCAGGTTCAAGCAATTGTCCTGTCTCAACCTCCTGAGTAGCTGGGATGACAGATGTGTGCCACCACACCTGGCTAATTTTTGTATTTTTAGTAGAGATGGGGTTTCTCCGTGTTAGCCAGGCTAGTCTCGAACTCCTGACCTCAGGTGACCCACCGGCCTTGGCCTCACAAATCAGTTTTTAATTAAAAATAAGCAGGAGGCTGAGTGTGGTGGCTCACACCTGTAATCCTAGCACTTTGGGAGCCCGAGGAAGGTGGATCACTTGAGCTCATGAGTTTGAGACCAGCCTGGGCAACATGGAGAGACCTTGTCCCTATAAAAAAAAAAAAAAAAAAATATATATATATATATATATATATATATATATATATAGTGTGTGTGTGTGTGTATATATATACACACACACACACAAAATTAGCCAGGTGTGGTGGCGTGTGCCTGTAGTCCCAGCTACTGGGGAGGCTGAGGAGGGAGGATGGCTTGAGTCTGGGAAGTGGAGATTGCAGTGAGCTGAGACTATGCCCCTGCATTCCATCCAGCCTGGGTGACACAGCCAGACCCTGTCTCAAAAATAATAATAATCAGTAAACCCAGTGTGGGGTTATTCCTTTAGATTACTATTATTTTGTTCTTGAACAATTGATTTTTATTTTTTTAGACTTTTTAGCCTTTATATAATCATTCTGTGTACTCTGCCTTCATAATAAAACTGGAAAAATTATGAGCAAGAAATAAGAGGTACTAGTTCTGAGGAATAGTTAAGATTATCATACTGAGTCCAATTGTAGCAGAATTTTTTGTTGCTTCTTTGTATGATACTTAAAATAGTTGAAAATTTGATTGGATTAAAGAGCATATTGGATCGCTGGAGTATCTGATGCTAGTAACATTCTGAACATTCTGCCTGTTAATGTGCCCGTCAAAGGAAGTAAATATTAATAAAACTTCTTCATTGAGAATATAACCGGTTTGGCTTTTGTAATGCCATTATATTCATTATATTAATTTTCATATGCTGAAAAATGTCCTCATGCGGAAATGTGGGGTACATGACAGGGAAAAGTTTCTGGTTTTGGATTACTTCTGTCAAAGCTCAGTACTCGCAGTCTTGTATTTAATCCTCTCCCTTTGCTACTTTCCCTACCAGGATGTTGCTTCAGAGTGTGAAGTCAAATGCATGCCAACATTCCAGTTTTTTAAGAAGGGACAAAAGGTACGTACATCTGACCTTTAAAACTCTAACTGGGCAATAGGAAACCCAGTATAAGTGAATAAATCACTGGAGTGATGTTCCCTTTAAAGATTGAGGCATATCACCAAGTTCTGCTTTTAAGAATTTTTAAATATGCCAAAATTCATTGGCTTAAGTACATAATGTGACAGCTAACTGAAAATCAATCTTTCCTAGAACTAGTCCTATTTATATCATAAAGCACATAGAATTTCTTAGACTTGGGCAGTTCATTTGTTGTTAAGTATTGTGTAAAAGAAAATTTGTACTTGAGCCTTTTGACTTTTCTCTTGATATTTTTTCTTTGTTTATAACTTAAATGAACTGTATGTTATTCAGGGAAGTTTACTTTAAATAAGATTATACTTCTTTTTCCCTCCACCCCTATTCTTCCTTCATTCTATGCTGAATACATATTTATACATATGTATATATATACATATGTATATGTATATATATAAATACATATTTATACATATTTTATGTATAAAACAGTGCTACAGTGCTACGTCTAATGTCAATTCAATATTCTCTTAACAGGTGGGTGAATTTTCTGGAGCCAATAAGGAAAAGCTTGAAGCCACCATTAATGAATTAGTCTAATCATGTTTTCTGAAAATATAACCAGCCATTGGCTATTTAAAACTTGTAATTTTTTTAATTTACAAAAATATAAAATATGAAGACATAAACCCAGTTGCCATCTGCGTGACAATAAAACATTAATGCTAACACTTTTTAAAACCGTCTCATGTCTGAATAGCTTTCAAAATAAATGTGAAATGGTCATTTAATGTATTTTCCTATATTCTCAATCACTTTTTAGTAACCTTGTAGGCCACTGATTATTTTAAGATTTTAAAAATTATTATTGCTACCTTAATGTATTGCTACAAAAATCTCTTGTTGGGGGCAATGCAGGTAATAAAGTAGTATGTTGTTATTTGTTATCTTTTGACAGAGAAAATAGCATTCTCTGTTTTAGCAGGTGAATCCTCTATGCTCTCCAAAAGATCAGCATGACCAAAATTGATGTCCACTCATGAAGGACTTGTTCGTTTTGTTTGTTTGTTTTGCCACGAGGATCGGATCTTGATTCTCCTCGAAGTATCTGAGAAAGTCTAGTTGTATAGGCCAGACATAGGTTCTGTCTTGAGTGGTAAAAGTTGTGGGAAATTATTACTTATATCATTCAAAGAACATTGTTTCTTGTGTTCTAAGCACAGTAAGGGGTTGGGGGTTTGAAGAAACTTTTTGAGTTTACATAATAATGAAGAGCAGAATTATCATATGCCAGGTATCATCTTTCTATTAATTCACTTAATCTTTGTAACAATCCTATTAGATATAGACACTATAATCCCCATTTACCTGTGAGGAAACAGACAAAGGGTGGTAATTTCCCCAGCATCACAACTAGTCATTGGAGGAGCTGGGATTTGAACCAAAGAAGTCTGGTACCAGAATATGTGCCTTTAACTACTACATTGCCCTCAGTGCAACAATCTGAGTAAGCAGGAAAATGATGGGCCCTTAGTTGAGTTTCTTTCCTCATGTGAAATTAGGATGCCAAACTTAGATGATCTCTCAAAATACTAATGGAATGCCTGTTATGTGCCAGGCATCATGCTAGGCTTGGGATAAAGCTGTGACTAAGACACCCTCATCCTCATACAGCTTACATTCTAGAAGCAGAGACAAACAGGTGAATAATAGACTGGTATATTCTACAAGGCAAAACCAAAAACTGGGCGCAGTAATGAGAAGAATAGGGGAACCAGCTGTGCATCAGGTGGTTGGACCTGGGTTCTTTGAGGTGACTGTAAACAGAGCTGTTGGATAAAAAGTACTCCAACCTGCTGAGAGCCAGGGAATCAGCTTTCAAGCAGAGAGAATGACAGACACAAAGGCTTGAGTCAAGAAAGAGCTTGGTACCTTGTAGAATCATCAGAGGAGCATGAAATAAAGCTCGATAGAGTGGCAGGGCCAGGTCAGCCAGGGCGTTATTTGTTCTAGAACGGATGAGAAACCATCGAAGGGTAAGTCAGGGTACATGCTTTGTTAACAAGTTATTTTGGCACCTGTATAGAAAACGGAAACTAAAAAGTGGAAAACCAGTTAGGCTTTTTTGTTTGTTTTTTGAGATGGAGTTTCGCTCTTGTCAGCCAGGCTGGAGTGCAATGGCGCAATCTCAGCTCACTGCAACCTCCGCCTCCCAGGGTCAAGCCATTCTCCTGCCTCAGCCTCCTGAGTAGCTGGGATTACAGGCACCCGCCACCATGCCCAGCTAATTTTTGTATTTTTAGTAGAGATGAGGTTTCACCATGTTGACCAAGATGGTCTCGAACTCCTGACCTCAGGTGATCCACCCACCTCAGCCTCCCAAAGTGCTGGGATTACAGGCGTGAGCCACTGTGCCCGGCCCCAGTTAGGCTTTTGCAATTACCTAGATCAGAGATAATGATAGCTGTGACTAGGAGGACAGTGGGGAAGTGACAGAGATGGAACAAAGCCTAAGGGCCTGTGAGAGGAAGACCCAGGAGTGAATCTCAGGTTTCTGGCAGAAGCCCTGGGTGTCGGGGTATGATGTGATGTCATGAGTGAGGTGAGGATGGGAGGGAGAAAGGGGTGGTGGTGAGGGAGTCAGTCTCTGGCCCTTCTGAGTTGGGTGCTTCTGAGGTGCACATCCCACTGAAGGTGCTGTGCAGGCTGTTGGGTACCTAGTTGAGAGCTCCAAGGACAGGTCTGGACTGGGATAGAAATTTGCAAGACATTGTCATGTAGATGGCACTTATAAACAAACATGACATCACCCAGGAAGAGTCCAGAGTGAAGAGGGCTCAAGATAGCCTGAAGGACTCAATATTTGGAGATCAAGTAGAATAGGAACCAACAAAGGAGACTGAAGGGTGGCCAGAGGGGAAAGACAAAAACCAGAAGAGGGTTTTATCCTGGAAGAACAGAGGAGAACATTTCAAAAAGGAAGGAGTATCATTTACCAAATTCCCTTGGAGCTAAGAAAGGTAAGGTTGAGAAAACAAAATGGAGGTTGGTGATTGCAACACAAAATTCCTATGGAGTGATGGGGAAGGAAGCCAGATTGGAGGGAACAGAAATCACACTTCTCATATCTGTCAAGCAATCCGGCCACCTCTGCCTCCCAAAGTGCTGGGATTATAGGCATGAGCCACTGTGCCTGGCCCAAACTTGTAGTTATAAAATGAATAAGTTCTGGGGAGCTAATGTGCGCCATGGTTACTATAGTTAATAATACCGTATTGTTCACTTGAAATTTGCTAAGAGTAGGTCTTAAGTGTGCTCACCCCACCCTCCACACACACACACACAAATGGTAACTGTGGTGATAGATATGTTAAGTAATGTGATTACTACACAGTGCATTCATATATCAAATAATTACATTGTACACCTTAAATATAAGCAATTATTGTCAATTATGCCTCAATAAAGCTAGAAGTTAGAAAAAAAAAAAAAAGAATAGATTCAGACCACAATAGGAGAGATTGGTGTTGGTTATGTCTTTCCTCCACCATAACCAGTGGGATGAAAGTGAGCGCAAGGTTAGAGAGCATTGTCGATTTAGGGATGGGAAGATGGCATTTCCATCTGATAGTTTCTGTTTTCCAAGCAGGCAGTTTTGAGGAGAAGGTATGAAATTGTTATCTTCACAGTGGCAAAGCAAAGCATGGTTTCTGGGCGTAGTTGAGTGTCTGCATGAGGTTTGTTAGGACCTCAGAGCCCTGCTGTGTGTGCAGGCAACTGAAGGTGGAGAGTTGAAGCCGGAGCAGGATTGGGTCTTTGTAGTTGAGTCCAGTAGTGAGTGGGGATGCAGAGAAGCTGACAGTACTTTTGAGGGATTGATTATACTGATGCAGTATAGAATCAAGGCTGGAGAAGTAGAGAGGAGAAGCCAAGAAGAGGCTGGTGAGCCACAGAAAAAGGAGTGTCTAAGGATTAGAGGTCTTGACAAGGTCAAAGAAGGCTGGCAGTGGGAGTGACTGAGCAAGCAAACTTTAAGAAGATGAGAGGTGGTAAGCAGAGTGAGATTTAAAAAACAGATTTGAGAAACAAATTTCCAGAGAAGACAAAGACTAGGGTGACCATGAGAAGGAGGTGAAGTGGGGTAGAGGAAGATTGGAACTCAGCAGGTCAAGGATTTGAGGCCAGGAACATACATGGGTTTCAGGGAAAGAAAATGGGAATAGGGATGGAAAGAGAAGTCTGTGAGGTGAACCATCTTTAGTGAGTGAGGAGGTTGATAGCAGATGGCAGCAGTAAGGAAGGTAGGAAGTTGGTACAACTTCATGAATGAGTTTCAGAGTAGTAGGAGATTTTGCAAGAAGGAGAAGTGGTTTGGAAGGGGCCTTAGGTGGGGAGGCAAGCAAAAAATCCAGTCACCTCCTGACTTGGGTATGTGGAGTGTAAAGTGTAGGGGAGGGGGAGCCCTTAGGATATTTCTGTTAAGGAAGGAGTTGATGTTCCAAGAACACATTAAAGATACAGAAACGGTTCCTGATCCAAAGCAAACTTCCAGCAGTTACTGTGAAAGGGATGGGGAGGGAGGGTTTGTTCAGGTTAAGGGCATGGGTCTAAATTTTGGCAGCACTTAGAATCAACTAGGGAGCTTTCCAAAAACAAAAGTGATGTTGGGATTCCAGTCCCAGAGATTTTGCTGTAAATGGGCTTGGGTGTTGCCTGGACACTATCTGATGTGCATTCAAAGTTGAGAACCAGCAGTTTAAGGGATATACAATATAGCCAGGAGATGATGGGTGACCAGCTGATCACCCATCTCTGGCAGTGATTGTGGTCAACACAATGAAATTCATTGATAGTCTCTTAGCATGAGATGGCAAACATCCTAATTGTTGCAGAAGGTAGTTAACAGATGCTTTTTATTTCTTGATTCGAAAGCAGTTTAAGAGACGAACATAAATATCATGGTGTTTCTTCTCATTCATATCGTTTCATAGCTGTTTACTGCCAACCTCCAAAAAATTCACAGATGCTAAACTTTGTTGCTTTGTTATGGAACAAGTGTTTAGAGTAGATGCTTTATAACTTGAATATATTATTACCTATTTAAAATAGTAAAGATATTAGAGTTAACTAAAGATCATACTTTATAAAAAAAATCTCAGTAACTGCACAGCACAATTCAATGTCATAAATTCTATTGTCCCCAAAGTGGATTACTTATATTAATAAATCTAGAAATATTAGTGAGCACTTTTTACTTGTCAATGCATAAAGTAATGAAGGTAAATATAGGATTTATAGTTCCGTAGAATATAGACTAACTAGTCATTAAAATAAGGCAAATATTGGCTGGGTGTGGTGGCTCACACCTGTAATCCCAGCACTTTAGGGGGCCAAGGCGGGGAGATCACCTGAGGTCAGGAGTTCGAGACCAGCCTGACCAACATGGTGAAACCCTGTCTCTACTAAAAATACAAAAATTAGCCGGGCTTGGTGGTGGGCACCTGTAATCCCAGCTACTCAGGAGGCTGAGGCAAAAGAACTGCTTGAACCCAGGAGGCGGAGGTTGCAGTGAGCCGAGACCGAGATTGCACCACTGCACTTCAGCCTAGGCGACAGAGTGAGACTCTGTCTCAAAAAGAAGAGAAGAGAAGAGACAAGGAAGGAAGGGGAGGCAAGGGGAGGGGAGGGGAGGGGAGGGCAGGGCACAGCAATGGAGGGGAGGGGAGAGGAGGGGCAAAAAGAGTATTCTGTTACATGAATACTGCAAAATGTATGGTATAGCACACTACCCTAGAGTTGTTCGTGGTCATCCAGAAGAAGCATGAGCTTAATGGCATGGCAGTTACTTTGGAGGAAGGCCAGGAATCCAACAGCTAGAATTTGAAGCAGAGCACCAGATGAAGCTGCAACGGAAGGTTGGAGCCTTGAACGCCTTGGAAATAATGTGGTCTCTTGTTCCCTGCATCGCAATGTGTTTTATGTCATGGCACACAAAGAAAACAATATTTGAACCCCCCACTGGGTTACAGTGGAAAGGATTTGGGAACATCTGTATGTGGCTTAGTGAAAAAATGACATTTTTACTTTAAACCATTTTAACACAAAAACCAAATGGAAACTATTACAGAGACTGTTAACTCCTGAATTTGTATAAAACTTCCACAAAAATATCTTACCTAATTTTTTAGTGTGAAACTTCAAGGTCATTTTCATGAATGTAACTTCTCTAAAAATGTTTAATTGTGAAATACAGAAGAATATATAAAACACATGCACAATTTTAGAAATATCAACAAAATGGCTAGCTGTGTAGTGATCGCCCAGGTTATGAAACAGAACATTGCCAATATCTTAAAAGTCCCCAGTGTATACCTATCATACCTTCTTCCTCCACCTGCCCAGAGATAACCCCATATGGCTCTTGTGATAATTATACCCTTGCTTCTTGCTTTTTTCTTTCTTTCTTTTATTTTTTTCCTGGAGACGGAGTTGCACTCCTGTCGCCCAGGCTGAAATGCAATGGCACGATCTCGGCTCACCACAACCTCTGCCTCCTGAATTCAAGCGATTCTCCTGCCTCAGCCTCCTGAATAGCTGGGATTACAGGCATGTGCCACCATGCCCAGCTAATTTTGTATTTTTAGTACAGACAGGGTTTCATCATGTTGGTCAGGCTGGTCTCGAACTCCTGACCTCAGGTGATCCACCTGCCTTGGCCTCCCAAAGTGCTGGAATTACAGGCGTGAGCCACCACACCTGGCCCATATTTGTGTATCCTAAACAAGACAATTCACCTGGTTTTGAATGCTATGTAAGTGGTATCGTCCTGTGATCTGCTTCTTGCACTCAACACCATGCTTGTGAGTGTCACTGTGTTAATGTGCATAATTGTAGTTCATTTGTTTTCCCGATCCAGAGTATTCCATTATATAGCTACACCACAATTTGTTTGTCCATTCTGCTGCTAATAGACTGGAGTTAGCCTCAGTTTTTATTTACAAAAAAAAAAATGCTGCCACAAACATACTTGATCACATCACTGGAATACGTGTGAAAGAGCTTCTTTAAGGTATGTGTTTGGAGTAAAATCTCTGGGTCATGGGGCGGTGCTTCTCAAACATTAACATGTGCATGACATTCTGATTTAGCAGGTCTGAGGCAGGGCCTGAGATTCCACATTTTTTATTTACTTACTTACTTATTTATTTATTTTATTTTATTTTTGAGACAGTCTCTCTGTTGCCCAGGCTGGAGTGCAGTGACGCGATCTCAGCTCACTGCAACCTCCACCTCCCAGGTTCAGCTGCCTCAGCTTCCCGAGTAGCTGGGACTACAGGCCCACAATTCCAATGCTGCTGGTCCAGGAACCACATACGGTGAGTAGAGTACAAATTTGACCAATGTTACTAGATAATGCCACTTTTCCCAAGTACTTATAGGAATGAGTCCCTGCTATTCTACATACTCCATAGTATCATTAGACTTAAATTTAAATGAAATAAAATCAAATTTAGCAGATGTGTAATTATGTTTCCTGGTTTTATCTTGCATTTCTTTCTTTTTTTATTTTTATTTTTTTGAGACAGTCTCACTGTGTCACCTAGGCTGGAGTGCAGTGGTGCAATCTTGGTTCACTGCAATCTCCACCTCCCAGGTTCAAGTGATTCTCATGCCTCAGCCTCCCGAGTAGCTCAGATTACAGGCATGCACCACCATTGTGGCTTTTTTTTTTTTTTTTTTTTTTTTTGGTATTCTTAGTAGAGACAGAGTTTCATGTGTTGGCCAGGCTTGTCTAAAACTCCTGGCCTCAAGTGATCCTCCTGCCTTGGCCTCCCAAAGTGCTGGGATTACAGACACGAGCCACTGTGTCCAGCCTAATTTTGCATTTCTGTAACTACTAGTGATGCTGAACATTTTCAATATGCTATTATGTAGATTTTCTCTTTTGTGATCTGTTTAAGTCTTTGTCCCCACTTTCCTATTGAATTGTCCATTCTTTACTAAGTGATTTGTAGGCATTCTTTATCCATTGTAGATACCAGTTCTTCATGGACTTTTTGGTTGCAAATATATTCTCAGTGTGGCACTTGTCTTTTCACCCACTTTGTGGAGTTAAGTAAACAGAAGTTCTGAATTTTGATATTGTTGAAACTTTGAGGTCAGGGAGATAATTGCTTTTAACATTGAAAACACTTTTTATGATAATCATTTTTTATGATAGCTTATGCCAGACACAATTCCTAATCAAGCTTTAAAATTTTATCTTTGTATTTTCACTAATAACCAATAAAAGAAAACTTTAATCCAGCTACTCGCAAGGCTGAGGCAGGAGAATCACTTGAACCTGGGAGGCTGAGGTTGTAGTGAGCTGAGATCATACCATTGCACTCCAGCCTAGGCAAGAGAGTGAGACCCTGTCTCAAAAAAAGTTAAAATAAATAAATAATAATTTAATTTTTGTTTGTTTGTTTTTGAGAGAGTCTCACTCTGTTGCCCAAGCTGAAGTGCAATGGCGCGATCTCAGCTCCCTGCAACCTCTGCCTCCCGGGTTCAAACAATTCTCCTGCCTCAGCCTCCCAAGTAGCTGGGGCTACAGGCATATGCCACCATGCCCGGCAAGATTTTTTTGTATTTTTAGTAGAGACGGGGTTTCACTGTGTTGGCCAGGCTGCTCTCAAACTCCTGAACTCGTGATCGGCCTCCCAAAGTGCTGGGATTACAGGCGTGAGCCACTGCACCTAGCCTAATAATAATTTTTTAAAAAAGAAAAGTTTAATCACACAAATAGGTGACAAAAATTTAAAACACTTTGACAGCCAGCATCTGATTGTTAAACCAACATCTAGGAAAAAGCCAAGATGGCTGAATAGGAACAGCTCCAGTCTACAGCTCCCAGCATGAGCGACACAGAAGACGGGTGATTTCTGCATTTCCATCTGAGGTACTAGGTTCATCTCACTGGGGAGTGTCGGACAGTGGGTGCAGGACAGTGGGTGCAGCATACCGAGTGTGACCTGAAGCAGGGCAAGGCATTGCCTCACCCGGGAAGCGCAAGGGGTCAGGGAATTCCCTTTCCTAGTCAAAGAAAGGGGTGACAGAGGGCACCTGGAAAATCGGGTCACTCCCACCCTAATACCGTGCTTTTCCAATGGTCTTAGCAAACGGCACACCAGGAGATTATATCCCGTGCGTGGCTCAGAGGGTCCTACGCCCACGGAGCCTCACTCATTGCTAGCACAGCAATCTGAGGTCAAACTGCAAGGCAGCAGCGAGGCTGGAGGAGGCGCGCCTGCCATTGCCGAGGCTTGAGTAGGTAAACAAAGCGGCCAGGAAGCTCGAACTGGCTGGAGCCCACTGCAGCTCAAGGAGGCCTGCCTGCCTCTGCAGACTCCACCTCTGGGGGCAGGGCATAGCCAAACAAAAGGCAGCAGAAACCTCTGCAGACTTAAATGTCCCTGTCTGACAGCTTTGAAGACAGTAGTGGTTCTCCCAGCACGCAACTTGAGATCTGAGAACGGACAGACTGCCTCCTCAAGTGGATCCCTGACCCCCGAGTAGCCTAACTGGGAGGCACCCCCCAGTAGGGGCAGACTGACACCTCACATGGCCGGGTATTCCTCTGAGACAAAACTTCCAGAGGAATGATCAGGCAGCAACATTTGCTGTTCACCAATATCCACTGTTCTGCACCCTCTGCTGCTGATACCCAGGCAAACAGGGTCTGGAGTGGACTTCCAGCAAACTCCAACAGACCTGCAGCTGAGGGTTCTGACTGTTAGAAGGAAAACTAACAAACAGATAGGACATGCACACCAAAACCCCAACTGTACGTCACCATCATCAAAGACCAAAGGTAGATAAAACCACAAAGATGTGGAAAAAACAGAGCAGAAAAACTGGAAACTCTAAAAATCAGAGCACCTCTCCTTCTCCAAAGGAACGCAGCTCCTCACCAGCAACGGAACAAAGCTGGACGGGGAATGACTTTGACGAGTTGAGAGAAGAAGGCTTCAGACCATGAAACTACTCCGAGCTAAAGGAGGAAGTTCGAACCCATGGCAAAGAAGTTAAAAACCTTGAAAAAAAATTAGATGAGTGGCTAACGAGAATAACCGATGCAGAGAAGTCCTTAAAGGACAAGATGGAGCTGAAAACCAAGGCACGAGAACTACGTGATGAATGCACAAGCCTCAGTAGCCCATGCGATCAACTGGAAGAAAGGGTATCAGTGATGGAAGATCAAATGAATGAAATGAAGCAAGAGAAGTTTAGAGAAAAAAGAATAAAAAGAAATGAACAAAGCCTCCAAGAAATATCGGACTATGTGAAAAGACCAAATCTATATCTGATTGATGTACCTGAAAGTGACGGGGAGAATGGAACCAAGTTGGAAAACACTCTGCAGGATATTATCCTGGAGAACTTCCCCAATCTAGCAAGGCAGGCCAACATTCAAATTCAGGAAATACAGAGAATGCCAAAAAGATACTCTTCGAGCAGAGCAACTCCAGGACACATAATTGTCAGATTCACCAAAGTTGAAATGAAGGAAAAAATGTTAAGGGCAGCCAGAGAGAAAAGTCGGGTTACCCACAAAGGGAAGCCCAGCACACTAACAGCTGATCTCTCAGCAGAAACTCTACAAGCCAGAAGAGAGTGGGGGCCAATATTCGACATTCTTAAAGAAAAGAATTTTCAATCCAGAATTTCATATCCAGCCAAACTAAGCTTCATAAGTGAAGGAGAAATAAAATCCTTTACAGACAAGCAAATGCTGAGAGATTTTGTCACCACCAGGCCTGCCCTAAAAGAGCTCCTGAAGGAAGCACTAAACATGGAAAGGAACAACCAGTACCAGCTACTGCAAAAACATGCCAAATTGTAAAGACCATCAAGGCTAGAAAGAAACTGCATCAACTAACAAGCAAAATAACCAGCTAACATCATAATGACAGGATCAAATTCACACATAACGATATTAACCTTAAATGTAAATGGGTTAAATGCTCCAATTAAAAGACACAGACTGGCAAATTGGATAAAGAGTCAAGACCCACCAGTGTGCTGTATTCAGGAAACCCATCTCACGTGCAGAGACACACATAGGCTCAAAATAAAGGGATGGAGGAAGATCTACCAAGCAAATGGAAAACAAAAAAGGCAGGGGTTGCAATCCTAGTCTCTGATAAAACAGACTTTAAACCAACAAAGATCAAAAGGGACAAGGCCATTACATAATGGTAAAGGGATCAATTCAACAAGGAGAGCTAACTATCTTAAATATATATGCACCCAATACAGGAGCACCCAGATTCATAAAGCAAGTCCTTAGTGACCTACAAAGAGACTTAGACTCCCACACAATAATAGTGGGAGACTTTAACACCCCACTGTCAACATTAGACAGATCAACGAGACAGAAAGTTAACAAGGATACCCAGGAATTGAACTCAGCTCTGCACCAAGCGGACCTAATAGACATCTACAGAACTCTCCACCCCAAATCAACAGAATATACATTCTTTTCAGCACCACACCACACCTATTCCAAAACTGACCACACAGTTGGAAATAAAGCACTCCTCAGCAAATGTAAAAGAACAGAAATTATAACAAACTGTCTCTCAGACCACAGTGCAATCAAACTAGAACTCAGGATTAAGAAACTCACTCAAAACCGCTCAACTACATGGAAACTGAACAACCTGCTCCTGAATGACTACTGGGTACATAATGAAATACACCTGGCAATGATAGAGCTGACCCAGCATGTGCCCAGGTGAGTCCTGTTGAGGAAGTGCACGGTAAAAATTCACAAATTGAGGGGTAAGATGGTCATTTTGCTCAGGAGGGCTGAGCAAGTAACTCTTGAATTCTGATTCATGCTTTTTCTTTGATCAACGTCATTTGTCATTACTGAATGCCTTCCAAAAACTCATTTGGATGTCGTATGTGCTAAACTTTTCTCAGGCGCCCTCTGAACCAACCCAGTCTTCAAGGTAACTGCTCATTTTATCTTTCAGTGTTTTTCTGTCTTTGACTTTAGAAAGGCAAATGATGAAAACAGAATTGAAAACTTAGGTTGTTTTCCTCTGTGAAAAAATGTATAGATGTTCTTTGAAACCAACGAGAACAAAGACACAACATACCAGAATCTCTGGGACACATTCAAAGCAGTGTGTAAAGGGAAATTTATAGCACTAAATGCCCACAAGAGAAAGCAGAAAAGATCTAAAATTGACACCCTAACATCACAATTAAAAGAACTAGAGAAGCAAGAGCAAACACACTCAAAAGCTAGCAGAAGGCAAGAAATAACTAAGATCAGAGCAGAACTGAAGAAATCAGAAACACAAAAAACCCTTCAAAAAATCAATGAATCCAGGAGCTGGTTTTTTGAAAAGATCAACAAAATTGATAGACCGCTAGCAAGACTAATAAAGAAGAAAAGAGAGAAGAATCAGATAGATGCAATAAAACATGATAGAGGGGATATCACCACCGATCCCACAGAAATACAAACTACCATCAGAGAATACTATAAACACCTCTATGCAAATAAACTAGAAAATCTAGAAGAAATGGATAAATTCCTCGACACATACACCCTCCCAAGACTAAACCAGGAAGAAGTTGAATCTCTGAATAGACCAATAACAGGCTCTGAAATTGAGGCAATAATTAATAGCTCACCAACCAAAAAAAGTCCAGGACCAGATGGATTCACAGCCGAATTCTACCAGAGGTACAAGTTGGAGCTGGTACCATTCCTTCTGAAACTATTCCAATCAATAGAAAAAAAGGGAATCCTCTCTAACTCATTTTATGAGGCCAGCATCATCCTGATACCAAAGCCTGGCAGAGACACAACAAAAAGAGAGAATTTTAGACCAATATCCCTGATGAACATCGATGCAAAAATCCTCAATAAAATACTAGCAAACCGAATCCAGCAGCACAACAAAAAGCTTATCCACCATGATCAAGTGGGCTTCATCCCTGGGATGCAAGGCTGGTTCAACATATGCAAATCAATAAATGTAATCCAGCATATAAACAGAACCAGCAACAAAAACCACATGATTATCTCAATAGATGCAGAAAAGGCCTTTGACAAAATTCAACAACCTTCATGCTAAAAACTCTCAATAAATTGGGTATTGATGGGACGTATCTCAAAATAATAAGAGCTATCTGTGACAAACCCACAGCCAATATCATACTGAATGGGCAAAAACTGGAAGCATTCCCTTTGAAAACTGTCACAAGACAGAGATGCCCTCTCTCACCGCTCCTACTCAACATAATGTTGGAACTTCTGGCCAGGGCAATCAGGCAGGAGAAGAAAATAAAGGGTATTCAATTAGGAAAAGAGGAAGTCAAATTCTCCCTGTTTGCGGATGACATGATTGTATATCTAGAAAACCCCATTGTCTCAGCCCAAAATCTCCTTAAGCTGATAGGCAACTTCAGCAAAGTCTCAGGATACAAAATCAATGTGCAAAAATCACAAGCATTCTTATATACCAATAACAGACAAACAGAGAGCCAAATCATGAGTGAACTCCCATTCACAATTGCTTCAAAGAGAATAAAATACCTAGGAATCCAACTTACAAGGGATGTGAAGGACCTCTTCAAGGAGAACTACAAACCACTGCTCAGTGAAATAAAAGAGGACACAAACAAATGGAAGAACATTCCATGCTCATGGGTAGGAAGAATCAATATCGTGAAAATGGCCATACTGCCCAAGGTAATTTAGAGATTCAATGCCATCCCCATCAAGCTACCAATGACTTTCTTCACAGAATTGGAAAAAACTGCTTTAAAGTTCATATGGAACCAAAAAAGAGCCCACATTGCCAAGTCAATCCTAAGCCAAAAGAACAAAGCTGAAGGCATCATGCTACCTGACTTCAAACTCTACTGCAAGGCTACAGTAACCAAAACAGCATGGTACTGGTACCAAAACAGAGATATAGACCAATGGAACAGAACAGAGCCCTCAGAAATCATGCTGCATATCTACAAGCGTCTGATCTTTGACAAACCTGACTAAAACAAGAAATGGGGAAATGATTCCCTATTTAATAAATGGTGCTGGGAAAACTGGCTAGCCATATGTAGAAAGCTGAAACTGGATCCCTTCCTTACACCTTATACAAAAATTAATTCAAGGTGGATTAAAGACTTAAACGTTAGAACTAAAACCATAAAAACCCTAGAAGAAAACCTAGGCAATACCATTCAGGACATAGGCATGGGCAAGGACTTCATGTCTAAAACACCAAAAGCAATGGCAACAAAAGCCAAAATTGACACATGGGATCTAATTAAACTAAAGAGCTTCTGCACAGCAAAAGAAACTATCATCAGAGTGAACAGGCAACCTACAGAATGGGAGAAAATTTTTGCAATGTACTCATCTGATGGAGGGCTAATATCCAGAATCTACAATGAACTCAAACAAATTTACAAGAAAAAAACAACCCCATCAACAAGTGGGAGAAGGATATGAACAGATACTTCTCAAAAGAAGACATTCATGCAGCCGAAAGACACGTAAAAAAATGCTCATCATCACTGGCCATCAGAGAAATGCAAATCAAAACCACAATGAGCTACCATCTCCCACCAGTTAGAATGGCGATCATTAAAAAGTCAGGAAACAACAGGTGCTGGAGAGGATGTGGAGAAATAGGAACACTTTTACACTGTTGGTGGGACTGTAAACTAGTTCAACCATTGTGGAAGTTGGTGTGGCGATTCCTCAGGGATCTAGAACTAGAAATACCATTCGACCCAGCCATCCCATTACTGGGTATATACCCAAAGGATTATAAATCATGCTGCTATAAAGACACATGCACACGTATGTTTATTGCAGCACTATTCACAATAGCAAAGACTTGGAACCAAGCCAAATGTCCAACAATGATAGACTGGATTAAGAAAATGTGGCACATATACACCATGGAATACTATGCAGCCATAAAAAATGATGAGTTCATGTCCTTTGTAGGGACATGGTTGAAGCTGGAAACCATCATTCTCAGCAAACTATCACGAGGACAAAAAACCAAACACCACATGTTCTCACTCATAAGTGGGAATTGAACAATGAGAACACGTGGACACAGGAAGGGGAACACCACACACCGGGGCCTGTTGTGGGTTTGGGGGAGGGGGTAGGGATAGCATAAGGAGATATACCTAACCCTAACTGACGAGTTAATGGGTGCAGCACACCAACACGGCATGTGTATACATATGTAACAAACCTGCACGTTGTGCACATGTACCCTAAAACTTAAAGTATAATAAAAAAAAAACAACATCTAAAATTTTATTTAAAAGAAACATGAGTTTTTTTCTTTGTCCAATGTAGTATTAAAATTTACTGTTATAATGCTGATAGATTTCAAATCCAATTTTATGTCTTCCAATCAAATTTTTATTTCTTTTTTAAAATTGTATTTTGAGACACAGTTTTGCTCTGTCATCCTGGCTGGAATGCAAGGGCGTGATCATGGTTCACTGCAGCCTCTAACTTCCAGGCTCAAGCCATCCTCCTGCCTCAAACTGCCCTGCCAGGCCCTCTAACCCTCAGTAGCTGGAACTACAGGTGTGCACCTCAGCCCTCCCAAAGTGCTGGGATTACAGGCATGAGCTGCCACTCCCGGCATCAAATTGTTCAAAATGATAATGCAACTAATTCTAAAAAAGCACATGCACTGTTAGAGCAATCACCCTGTAGCCACACAGAGGGCACATCAGTGATTATTGAGCAAAAGAATCAAATACATGTGAAGACAGAAATTTGAACCAGTACGCCAGCTTGCAGCATTCCCCCTTCCCCAACCAGCCATACCTTGGGTTGAGCTTCCTGGACACCCGGGCAACATTCTCCTTCTGCGTCTCTGTGGGTAACATGTCTGCAGTGGGCAGTGGAGGACATGGGCAAACCTGGCCCAACTCAGGCTACCATCCAAGAAGCCTCAGGAGAAGCTGCTTTTACCTGAAGCTGATAGGCCCAGGAGCAGCCTGGATCACTGGCCAATTGATATTTTGTACCACACCTGTAGCCTCTTTCCCTTCCCTGGGATACAGGCTGGGAAGCTATGCTCTAGTAAAGAAGAAACCTTAGAATACTTTAGGGTGTAGTAAGAAAGACCACTGGAGGCAGCGGATGAATGAGAACAGCTGTTCTCAATTCTGGCTGCATAGTCAAATCTACCAAGTTGCTTTAAAATTATCCTGGTAGCTGGGGCCTCACTTCCAGGGAGTCTGATGTAATTGCTACGGATAAGGCACAGACATCAGTAAATTTTTTTGAGATAGGGTCTAGCTTTGTTGTCCAGGCTAGTCTCAAATTCCTGGGCTTAAGTGGTGCTCTAACCTCAGCCTCCTGTGTAGCTAGGATTACAAGTGTGTGCCACCCTACCTGGCCAGGCATCAGTAATTTTTTAAGAGTTCTCCAGATGATTTAAATAAGCAATTGGTCATGAAAATTGCTAGATTATGTGCTCCAGGGCAGGGATATCATTGGGGAGCATATGCAGTAAGGAAGAAACTGGAGGACCTGGACTGTGTCTGCGAAGTTGAAGCGGGAGTGCTGGTGTAGACCAGTATTTTTTAGAGTGTAGTCATCCGAACTTCTAACACATATAGGTTCCTGGACCTCATCTATATAATTAGAATGTCTTGGGTGGGACCCAGTGATCTGCATTTTAAATAAGCTCCCCAGGTGATTCTTAGAACACTGATATTTGAAACATGATAAATAATTTGTAGACAGAACCTACACCATTCTATCATTACCTACAGGTAATAATATAAAGATTTTTAAAACTGACTTCAAGAATTCACTGGAGTGTCATATACCCAAATGAAATACATGAATAATTCACCAAAAGGCATGTCTTAGAATAAGCCTCAGTGAAACCAGCAAAAGAACATATCCGGCCAACTTTCAGAAAATTAATAAATCATTGCTATTATAAGCCATGGTTTTGAACTTGTTTGTTACATAGCAATATATAACGAACATAGCTGTGAATGGTATTCAATTTGCTGCCCATGCGGGAGATGAGCATTACTTCAGTGTACAGAAGGAAATTGAGTGGAAGAAGCAATAGTGCATTAGTCTGTTTTCACACTGCTAATAAAGACATACCCAAGACTGGGTAATTTAAACAGAAAAGAGGTTTAATGGACTCACAGTTCCACATGGCTGGGGAGGCCTCACAATCATGGCAGAAGACAAAAACGAGCAAGTTGCATCTTACATGGATGGCAGCAGGCAAAGAGAGAGAGAACCTGTGCAGGGGATCTCCTCCTCAATGAAATCATCAGATCTTGTGAGACTTATTGACTATCACGAGAACAGCACAGGAAAGACTGCCCCCATGATTCAATTATCTCCCACTGGGTCCCTCCCATGACATGTGGGAGTTGAATTCAAGATGAGACTTGGGTGGGGACACAGCCAAACCATATCAAATAGGTAAGAGCAGAGAATAATTAACTTGTTGACTCTTCTTAGCCTACCAGCAGTTTATACTCATATTACAAAATGTCATTTCCTGATAATGCCAGAGAATCCACTTACTCGCTTTTCTTTGTGTTTCAGTCCTCAGTTCTGAGATACTCACAAATTAGTATAGTGTTGCAACAGTTGCACATAGCAGCTGAGGAACATTTTGCAAAAATCACAAAATTCATAATACTCTTGAATTTGTGTATAAATATATAGACCTAGAGGTAATGTGAATGGTGTTACTAATCATAATTCTTTCCATTGGAAAGTAGGTAGACATTGAATACTAGAATTGAGTAGTTTTATTTTCTATTAAAATATTTCATAAGATTAGTTTTTTAATAATTACAATCTTTGGCTTTATTGAATAATTTCTTCACATTTTCACTTTTTAGTTTTAAGACAGTTTTGGATATTTAAAGAGAAAAGTAACTTTTGAAAATATGAGACCATTATAATTTTTTTATTTTCTAACATTTACATTTTTAGATAAAAATATATTCAAAGTTTGAATATTTGAAAACAACTACACATCATTATTTAAGCCTTTAGATCATTGAAATGAGTACAGATCAAGACCATAACAGAAATAGGTAATATAAAAGTAAAGTTCATGGCCAGGCATAGTGGTTCATGCTTGTAATTCCAGCATTTTGGGAGGCTGACAAGGGAGGATCCCTTGAGCCCAGGAGTTCAAGACCAGCCTGGGCAACATAAGGAGACCTTATTTCTTAAAAAAAAATGTTAAAAACTAGCCAGGTGTGGTGGCACATAGTCCCAGCTACTCAGGAGGCTGAGGCGGGAGAATTGCTTGAGCCTGGGAGATTGAGTCTGTGGTGAGCTGTAATTGTGCCACTGCACTACAGCCTGAGTGACAGAGTGAGACCCTATCTTGAAAATAAATAGATAAGTAAATAGAATCAGAAGAGAAACAAACTGCAAGGGAAAAATAGAAAATTTTCAAATAAGAGACTATTTAAAATTTTAAAACTGGCAACAATAAAAACTAGCAGACTTTATTGAGCATGTAAAGTTCAGACTTTATTGAGCATGTAAAGTTCAGAAATAAGGTATTGTAAATTATGAATGAACACTACTCATGAAAATAAAACAGGTATTTATTCTTATCAAATTCACAACTTGAACTTCAAGTCAGATTCAATCTTAGCAACTTCAAATTATCTGGTAAATGATTCTTTAGCTACTGTATTAGTCCATTCTCATACTGCTATAAAGAACTACCTGAGACTGGGTAATTTATGAAGAAAAGAAGTTTAATTGACTCACAGTTCTGCAGGTTTAACAGGAAGCAAGGCTTGGAGGCCCCAGGAAACTTACAATCCTGGTGGAAGGTGAAGGGGAAGCAAGCACCTTCTTTACATGGTGGCAGGAAAGAGAGAGAAGGAGAGTGAGGAGGGGAAGTGCCACACACTTTTAAGCCATCAGATATTGTGAAAACTCACTCACTATCATGAGAACAGCATGGGGGAAATCCACCCCCAAGATCCAATCACCTCTTACCAGGTCCCTCCCTCAACACTGGGAATTATAATTCAACAGGAGATTTGGGTGGGGACACAGAGCCAAAGTAAAAGTGAGATAGAAAAGAGAATTATTCATATCAAATACATAATTCAGAAGGAACAAATGTAACTCTGGGCTGCACCTTGCAAGATAGAGAAAATTATATCCATGAAATCAGCAAACTGGTCAAAAAGTTAGAACTTCTGGAGTGTCACTAGGTTTGTTGGATAATGATTCTGGAAACTGATCCTACTCCTTTTGACAGCATGAGATTCTTTGCGGCAAAACAAAATGTGCTTCAAATTAATCATTATGATTTTTCCTCAGATAATCATAACAGAAAATTTGCTATTTCATCTGTATTAGTCCCTTTTCACACTGCTATAAAGAAATACCTGAGACTGGGTAATTTTTAAAGGAAAGAGGTTGAATTGACTCACAGTTTTGCATGGCTGGGAAGGCCTCAGGAAACTTACAATCATGGTGGAAGGCAAGAAGCAGGCACCTTCCTCACAAGGCAGCAGGAGGGAGTGAGAGCAAGCAGGGGAAATGGCTGATGCTTATAAAACCATCAGATCTGATGAGAACTCACTCACTATCACGAGAACAGCATGGTGGGGGGGATCCACCTCCATGATCCAATCACGTCCCTCCCTGTACACGTGGGGATTACAAGTCCCTCCCCTGACACGGGGGGATGACAATTTGAGATGCGATTTGGGTGGGGGCACAGAGCCAAACCACATCATTATCTAACACTAGTTCTTCTAAAAAGAGGGTATTAAGCATTACTTTTTATTCTGTTATTTTGACATCTAGGGTCTTACTGACTGTTGGGAGACTGGCCCTCCACAGGCTAGCCAGCCAATTCCTAGGGAGAGTAAAGGACTCGTCTGTGAGCTGTCTTTCATATGCTAACCTACTGATCCAGAGCCCGTATCCCACATCCTGCTCTTACACTCAAGGCCACTATCCACCTACCCTGGTCACCCCAGAGCCAGGTACCAGGCAACTAGGGACAGCCCCTATACCCCTAGAGACCACTGAAATTATTCAAACTAGCCAATTCTAAACCTGCTTACCCTGCCTCATCTGTTCCTTCCTGTAGAAACCACAGTACAGGCTCTTGCATATGTTTTCTCCTCACTCCTTTTGCTTCTTGACCAACCCTGGTGCTTACCTGTGTGGCATGTCCTCTTGTATTAGTCTGTTCTCAAGCTGCTAATAAAGACATACCTGAGACTGGGTCATTTATAAGGAAAGAAGTTTAATGGACTCACAGTTCCACATGTCTGGGGAAACCTCACAATCATGGCGGAAGATGAAGGAAGAGCAAAGGGAAGGCTTACATGGTGGCAGGCAAAGAGGGCTTGTGCAGGAGAACTCCCATTTATAAAACCATCAGATCTCGTGAGACTTATTCACCACTATGAGAACAGCATGGGAAAGACTCACCCCCATGATTCAATTACCTCCTACTGGGTCCATCCCACGACACATGGGAATTATGGGAGCTACAATTCAAGATGAGATTTGGGTAGGGACACAGCCAAACCATATCACCTCTCTTCTTGGAACTGTGAATAACAAACTGTCTTTTCAATGGCAGTCATCTCCTGATCTGTTGGCCTTAGCATACCTGAAGAATAAAACCTACATTTTAAAGCGCAGAGAAAGACCCTGTAGAAACTGGCTTTTATATTCTAAGTCCAAGGAAAAGCATTTTTGTATTCCCATTATGTGTCTGACAAACCTAGTTTTCAGGATTATCTTTGGCCAAGGTGTGTATTGATGACTAACTAAACTAGATTCTGCACTAGAATTTAGTAATCTAGATTCTTCATTAAAGGAATATGAAACATCACATGTGCATAAAAAGGAAGCACATATGCAATTACTAAAACTGGCGGGAAAAGGTGAGTAGGTTAGTCAACAGTTAACAATTGATGATATTGAAAAATAGTAAGTCAATACTGGCTAGGAATATTGGCTTAAATTGCTTGAAAAACAACAGTATTAAGCCAAGAATTTTTGTGTCCTCTTTAAGCAATCTTTGCTTAACTGACTGCACAATGTCTAAAGAAAACAATGGAAAGTACTATAAATGCTTTTGAAATTTGGTGCTAGAATGGCCAAATAGATAAAAACAGGGAGGCAAATGATTATTATCTCAGATGGATAATATTGATAATAATGATTGTAATATGAAAATATTACTATCATTCTTTACCTATAAATTCAAAATAGAATTTATAGGTAAAAAATTCAAAGTAAAATTTATAGGTAGAAAAATGATTGTAATATTTTCAAAAAAGAAATTTATATTTGGTTCAATTTGATCATCAGAGACAAATGTTATTTCAACTAACAGTTATTATATGTATTGTTGAACTACCAGAAAAAGAAAACAAGAAATTTGATGTGAATATTTTATTCATTTTATACCTTTTGTAAAAAGCATAGCTATTGTCTTTAGTGATATGGGGAGTTGAGCACCTTTCCATATGCTTATTGGCCTCTTTTTTGAAGTACTTGCTTGTTTTCTGACAATTTCTGTATTCGATGTCTATTTCTTTCTTTTTTGTTTTTTTTTTTTTTTTTAGAGATGGGGTCTCACTGTGTGGCCCAGGCTGGTCCCACACTCCTGGGCTCAAGCAGTCCTCCTGCTCAGCCTCCCAAAGTGCTGAGATTACAGGTGTAAGCCACCATGCCCAGCCTAGATGCCTATTTTTTATTAATTAGTTCTTTATATATTCTAGGTACAAATCCATTGACTGACTTTTTATATCTACTCAGTGCCTTGCATTTTTAGTCTTAGTATCTGTGATGAGAAATTCAGAATTTTAAACTGTTAATGTAGTCCATTTTAATCAATCATATCCTTTATCATTGGTAGCTTTTCTGTCCCATTTAAACCATCTTTTCCTTCCCTGAATAAACAAAAATATTCTATGATTTCTTCTAGAAGATGTATTGTCTTTTTAGATGGGGACTTACAATTTATTTAGAATTGAGTTTTGTGTATGATGTGAGGTAGGGGTCAAGATGTGGATATCCATTAGGCTATCTGTTTATTGAAAAGGTCATCTCAGCTAGGCATGGTGAGTCATGTCTGTAATCCCAGGCAGTTGGATCACTTGAGTCCAGGAGTTCAAGACCAGCCTGGGCAATGTAGTGAGACCCCATCTCAAAAAAAGAAAAAGAAAAGGTCATCTCTTCCTTCCTCATTGCTCTGAAGTGCCACCTTTGTCATAAACATATTATGCTGGTTTATTTCAAGGGAGTTTTCTGATTTGATATAAATGGGTACATGGCATGAAATTGACTTCTCTTTGATTTAGATTCCCCTCTCCTTGGGCCTCCATGTGAATTCAATACAGGAGTTGTTTGGGGGTTTAATTATTGTCACTAGATCATCAGAGAGTGTATTCACGTAGTATATCAATTAGCTTTCAAGGTAAAGTACAAATTCTAATTTCTGGATGGATCAGAACTTTCTTCCAACTCTTACCTCACGCCTTTTTCCTTCTGCAGACTGCAGTTATAAAGATGTCGGGAGTGTTCTAGTTGGTTATCTGTCTTCCATGTTCACAAACTTCCTACAGGCCCAAATTGCTTATCTTTTTGTCACAGTTTTATTGATATCTTCTTTTTCCTTTGACCATTCAAAAGAATACCCACTCCCTCAGGAGGGCTGAGCTAAAGCTGGGGACACCGGAGCTAAATAAAGACACATAAAAGACTTATTCCTAAGGCTAGGCATGGTGGCTCATGCCTGTAATAATCTCAGCACTTTGGGAGTCCCAGATGGAAGGATTGCTTAAGGCCAGGAGTCCAAGACCAGCCTGGGTTAAATGGTGACACCCCCTATCTCTACAAAAAAAAAAGTTTTTAAAAAAATAGCCAGACATGGTGGTGCATCCCTATAGTCCCAGAAACTCTGTAGGCTGAGGTGGGAGGATCGCTTGAGCCCAGGAGTACAAAGTTATAATAAACTGTGATAGTGCCAATGCACTCTAGCCTGGGCAATGGAGCCAGACCCCATTAAAAAAATTAATAAATAAAGACATTCCTTAGTGATTTTCCAGTGAGGAAGTGGGGAGGCCATCCAGGTCTGTCTCTATCCAGAGAACCCAGCAGTTGAGGACAAATTAAAACTTCCATGAGGCTCAACGTCCAGCAAACATCTAACTTAATTCCACTTCTCAAAGTTCCTTTAGTTCTTGGGCTTACCACATCTCCAAATCCACCAAAAGACAAACATAGCCAATTAGAATATCAGAAAGGGCCAAATTAAATGCCGAAACCCAAGAGGGAAAGTATGCCAAACTGAACAACTTTTACCTGTCTAGTTCAAGTTGGGTAATTTCTAGAAGTCCAGGAGTCATTAACGAAACCTCTTGGGACCCAAAATTTATTCTCCAAAAGACACAGATGCAGCTGAAATCGTTGATAAAAACCAAAACGGAAACTAGTAGGACTTTTTAATTTCTCTGAAGTGTAGTGCACACATGTAGATTTGTGCACAAATTAACATGCTCTTCAGATGCGTCCAGTGTAGGTGAGCAACAGAGCAGAGGCCCACACTGGGATAATAGCCTAGGCAGAAGCTCACAGCCTGAGTAACAAGGCAGGGCAAATTTACAGTTCAGATAGCTATGGGTAAAGTCCAGGTTGAAAATCTGTGAAACTGGATTCACTACTCTTTTCTGAATCTGTGTGACAAGTTCAAAGTTCAAGGAGCAGTGCAGAGGGTACACATCTACCTATGTGACGACAGGGCAGAGAACTCAGAGCCGGGAATCTAGGAAGATGGAGACTGAAAGCAGAGCCCTTCCCCCCTCCCACTACTTCTCCAGTATAAATGCATTTCTGCAAACAGACCAGCCAGGACCATGAACAGAAAAAAAAGTTTCTCTGGGCCGGGAGCAGTGGCTCACGCCTGTGATCCCAGCACTTTGGGAGGCCGAGGTGGGTGGATCACGAGGTCAGGAGTTCGAGACAAGCCTGGCCAGCATGCTGAAACCCTGCCTCTACTAAAAATACAAAAATTAGCTGCGCATAGTGGTGCGCACCTGTAATCCCAGCTACTCGGGAGGTTGAGGCAGGAGAATCGCTTGAATCCGGGAGGCAGAGGTTGCAGTGGCCGAGATCGTGCCACTGCACTCCAGCCTGGGTGACAAAGCAAGACTCTGTCTCAAAAAAAAAGAAGAAAGGAAAAAAGAAAAAAAAAAAGGAAAAAAAAGTTTCTCTGAAAGTAGGTAGCTTGACAAGCAACCGTTTAAATAGCTCAGTGGTTCTTGACCTTGGCTGCACCCTGGCAAGTTTTGAAACAGGGTCTCACTCTGTTGCCCAGGCTGAAGTGCAGTGATGCGATCTCGGCTTACTGCAACCTCTGCCTCCCAGGCTCAAGTGATTCTCCCACCTCAGCCTCTCAAGTGTCTGGGATCTCAGATGTGCGCCACCACACCCAGCTAATTTTTTGTGGTTTTTATAGAAGCAGGGTTTCATTCACCATGTTGCCCAGGTTGGTCTCAAACTCCTGAGTTCAAGTGATCCTCCTGCCTCAGCCTCTCAAAGTCCTGGGATTACAGGCATGAACCACTGTACCCTGCACCTCTGGCAAGTTTTAAAAGTACTGATGCCTGGGCTCCACCTGCTCCTGTGATTTGGATTCAATTGGTGTGGGATGAAGCCCCAGTGTAAGTAATTTTTTTAAGTTATCCAAGTGATTCTTAACGTGCGGTCTGGGTTGAGAGCACCCGAATTTAATTTAAGCGACTTTGGACAGCAGTCATCCGACCACAGCTTAAACAGAGAACAGTCCCCAAGAGTGTGGGGCCAAACTGCTGGGAAAGACTTTTCAATGATTAGATTCAGGGTGAGTTGATTAAAGGAATACTCGAAGATTATGCAGCAAAAGATCAAGTTGTACCTAGGTGTTCACTTATTTTAAAGCTTGTACAAAACATTATCTGACAACTTGACTAAAGTTGTTTAACCTAGTAATTTTTTTAAAGAGGGTTTTGTTATAATAAAATGTGGGGAGAACATCTCATGACTCCAATAAACTCAGGCTTCAATACCATGGGATATGAGGTATGGGGTAGTGGAATAAACATGAGCTTTGAGAACAGAACAAAGTAGGTATAAAACCTGTGCTGCCAGTTTTTAGCTGCAGGACCTGAGGTGGCTCACTGAAGCTTTCTGAGCCTGGAGTACTTCATCTGTAAGATGGGGATGATAATACCTGTTTTTTAGGAAGCTTGTGAGGATGAAATGGGATGGCGTATTTAAAGCATGTTTGTTGGTTAGACTCTTTGATGTCAGAGCCACCTGGGTTAATTTGGGTTTATGGTGAAGATGCTCAGGGAAGGTAACAGTCATGAGCCCTAGCTGGAATTCCTTGGGGCTACTGTACTGTCTTTGGGATGGGAGGCAGTCCTGGCCACCCCCACATCAGGCATCATTCATTCTGGTGTTCTATCATAATCATGGTTCATATACTTTCCATGTCTTTTCTTTGACTGTGGATGAAGGGTCTCTTCCCTGTTTTATTTTGGAAGTCCAATTAGCTGGACCTGCTACCCTCCTGTATAGGAGCCCTGCTTACTACAGCTTCCACCCCAGGCCACTTCACAGGCTTCTGGCTGACCCTAGATGGCTGCTCAGGGAGAGTGGTGAGGTCACATGGCACCGAGCTTGCATGGGGAGCCTTTGTGCTTCCCAGAAGGGGAGTCGATGGCAGGCAAATGTCTGGTCTGGCCTGTGGTTCTGTTCTGCGTGTTCCAGCCCTTAGGAGCTCACTAAATAGCAGCTGGGCCAGGCGCAGTGGCTCACATCTGTAGTCCCAGCACTTTTGGAGGCTGAGGCCAGAGGATTGCTTAGGGCCAGGAATTTGAGACCAGCATGGGAAACAGCTCAAGTGATCCACCTACCTAGGTCTCTCAAAGTGCTGGGATTATAGGCATGAGCCACCATGCCCAGGTGGCTGTTATAGTACATTGTGTTTTATCATTGGTAAAACTGTTTTTAAATTTTGTAATATCTTTTCTTAGGTATTTTAGATGAAATATTAAGTTTGGTTGTTCCATAGCATTCCTTCAATATCTTTTATATGATATCTATTGGGGAATAGAGAAGCCTCATCTCTATTAAAAAATAAAATTAGGCCTGGCATGTTGGCTCACGCCTGTAATCCCAGCACTTTGGGAGGCCAAGGCAGGTGGATCACGAGGTCAGGAGTTCAAGACCAGTCTGGTCAACATGGTGAAACCCCGTCTCTACTAAAAATACATAAATTAGCAGGGTGCAGTGGTGGGCGCCTGTAGTCCCAGCTACTCAGGAGGCTGAGGCAGAAGAATCACTTGAACCCAGGAAGTGGAGGTTGCAGTGAGCCGAGATCTTGCCACTACACTCTAGCCTGGGTGACAGAGCGAGACTCCGTCTCAAAAAAATTAAATTAAATTTAATTTAAATTAAAAAGAAAAAAAAAAGACCAGTTGTGGTGGCTCATGCCTGTAATCCCAGCACTTTGGAAGGCCAAGGTGGGCGGATCATTTGAGGCCAGGAGTTCGAGACGAGCCTGGCCAACATGGTGAAACCTGGTCTCTACTAGAAATACAAAAATTGGCCCGGCGTGGTGACACACACCTGTAATCCCAGCTACTCGGGAGGCTGAGACACAATAATCGCTTGAACCCGGGAGGTGGAGGCTGCAGTGAGCCAAGGTCGCACCACTGCGCTCCAGCCAGGGCAACAGAACGAAACTCTGTCCGTCTCAAACAAGGACAACAAAAAAGCAGCTGAAATGTCAAAAACCCTTTTTTTGTCTGGCTATGACTCAAAGTCCCCACTAGAGGGCAGGAAACTTACATTTAAGATGGATTTTATGTTCTAAAGGTTAATAAACTGGATAAATGATAATGATTATTGAAATCATAGTCATAGGTAACAATTGTCGCACACTTTCTAAGATCCAGGCACTCCTCTAAGCACTTTATATGCATTATAGTATTTAAGTTATTTACTGTATTCTCTTTACCTACTTCTTACCATAAATTGTAGCCATGCAATTATCAGTTAACTTGCTCTTCACTTCTGTCCCCACCACTGGACTGGAAGTTCCATGAGGATAGTGTCTGTTTTATTCACTATTCTATACTTAGTACTGTGTCTGGAATATTGTAGTGGCTGAATAAGTACTTGTTGAATGAATAAAAGAATCCTGACTTCAAAACCAAAAGATGGGGGCTGTTTTTTTTTATTTGTTTATTTTTTAGTTTCTGGGACAGGGTCTAACTCTGTCTCCCAGGCTGAAGGGCAGTGGCACAGTCATGGCTCACTGCAGCCTCAGCCTCCTGAGCTCAAGCGATCCTCCCAAGCAGCTGAGACTATAGGTGCACACCACCATGTCCGACTAATTTTTGTATTTTTTGTAGAGAGGGGTTTTGCCATGTTGCATAGGTTGCTCTTAAACTCCTGGGCTCAAGTGATCCACCTACCTCGGTCTCTCAAAGTGCTGGGATTATAGGCATGAGCCACCACGCCCAGGTGGCTGTTATAGTACATTGTGTTTTGTCATTGGTAAAACTGTTTTTAAATTTTGTAATATCTGTTCTTAGGTATTTTAGATGAATTATTAAATTTGATTGTCCCATAGTGTTCCTTCAATATCTTTTATAGGATATCTATTGGGGAAATCTCTGTTCTTTTGTAGAAAATTGACAGGCATTGTCAAACTAAAATAAATAAGGACCTCCTTATAGATTAAGAGCTAATTTATTATCTTGGTAATGGGTATTGTAATTATCCGGAGGAATTTGTGGATTTATATTCAACAAACGCTGACCTCATGCCAGACACTGTTCTAAAGACTGCATCCTTACAAAGTTTCTATTATTAGGTCCATTTTACGGATGAGGAAACTGAGGCACAGAGATAGTAAGGAACTTGCCCAATATATCACAAGTAGTAAATTGAACAGCTGGAATTCAAACTCAGGTATTCTGGCTGCGAACTCCAAATACATAATTGCTATGCTGCCTCTAAATTTCACTTAATGATTTTATACAATTATTACAAAAAGCAACAGCTTCATTGGTAATGATTCTGATAGGACACAGAAAAATAAATCTGGGAGAACTTCTGTGCATTTTTTCTAATTGACTTTCAATCCATTTGAAATAATAGGGATGGGAAAAGAATTACAAATAGGTCAGAAGCTGTTGTTTCCTGTCCAAATCTTGTTTCTAGCCAGGGAGTTATTTTGCCAGCACATGATGAAAAATTATAAACTGTAATCCCCTTTCTAAAAGACCAAACACACTAACCAACTAACACACAAAAGCCAGCCTGCTATAGGGCAGAGCTCTTGGAATATCAACAGAAAAGCCAAAACATACAATGCAAAAATCTTTCAGTATCATCAAAATGCAACACAATTTCAGCCAAGTAAGTTTTGCAATAAAAATAACATACAACAATCATATGACCCAGTAATTCCATTCCTGAGTATATACTCCAAAGAATAGAAAATAGGTATTTAAACAAAAACTTAGCATGAGTATTCATATCAGCACAATTCACAATAGCCAAAAGGTGGAAACAACTCAAATGTCTATCAGTGAATGAATAGATAAACAATAAAAGATATATCCACACAATGGAGTATTGTTCAATCATAAGAAAGAGTGAAGTGTTGATATATGCTACAACATAGAATGAACCTTGAAAACATGATGAGTGAAAGAAAACAGAACAAAAAGTCACACACTGTATGATTCCACTTATTTGAAATATCCAGAGTAGTCAAATGTTTAAAGGAAGAAAGCAGAGTGATTGCCAGTGGCTGGGAACAGAGGGAAGGGAGAATGACTTCTTTTTTTTTGAGTCTCACTCTTTCACCCAGTCTGGAGTGCAGTGTCTCCATCTCGGCTCACTGCAACCTCCGCCTCCCAGGTTCAAGAGATTCTTGTGCCTCAGTAATCCCAGTAGCTGGTATTACAGGCGTGCACCACCATACTCTGCTAATTTTTGTGTTTTCAGTAGAGACGGGGTGTCTCCATGTTACTCAGGCTGGTCTCGAACTCCTGACCTCAGGTGGTCCACCTGCCTCAGCCTCCCAAAATGCTGGGATTACAGGCATGAGCCACCGCTGAGAATGACTTCTTAATGGATATGAGGTTTCTCTTTGGGGTGATGAAAATGTTTTAGAAGTAGATAGAGGTGGTGATTGTACAACATTGTGAATGTACTAAATGCTGCTGAACTGTTTATGTTAAATGGTTAAAATGGTGAGTTTTCTATAGTGTGAGTTTTACCCCACATAAATAAAAAGCTCAACCTACAACCAATTTTAAAATAAAACTTACCTATGTTTTAAGACTATAAAATATTCCATTTTTATGTACAATGACAACCTACAAAGATTTCTGCATCCTTTTGGTTAAAATGTAACCAATCACCAAGTGCTATCATTTGTTTCTTTTGCCTTGTGTATTTGCTAAGTGGATAGCAAAGATCAAAGAACTTTCAGAAGAGATATAGAAATACAGCCAGATACAGCTAAGATCTCTTTGAACATGATAATAATTGAGTGTGCTGAGCTGTGTCCCAAAGGTCTATAGAATAATAAATGCAAAAGATATCTTGGGTGAAAAGAGTCTGAATTATGCAGCATAACTTTTTTAAACATTCCCTCTATTTTCTTGAGTCTTGCTATTGCTTGGTGATTTAGGAATTAGGATGGGTGGCTGTACTGTGGATTGCTTATTTCGATATCCATTTAAATCTTTTATCTTACAAAGGCTGGGGAGCTTTTAAAAGCTACATTTCCCAGATTTCCTTGCAGTTAGGATTCTGGACATGCTTTGGGTTGAGCAATCAGCTGTGCTTTCCTAAGATTCTATGGGCAAAGAGGCAGGATGCAGGCGCCCATTTTGTAGGTGTGGTTCATGGCCCAGGTGGTGTGGTTTGGGGGCAAAGAGCTGTCCTAGAAGTTTCCTAATTTGGCAGGTGGTTTTCCTGTTCAGCAGCTTCAGCAGCAGTGGTAGTATACTCATACATAATCAGAAATATTCCAGTTATCTGTTGCTGTGTAATGAACCATCCCCAAACTTAGTGACTTAAAACAAAATTTATTATTACTTCTCATGGTCTAAGCATAAACTGGGCTCAAGTAGGTAAGCTTCCCTTGGGCTCTCTTATGACGTTACATTCAGATGTGCACCGGGCTACAGTTATTTGATGGCTCAACTGGGCTGGATGTCCTGGGGTCTCACTCTCTGGCAGTTGAAGCCAGCTATTGGCTGGGAATTCACCAGAATTTGGTGGCTGACGCACCTACCGTGACACACCTCACTGTGTTGTTCAGGCTGCCCATGACGTGGTGTCCAGGCTCAGAGGAGGCACATCCCAACAGTCAGCATTCCAAACAGCAGGAATCAGAAGCTGCCAGAAGCCGCAGTTAGGGCTACACCAGGAACAGACACAGAGTCATTTCTACCACATTCTGTTAGCCAAATGATACCACTCAACCAACTCACACTTAAGAAAGTGATACAGGCTCCACCTCTTGATGAGGGAATGGCAAGCTCAGTTGCCAAAGGGTATATGAGATGAAAGATAGTGTTTATCCATCTTTGGAAAAACTACAAGGGTAGAGGAAGAGTGGTCTGGAGGCCTAATGTTGCTCTTCCTGCTCTGCTAATAATTTTACCAGCACCAATTCCCCATGTGAAATCTCTTTCTGCTTAAATTAGCCAGACTGGGATCTGTTGACTACACCTGGATCCTGATCAAGGCTGGAGGTGGGACTTTACTGTCCCCAGGCAAATAGCATTCCAATATATTACTCTGTATGTAACTGGCATAGAGCAGTGACGCTCCGGAGAGGAAAAGCATTTGGAGTTGGAAAGTCCCTTGCTGAGTTTCAAGTTTCCCATCTGGAAAATGGGGATGATAATAATAATAATTTGGCATCTACTTTATAGAGTTAAACAGATTAAATGAGTCAACACATGCGCAATATTGTCACGTGCCTAGCACCTGGAAGGCAATGCTTGATGAAGTCCGTTTTGCTTGTTTGCTCAGCTCAAGCCGGCTCCCTCTCTTTGGTAATCGCTCTATCTGCAGGCACAGTGAAGTTAAGTAACTGGCCCAAAGGCATACTGCTAAGAGAGGACATCTTAGGCCGGGTGTGGTGGCTCACGCCTGTAATCCCAGCACTTAGGCCGAGGCAGGTGGATCACCTGAGGTCAGGAGTTCAAGACCAGCCTGGCCAACATAGTGAAACCCCATCTCTACTAAAAATACAAAAATTAGCCGGGTGTGGTGCCACGCAACTGTAGTCCCAGCTATTGAGGAGGCTGAGGCAGGAGAATCGTTTGAACCCAGAAGGCTGAGCTTGCAGTGAGCTGAGATCACGCCACTTCACTCCAGGCTGGGTGACAGAGCAAGACTCCAGTCACTTAACTAACCCAAAGGCACACTTGACTCTAGAGAGCAAGGGGAGAGTAGCTAAGAATAGGGAAGATAAGACGCAAACCCGCATAGTCTAGCTTCATAGTTCATGCTCTCAATCCTTACACTGTACCACTTTTTAAAGCTGAGAACTGAAGGTGTTTACAAGTTAGCTAGGGGACATGTGGTTGCTGCCAAGGATGGAAATATAATGAAGATACGGTTGAGGTGAAAGTAAGTAAAGGAGTGTTCTAGAAGACAAAGAACAGCACATACCAAAGCTCCAAGGAGGAAAAGACATTGGTGGAATTCAAGAAATTCCTTCAGAGAAGGCTAAAGCGGTGAGAATGCTTTTCTCCCCTCTTTCACATCATGGCACACCTAGAAAATGACACTATTTGTATAGATCACTGGAATAAATGCAGAAGCTGTTTGTGGCTGGAGACACCCGGCCCAGGAGTTGTGGGTCTCAGTCATAGGCATATCTGGAACCCACTTATAGGAAATCTTGTCTAGAAAGTAGAGAGCAAGGGGAAAGTTGACACAGAGACTGGAAAGGTGAGACAGACCCAAGACAGGCACAACCCCCTGGGCCATAAGAAGGATTTGAATGCGAGTTTGAGTGTATTGGGAGGCCACTGGAGGATTTAACTGGGAGAGAAGCCATGAGATCCAATTTGCTTTGTGTCTTTTGGAGAACACTAACTGCTGTGAGGTCAAAGGATCAATGGATGAGAGGACAGGTGTGGAAGTGGGAGGGAGGGGACAGGTAAGAGGCTGTTGCAGTAGTCTTGGAAAAAGAAATGAGGACAGCATAGGCTAGGTGGATGACAGTGGAGGTGGAAAGAAATACATGGATTTCAGGTATCTTTTTTTTTTTTTTGCAATTTCTTCCTCCTAGTTCAAGTGATTCTCCAGCCTCAGCCTCCCAGTGGCTGGGATTACAGGTGCCTGCCACCACGTCTGGCTAATTTTTTGTATTTTTAGTAGAGACTGGGTTTCACCATGTTGGTCAGACTGGTCTTGAACTCCTGACTCAGATGATCCACTCACCTTGGCCTTCCAAAGTGCTGGGATAACTGGTGTGAGCCACCGCACCTGGCCGGATTTCAGGTATCTTTTAGAGCTTGTATCTCCCAGGCCTAGAGATGGTTTGGGTGTAAAAGGTGAAGGAGAAAGGATAGTAATGTTTCTTCTCTCACAGTGTTCTCATGAGAAATTAAATTTAATTTTGTCCAGGTTCCTCAAAAAAGCTAAACATAGAATTATTATATAGTCCAGCTTTTCCAAAAGAATTCACAGCAGGAATGCAAACACACACTTGTATATCAATGTTCATAGCAGCACTATTCCCAATAGCCAAAAGGTGGAAACAACCCAAATCTCCATCAACAGATGAATGGGTAAACAAACTGTGGCCTGTCCATACAATGGAATATTATTCAGCCATAAAAAGGAACGAAGTTCTGATGAATGTTTACAACATGAATGGGCCTTGACAACATGTTAAGTGAAATAAGCCAGTCCAATATATTACAAATATTGTATGATTCCACTTAGGTTGGGTACTAAAGTCATAGGGACAGGAAGTATAGTAGAGGTTGCCAGGGATGTAGGGAAGTGGGGAGCATTATTTAATGGGTACAGAGTTTCTGTTTGCGATGATGGATACGCTGGAAATAATGGTGATTGTTGCAGGGCACTGTGAATGGATGCAATGCCACTGAACTGTACACTGAAAAATTGTTAAAATAGTCAATTTCATTTACACAAATATTACCATAATGAAAAAATTGATCATTTACATAGAGTGATTAGCACATATCTGACCCACTGCAGTTTTAGATCAATGGTTATAACTATTGTTTTCATATGTCTAGCCTAGCCTCTCTTTTTTCAGAGAGGAATCTCCCTTACTCTTAAGGCTGAGAGCTTTGAATTTTTTAGTCTGTCTGCCCTGAAGCACTTCTTGACATCCTGAGTCCTTCTTCGTCATACTTGGCTCTCCTGTGGACACTGTCATTCATACACCTGCAAATCACAGTCCACTCCATAGGACAAGGTCCCCTCCTCATTGGAACCAGAGAGAAGAGAGCACAGGGAAGCCTCCATCCCTTGCAATCTTGCCCTCTTGATTCTCTAAGGCTAGATCACTAGGCTTCAGGGATGGGATAATCTCAGAGCGAACTTATTATAGGGGAGAGGAAAAGTGAAAGAACAGGGTAACTCAAGTTTTCCTGGAGTCTCCAGTGGAAAGAACTCCAAACTGAAGTTCTTCACAAGAACAGGATCCACCACTCCTGTCCTGCCCCCACTGTATACTGGGCTGACCCAGCCTGCTGCTCTCAAGCCAGCTCCCTAAGGGATTCCTTCTTCAAGTCTCTGAGTCTCTACCCACCAATGACTGGTCTTTGTATGGACAGGGTTATTGTCTGAGTCATTCTCTCTGGAGTGGTACCCCAGTTGTGAGTGATACCTGTTGCCACTCAAGTCTCACAGAATAGCTGGATCCCCTGGACAGGAGTGGACCTGGAGCCTCTGGTCTAAGTTATTTTACTGGAAGCTCCAGGGAGGGCTGTAGGGATGCTGGTTCCGGTAATGAACTAACCTGCTACATTAAGCACAGTCTTATCTCTCAACCAGAATGGGACATTTCATGTTCCATACAGTTTACATATATACAGAAAAACAAAATATTCCCTAGAATCACAAGACATCTTATTCCTACTCCAGCGTCTCCAGCCCTGAACAACTTTGAAGCTTATTTCCAGTTCCTCTGAAGGATATACCTGGATAATGAAAGTCACCCATTTAGTGGCAGCCACCCAGAACAAACTCCAGGCTTGATCATCTTTTTTCATTTATTTCTGAAGACTCCCTGGGATGAGATAGAGTTGCCAGTTTTTTCTTATACTATTGTTATTGTTATCACAGACCAAGGAAAGGAAAGTTTATTCAGTAAGTGCTATTGAAACAACTGGTCAATTATTTGGAGGAAAAAACCCCTAGATCCTTGCCTTATACCTAACACAACACCAAAATAAATTTCAAATGGATTAAAGATTTGAGTTTTAAAAGAAAGAGGAACTATATGAACTAAAAGAAGGAATTTAAGCTCCTAAAAGGCATTCAATCAGCAGTAGACAGCCTCAATTTACTTCTCATCAAAATATCCACAAACGCACCCATATAGAAAAAGACAAAAACTGTTAATACTAAAAGATGAAGGCTGACAAGTAAATGCGAAAATATAGTAGAAATTTCTACTGCCATTATTTCTCTCCTCCTCTTCTCTTCTCTTCTCTTCTCTTCTCTTCTCTTCTCTTCTCTTCTCTTTTCTTTCTGAGACAGGAGCTCACTCTGTTACCCAGGCTGAAGTACAGTGGTGCAATCATGGCTCATTTCAGCCTCGAGCTTCTGGGTTCAAGTGATCATCCCACCTCAGCCACCCGAGTAGCTCGGACTACAGGCATGTGCCACCATGCCTGGCTAATTTTTGTAGATACAGAGTTTCACTATGTTGCCCAGGCTGGTCCTGAACTCCAGGGCACAATCAATACACCCACCTCAGCCTCCCAAAGTGCTGGGATTACAGTTGTGAGCCATTGTGGCCAGCCTACTGCCATGATGTCTACTGCCATGATTTCATGGCAGGTGCAGCTGGTCCAGCATGGATGGGTTGCTCTTGCCTTCATGATAGAGTGATCTACCGATAAAAAGGTATGAGGAAGCTTTGGCTATCTCTCTCGGTATTTTTTTGAGACAGATTGAGCTCTAATCCAATGTGATTGCTGTACTTATAAAAAGGGGAAAATTGGGCACAGAGACACCCACATAGGAAGAACATCATATTAGGCCGGGTGTGGTGGCTCACGCCTGTAATCCCAGCACTTTGGGAGGCCAAGGCGGGCGGATCACAAGGTCAGGAGATCGAGACCACGGTGAAACCCTGTCTCTACGAAAAATACAAAAAATTAGCTGGGCGCGGTGGCGGGTGCCTGTAGTCCCAGCTACTCGGGAGGCTGAGGCAGGAGAATGATGCGAACCCGGGAGGCAGAGCTTGCAGTGAGCTGAGATTACGCCACTGCACTCCAGCCTGGGCGACAGAGTGAGACTCCCTCTCAAAAAAAAAATAAAATAAAAAAATAAAAAGGAAGAACATCATGTCAAGATAAAGGCAGAGATTAGGCAATGTTTTTGCAAGCCAAAGAATACCAGAGATTGCTAGCAAACCATCAGAAGCAAGGTGAGAGGCATGGAACAGATACTCTCACACAGCTCCAAGAAGAAACCAACCCTGCTCACACCTTGACTTTGGACTTCTAACCTCCAGAACTCTGAGACAATAATGTTTGTTGTTTAAGACATCCAGTTTGTGGGATTTCGTTATGGCAGCCCTAGCAAAACTAACATATACTACCCAGTGAAGATTTGCTCTCCATCTTCCACGGCTCCCCCACATCAAATGACTAGATCTTGTCTGGTTAATGTCCAAAATGTCTTGTAGGTTCAGGCTCTACTCTGTTTCCATTGCCTCTGTAGACATATTGGGTAATTGGGTAATCAGTAAGCACCGTGATAGGAGAAGATAGAAAGGGACTTAGTTGACCAAATGCAGCAAGGCTAGGTCAAAGCTGGTGTAAGAGGGAGAGGGTCTGGGATTCAAAAGCAATGTGGAAATGTTGAGGCTGGCAAGCAGAGAGTGAGGGGATGCCTAACTTACCACTTGGTTGGAGAATGCTGAGACGGCAGAGGCTGCACCAAATGTCCAAGGGGTAGGGCTGGCCCGAGGCCAAGATTCCCCTGGGCTCTGTCCCATGGCTGACTTTAGGGCTGAATTTTCACCTGGGGTGTGTGTTGGGGTCTGAGTGGAGATCTTGGGGAGATCTTTGCTACTGGGTTTCTTTAGGGTGTGGCCGCGGGGCACACATCCAGAGGCACCGACCTTGTGAAGCTCCCGAGGGTGTTCTTTGAACTACTGCAAACCCAACCGGCAGGTTTGCTGAAAAGTGGCCACGTTCCAGTCCAAAATGTGTGAGCAGAGCGCGAGCTTAGCACTCCCCAGCCCCAGTCCCAGCTCTGCCAGGAAAGGGGAGACTTCACCGTGGCACTGGGAATTGGATTCTAAACTTTAGGATCAAGCAATGGAAGGACCTGGAATAAGACACCTTCTTGACCCCCCTGAAGGGCTCTGAGCAGCTGGGCTTGCCTTTCTCTTTGCTCCCCCAGTCCTCCCCTTACTTCTCGGTCTCCCACTCCCCATCACTCCTTTCCCTGCCTCCTCCTGCCTGTCTCCATCTTCCTCCCTCTCTTTCTTCTCTCGCCCCATTAATCCCCGCTTGTCACTATCACCTCCTTCCTCCAGTCTTTCCCCCTTCGCTGCCCCTTCTTTCCTCTGACATTTCCTTCTCCTCTTACTGCCACTGTCTCCCACCTTTCTCCTCCCCCACATTTCTCCCTATCCCTACCTCCTCTTCCCCTTCATCTTTCTCCTTCCCCCTTATTTTTCTATCTCCTTCCTCAGTCCCACTCCTCTTTCCACCCTCCTTTTGCCCGTCACTTCTCCTTCTCCCTCACTGCCCCCTCCCTCTCTCTCCCCTCCCCAGGTCCTGCCCCACCCAGCTGTGTTTGCTTTTCTCCCGGATCCGGATGGAGGGGTTGCCCTGCCCGTGCCCAGCCCTGCCCCACTTCTGGCAGCTTAGGTCTCACTTAATGGCTGAGGGCTCCAGGACTCAGGCCCCTGGGAAAGGGCCCCCACTCAGCATCCAGTTCCTGCGAGCCCAGTATGAAGGCTTGAAGAGGCAGCAGAGGACCCAGGCCCACCTCCTGGTGCTTCCAAAAGGTAGGAATGGACAGGTGCTGGGGAAGGAGAGACTTACCATGGGAGACCTGAGTGGCAGAGCTGCAGGGAGGCAGAGCCAGGGCTTTGCCAGCCCTCCCTCCCAGTGGGGAAGAGCAGGGGAGGCGGGCTCAGGGCAGCTCTGCTCAGCTGTCCCACCTGCTAAGGGAGCCAGGGGCCTCAGCCAAGCACCTGGCTGCCAGCACTGTTCCTGGCCTCTGCTCTGATGTTCTAATCTTGCTAGACTGGTCAGCCTGGTGAGCCAGGCTTGGCCCCCCTGCTAGCCCAGGTATGGCGATAGGAGCTCTGCTTCCTGGCTGGGTCTAACTAAGGCACCTCCTACAAACCAGAGAAATTCACTCTGGAGGTAGAAGACATGGCGTTCCCAACAGCCTGGGAACTGTCTGGGCCAGAGGACGCCTAGGGCTCAGAGACCCATGAGGCATCCCAGGCTCATCCAGCCTCAAACATCAGGCAGGGAGGTGTGATTGGACACAGAAACCCCCTCATGGGGAGAAACCTCCTCCCTTTAGGAACTCAGATTTCATTCCAGGAGGGAGTTAGAGGCACAGGGCTCAGAAAGCAAGGGCATGTCAAATCCCAGCCCTTCCTCCTCTAACAGAGGAACAGGTTGAGGGAGAAGGGAAGATACCCTGAAAGGTCAAAGCTGGGCTCTGTGGGATTCTGTGGTTATTTGTAGAGTTCAGTAGACTCTTTGGGCTGCCCTTTGCCAGGCCAGACTGGGCAGGAATCAGGGGCCAGAGGGACCTCTCTGTCTAGGGCAGGAAGTGTGCTGCCTTTTGGGAACAAAAGTGGCACCTCTGAGCTGAAGGAGCCCATCTCCCATTACCTGGGCTGTTGCCAACCAATGGAATCCTCGTTCCTGGCAGGAGTGAACTGGCACAGCCAAACAGTCACCATCTCTGCAGGGCATAAACTGAAAGGTTCCTAAAGCTCTATCCCACCCTTGAGGGTATTTATTCATTCAGTTATTCAACAAACATTTATCAATTTAAATCCCTATCAAATGGAAACACAATGCTTAATACACCTGCAATTCAGACTCACAAATCTAATTGCTTAGTGGGGATGATCCAAAGACATCTCAAATTCAACATGCCCCCAGAGAATTCACTATACCCTGTGCTCGTCCTTTCTCCTGCTCTTGGTAACTCGGTACCCCCTTTCCCATCATTACTAGGTGCTAAATTATGGTTCATGCAAGGAGTGCCCAGGTGTGGCTTTCTCCGAGAAGACTTCTGACCTCCCAGCTAGGTCAGGGTCATTCAGGGCACTTTCAGCAGTTTGCAGTTCCACATTTTTTTTTTTTTGAGACAGATTCTCACTCTGTTGCCCAGGCTGGAGTGCAGTGGGGTGCAATCTCGGCTCACTGAAACCTCTGCCTCCCGGGTTCAGGCAATTCTCCCTGCCTCAGCCTCCTGAGTAGCTGGATTACAGGCACCTGCCACCATGCTCGGTTAATTTTTGTATTTTTTTTAGTAGAGATGGGGTTTCACCATGTTGGCCAGGCTGCTCTTGAACTCCTGACCTCAGGTGATCCACCCACCTCGACCTTCAAAAGTGCTGGGCGTGAACCACCATACTTGGCTGAGTTCCACATTCTTTATCTAACTGTGAGAGGCAGCATACTGTGTAATGGAGTGGTCATGTACTGGGTCTTGGAGCACAGCCTGAGTTTGAGTCCCAGCTCTGCCATTTACTTAATATGCAGCTTTAAACAAGTTACATAAATTTTCTGGGGCTCAGTTTCCTCACCTGTCAATTGGGAATAACTGTAGTACCCAAATCATAGGGTTATTGTAGGAATAAAATGAACTAATATGTATAAAGCTCATCAAGGCCTTATGCACTGACTGGCTGAGGACAAGATCACGTATGTCACATGTATCTAAGTAGGAAGGCCACTTGAAACACTAGCACTGAATGTGAAGGAGTAGGTAATTATCCAGGGAGAAATCAGAGTAAGGTGACAAAAATAAGGTGAAAATGGCACTAAGGAGGCAAAAGAGCAATTAATTGTCCCCTATACTTTAGCAACAGGATAGATGGTGGTATCTTTCCTTGAGAATACAGGAGAAAAAGGCTTTTTGTGGAGAAAAAGGCTTTTTGTAGAGAGAGATGAACTTGTTTTTGAATATACTGCATTGGAGATAGTTGCCTGTAGACCTTCCATCCAGCCTGGATCTCATTTGGGCTGGAGAGCTAGATTTGGGGTTATTCATCTATAGATGGTAGCTGAAGCCATGGGCATGGATAAAACTGTGGCAAATCCATGTGTAAATTGATAAGAAACTGGGATGAAAATTAGAGTTCTGGAATACTCAAATATTTAAGGAACAAGAGGAGGAAATGAAGCCAGGGAAGATGGAGAGAGCAGTCAAAATTTGAGGACAGGCATATCATTCAGCCATAAAAAGGAAAGAAATTCTGCCATACACTACAACATGGATAAAACTTGAGGACATTATGCTGAGTGAAGTCAGTCAGTCCCAAAAAGACAAATACTGTATAATCCCATTTACATGAGGTATGTAGAGTAGTCATATTTAAAGAGACAGAAGGAAAGCAGAATGGTGGTTGCCAGAGGCTGGGGCATGGGGAAGTGGGGCGTTATTGTTTAATGCTTATAGAGTGTCAGAGAAACTGAAGAATTCTGGAGATTGGTTCCACAATGTGAATGTACTGAACACTACTAAACTGTGCACTTAAAAATGGTTAAGATGGTACATTTTATGTTCTATGTATTTTACCACAATTAAACATATTTTAAGTGGTATAAGAAAATCAAGAGCAATTAATGTCATGAAGCCAAGCTGGTAGAGGGATTTTAGAGGACCGTGATCCTCAGTGCCCAGTGCAGCAAAAAGACCCAGGAAGAGAGAGTGAGCATTGAGACTGGGCTCCTACTAAAGCTAGAAGTCAATGTCTCAAGACATTGGGTTGCGTTTAGAAGCTCAGAAATTCTAGGAGCTGATCAATGAAAGGAAGGGCTCCGAAATTAGCTTTCTTCACCCTGTCTTAGCATTATGCGATGGATCCAGCTTCTGGAAATGCAGTTACAAGTAGCAGCGTGCCTTCCCTGATGCAACGTAAGTACCCAGGGGACCTTGAGCTACTTTCAGAAGTCTGTGGAGCCCCAATTACTCCCAGTGATTGGTGTCCAAAAGGAATATGCTTTTGTCACAGTCAGACACTGTGTGACTCGCCTCATGTAGAAAAAGGGATTAGGGTCGGGACTTATATCTGGGCTGGATGTTTTATATTACATTTCATTGAACATTCCTGGCAGCCTTGTAAGGTAGCTCCCTTTTTAAGATCTCCATTTATAGATGAGGAAATGGAGGCCTAGGGTCTCCTAGTGAGTCAGTGGTGAACTCAGGACCAGACCTCATGTCTTCCTGACTCTGGCTTGATGAGAGAGGTTCCACCAAAGGTCTCAGGCAGTTAGGGTGAATTTCGATTCTTCTTTCCTCCCTGAGTCTCTCTACCACTCTCTTCGCTCTTCTCTCCACCCGCTTCCTTCATCCCCACTGAAGAGAGAAATCAAGGAGGGGCTCAAAATACCCCTTCTCCAACTTGTATCTTCTGGCAAAGTGAATCAAGGGTGGAGAATGAAGAAGGTATTATAGATAACGAGTACATTTCCTTCCAGTCCCTGACTTACCAAAACCAAAACAAAACAGATAAAAAACATGATACGAAATTTCCCTGTACTCTTCAGTCAATTACCCTAATTCTCTTTCTCTTGTACAGTGAAGGGCAGGCACCATCCCAAGATGTGCAGGGTACTGCCACAGAAGGCTCATGGTGATTCTCAGCAGAGGCTGCTCTGGGGTGGGGTCCCTGTGTATCTCCCAGCCTAACTCTTTTTCCTTTCCTCTGAACCACAGGCTGGGACTGACAGCTGAACAGGCCTGTCCACCTTCAGTCCTTTCCTTCTAAACTAATGCTAGGATACCAGTTTCTAGGTTCTCCCATTGTGTCTCCCTCCTTCCTTGTTCTCAAATAAGTACATAACATGTTGGATATTTATAAAAGTTTCCTTTGGCTGGCCGCGGTGGCTCACGCCTGTAATCCAAGCACTTTGGGAGGCCGAGGCGGGCGGATCACAAGGTCAGGAAATCGAGACCATCCTGGCTAACACAGTGAAACCCCGTCTCTACTAAAAATACAAAAAAAAGTAGCTGGGCGTGGTGGCTGGCACCTATAGACCCAGCTACTCGGGAGGCTGAGGCAGGAGAATCGCTTGAACCCGGGATGCAGAGGGCGGAGGTTGCAGTGAGCCAAGATCGCGCCATTGCACTCCAGCCTGGGTGACAGAGCAAGACTCCATCTCAAAAAAAAAAAAAAAAAAAAAGTGTTTTCTTCATTTCATGCTGGAAAATAATACTAAGGAATTAACCAGTTACAAAGCCGGAACAAATCTTGAGTCACACTAGAGTTAGTGTTGACAGGAGAGTAATTGTTGGCTGAGATGGCTGCAGCTGGTCTTCTGTTTCTTTGGGATCCCTGAATTGGAGCTCAGGGGCTTCTTTCTGACTTTATTCTTCCAACATCATCTCCCCACTCTTGCTCTGCACATTGTCACCTCCAGGGCCTCCTGTGATAACAGGTGCCGGAACAGATAAGTGAACCTAAGTGACACCTCTGAGGAGCTCCAAGCTGGTCACACACCTGCTTTCTATAAGGAAAATGCCTTTCAGTCATTCCAATACCTCTCACTGCCACCAAGAGTTAACAATGAACTGTCATATTCCACTAGGTGGTTTAAAAAAAAGTCCCCAAGAAAGAAAAGAGACATTGGTCTGCCTCTTTCACCCTAAAGCCAGTTCTGAGGAGCCGTAAATGCTGCAGATGTCCTCCCAGAGCAGTGCCTGTGGACTAGGAGAAGGATAATGATTGGTTCTCTAAAGGGAGCTGCTTCAAAACACAACTCCTCCCTCTTCTGCCTTGGGTGGTAAACTCACTATCAGAATCCCAGGACACAGCCGAGCGCAGTGGCTCACGCCTGTAATCCCAACACTTTGGGAGTCTGAGGCGGGCGGATCACTTGAGGTCAGGAGTTCAAGACCAGCCTGGCCAACATGGTGAAAATCATGTCTCTACTAAAAATACAAAAAGTAGTCAGGCATGGTGGCAGGTGCCTTGTAATCCCAGCTACTCAGGAGGCTGAGGCAGGAGAATCGCTTGAACCCAGGAGGTGGAGGTTGCAGTGAGCCAAGATTGCACCACTGTACTCCAGCCTGGGCAACAGAGTGAGACTCTGTCTCAAAAAAACAAACAAACAAACAAACAAAAAGAATCCCAGAACACAAAACCCCGTAAGTTAAGAATAATCTTTTCCACTGGTGAGAATATGTGAACCCACATGTGTGTGAGTCTGTGTGTGCTCTTGTTCCTTGCCTTTCTTTTAGCCCCAAACGCTAGTTCCCTATCTCCTCCCAGAGTTTACTCCTCCACTTCAGTGTTTGACCCTCTATTATGCTTGAGATTTTCCATTGCATTGATTGCCACCCGAAATTTTATTATAAATATGCAATTTTGTCTCTACTCAACCAGGACACACCCCGGAAGGTGTGGGTTTTGTCTCAATGTTCATTGCTGTATTCCCAGGACCTAGAATAAATAATGCCTGGCACATATTAAGTGCTCAATAAATATGTGTTGAATGAATGAATAATTGTGTGTGTGTGAGTATATATGGGTGAGGTGTAAAAGGGCATGTGTGTGAGCATGCAAGTGAGATCTTGTGTGTGTACACATGTACACACATGAAATGTACCAGGAACCTTCTGGGGATGGCCTTCCTTCAGCTTGAAAGCAATGAGACCCCCTAAGTGAGAGCCGCCCCTGTCCCTTCCAGTGATGACCCTGCTGGTGCATTCTCTTTTCAGGAGGAAACACACCTGCTCCTGCAGAATCGATGGTCAATGCTGTTTGGATTAACAAGGAGAGAAGAAGCTCACTGTCCCTGGAAGAGGCAGATTCTGAGGTGGAGGGGAGGCTGGAGGAGGCTGCCCAGGGCTGCCTTCAGGCCCCCAAGTCTCCATGGCACACGCACCTGGAGATGCATTGTTTGGTCCAAACCTCCCCCCAGGACACCAGTCATCAAGTACATCATAGGGGCAAGCTTGTGGGATCTGATCAAAGGCTCCCTCCTGAAGGAGACACACACTTGTTTGAAACCAATCAGATGACTCAGCAAGGAACCGGAATCCCAGAGGCTGCCCAGCTTCCATGCCAGGTGGGCAATACCCAAACAAAGGCAGTGGAATCTGGCTTAAAATTCAGCACTCAATGTCCTCTTTCCATAAAGAACCCACACAGGTCTGGCAAACCAGCTTACTATCCATTTCCCCAGAGGAAAACACCCAGGATCTCCCAAGCTGCCCGGAACCTGGGCTTATATGGCTCAGCGTGAAGCTTTCTATTCTGCCAGATGTCTTGACCTTGAGGCCACCTATGGCCTTATAGAAGAACCAAGGAGGCAGAGCCACAACGAGGTCTCTAGCTATGAGCAAGAACTGGACTAACCTAATTATAGGAATTGTGGGAGACGAACTTCACAATGGTAACATGGTTTTACCCTTCCAATAAGAAGAGACTTCCCAGGCCAAATTGCCCACAGTTTAGGATGAAGAGGACTGTCTGGTCAGTGCAGCCCCATTCTGACATTACTATGAGGTCCTGGATATCCATTCCTTGGGGAGGACCAGTAAGACATCTGCTCCATCCCTGGAACTGGATAATTTTGGAACATAAACCAGGGACCTAGCCAACAGAATGCCTTAGCAATGCCCAGGGGTCAATGGGCGTGGCATTCTTGTTTTCAATGTCTTCTGATGATTTCTCATATATTCTGGAGAAGACAAGCTCTGAGAATTCAGATGCTTTTTCTGGTGGCTATGTCTGGGGGGCCATCTCACTTAGAAGTCACAACACTCATTGGCAGTGATCACATCATTTCAATTTGGGCTTCCCAAAGTATGGTCACCCAGGGTATGAAGGTGAGATCAATGCTACCTACCATTTTGTGTCTTTAAGGGGTCTTTAGAAAGGGCTAATCATCTGTCACTGCTCACTGAGACATGTACATTCCAGCATCATCACAGAGTTATCTCCTTCCTTCCTTCCTTCCTTCCTTCCTTCCTTCCTTCTGTCTCTCCCTCCCTCCCTCCCTTCCTCCCTTCTTTCCTTCTTTCTTTCCTCTCTTCCTTCTTGCCTTCTTTCCTGCCTTCCTGCCTATCTTTTCTCTCTCTCTCTCTCTGCAAATTAAGTTCTTATTAAAAACTGCCAATCATTGACGATATATAATGATGAGATCCTGAACAAAAGAGGCAAAGAAATGCTCCTACTTGAAAAATACACATTCCCTATAGACTGCCTCCTGTTTAGTCCAACTTAGATCACTCAGATCCTTCCTGGGATCAAATATATTTTTAAACCTAAGACAAAGCGAAGCAGGTGTCACTTGGGTGATAGGGAAAAAAGCTTGTATTTCCTGGTTAATGTTTAGCTTTTGTAATGCTATTTAAACACACCTAAGGTGCCTTTCCCTCATCTCAGGTGCTTTCTCTGTAAAGTTTCACTCCCACCTTTCTTTTCTCTGCATGGCCGTCCAGTCTTGCCCATCTACATCCAGAGCTGTTAACTAGTAGTGTCATTACCTGTGAAAAACATGTAGAAGCTTCCTTGAACCACCCAGAAATCCACTCAAATTTGGGGATTGTCATTCCTTTTGTGAATAATTAATACAATTCAGTTGTTTTTTAAATATTCTAATAAAAAAGGAAATTTTCTCAAAAAAATTTGTCCTTTGCTTTTGTTTTTAAAGAAGTGTCCCACAAGTAACGTATCTTTCTATAGGTTTGCTTTTGTTTCCTGTTTTTGGAGATGGAGTCTTGCTCTGTTACCCAGGCTGGAGTGCAGTGGTGCAATCCCGGCTCACTGCAACCTCTGCCTCCCAGGTTCAAGCCATTCTCTTGCCTCAGCCTCCCAAGTAGCTGGGATTATGGGCGTGTACCACTACCCCAGTTAATTTTTTGTATTTTTAGTAGAAACGGGGTTTCACCATGTTGGCCAGGCTGGTCTCGGACTCCTGACCTCGGGTGATCTGCCTGCCTTGGCCTCCCAAAGTGCTGGGATTACAGGTGTGAGCCACCACACCCAGCCAATAATTACATCTTTTTTTTTTTTTTTTTTTGAGATGGAGTCTTGCTCTGCCTCTCAGGCTGGAGTACAGTGGCACAATCTCAGCTCACTGCAACCTCCACCACCCAGCTTTAAGCGATTCTCCCACCTCAGCCTCCCCGGTAGCTGGGGTTACAGGTGTGCACCATCATGCCTGGCTAATTTTTGTGGTTTTTTTGTAGAGACAGGGTTTCACCATGTTGCCTGCCTTGGCCTCCCAAAGTGCTGGGATTACAGGTGTGAGCCACCACACCCGGCCCTTTTTTTTTTTTTTTTTTTTTTTTTGAGACAGAGTTTTGCTCTTGTTGCCCAGGCTGGAGTGTAACAGTGTGATCTCAGCTCACCGCAACCTCTGCCTCCCAGGTTCAAGTGATTCTCCTGCCTGAGCCTACCGAGTAGCTGGGATTACAGGCATGCGCCACCACGCCCGGCTAATTTTGTATTTTTAGTAGAGATGGGGTTTCTCCATGTTGGCCAGGCTGGCCTCAAACTCCCGACCTCAGGTGATCCGCTTTCCTCGGCCTCCCAAGATGCTGGGATTACAGGCATAAGCCACCGCACCCAACAAAATATAACCCCTCCACGACCGTGGCAGAACTCAAACCTGCAATCTTTTGATCCGAAGTCAGACGCCTTATCCATTAGGCCACACGGCCAGCTGGTTGGCCAAGTCTTTGTTCAAAATGCCAAGAGCCTGGATGGCCTCCACCGATAACATTAGCAGAAAGTTTTCCTCTTCTCTTCCTAAGATAGAGAAAAACCAGCTCACATTGTAAATCCTGCATCAGGCAGGCCACCTTTACCTAGGGTTCCCCAGGCTTCCACTTCCCAGTGTGGACTCCCCATGTGGCTGCCTGGCACACACCATGCCTCAGTCTCCCCTGGCAGAGGAGGACGGATCAGGCTCTAGTCTGGGCACTGCCATTGGTAGAGGTGTGACCTTTGTTGGGTGAATTAAAGCCAGAGATTTCAGAGCCAAATCTCAGAGCCACAGATTTCCCAGTTTAACTGAAGGCGATAATCTTCCCTGGGGTGGTGAGGGACGCAGAGGAGAGACGTTTTCCCTAAGCTAGGAACAGAAAAGTTCTTTTCCAAGAACCAATTCAGCTGGATCGAACAGCCTCTTCCCCACTAGGGGACAGGCTGCCCTCACACTATCTCAGTCAGATTCCCTAACTTTTCAGTCACTTCCTGACATTAAAGCCATTCATTTCAGTTGTTAAAGCTTGGAACTGTTCAAATGTTAAAGTTCATCTCATAGTCAAGTCAGAGTCTACCAGGCTCCACCTCCTCCCAGCACAGCCTTGATTGATGCCTTTAAGGCTGGAGGGAGAGGCTCATTCCCGCACCCTTCTGTCTGTGTTTACACAGATTTTTGACAACGGGGTAGGAAGGATGGAGAGGAAGCACAGATAGCTCTTTATGTGACTGGCTATGGTGTAGTTTTGGTCTCTCGCCTTGGCCATTTACGCTGGCCTGGCTTGTCATCTATAGGCTTGGTATGGACAGGTGGTGGCCCCAGTGGGCTCCTGCTGAGGAGGGACTCATCCCAAGCATCCCGCTAGCGTGTTTGAGGGTCTCTTGGGAAGATGGCTATGCCTGGTCAAGCTGCCTCCACCCCATTGCATCAGGAGCCCATTCTTTTTACCCTTTGCCCCAAGTTCATCTACCTCTGCTAGCCCAGCTCGGCCTGTAGACACATAGGCAGGAGGCATTTTCTGCACCTATGTGAGGTGATCATCCCTGCACCTTCTCTTTCTGGCCATTCTATACTGTCTTGTTTCCACTGAAGTCTCCCCTTTCTGCTGAGCAATCATCTAGTGGGGGGATAATGTGTCAGTCCTCCTTCTTGCAGACACTACTTTATTTATTTATTTATTTGTTTGTTTATTTTTGAGGCGGAGTTTTGCTCTTGTTCCCCAGGCTGGAGTGCAATGGAACTATCGCGGCTCACTACAACCTCCGACTCCTGGGTTCAAGCGATTCTCCTGCCTCAGCCACCCGAGTGACTGGGATTACAGGTGCATGCCACCATGCCCAGCTAATTTTTATATTTTCAGTGGAGACGGGGTTTCGCCATGTTGGTCAGGCTGGTCTCGAACTCCTGACCTCAGGTGATCCACCTGCCTTGGCCTCCCAAAGTGCTGGGATTACAGGCATAAGCCACCTCTCCTGGCCGACACTACCATCTTTAAAAGAAAGGTTCTGCTGGGTGCAGTGGCTCACGCCTGTAATCCCAGCACTTTGGGGGGCCAAGGCAGGTGGATCACCCGAGGTTAGGAGTTCCAGACCAGCCTGACCAACATGATGAAACCCCATCCCTACCGAAAATACAAAAATTAGCCGGGCTTGGTGGCTCACGCCTGTAATCCCAGCTACTTAGGAGGCTGAGTCGAGGAGAATCAGTTGAACCCGGGAGGCGGAGGTTGTGGTGAGTCAAGATCCTGCCACTGCACTCCAGCCTGGGCGACAGAGCAAGACTCTGTCTCAAAAAAAAAAAAAAAAAAGAAGAAAGGTTCTTTGCCCTCCCTCTTTCCCCTTTGGCTTTGAGAAGAACTAGTCAAGTAGGGCATGTGTGTATGTGGTGTTTTCTTTCTTTTCTTTTTCTTTTTCTTTTTTTTTTTTTTTTTTTTTTGAGACAGGGTTTCATTCTGTTACCCAGGCTGGAGTGCAGTGGTGCGATCACAACTCACTGCAGCCTCAACCTCCCAGGCTCAAGCGATCCTCCCACCTCAGCCTCCTGAGTAGCTGGAACTATCCATGCATACCACCACAGCCAGCTAATGTTTGTATTTTTTTTTTTTTTTGAGACAGAGTCTCGTTCTGTTGCCCAGGCTGGAGTTCAGTGGCGCAATCTCGGCTCACTGCAAGCTCCACCTCCCAGGTTCATGCCATTCTCCTGCCTCAGCCTCTGAAGTTGCTGGGACTACAGGCGCCCACCACCACGCCCGGCTAATTTTTTGTATTTTTAGTAAATACGAGGTTTCATCATGTTAGCCAGGATGGTGTTGATCTCCTGACCTCGTGATCTGCTCGCCTCGGCCTCCCAAAGTGTTGAGATTACAGGCGTGAGCCACCGCGCCCAGCCACGTTTGTATTTTTTGTAGAGACAGGGTCTTAATATGTTGCCCAGGCTGGTCTCGAATTCCTTAGCTCAAGTGATCCACCTGTCTCAGCCTCTTAAAGAGCTGGGATTACAGACGAGAGCCATAGCATCCGGCCTTAGTCAGGTGTTTAATTCCATGGAGAGGAGAAGAGGGAATGAGCTCCATACAAACACTGAATGTCCCTATTGTGGCTCAGAAAACAGTGCCCCCAAGAGAAGGCCTCAGAAGCAAAAACTTTTCTCTGACCTTCTCCTGCCCTCCTGTCTCTCAGTGCCATTCTCCCCCAGGGCTAGCCATAGAAACTAGAATGCCTCTTTTCTAAGGTGGGTCATAGAAACCAGAATCCTGGCCTGGTGCGGTGGCTCACGCCTGTAATCCCAGCACTCTGGGAGGCCGAGCTGGGTGGATCACCTGAGGTCAGGAGTTTGAGCAGCCTGGCCAACATGGTTATAACTCCATCCCAACTAAAAATACAAAAAAATACAAGACAAAACTCCAGCCACTTTCTAAGTCCAGAACTTCTTTCCTGAGTCTTTTTTTTTTTCCCTCAGTGGCGCCATCCTGGCCCACTGCAACCTCCACCTCCCTGGTTTAAGCAATTCTCCTGCCTCAGCCTCCTGAGTAGCTGGGACTATATGCATGTGCCACCACGCCTGGCTAATTTTTGTGTTATTAGTAGAGATGGGGTTTCACCATGTTGGCCAGGCTGGTCTTGAATTCCTGGCCTCCTGATCCGCCCACCTTGGCCTCCCAAAGTGCCAGGATTACAGGCGTGAGCCACCGCGCCCGGCCGTTTCCTGAGCATCTTGATTCCAGGCAGAATATGTAGAGAAAATATTGCAACTTGCCTGTGGCTGTCTCCTCGCCCTCCCTCTAGGCACTCAGGCTCCTAGGGGGATAGCAACTTAAGACCCTACCTTAGGAAAGGACTTATTCCAAGGTCCCTGCTCACTCACAAACTAGGACTTCATTAGTACCTGTGTGTGCATGTGTGTGTGGAGGGAGATTAACCACAGCGGCCAAGGGGGAGGTTGGAGGGGATGAGTAGAGAGAAGGGAACTAAGAAGTCCAGCTCCTTACCTCTTTGGGGAGCTAGAGTCAAATTCCCTCGGAGTGTCACACCCATCCAGGACATGTCCCCATGGTGGTGGGAGAAACTGCCTCAGAGAGGGGTTGGGTCATGGCCACTACTTAATGCTGTGAAAGGAAATGAAAACTCAGGACCTCGGCCGGGCGCCGTGGCTCACACCTGTAATCCCAGCACTTTGGGAGGCCGAGATGGGCGGATCACGAGGTAAGGAGATCGAGACCATCCTGGCTAACACGGTGAAACCCCGTCTCTAATAAAAATACAAAAAATTAGCCGGGCGTGGTGGCGGGCGCCTGTAGTCCCAGCTACTAGGGAGGCTGAGGCAGGAGAATGGCCTGCAGTGAGCTGAGATTGCGCCACTGCACTCCAGCCTGGGCGACAGAGCCAGACTCTTCTCAAAAAAAAAAAAAAAACAAACAAACAAAAAAACGGCTAAAAGCTGAGTCATACAATGAAACTGCCTTTCCTTTTGTTCCTAAACAGATAGCACAGATAAAAGGTTAAATATCTCCACAGGCAGCTACTCCACTTTCGCCTTATCTTATGTAAACACTGAGTTACTGATTGCAAAACAAATCCATAATTGACTATTCCCCTACCTTCTCCTTTTCCCTTGCAACTTGTGGATTTCCAGACCCTCCCTTTTTCCCCTCCAGCAGCTTTTCCCCTTTAAATAGTGAAGTCCTGGAAGTCATCTTTGGAGAAAGGCACAGACCACACGGACTGTGTCTGTGATTCCGTATTTTTCCTTCTGGGCATATCCTTAACCTTGGAAAAATTAACTCATAAATTGATTCAGGCCCGTCTCAGAGCAATACTTGATGTCTGGTCCCTGTTTTGATCTTTCATATTTGAAAAACATTAATTTTTACTTGGCTTTCTTGGGTTTTGAGAGAAGCATCTGCAATTCTTTTTTTTTTTTTTTTTATTGTATTTGAAAGTTTTATTTTAGGCTGCAGAAACAAAAACAAGCAAACAAACAACAAATAACTTGAACAATTCTTTTAGTCTGGAAAAACTATAAATCTTCTCCAGTGGCACCTCCAGCCTCAGGTTCTTCCTGAGAGGATGCTTCTTCTGTTCATCTTATTTGTTTAAAAATCCCTGCGCCCCAGCTTGTGAGTAGGGTGCCCCATATTGAAGGTAAAAAGTCTAACAAGGTGATATCACTTGCTTAAGGTGGCACAGCTAGCAAATTGCACAAGGGAACAGCAAACTCAGACAGCCACAAGCCATATACCAGAGTCTGAACTCTTTTTTATTACTATTATTATTATTGAAACGGAGTCTTGCTGTGGTCTGTGGTCCAGGCTGGAGTGCAGTGGCGAGATCTTGGCTCACTACAACTTCCGCCTCCCAGGTTCAAGCAATTCTCCTGCCTCAGCCTCCTGAGTAGCTGAGATTACAGGCACGAACTACCACGCCCGGCTAATTTTTGTATTTTTAGTAGAGATGGGGTTTCACCATATTGGCCAGCTGGTCTCAAACTCCTGACCTCAGGTGATCTGTCCGCCTCAGCTTCCCAAAGTGCTGGGATTATAGGTGTGAACCACTGCACCTGGCCTTTTTTTTTTTTTTTTTTTTTTTTTTTGAGTCTAAACTCTTAACAACGTTAAACTGTCTCCTCCTGACTCCCTCCCTTCACTTATTTTTATAACATCATAGCTGGGAAATCCACCCTCCAAATATTTTTCAACTGAAACTGCCAATGGTGAAATTGCTGCTTCTAACTGGAGGCCAGAGAGAATCCTAAGACTTTTCCTAAATTCTTCATAAAACCTCACCTTTCCCCAGCCTCTCAGGCACTGGTTGACCCTCCACATTCTTCACAAACTTCAGACCACTTCCTTATTGAGAAAGACTCAGTCATGACTTCCAGCATTTTCTGTCTGCACATAAATTCTGAAAGCTTTCGCCAGCTGTGACTGTGTTTCTCCCACAGCTAATGAACAACACACTTCCTAGAAACAGAAAGTTCAAGGAACTGAACTTGTAATATTTTTTCTTGGCCTTGTGTTTGTGACAATTACATTAAATTTCCCCCTCCAATTCCATCCAATAAGATGATACACCCGCTGAAGTTGCCTTCAGTCTCTTCCCAGTAATTAACCATGATTTATTCCGTGTTATTAATCCTTGTATTTCTCCTCTGTCTGCTCACTGATAACTCCCCCATCCTGTGTGAATCCACCCCCTGAATTCCTCAAATCCAGGATCATAATTAAGACTTGGAAGCACACAAGCCCCCGAGCCCTGGCTGAGAAATAGGAGAAGGAGGAAAAAGCTGGTCATAGCAAATGCTGTCTTCTGCCAACCCAAACCCCAAATGTTTTTAAGGGGGGGCGAGCTGGCTCTCAAAATCAGTATCAGCCCCAGATCCAGATTAGCACATTTTCTCCCAATGCAGGAACTGCTTCTCTTTACAAGAAGTGCAGGTGTGATGGGCATGGTGGCTCACACCTGTAATCCCAGCACTTTGGGAGGCAGAGGCGGGTGGATCACCTGAAGTCAGGAGTTCAAGAGCAGCCTAGCAAACATGGTGAAACCCCGTCTCTACTAAAAATATGAAATTAGCCGGGTATGGTGGTGTGTGCCTGTAATCCCAGCTACTCAGGAGGCTAAGGCAAGAAAATAGCTTGAACCTGAGAGGTGGAGGTTGCAGTGGGCCAAGATCTTGCCACTGCACTCCAGTCTGGGCAACAGAGCAGGACTCCACCACCAAAAAAAAAAAAAAAAAAAAGGGAAATGCAGGTGCTCTCGTGGTGGGAGGGTTCTAAGAGCGAGACCTGTCTCTCTCTTGCCATGGGTCCCTTTCTCTGCCAGCTTCAGATTGCACTTGCTGGATTCTCCCCCAAGACTGGAGCCTTGCTCTCCTTTTAAAGCACTGTTCATGATACCAGTGGCTGCATTCACAACCTGAGGGCTGTGGGGATGCCCCCCACAAATCCCAGTATCCTCTCTGCTGAGCATTGCCACAAATTAACAAGATCAATGAGAAGACCCCTGACCAGTCAGGTACCACTACCAGTCCCCAAAGGGTGCGTGTGCAGAGGAAATTCCAAACAAGTGTGTACTATGGCAAAACCCTGATGAGTCCAGCCAGTCTTAGATGGCCTACAAGGCCTCTTTTTGTTTCTCTAGCCTCAGGCCCAGACCAAGGTGGCCCTATCTTCTGAGACGGTGTTTCTCAACATTGATTGCATAAGAGAATCATCAGGAAGCTTGGAAAATATTCAATTAAATGACAATCTCTGAAGTAGGGCTTGAGCACTGGCATTGTTTCTGTTGATCAAGGCATAAACCATGTAAAGTGTGGGAAGTGTGTTAATCTTGAGTATAGCTTATGTGTTAATTATTATGTATTATATATGTATTAGTCCATTTTCATACTGCTATGAAGAAATACCCAAGAGTGGGTAATTTATAAAGAGAAAGAGGTTTAATAGACTTATAGTACCATATGGCTGGGAAAGTCTCACAATCATGGCAGAAGGTAAAGGAAGAACAAAGGCACGTCTTACATGGCAGCAGGCAAGACAGCAAGTGGAGGGGAACTGCCCTTTATAAAACCATCAGATGTCGTGAGACTTACTCACTATCATGAGAACAGCACAAGAAAAACCCACCCCCATGATTCAATTACCTCCCACTGGCTCACTTCCATGACACGTGGGGATTATGGGAGCTACAATTCAAGATGAGATTTGGGGCTGGGCATGGTGGCTCACAGGTGTAATCCCAGCACTTTGGGAGGCCAAGGCAGGCAGATCACTTGAGGTCAGGAGTTCAAGACCAGCCTGGCCAACATGGTGAAACCCTCTCTCTACTAAAAATACAAAAATTAGCCAGGCGTGGTGGCCTGTACCTGTAGTCCTAGCTACTCGGGAGGCTGAGGCAGGATAATCGCTTGAACCCAGGAGGCGGAGGTTGCAGTGAACCGAGATCACGCCACTGCACTCCAGCCTGGGCAACAGAGTGATACAGTAAGACTCCATCTAAAAAAAAAAAAAAAGTTGACATTTGGGTGAGGACACAGTCAAACCATATCTGTATCTATATCTACATCTATATCTGCTTATTTTCACAGATACAGATACATACACACACAGATCAAGATATACATTTTGAGCATTCTAGAAAGTCGCCTTCAGTCTCTTCCCAATAATTAACTACAATTTATTTTTCCATTCTCCTGTTTCTACTTTTTTGCTATATGCATACAGTAAGCATTGTTCATTTTACACATCCTTTCGTGGACATTTGCTTCCATTTCTCTTTAAACCTCCCCACCCCTCTTTTTTTACAGATGCCTGTCTGGGTGAGCTGGTTTCAAGCATGGGTATTTTTTGAAAGCTCCCTCTGGTGATTCTAGAATTCTAAGATTCAGCATTGAGACCCACTGCCTTAGGACCACACTGATTATAAACTGAGGCACAAATGTGCTCAATGGATAGAGGCTTCTCTGTGAGGCTGAGTACAGAACTTGTGGGAATCTTCATGTCTCTCCTCCTTTGGGTGCCACTCTTATATTCCACTTGAGTTCCCATGGTGGGGAGAAGGGGTTGGGGAGGGTCCTATGGGGGAGGCAGCCCCATGCGTATTTTATCACACCAGCTCTGTGAGTAGAAGGCAAGGAAGTCACCCAGATGAGTCTTTGAAAAAGACTGTAGGCCAGAAGACCCTTTTTGTTCCTCCTACCAACAGGTAGGCCCTGCCGTATCCTTGAGAACCATCTCAGAGGACCCTCTTTTGGGATGCAGCTTCCTCATCCCAAAGCTTTGGAAAACCCTGAGCTTCCCCACTAGGGCTGACCTGTCTGCCTTTCATCATTACATAGAACCAGAAGTGTGCTGATGACTTCATGTCTTGGAGTTTCTCTAATTTCAGCATTATTCTTGAGATGGACTGGAAGTCATATGAAGACCAGAGAGAATGCAGTGATTACAACGAGGCAGGCTTCAGGGCAAGGGCCTGGAATGATTTGGGCAAGAAACTCCTGGAAAACCTCTCTCAGGTATTTAGCCAGAGGTGAGGAGGGTGGGCAAAGAGTTATTTTCAGGGTATTTTTCAGACACTTTAAAAATTTTAGGGTGGTTAATTTAAGAGTGATTTTGAATCCCAGCAAATCTCCTATGTCTCACTCAGGGGCTCTAAAGTGTGTTCTGCAGGCCAGCAGCATCGGCGTCACCTGGAAACATGTCCAAAATGAAAATTATTTGGCCCCACCCAGACCTGTTGACTCAGAAACTCAAGAGGTGAGGGCCAGCAGTCCGTTTTAGCGAGGCTTCCATAGGATTCTGATGCACACTCAACTTTGAAAACCACCATTTGTGGTAGAGTCTACCCCCTGCCTTAATGGGTGATCAGTATGGAGAAGTCACATTTGGTAGATTTTCCCTTGTAAACATTTCTTCTTTTTTGAGTTTAAAAAAAAAAAAAAAAAAAAAACAATCCGCCTTAGTGTCCCAAGCGTTTGGACAGAGACACAGAGAATTGCTTACTAGCTTTGGGGAGATTATGACATTTTTGCAAGATAAGTAACTTTTAGCTCCATTTTCCTATCCAGTCTACAGAATGTCCATTCTGTTAATCTCTGCTGATGGGGGAAAGGAGGTGGCAGGGTAAAAGTTTCACTCCCTACCTATCCCCATAGGAAGGGCACAGAACGTCTCACCCTTTGCTGCACTAGCCTCCAGGCCCAGGGCTGTGAAGCACGCCTTGTGTTTGCTTGCTGAGTTCCAGCTGGAGTGCTTGATGAGGAAGTAAACAGAGTTTATGCACAAAGAGAGAACATGTACTCAGTGTCTCCACATGCCAGACTCTGGTACAGAAGCAACAGATACAGAGGAAGTCACGAGCTTTGTTCTTAAGGAGGCTAAGTAACAAAAATTTAACCACTTGGAACAGGTGCAACTTCTGGGATATGTCTGAGTCAGTTCAGGCTGCCATAATTGAATACCGTAGACTGGGTGGCTTATAAACAGCAGAAATCTGTTTCTGAAAGTTCTAGAGGCTGGGAAGTGTAAGATCAATGCACTGGTAAACTCAGCATCTAATGGGGGCCTGCTTCCTGTTCATAGACGGCCATCTTCTGGCTGTGTCCTCACATGGTGGAAGGATCAAGAGATCTCTCTGGGGTCGCTTTTTTATTTTCTTTTTTTTCCCTGAGGTCTCTTTTATAAGAACACCAGTACCATTCATGAGGTCTCCATCCTCATGACCCAATCACCTCCCAAATACCCCATCTCCTAATATCACCAGATTGGGGTTCAGGATTTCAACATATGAATTTTGGAGTATGCAAACATTTACTCCATAACAGGAGATAATTAATTATAAACAACTTCATTTTTACCTTCCAAGGCCTTGGATGAAATTCATGGCTGGGTGTGTCACTCATAGGAATGAAAACCACTCGTTTCAGTTCAGAACTTAGTAAGTCCTGCCCAGCACAAGTTTAAAAACAAAAAAGCCCTCCAACTTCTTTCTCAGGAGCTCTGGGCTGGACGTCTGCAGTGAGGAAGGACGGGAAGCTTGGTTAACTGCTCTCCAAACTTGAGCTTCTAGCTCTCATCCCAAGTTACTTAGGGAAGTTTCATCCTCTCCAGGGTTGGGAGTGTACAATAACTGGGAGGGAGGTGGGTAAGACCTTACTTGAGTAATACTGTCATGAGATGCACGGGGAAGGAATTAAATGCTGACACTTTTTCTTTCCTCATTTTGGAAATTCACCCTCTAATGGATGGGATCCTCCCTGGACATGGGAGGAGGCATCTCTGCTTTTCCTGGTTGCTTAGAATCCATCTGCAGCTCCTCGGCATGCAGGAGTCAACCACCAGCTTGGTTTTGCTCTTGCTCCACACCTCACCCCTCCAAGGCAGTGGTTGTAATCAGGATCTAAGAAAATCTTAACACCATCTGTCTTAAATGCGAAGCCCCTCTCTGCTTCATGGGTCACACACATACTTTGTGCTCACAAACTCAGGAGAGGAGGCCAACCTCATGCAGCCATTAGGGACACCGTCAGCTATGACCTGGAGCCCTTTGGAGTTCTCAGGTGTGTCATGTTCTCCAGTTTACAAGGAACAAATAAAAGCTGCTTGAGGGGCCCTTTTGAAAACCTCTTTCCCACAGCTTGAAATGAGGCAGGCATCCCCTACTACCCCCTCTTTATGGGGATAGGACTCTCAGCTGACTGACAGTTCTCTCCAACAACCTTCTTCTAATTGCCAACCGCTGATGCGGCTGAGCTTGAAAGTTATGTATGAAGTTAAACAGAAAATTACCATATGACCTCACAATTCCATTCCTAGGTATACACCCAAAAGAATGGAAAAAAGGGACTAAAATAAGTACATGTACACCCATGTTTTCAGCACTGCTCACAATAGCCAAACAGTGGAAACAACCCAAGTGCCCACCAACAGAGTATGGAGAAACAAAATGTGGTCTATCCATATGATAGATTATTATTCAGCCATCAAAAGGAATGAAGTACTGATTCATGTTACAACACGGCTGAACCTTGAAAGCATTATACTAGGAGAAAGAAGCTCATTCACAAAAGGGCACATATTGTATGATTCTATTTATGTGCAATGTGCACAATAGGCAAATTCATAGACAGAAAGCAGCTTAGTGGTTGCCAGAAGCTGGAAGTGAGGGGAATGGGGAGTGACCATTTACAGGACACAGCACAGGATTTCCGTTTGGGATAATAAAAAGGTTTTGGAACTAGAGGTGGTGGTTGTATAACATTGTGAATGTACTGAATTATCTGCTTTACAATGGTTAATGTTATGTGAATTTCCTCTTAATAATTTATTACTTTTGTTTGTTTTTTTTTGAGACAGAGTCTTGCTCTGTTGCCCAGGCTGGAGTACAATGGCATCATCTCCATTGACTGCAACCTCAGCCTCCTCAGTTCAAGCAATTCTCCTGCCTCAGCCTCTCAAGTAGCTGGGATTACAGGTGCCCACCAATGCATCCAGCTAATTTTTGTATTTTTAGTAGAGATGTTTCACCATGTTGGACAGGCTGGTCTCAAACTCCTGACCTCAGGTGATCCACCCACCTCGGCCTCCTAAAGTGCTGGGATTACAGGTGTGAGCCACCGCCCCTGGCCAAGTTATTACTTTTTGTAAAGTTATGTATGATTGCCCTCTGGCTCCCCTCTGACCTTTCTGCCTGAATCTTTCTGTCTCATCCACATGGCTCTGTCCCAGGTGCTCATCCCATTTTTTGTCTGCATTCCTCCTTGGCGAGGTGGTCCATGGCATCACCTCTCACATCTATGCAGGTGATTCCCTGGGGAATATCCTGCCCTGCTCACTCTCTTGAAACCCGGGACCCATTTTAAATGGGCTTCTGGAATGCTATGCTTTAATGTGAACCCCTTGCACCAAATTCACTCCCACATTTTTGCTCCCCAAACTTATTCTTCTCCACTTTTGATGTAGGCTCAGATGGAACTGGATTAAGCATACCAATGATAAAGCTTCCAAGGAGGGGTCTGATGTCAGAGGATGATTCATACTTGCCTCAACCTGCCCAGTGCTCACTTTCCTCTGTCTGCCTGGAGTGAGCTTTGTGCTGTGGCACCTCAAACACAGGTAGAAAAGATAATCTGAATTCTCTTTGGGGATGTTTATGGAGTCCAGAGAGTTACGGTAGAAAACCCTCATCATACCCTTATAATGAGCCTGTACCTTTCCAGTGTACCAGACTGATGGCCAAGGACCAAGTAAATCACTTAATGGTTTGGGTGACATTATATGAGTATGCAGGTGTATCTAGAAGAATATGTGCATTAATTACACATTAATTACCTTAAGTGTTATACTTAAGGTGCTGAGTTTATACTCAGACAGCTTTATTACAGGTAAAGGGTACAATACTGCAACCGCAGGAGAGAGAAGAGTATCAAAAGGGATCTGCAGCTCTCAGGCACAGGCTTCTTTGTCTTCCCATTGCTGAGTCACACAAGACATGCTTGGTTTCTAGGTCTCAGACACCATCAGCGTTCACACAGAGAATATGAGAACTGGAAACCCAGGTCTACTTGCAGGGAGGGTCTCTTCTAGTGAGCTGGTCCCCTAGGCCATTCCAGCTACATGGCCAGCCTTAAAGGTCAACCCAGGCTCCACCAACATCAGATGCATATAATAATTATTATGATTACTAAACATTGCAGGTAGACTGGTACATCCTTTCGGGAAACTACTCAGGAACTCATGGTTAAAACACATTATTTCTCTTTAGTGAATGCATTCCATAGTTTTAGCTAAGGTCACTACCATGCAGCAGGTAGCTCTGGAGATAAGCACGCAATCAATCCAGACCAGCTGAAATGAACCCAGACTAAACCACATGGCAAACGTGTTCGACAGCCACAGCCATTTTCTTCAGGTCAGTCTGCAAGGCTTGCAAACTCAGAATTAGAGAAACTGCCACAAGTACAAACACCCGCATGACCCTGAGAGGCTCTGAAAAGCCCTCCTTAGCTGCCCTGGAGTGAGACATAGGTAACGTGGCTAAGGGACATCTGAACATAGTCACTTTATTTTTACAGTATTTCTGTGTGTCTGTGATGGAGCCTTCTTAAGCGCAAGAACACTGCTCCCATGAGATGCAGGATTTGTGGATTGTGAGCATTCAGATGATAATGCTGTCTCGTGTGCATATAGAGGATCTCCTGAGCAACCCAGAGGCCTTTCCAGGATTAATGGAAAGTTCCCCTGTGTTTCTCCCATCTGTCCTTGGAGCTATTCTCCTCATAGCTTTTGCTGTTTTAACTACGGGAAGGAATAAACTAGGTGCGGACTGAATAATGAGGGAGGATGTGCACCCTTAATCAGTTTCTAACAGCTTATGCTTTGGGCTTAGTTTGAGTTGTTCTTTTGCCAGCATCTACAGTAGCAGCAGGAACCCTGGCATGGCTGTTTCCTAATCTTCAGAAGTTGGTCAGCTGTCTGTCCCAATCAAGGCAAGGAAGCTACAGCTACTGGTTCAGGGAATGGAACCACCTGTATTTTCAGTAAATGCTTTACCGCACCTTACAGTTTCCTAAGGCTGGACCATGCCCATGACAACAAGGTTGTGGAGGTAACAGAGCAACAGGGTGGAAAGAGCTTGAGCCTCTAAATGACTGCTTAGAACAAATCTGCCTTCAGACCTCACATGCTCCCCTTGGGCTGTAACGTGAGAGAGAAACTTCTATCTTCTTTCAGCCACTGAATTATTTACTGGGTCTCTTTATTGGCTGTATTCTACTCAATATAGAAATGGGCACCTTAGTACTGGGGTGATTCTGTAAAATGTGTGTGTGTGTGTGTGTGTGTGTGTGTGTGTGTGTGTACTTGTGAACAGCAGGAGGTCGGGAAACAGACACTGCAACTGCAGGATGGGGAGCTGGAGATTGTTCTTATGGCAGGCCAGAATATTTGCATAACTCAGTAGACATTTGTGATAACTTAGAAGGCAGGCCGCATGCTTATGTGCTCTCCAGGCAGCAGCTGGCAAGAGCCAGAATTTTAGCATGTGTTGGCTCTTAGGGACAGTGGGTGCTTTTTTTTTTTTTTTTTTTTTGAGATGGAGTCTCGCTCTGTCGCCCAGGCTGCAGTGCAGTGGTGCAATCTCAGCTCATTGCAAGCTCCGCCTCCTGGGTTCATGCCATTCTCCTGCCTCAGCCTCCCGAGTAGCTGGGACTACAGGTGCACACCACCATGCCCAGCTAATTTTTTTTTTTTTTTGTATTTTAGTAGAGATGGGTGTGTCACTGTTGCCCAGGCTCGTCTCGAACTCCTGAGCTCAGGCAATCCACCCGCCTTGGCCTCCCAAAGTATAGGATTACAGGGCTGAGCCACTGCGCCTGGCCCAATGGGTGCTTTTATCAGACACTGTCAGCACCCCACCCTTATCCCCATGTCTGAGCCACTTCATTGTACACAGCCTAATTTCCAACTCAGTTGTACCATCTCCCTTCTTGGCACTGGTCTGTGCTGAAGGTAGGCGCCACTGGTCTGAGAAAAAGCAGACCTGGCGCAGGACCAAGACTAGGAGTTTGTTTGCTATTGAATGAAGCTGATGAGAAGGAAAGTTTGGGAGGTAAGAACACAGGCTTTGGCTCCGACTGCCTGGGTTTGGATCTCTCCTTTCATGCAAGTTAATCAAACTCTCTGAGTGAGTTCCTTCCTTTGTAAAATGGAGGTGAAACTAGCTGTATGTATCTCAAAGGAGCATGGTAAAAATTTAATGGAATAATCCATAGCAGATGCTCAGCACAGTGCCTAGTTCAGAGCTAGCCCTTGAGAAGGATGAGCCATGACTGACAGAAGCATGCAGGTATCCTCTGCCATCTGGCGACAAGGTCAGTTTTCTATTTAAATGTGTGTAAGTGCCACATTTGATCTACAGATAGGACGGCACACATGTGGGTGTTCATTGTAGTGTTTTGGGAATAGCTATATGTACATCTCATGGATTCCTGGTTAGTGTGAAGGGTAAGAAAAGTCCTCCTGGCCTCCGAGGAAGGCTCCTAGCTATACAAGCTGCTTTTCCTTTAGGGACCACTGCCACCTCCTGGTCACATTCTATACTTGCAGGTAAAGGTGAACATCTTGAGTCAACTGAAAACACTGAAAGTAGTGTGAGGAACCCTTTCCATTATCTTTAAGTACCTGTAGATTTTAATTCATTAAAGAGGGATTGTAGCCACCTGGGGTTCAAGCCAGCATTTTTCCCTGAGCCTGTCAATAATTTTGATTTGATCTTTAACCCTTTCCATTATCAACGAAGGAACTTCTGCCACCTTCATGCTTATCTTGGGAAGTTCCTTCCTAAATTTCTCCTTTAGAGCGCCTGGAACCTTGTGATCCTCTACTAATGAGTTCTGAAATAATTCTCGTTTTTACTAAACATCTTATCACCTAGCAGTCTCTCTCATGTCCAGAAGAATACACAATTAGATGAATCCAATAGTGAGTGGAAAAATTAAAAGCATGCTAAGACAGTACAGGTTCTCACTGGATGGTCTATTGAATAGTTAAGGAAACGCAGGTGTGAAAACATTGCCTGACCTCAGAGCAGCTATGTTCCCAAACTCCCAGTGCTAAGAGAGAACTTAACGTACTTCCCCAATTCCAGTTGAAACCATCCTAAGAACCCCCCTTTTTAATTTGTTCTTTATATTCATAGAACTTGACATAGTAGGCACTCAAATAAGTATTCCTAAATGTAGGAATTTAGAAGGAATGAACTCTAAGCACATCTGTATCAACCTCTCACCAAACACTTTGCATATGACATATGGCTTAATTCTCACGGCAACTTTGTAAGTCAGAAATCTGATCTAAAATAAGCAAACTGTCAACAATTCCACAGAAAACGCATCAGGCCCCTAATTTGTGTTCCCTGCCTGATCCCAAAGGTTGAACCCTTGTGAGAAAAGACATCAACCCTCTAGCAGGGGCAGACAAATTAAAGTCTGGGATCCAAATCTGGCCTGCCACTTGCTTTTGTACATCCTGAAGGGATTTTACTTTTTGTTGTAGTTGTTGTTTTGTTTTTGTTTTTTTTTTTCTGAGACAGAGTCTCATTCTGTTGCCCAGGCTGGAGTGCAGTGGTTTGATCTCGGCTCACTGCAACCTCCACCTCCCAGGTTCAAGCAATTCTCCTGCCTCAGTCTCCTGAGTAGCTGGGATTACAGGTGCCCTCCAACACGCCTGGCTAATTTTTGTATTTTCAGTATAAATGGGGTTTCACCTTGTTGTGAGGCTGGTCTCGAATTCCTGACCTCAGGTGATCTGCCTGCCTCGGCCTCCCAAAGTGCTGGGATTACAGGTGTGAGCCACCGCACCCAGCCCGATTTTACATTTTTTAATGGTTGACAGAGATCAAAGAAAAATATTTTGTGACATGTGAAAATTATATAAAATGAAAATTTTTATGTTCATAAATACAGTTTTACTGGAACGCAGCCACACTAGTTCATTTCCATGTTGTTTATGGCCACTTACAGGTGACAGTGGCAGAACTGGGTGGCTCTATGACCCACAAAGGCTAAAATATTCACTATCTGACCCTTTACTAAAAAGCTTTGCAAAAAAAAAAAAAAATTAGAATGAACCCAGCTGGTCACATACACACCTGCTCTGTGTTGTTCCTAACCAGTTTTGGGTCAAAAGATATAGAGATTTGAAAACACCTTTGCAAAGATTATGACAGTGAGAGAAATCTAGCATGGCTGGCTCCATCTTGCCCCTAACCTCACAGGCTAGCTGTTATCACTCATTCCTGGGTGTAGGCCAACCTAACCATGGGAAGAATTTATTTTATAGTTTAAAACAAGGATGATAATAGCCCTTCCCTAAACTAAACCACCTTTGTAAAACTAATGAAAGGCCACAAGATTAGGATTACAAGAGGGGCCTGAATTCTGCTAAGATATAGGTGTAGTTAAATGGTAACCAGCGGCTAGGTCCAGGGTCCGGTTCCAGCCCATGCTGAGGTCCGAAGGGAGTGGGTGGATAAATGGCAGATAGCTGAAAGAACATTTGGGGGGCCGTAGGTAGGTGAAATACAGCAGCTCTCTTACACTGTCTCATCAGCAGCTCTCTTACACTGTCTGCTCTGTCTTGGCTGCTTGCTCTGGCAGCTCCCATGCACGGCTGCATGGCCAGCTCGCCCTTCAGGGTCAGCAGCTTAACTCTTTCTCTCTCTGGGCACGAGCAAGCTGAGCGGTGTCCTGGCTCCCCTCTGTCTATCTGCAAAGTCAGCTTTGACTCTTTCTCTTTCTTAGGGTGTGAGCATCTGTACAGTGTCAGCAGGGCAGTTATACCTTTTACAGACAATAGTGGCATAGAGCCAAGTGATGGCCTTCCCATATTATGGCTACATAGCTGTGTTTACATTATAACAAGCAGAGTTACACACCTGCACTACAAACTCGCTGAGTCATACAGGATATAAACATCCTACCTTGGCCTATCCTTGACCAAAGCACATTCATTAACTTACACCAGCCATTGTTCTGGAGGCTACAGGATCTGTAACTTCTCCGATCACTCCCATAAGTAACATCACTATTGTAGAACCTAAGATTGGTCTTTGAGATGTTTTTCAGAGTTTTGCATTTCTGGCAACCAACTGACTCTGTCTGGATCCATGTGACTTGTGACTCAACAGTTACTGTGGCCCCTGGCCAGAGGTGAACTCAGTGCACAAGGACCATTTTCCACATCCCTATGATTTCATCCCCAACCAGTCAACATTCCCCATTTCCTAGCCCCCTGCCCACCAAACTATCCTTGAAAAACCCAAGCCTTTGGGGAGACTGATTTGAGTAATAACTCTGTCTGCTGCATGGCCAGCCTTGCATTAATTACACTCTTTACTGCAATACCATGGTCTCAGCAAGATGGTTTTTTCTCTGCAGTGGGCAGGAAGAATGTGTTAAGCAATTGCAGATGCTACAAAGACACTTAGAATTGTCACTAGGGGTTTTCTTATGCATCCTAGCTCCCTTACTTTTTTTTTTTTTTTTTGAGACAGTCTCATTCTGTCACCCAGGCTGGAGTGCAATGGCATGATCTCAGCTCACAGCAAACTCCACCTCCTTGTTTCAAGTGATTCTCCTGCCTCAGCCTCCTGAGTAGCTGGGATTATAGGCCCCCACTACTATACCCAGCTAGGCTGGTCTTGAACTCCTGTCCTCAAGTGATCCACCCACTTCGGCCTCCCAAAGTGTTTGGATTACAGGTGTGACCCATGGCACCTGGCCCCTTACTACCTTTAGAGAGATGATAGGCTCCAGGTGTAATAAGCTCAAGCTCTTCCCCAAACCACATTCTCAGTATAAAGAGAAATTGTGTTGTTCTCAACACAATACAGAGGAGAGGTGACTATAGTCTCTTGTTCGAGCTTCAACACAAAGTTAAAATGTCTTTGCCTCACTGATAATTCTTTTCAGTTCTGTGGTTAAGAACTCTGACTTTGGTAAGACTGCCTAGATACGGATGACTTTATGCGAGTCATCACTTCAACTATTTGTGCTTCAGTTTCTTAAAAGTGAAAAGGGAGGAATAACATGACTTAGCATATAGTTGTAATAGGTTGTAGCTGCCCTATTACCACATTTCATCAAATCTCATACGCCATCAATTGGAATTTGAATTTCTAAATATAACCATTAAGAAAAAGCACTGCCATTTAGACCACAACCCAATACCCTCTGATCACTGAGAATGTTTATTTTGTGCCCATTGAATAGCTCCTTTGGGCTTATTTAAATATAGATATTTATGATACATCACTCTTGTGCATGCATAAAAAAGGGAAGAACAAACAAAATAAATTGGCCAAGGTATTCCTAAGACATCTTTGTGTTAAAGTCTAAAGGTATTCCTAAGACATCTTTATGTTAAAGTCTAGCTCTCCTGAGTTCTTTTTCCACATTTTTATACACATGATCATCCTCTGTGGCCATGTGTGTCAGTGCAGTATTTCTTTTCTTTTTTTGAGACAGGATTTCGCTCTGTTGTCCAGGGTGGAGTGCAGTGGCATGATCGTAGCTCATTGCACCCTTAACCTCCTGGGTTCAAGTGATCCTCCTGCCTCAGCCTCCAAGTGGGACTACAGGTGTGTGCCACCATGCCCGGCTAATTTTTTGCTTTTGTAGAGATGCAGTCTCACTCTGTTGCCCAGGCTAGTTTCAAACTCCTAGCCTCAAGCAATCCTCCCGCCTCAGCTTGCCAAAGTTGTTAGGATTACAGGCATGAGCCACTGTGCCTTGCCAGCACAGTATTTCTTAAGGGGGTACTCCACTATTGAATCTGGTATTTCCTTCCAAGTCAGCCATACCCATTCTGTAAATTTGGTGACTGGCACTTTCCCACTGGACTAAGCTCATAGTTAAATAAGCAGGCAGCTTCCATCAAACTCATGCTTGCCATCCTAAAAGTGATCCAAATGATGAACAAATTATTTACAATAGCTTCTCATTCTTTGAAATGTTTAAAATCTATTCTAAGGCTTGTCCATTCCTCTTGCCTTCCATTGCATGGGTTAGTATGTAAACAACACATGCATGGCCAGCAAGGCTGAAAACTCAATTACGGTGACCCCAATAGAAATAGCCACACCCAAGTTTTCCCTTGCTTAGGTCAGGCCAGGTACTCATGTCTGTGCCCACGCAGCAGGGATTGTAAGACACATTCTAATTGCAGAGATAATAAAATGTTCAGAAGTGAGACCCTTAGAAACGGTGGCATGTGATGCTCTTCTTTTATTGCTTCTCCTAGCATTGTCCCTTTTATGATTCTGCTTTAACTCAAACTGTCAGAAAGGGTGTAGCAACAAGCAATATGACTGTGGTGCCCAGGATTCCAAAAAGAATCCTTCAGTGTTACCATGCCAACCAGCATCCATCCCAAGAGTTGCCTCTGAATAAGGTGGGTCCACCTGTGGTGTGTCAGCCACTGGCAAACACCAGAGGCTGCAGGGCACAGAAAAAAAAAACCCAATCTTGGCTGTATTCCTCCCAGTGCCCAGCATTCTTAGGTGTGGAGGTGACAGATGAGTCAAACAATCATAGGGCAACAAAGGATGCATCCTGTGGCCTGCAGAACCTCAGGGAAAGCTCATATCCTTCCTTTGAATTTGGAGGGTCGGGTGAGGATGGGCAGACATTTGCAAAAGTAAAGTCTATTTGAGGGTCCTGTCCAGAGACCTCTGTGCAGGAACTAGCTGCCTGCTTCCAGGTGAGACTTAAAAAAAAAAAAAAAGAAAGAAAGAAACGGCCAGGCGCAGTGGCTTATGCCTGTAATCCCAGCACTTTGGGAGGATGAGGTGGGCGGATCACAAGGTCAGGAGTTCAAGACCAGCCTGGCCAACATGGTGAAACCCCGTCTCTACTAAAAATACTAAAAAATTAGCTGGGCGTGGTGGCACACGTCTGTAGTCTCAGCTACTCAGGAAGCTGAGGCAGGAGAATCACTTGAACCTGGGAAGCAGAGATTGCAATGAGCCGAGACGGTGCCATTGCACTCCAGCCTGGTGACAGAGCAATACAAGCATACATTTGTTTGTTTATATTTACCTGTATTATCTATTTAAATATTTTGTTTTATGGCACCACCTATTAACATTCATTTAATGTATTTTATATGTATTTGATGTATGCTGATCAATTATTTCACCACATGTTATATTCCTTCTTTTTTTTTTGAGACAAGAGTCTCGCTCTCTCGCCCAGGCTGGAGTGCAGTGGCATGAGCTTGGCTCACTGCAAACTCCACCTCCGGGGTTCAAGCCATTCTCCTGCCTTAGCTTCACGAGTAGCTGGGATTACAAGCGTGTGCCGCCATACCCATGTTCACACTCATGTCTGAGACCAATTTAGATTAAATAAATTAGAATATCTGGGGCTGAGGCCCAAGCACTGGTTTGTCTGTTTATTGATTTTTGAGACAGTCTCATTTTGTTGCCCAGGCTGGAGGGCAGTGGCATGATCTTGGCTCACTGCAACCTCCGCCTCCTGGGTTCAGGCAAGTCTCATGCCTCAGCCTCCCAAGTAGGTGGGATTACAGGCATGTGCCACCACACCTGGCTAATTTTTGTATTTTTAGTAGAGATGGGGTTTCACCATGTTGACCAGGCTGTTATTGAACTCCTGGCCTCAAGTTATCCGCCTGCCTTGGTCTCCTAAAGTACTGGGATTACAGGCATGAGCCACCACACCCAGCCAGCACTAGTATTTTTAAAATCACTTGAGCTGATCCTAATGTAAGCACAGGTTAGAGCCACTGCACAGGGTGGTATTGCTCAAGGCTTGCTGCATATGGGTCACCTGGGATGCTCTTAGAGCATATTAATACCTGGACCCCAACCCATGTCAACTGAATCCAAATTTTAAAACTCTCTGGGTGATTCTAATGTGGAGTCAGAATTGAGATGTGCTGCCCTCGACCAAATAAGAATAACTTCTTACTTTGCTTCTCATCTCAAATTATGTAACCATGTCACTCAAACAAACTTATGTTATTGGTCCTTATGTTATTAAGTCCAAACTTGGCCGGGCGCGGTGGCTCACGCCTGTAATCCCAGCACTTTGGGAGGCCGAGGCGGGCGGATCACGAGGTCAGGAGATCGAGACCATCCTGGTTAAAACGGTGAAACCCCGTCTCTACTAAAAATACAAAAAATTAGCCGGGCGTAGTGGCGGGCGCCTGTAGTCCCAGCTACTTGGGAGGCTGAGGCAGGAGAATGGCGTGAACCCGGGAGGCGGAGCTTGCAGTGAGCCGAGATCCCGCCACTGCACTCCAGCCTGGGCGACAGAGCGAGACTCCGTCTCAAAAAAAAAAAAAAAAAAAAAAAAAAAAGTCCAAACTTATGTTATTGTGCATCAGCCCACATAATAAAAACTTCTTCCAGTGGTCAAATGAATTCCTTGATCTTACCCTGAAATTAAAGTCTGAACATACAGAGATATTTTCCTCTTTCCCCCACTTTCTTCTTAATCTGTTTAGCCACAGTTGGAGGGGCCTCGTTCGAGAATCTAAGTGGAGTCAAAGTTCTGCTTCACCAAGGCCCACAAAATGGTGAGTCGGTAGGCTGCACAAACACACAAAAGCCCCCAACAAATATTCACAACACCCCAGAACCACACGTGGCTGTGTTTGCAGCTTATCAGTCATGTATCAGTTCCCCCATTTTCAAACATAAGTGGCAGGCCCAGACATATTCATTTCTCATACTCTAGACCGATGGTTCTCAAAGGAGGTCCCTGGACCAGCAGCAGCAGCATCTCCAGGGAGCTAGGTAGAAAATTCTGGGGCTTCGCTCCAGATCTACTGATCAGAAATTCTGGGATGGGACCCAGAATCAGTAGATCTGATTCAGTAGATCAGAAATGGGGCCCAGATTTGTAACAAGCCCTCCAGGTGATGCAGAACTCACTCCAATTTGAGAGCCAGGGCTCACCAGAGGCTCTTTGATATAACCAGCTGAAGACCGCTGCAGAGACTGAATGTTCCATACATGAGCAGACAGAGAAAAACCAAACTGATTTGTGTTTTTACTTGTCTCAGGTAGCAGTAGACTCATTCCAGTTGTCCAGAGTCCACCCACTTTGAACTTAGAACAAAGAGAACTCTCCATCCAGAGTTTGGATAACTCTCCCATCAAGGTTAACTGACATTGAGATCACCATGTCTTCGCAACATGAAACAATGCGCACCATGCAAATACTCTTCTTTCTCCCAGAGAAAGCATGTGAATGCTTGGGCAACATTTAGAAATTGCCGATGTGGCATCTCCAGGTATTTCCTGAGTCCCCATTTTTTCACTTGGTGTCATCTTGTACATTTAAAATCTTTTGCATTCTCCTTTTCAATTTCCCATTTGTTCTCTATGTCCCTAGCAGCTCAATTCTGAATTTGGTGTGAGTTCCGTGTAGGGAGGAGTATAGTCACTGCCCTCTCATGGCCCAGGAATCCCCTAACTAAAATGAGCAGTGCTCCAAAGTAACCTCATGGCCTTGTGTGTCTCACAATGACAGCCTCTGTCACAAATACAAAACAGGGGAGATGAGCCTGGGTAATGGACACAGGCCCCCATCCCTTCCCACAGATACACATCACAGAGCAAAGACCCTGCATAACTGCCCTCTACTGGGTAAAGGGTTAATGCCTTTTAACATTGGTAGTTTTGTGGTTAGAGCATCCCAAAAAATAACTTCCATTGTGAGTGTTGTACCCTCCTCTACCATTGCAGGAGACTTGCTTTTTCACACATGGCCTGAGTTCCTTCCTTCCCAGCACGCCTGCCTGCCAAATCTCATCCCTACCTCTGCCTGAGGCCTCCAGATGTTAGTAGTGATGGATGGAAACAGGACCAGGACTGAATCCATACGTGGTCACAGCACCACTGCCCCTGGTTCCTGGAGGCAGCCTGGAGAGGAAGCTTTATTCCTCATTAGTGAGAGAGCTGATGGCTACATGTTGACATGAAGGACTCCTTTTGTTGTATTCAACATAAAGCCCCTTTCCCCAAACTCTTACTCTGGTTTCTTTATTTTCCTACTCCCTCTACTACCTCCAACTCTTTTTCTTTTCTTTCTTTCTTTCTTTCTTTTTTTTTTTTTTTTTGCTGGAACTTTATTGTGGTATAATTTACTTAACAAAGTTTACTCATTTCAAGTGTATGATTCTCAGTACATTTAAAATTGAGCAACCCATATACACCATGGAATACTATGCAGCCAGAAAAAATGATGAGTTCATGTCCTTTGTAGGGACATGGATGAAATTGGAAATCATCATTCTCAGTAAACTATCACAAGGACAAAAAACCAAACACCGCATGTTCTCACTCATAGGTGGGAATTGAACAGTGAGAACACATGGACACAGGAAGGGGAACATCACACTCTGGGGACTGTTGTGGGGTGGGGGGAGGGGAGAGGGATAGCATTAGGAGATATACCTAATGCTAAATGACGAGTTAATGGGTGCAGCACCCCAGCATGGCACATGTAAACATATGTAACTAACCTGCACATTGTGCACATGTACCCTAAAACTTAAAGTATAATAAATAAATAAATAAATAAAATAAAAATAAAATTGTGCAACCATCACCACAGTTTAATTTTATCACATTTTTATCACCCTATTTGCAGTCAATTTTGGGTCCTTTCTTTTGGCAGCTGCGATGCCTGGGCCATCTGCTGTCACCATCTCCTGGGAGAGATGATCTCGAAGAGAAGAGCCCAGAGAAAGTTCATCCAAAGGAAGAAAGTTCTTTGTTGCTCCCACCAAAACCTCACTCTTCCCCTAGACTTGGGCTCCTATCACAGCCTTGGCTTTGATCCCTGAGAGCCTCTTTCCTGGACAGTACAGTGCGGGGAGATGGTGCAAGCCCATTTCGACTTCACACGCATGTGAAGCTGCCAATGTGTGCTTCTGTGGGAAGAGCAGTTAAGAGCCGGGGTTCAAATGCAAGCACTACCATTTACAAGCTATGCATTGAAAAACTAACCTCCCGGGGCTGCAGTTTCCTACTATGTAAAATGGAAATCAATATAAATATAAATATAAATGTATCATAGTCATGGAGAGCCTGGAGTGCCTGTCACATTCTCAGTGACATTCACAAGTGTTATCCACTGTTACTAGACTTTGATCAAATTTTTAAAGGGGTGCCCCCACTTCCAAATTCAGAACTCTCACCACTTAGAGGTTGAAAGATATCACCCCTGACAGGTGCCACAGAACACCCCCAGATGCTCAGAACAGGAAGATATGGTTGGAAATCCTGGGGAGAAAAAGGCTGGAAGAGTTACAAATGCGGAGAGAGAGAAAAAGGCAGCTGGAAAGGAAGTACCAGGAAGAGGAGGGGCCGAGGGAAAGACTAGGAAAACTGATGGTCAGGGGTCAGGGGCCCAGGGCTCGGTGATGGGATGGAGCAGCCGGAGACTGAAGCGGGAGGGAGGAAGTAGAAGGGAGGACGCTTCCTGAGAAACTTGTGGTCTTCGCATGCTCTTGAAATGAATAAATTTTGTTAAGTAAATTATACCACAATAAAGCTCTAGCAAAAAAAAAAAAAAAAGAAAAAAAAAGAAAAAAGAAAAAAAGAAAGAAAAGAAAAAGAAAAAGAAAAAGAGTTGGGGGTAGTCGAAGAGTAGGAAAATAAAGAAACCAGAGTAAGAGTTTGGGGAAAGGGGCTTTATGTTGAATACAACAAAAGGAGTCCTTCATGTCAACATGTAGCCATCAGCTATTCCTTGCAGAGGAGAGCCAAATACAGGTGCTTAGAATGTGGTTTTTTTTTTTTTTTTTTTTTTTTTTGAGACGGAGTCTGGCTCTGTCCCCCAGGCTGGAGTGCAGTGGTGCGATCTCGGCTCACTGCAAGCTCCGCCTCCCGGGTTCACGCCATTCTCCTGCCTCAGCCTCTCGAGCAGCTGGGACTACAGGAGCCCGCCACCGCACCCGGCTAATTTTTTGTATTTTTAGTAGAGACGGGGTTTCACCGTGTTAGCCAAGATGGTCTCGATCTCCTGACCTCGTGATCCGCCCGTCTCGGCCTCCCAAAGTGCTGGGATTACAGGCGTGAGCGACCGCGCCCGGCCGGTGCTCATAATGTATTCTAAAGGTTAGAGCCAAAAGCTACAGGCAAGGCTGGAGTTTACCGTTCGTCCTGCTGTTTGTCCAGCTCTTGCTGTGGCTTCGAGTCTATGTCCTTAAGAGGCACTTGCAGCTTCTGGCATCTAGCCAGGGTGGCTGGGGACAGCATTGAAAAGGGGGCTGTGGGAACAGCCTGGTGCAGCAGTGCCCCCTCAGCTCGGATTGATTCCTTTGTTGCAAACATGAGGAACCAGAAGCTGTCACACAGTAGCGGCCAAGTAGGACGCTGGCGTGCCACTGTTTGGCCCAGTCTTCCAACCTCCCTCACGGTCAAACAAGCAGCCATTATTTATAAAAACTCAACACACATTGGATTTTAATGAGAAAATAACTGTATACTTGCATTGAATGCCTCACAATCACTCTAAAACCAAAGCAGGATAATAACATTTAAGTGGTTAACATACACAGGAAAACCAGATACAGAGTATAATTTCCAAACACAGTATTGCTGCTTTTTTCCCCTCCTCCCCCAAAAAAAGAAAAACAAAGAAAAAATAATTTGGGTAAAGAGCAACACAAAATCAAAATTGGCAGCTCACTGAATGCTTAAAATTCAGGAAATTTGTTCTTTAACTAAAATGGAATATATTCACCATCTCTAACACTTAGGCTACTTTTTTTTCAATACATAGTTTAATTAAATCCATTCTTTAGTTGGGAAAAAAAAGGTTTAATTATTTGTCTTCAGAGACAAGAATCAACACTGTTTTAGTGTTCCTTGTTACACTTTATATATATATATGTGTGTGTGTATATATATGTGGACATTGATCTATATACGGCTTATATGTCATTGTCTAGGGTGAGCAGCATGCATGGGTATGAAGAGGCAAGTAAACTGCATTGTGTCATCCAAGTAAAACACAGCACGGCCTCCTGCCACTGACAGACCCTGTTTCCATAATTTCTGGATGAGAAAGCCAAGTCATGTCAGTAGTTAATCAGCTCTGGAGGAAAGTGAACACCTATAAACACGGCAGAATGCAATACTTCCAGAAAGGCTTTTAACACCTACAGAATCTAAACATTTTGTAAGAGGTGGGGTTAACAAGCTTGTGTGCTATTTGGGGGTGGGGCTGAGCATCAGAGGCAAAGTTTTTCGTAAGCCTCTTTCTCTCGATGGATTAGGCAGGAATGACTTTCCTCCAGGGGACGGTCCCATCTTCAGAAAGTTAAAAGGGTCCATTTGGGATCCCAGAGCCTAGCACGGTGCTATGTACAAAGCGGTGGCCCAAGGTTTCTTGAATGAATAAAAAACTCAAGAGCACAGAGAAAATCTGGCTCTCCCAAGTAAACTGTAATTTACATTTTCATGGGATTATAATAGGATCTTCAGTGAGTGGAGCAAGAAGATAGACAGCAGTAATCCGGAAGGCAGCATAGGAGTAATAGCAAAAGTTAAGAGATGTAGGGGCCACAGTGAAAACAGCTTTGTGACTGTGGGAGAGTCCCAGAAACAGTATTTCTTTCCTTATCCACACACGGAGCATGGCCCAAGAACCCCCAGCTCTAGAACTCTGTTATTCTTTAAGCAATAAGTGCTCTGGTTCAATCAACTGTGGTCAAAGACCACTTCATCTGCCTCTAAAGCCATTCCGCGAATAGTGTGGCCTCTTAAGCTTTTCTCTTAGCTGTACATTCTCTTGTCAACTGTAGGTTTCATGAAGCACATGGTTTCCTTCAAAACAGAACAAAAAACTTTAAGGTAAGTCATAAGGATGGTTTCCTCTTGTGAAAAATGGGGAAGTTAGTCTATATCATGTCTATGGTCTCTACCAGATCCATGAGTCAGAGAAAACATGAAGCGCATCACATTTTTTGGGCAACCCATAGAACTATCCTACTCTCCAGCCATCCTAACTGCCACTGTGCCTGGGGCTGTGCAATGCTGCTGCCTCCTCTGTTCTTATCCCTGTGTCTGCTTTGGGAACGCCCCCTTATCGCTGGGTTCTCAGCCCAGGCATCTGGGACCTCTGGCTAGAAATCCTCAGGTAAAGACGATCCTCCTTCCTGAGTCCTCCCATTTCACATCAGGACTTCTAATCTAACACGGATCTCATTTTCCTGAGAATTTTAGTCTCCATGCCAACCTCCCTCACTATAAAATGAATTTCTTGCAACAGGGATCTTACTTGTTTTGCGTCCCCAGTGGCTAGCACATTTTGTTGAGAATTCATTCAAAATATTCAGGAGACTCAACCATATAAAGATGGTGCCAATTGCCCATGTGCTATTTGGGCTGCCATCTGTAGGATGTGGCTTCAAGTTAGAGCTCCCTTGGCAGTTTTAAAGGATCCTTGTTAGTAGATGGTTCCATTTTTTACTTTGTGCCTACTTCTCATTTGTGAATAAATGTCCCCCCCCAAAGTCAACACTAGTCTAATAAAAGAAGCAAAGGAAATGTGCGTTAACATCTACATACAAATTTTGTGAAATTGCTACTTGTTAGAATAACATAATAGAGCTTATGACATAACAATATAAAAACAAAAATGATTTTTAGTGAGGTCTGAGTTAATTATTGCTTTTTTAAAAAACCACAGTTTTAAAACAAAGGAAAAAAAAAGAAGGCTGTTTATTTTTTTTTCTTTCTCATGGCCAGAATTGAAAATTTTCTCATCCAGAAATTTAGGGCACCCAATTATTGAATACCCTTATCATATTGCTTTAAATGACAGAAAGATTAAAGCTGGCATCCTCTATAGTATACTAAGCATGAATGTAAAGTATGAGAATAAATAGGAGACTCTCCTAAATGTCAAATTACAAAACCGCTCAAAACTTTGTAATTGTGACTCATGCAAATACCTTGTTAGGTCAACTTAATATTACAAATACTGCATCAGCTCGGTGCCTTTATATCCCTTTTCATAAAAAAGAAATTCTCACTCCACTCCTGAAGCCAGCAAACAGCTCTGGAGGAATTACCTGTACACCCAAGTGCCACGGTCACTCTGGAATTTTAATACACACACACACACACCCTTACTCATGAACATACACATTTTACAAACACACAATGGTGTACACACACACACACACACATCCACACACACCCCATCTTTAGGATTTGTAGCTGATTCCAAGCCTGCACTTATTTCTATTCTATATTTTTCTTTGTATCATCCTGAAACACACTGGTTGCTCAGCAAAAATAGTATCTCTTACCTCCTTATTTTATTCCCATTCTTTCTCCTTCCCTCCCTTTTTCTCTCTCTACCTTCCTGACTTTTCTTTCGTGTTTCCTTTCTGATTGATCCAAAAGGAATCCATCATTCTTCTTCCTATCTCTAAGGCCCACTTTATAATACAAAATAGTTATAAACACCTTTTTATTTCTTATCATCTACCTCTCCAAGGCAGAGTTCGCCTTTTTTTTCAATTATTGCCGCTCTAAAAATGCCCCCACCATCTTGAACCAAGTTGTTCAACGCGTACAGATTCTATACGTGTATATACTCCCCCATCCCATCATAAAAATAGTTGTTGCCCACTAAATATAGTTTTCCTATGAAGAAACATAACTGTGAAAATGTGTTCTCATAAACTGCAGATCAGTGAATATTATAAGCAGACACGATCCTAAAGCTAACATCATCCATTTGGTTTGTTTTTCTCTTCCCCTTTCTCAGCCTCCTCATGTAGAATAGATTGTGTTTGTGACATGAAGAACTATTGTCTTAAAATATGGATTTTATGAATTGTGATCATGAGTTGTTCTCAATTAAAAATAATTAAATGTAGGAGAAGTGGAATCATAACTGCCTCTTCTGGGCAAATATGGAGAGAAACGCCATTCATTTTATGGCTGCTGGAGAAAATGGAGTTAATGCAACACCCTCTGATGCTGCAAGTGACAGGTGGGAAACTGGTGCAGGGAAATATCCTGTGCCATGTAGGCTGCACCAGCCTGGGCCCTACTGCTCTCTAAGTGGCCCTACCACCATTGTCCTTCATCGCCCAGAGAGGCTGGTCTCAGTTCCGCCTGCAGCAACTATGTTGATTTGCTTGTAACATGTTTTGTCCTTTTGGATCCATTGTAGATTGGCCCCAAACCAGACACTGGGATTGAGTCACCAAAAAAGTCCTTTCTCTTTTGATTCCTGGGTGTCCAGAGTCTGATGGGGGGACTTCCTTTTCGTTTCATTTTCATCATTGTATATTGCAGCTTCTGGTCTACATAAGGATTGCTGAGTTTGTTTGCACTTTAATAAATAGTCCATTAAAATGCTTTCAGTTGTTAATTTCTTGGTTTCTTGGTCTCCCAAGCACCAAAGACGCTTCCTGGGTTGAAGGAAGTTTATTCGTTGTCTTCTTCCTCCTGGTTGGCATAGATCCCTGCTTCCCAGCGCAAAGCCAGTGCGCTCTTTCTTCGATTAACCCGTGTGGCCTCGAGGACCTGTAAAGAGAGGGGAAAAAATTATGCAGAGTTCATGGATGTTAATTATGAACATAAACCGACTTCTCTGTTTCTTTCTTCCTTTCTCTTTATCAACTTGAGAGGAGAAAGTGATAAAGCACTGCTGGGAGATAGGAGAGACGCTGGAAAAAGGGGAATGGGAGGTTCTGGTTATGCATTCATCTCACAGCCAGTATTCATCTGCTACTTGACCCCTAGTTTTCACCATAGAGAAATTTAATTTTCATGAAATGTTCTGCAAGTTTCTTTGAACTAGCCGTGATTCTGCATCAAGTTTTCAGATAAAGCAGATCCCTACACGCAGCAGATCAGTGCTGTCCAATTGAACTTTATGCAATGATGAAAACGTATCTCTGCTATCCAGTATGGTAGCCACTAGCCATACGTGGCTATTGAGCACTTGAAATAGGGCTAGTGTGGCTGAGAAGCTAAATATTTAATTTTATTTCATTTTAATTAATTTTAATTTGAATAGCTCCATGTGACTAGTGATTACCATATTAGACAGCACACTATAGATGGTCTTAGTCTCTTCATAAACAAGCAAACCAGAAAATAATTCCAAACAATGGGACCAGTGTGGATTCAGTCCATCAAGCTTTGCAAACCTATATAAGCCATGATGATATTTATAGTATAAAAACCTACTTTGGCAAAATTAAACTAAAAAAGCCATTACATGAAAAAAAAAAGTTCTTGGATCAATAGAAGCAATCTCAGCATTCTGATGCAACTTCAGACCCCACATGCTAATCAATGAAATGAAAGGTGACAACACTAAGGACAAGTAGGCTCACCACCACTGAGGGAGAGCCTCCCTTCCTCCCATTCACTAGGGCAGTCTGTGGAATCCCGAGAGGAGACTTCAGCCTATCTGGTCCAGTTTCAGTTTGATCAAGAAGAGATTCCAGATTAATGGCATTTAGGTTGCCAACATATGAAAAATGGTTCTATTTCATGACCATGCAGAAAACAAGTCCAGGCATTCTTGCCAATTGTTCTGGCATTTGCTTAGGATGTACAGTTTCTGATTTTGAAGAAAAGTCCAGTAGAGCCAACATTGGTTGATTATGCAAACTGCAATGAAGGCACTGCTCATTCTAAATATAATCAGTTAGGCAAGGGACAGTGATGTTGGTGATATGGATTGGCTGTGTCTCCACCCAAATCTCATCTTGAATTGTAGCTCCCATAATCCCCTTGTGTAGCAGGAGGGACTCATAGGAGGTAATTCAATGTGGGAGCGAGTTTTCCCATGCTGTTCTCGTGATAGTGAATAAGTCTCACCAGACCTGATGGTTTTATAAAGGGCAGTTCCCCTGCACACACTGTCTTGCCTGCTGCCATGTAAGACGTGCCTTTGATCTTCCTTCACCTTCTGCCATGATTGTGAGGCCTCCCCAGCCATGTGGAACTGTGAGTCCATTAAACCTCTTTTTCTTTATAAATTACCCAGTCTTGGTTATTTCTTCATAGCAGTATGAAAATGGACTAATACAGTTGGCAACTCCAGAGAAGCAAGGAGATGCAGTTACAGGCAGAGGTGGGAGCCCAGACATAAGCAGATTGTGGGTAGATGGGAGATCGGGGGTCCATCTCAACCTGCTTCTCTGCACCTTTGTCAAAGGAATGGACCACCCAGAGCTTCAACATATCTTCCTCTGTGAAGCCTCCCCTTTTCCTCCTCAGTCACGTTTGCTGAATGAATGATGCATTGTTAAGCACACAAGCCATGTGTGTTTTGCATAATGTGTTTTGTATGTAAGCATATCACGGTCACTCACTCAATATCCACAGATATCTACGAATAACAAATTAGTAGGAGGAAAGCATGCTTCCAAATCTGTATAGTTAAATAGAGAAATTTTCTAATAGTCTAATGTGTGGTAGCATGGAACTGAAAAACAGCACTGGACTGCACGTGGAAGTCTTGGGCTCTATTTCCAGTTTTGTCCTTTGTTGTTCATCTTTTATCTCACATTTCTTATCTATAACATGGAGAACACAGCTACCCCACTTCACAGGCTTTCTCAGAAGGCACTGTGGACTCAGAAGTCCAGGCAGGTCTACTTCAAATCCTCATGACCTTGGAAAAGTCACTTACCCCTGTGCTTCAGTATCCCCATGTAAAATGGGGATCATAAAAACTACAGCATAAAGTTGGACGGATAAATCAATGAGGCAATGTATGTAAAGTATAGTTCCCAGCACATAGTAAGCTCTCAAACTATGATGGAATAATTATTTCTATCATCATGTGAAAGGGATATATAAATTATGAAGTGGCATACAAATAGGGCGTTTTATAAAGAACTCTACATTGTATAAAAGGATCATCTCTTTGCCTTTCAGATTGCAGATACAAACAGAAAGGTTTACATCAAAGCTAAAAATAAATCTAAAGTTCTAAAAACTATGGTCCCCATCCTCTTGGAATGTTCTTTGTCTTGTTATTTAAACCCTATTTTAATTCTCAAACAACTTGAGCAAATTGAGTTTGCTCTGCTCTTTAGGAACTCTTGTTACAAGCCATCTATCAATCCAATTTACACATATTTATTAGTTTCCTACCAAGTATAAGGCACAGTGCTTCGTGTTGAGGATAGAATAGTCCCTTCCCTCATGGAGTTTAGTGACGAAAAGTATAATGGGCAGAAAAATAATACTCATAATTATGGAAACGTTTAGTATAGCTTGGGTTTGGACATCTACTTGTCAAGAGCCCCAGTAATTCACTTATACCAACAATGAGCTCTCTTTTCTTAATTCATTCCCCTAGTATGTATGCCCATTTACCATGGTCATACAATCACTTACCATGGCCATACAATAAATTTCTAGTGAAATCTAAAGCCTCTAGTAATGGCACAGACAAGAAAATAAACATCCTTACTGAAATACCTGGCAATCTTGATATAAAGCTGTCTTTGGGTTCATAAGGCTTATGACCCAGGGGTGTCTGGGAGTAAAGCTGCACCACAACTGGTCTTCAGAAGATTCAAAAATCAAGGTATTTGAATGAGTATCTGTTCTGTAATTAATTCAGACGTGTGTGTGTGTGTGTGTGTGTGTGTGTGTGTGTGTGTGTGTGTGAATCTCTAGCAAATTTAGAGCTTTTATTACTTGTTTATTACTGCATATTAACTTCACTTTCTAAAGTTCATTCCTTTATTTTCTGGGCAAAAAGGCATATGTCTCTGGGGCTCTAATAATGTCATACTCATGTCCTAAGTACGATGTTACTGTTTGAATCCTCACTACTAGTCTATGACATTTATGCTGTTATTACTCCCATTTTTTATATGAAGAACCTGAAGCACAGGGAGGTTAAGTAACTTGCCCAGAATTACCCAGTTAGCAGAAGGCAAAACCAAGATTTGAACTCTGCACTCTGGGTGCAGAGTTGATGCTTGAGGCCACCAGACTATCTGGCTGCCCAATGGCTGTAAGGAGTCCAGAAGGAGACACACCAGAGAAGAGCAATCAACACTCCCCATGGAAATGGAAAAGGGAAAACAAAAAACGATCTGATTTAAAGTTTTATTGTGGCTGGGTGCAGTGGCTCAAGCCTGTAATCCCAGCAGTTTGGGAGGCCAAGGCAGGCAGATTGCTTGAGACTAGGTGTTCGAGACCAGCCTGGCCAACATAGTGAAAACCTGTCTCTACTAAAAATACAAAAATTAGCTGGGCATGGTGGCTGCCACCTGTAGTCCCAGCTACTTAGGAGGTTGAGGCATGAGACTCGCCTGAGCATGGGAGGCAGAGGCTGCAGTGAGCTGAGATCGCACCACTGTACTTCAGCCTGGGTGACAGAGTGAGACGGTGTCTCAAAAAAAAAAAAAAAAAAAAGTAAACTAAATAAATAAACAAAGTTTTATTGTTTTCACAAATTCACATTCAGGTCTGGTAGGGAATAAAAAACAATTATCTCTCAACAACCCTTTAATATTAATTTTTCTCTCTAATGCTTAGGGAATTCAAGTGAATTGCTTAACTTTGAAAGCAATCAATATAGAAAATTTTAATTTGGACATATGAAACAAAAGACAGATATGTTAAATAATATCACCCTATTCATATTAATATTTATATTTCATCTTCCAACCTGCTTTTAAATTGAAGACAGAGTGGGCCCAACTCTATCTTCCTTGGATATATTTGACCAGATTTTCATTGTTTTAAATGGACTCAAAGGGGAGACGGGCTTAGTCCTAATTCTCAAACTGCCATCCTCCAGATGAGAACCACAATTAGACGTTAAAGAAGGTACAGAATGATATTCTCAGTATTCATTTGATATCTTATGAAAGAAAATTACTGATAATCAGCAGGTCAGCTCTATATTTAAATATAATTCTTTGGCTAAATAGAGAGACCAAAAAACTTATTATGCTACAGGTTAATGCAACCAACTTGAAAAATAATTTACAATATCTAGTAAATGTTAGGATGTATCAGGCTACTAGCCAGTGCTTCTACTCCTAAATATAGAGACAGGTTCTTCCATAGGTACATAAAGAGACATGTATAATAACATTCATAAAAGCATTATTTCTAACGGTAAGAAAAACTGGAAATAGTCTACATTTCCATAACAGAAGATTGAATAAATAGTGATATATTCATTCAATGGAATACCATACAGCAGTTATAAAGAATGAACCAGAGCCACAGTGATCAACAAGGACACATCTCAAAACAATGCAGACAGAACAAAGTCAGGAGCAGAAGATACTGCAACATGATTTACCGCTTATAGAATGTCTTCAAACATGCAAAAATAAGGTGTTGTTTATGTATATACACATTTGTAGTATAAGTATAAAACCATGCATGGAAATGATGAACAACAAGCTCAAAAATAGTTACCTCTGCGAGATTGTAAGGGAGGAGGGAACTGGGAGAAGTACGAGAGGGCTTAAATTGTATTTGCAATACTAATTTCTTTTAAAAATATTAAATATCATGAAATGATAAGAATGGACAAAGCTGGGTAGGTGGGTTTTATTATTTTATTATCTTATATTATTCTGAATGCCAGTTCCATGATATCAGGAACTTGTTTTGTTGACTGCTGTATTCTTGGAACCTAGAACAATGCCTGACACATAGTAGAGCCTTGAAAATTGTTAAATGAATGAACGAATGATTCTCTCTAGAATTCTGTATATTTGAAATAATTCTTTTAAAATCAAAATAAAATACAGAAATAAAAATATGAAAAATATTGTGCTTTCTCAGCAAAAAGAAAAAATGGACAAAATAGAAAAAAATTAAAAGAGAAAAATATTATGCCTTCTCATAGCACACATATTTATAGCACATATATTTGTGAAATCTGTGTAAAAGGAAAGAAGACTTTTGGGGACCGAGAACAGTGGCTCACACCTGTAACCTCAATGCTTTGGGAGGCTGAGGCAGGAGGATCACTTGAGGCCAGGAGTTTGAGACCAGCCTGGGCAACATAGCGAGACCCCCGTCCCTACAAAAAAAATATAAAAAAATAAATTAGCTGGGCATAGTGGCACACACCAGTAGTTCCAGCTCTTTGGGAGGCTGAGATAGGAGGATCGCTTGAGCCCAGGAGGTTAAGGCTACAGTGAGCTATGATTGCACCACTGTACTCCACCCTGGGCAACAGAGTAAGACCTTGTCTCTTAAACAAGGAGGCTTTTGGAGAAATCAAGGCTTAGAGTTTCTAAAATAAAAATACACGTTTAAAGATTGGAGGGAGGGAGGTCTAGGATGGTTTACATTTGATAAATCTGTAGATTAGGATGGTTCATCTTAAATCTATAGAATGGAGCTTTCTAGCTTTATGTTAAGGTAAACAAAGAATGGGTGAAAATCCATAGCTCAATCTGCATGAGCTGCACTGTTTTCCAACCAGGCCAAGTATACTTGCTATTAATGCCTAAAGAAACTTTAAAAACCAAAATAGCCCATCACTTGTGTCCTCTGGTCCAAACGTCTTCAAGATTCGTGAGCAGGCAAGGTCTTCCCCAGTACCCTCCCACTCGCCCCCACAGCACAGCACAGCAAACCACACCATTGTATATCACTGTTGCATGGACTCCAACATTTCGAGGCAGTCCCATATTTCAGAACAGGCACAAAAAAATACATATGGAGACAAGTCATTTTTCTTGCCATTTTCGTTTAACTCATCAGGAAATGGCAAACCACAACAGCATGCACCTGGATCATGCATTCAGTAAGACCAAGACAAACAAATTGAAAAGTACCTCGGAAGTCACCTTGCAAGACAGTAACTTAGAAGTGTACTGGCAGAGAGGGAAAAGACCAGGGTTAGTACATGGCAGTGACACACTTACAGAACACCCCCTAGCCGGGAACAGGCACCACACCAGAAGAGGATGGGAGGGGAAGTAATACCAGGAGGCCATTCTACACCCATGCCAAAACTTTCTCCATCTGATATTAGTTTATTTATAAGTCTATTCTTTGCAGCAACTAGATACCCTATTGTTCACTAATAAAAATATCAGATAAGCCGTACTTTGTTAATTCAAAACGTTGCTTTCAGTTTCTGTACTTTGAATTAACAAGATTCCTTCCCCTCTGTACACAATCAGCTGCCCACCAGCAAGGTCGTTGGGGGCCATTTTGGATTTGCTAGAGTCTGTAGCCAAATAGCCTTTTCTCTTCCCGTAGGCTTCTCTGAACCCCAAAGCCGTCTTGTAACCTGTTGTTCCATTAAAAGAAGATCCTAATCACAGCAGTTGGTTTGTGGAGGCAGATTCTCTGAAACCGGCCTAAGGGTAGTCTTGCCTAGGGAGACCACACAGCCTCCCTCGTCAGAACCCTGGGGGCCTGGGTAAGTTCCTGAGAGTGGGATCATCCTTTGATAGCAATTTCTGGTGATTATATAGGATTATTAGTATGAGCACTTAGGAACTGAAATGATCCTTTAGTTCCTATAGGGGACTAAAAGTCTTACTCAAAGTACAGAAAAAAATGGCCTGACTATGGAAAATGAGATGGCAGGACCAATTTGGGACATCCCTCTCCAGAATTATGGTAATGAGCGTACATTTACACTGCTTGGGGCATTTAAAGCATTTATTGGTTTGGGGCATTGATAGCCATAGACTAGTTAGGTGGGATCACACATCTGTGATTGCTGACTGCTTCTTATATGTAGCACTTAGGAATTATAGTTCTGTCATGATTGGGCTAATGGCTGGGAGCTGACAAGTCAGGAGCTCTTCTCTCTCCTTTGCATCTTCACTAGGGTACGAGTGAGAACGTAAGAGAGAGTTAGGGAAGCACAAGGCATCACTGAGCTTCCTGTAGCGTCTGGGGAAACAGGAGGCAGATAGGCTTCCTTCACACACTGAGCGAGAGTATGGCCACAACTCTCAATGCATGTCCTGGTCTGGAAGGGTAATGTGTGCCAGGAACTCTCAGCTTTGACGTAGCCCAGGAAAACCGACGAGGTCTTCTCTTGTTCTAAGATGAGACAGAGTGGTTGGATGACCTCTCAGTAATGAAGTCATGGGATGAGAAAGAGAGAGAGAGCACACTGGAAAACCCCACTGAGGGCAGATCCTGCGCTAAAAGTAAAGATGGGGCTGAACATCCAGGAGGCTGTGATTTGGACTCTGGTCAGCATCCCTTCAACTGAGAAAGGCAAAGCAAACCCTCGAGATGTTCATGAGCATCATTGACTCAATGACCCATCATCTTCACTTTCTGAGGCTCAGGTCAGGTTAGGGAAACAATTGGCTGGAAAAATACTGTTTGCCTAAATACAGTCATGTCACTCAGGATGGACTAATGAATCAGAGTTTCCTAGAGGGGTTCTTCATGCCTGAAGGAAAAACATCCAAATAGCCCATCATTTGTGCCCACTGATCCAAATGTCTTCCAGGTCCATGAGTGGGCAACCCCACCTTGGAGGCAGTCGCTTTGCAAGGCATCAAGAAGCCCTTTAGGAAACTAGGATTCACTAGTCCATTATGAATTGCATGACTGAGCAGAAATGGTATGAGACCCAGATAAGTGGACATTTCCACATAAGAGAACATTTCCAGATAAGAGAAACCCACAATATGAATAGGATTGCTGCATCTGGGTGTGTGTTGTGTGCACTGCACAAAAGCATCAGACTAAAGGGATGAATGGTACTAAAGCCCAGTCCCCTACTCTACCCCCCAAATGTGTGGCTGGTGCAGGGCTGCATCTTCATATCTTCATAGAGGAACAAGGGTGGTTTTTTTTCCTAATTCACACAAAGGCCTTGCATAGGTTGGTAAACAGCCTTGGGTAAGTGGGTAGGGGTGGGGATGGTAATCCTCCTGCCCTCAGAATTAGCCAAGAGGTCCATTAATAAGTGAGGCTGGAGATACTCATTGGTGACTCCAATATACAGGACAAAGAAATCAGCCCAGGTGGGTGAAGACTGTGGCAACTAAAGGGAGTACTTTGCTCAAGTTCTGAGCTAGTAACAAATATGGCTGGTTGGGGACAACCTTTGGATAACACCACTCCCTGACTCCCATAAGCCAGGGGCCTCTCTGCATATGACTTTTTATAAAGTGGAAAACTGGAGAGAGCAGGGCCCTGAGCTGAGTCCCTGTGGACAGGACCCCAGAGGCCACCACACCCCTGATGGGGGCTCGGGGGACACTGAACTTGTTTTGATGGCAAAGATCAGTTTTTCTCACTCAGCAAAACTTCAGCCGTAGCTACATTCTATCTTTCTCCTTCTGTCTTTCACTCTCCTCGATACCATTGTGTCTAACATATCACACTTTATACACATTCCAATGATCAGCGCCTGTCTTGTTTTTAACTCTGCCTTCTCCTTAAAAAGAATAAAAAATAAGAATTATTTTTGCTCAATTCACAAATAACTGTTACTTTCGATGGGCAAACACATGGTTGTGTTCTAATCACGCGACAGGCATTGATTCTCAGGTGTGGTTTATCATCTCCAAAACGGCATGCCAAAATGCTGCCAAGTGGCTTACTGGAAAAAATATTGGCAAATGGAGGTGCCAGGGGTGATGCTGCATAACATGGGGAGATGCTGGGTGTGTAGGTGTGAGCCACTGAGGTGCTTAGAGGGTGGAGAGTCTAAGAAGCCATGTTTCTCTGTGAGAATAGTGTATGTAAATGGAGGCTAGAGACCAGAATTACTTTACCTTTAAGAGAATTAACTTTATGCTTCTACGGATAGGTAAGCCAGTTACACAACTCATCCCCCCAGCAATCCATCTGCTCTCTATTACTATCCTTCTGGTATTAAAGAAAAAGAAAAAATGGAAAAGGGGCCACAGATTGGTTAGGAAAAAAATGAATGTTTGTTCATCCCTACAGGTAAACTTCAACACATTCACCAGTGATTGACACAGATACAGGAGAAAAGGTCCCCTAAATTGGAAGGGCTAGGAGAAGGCTCTCATTTGAAGCCTGACTGATGATCATATCTTTGCTTTAGAAGCAATCTGAATTTGTTGTTTTAGATTTGGGTCTCTTAAATGAGCATATAGTGGATTGGTAGATTTTGTCCTGATCCTAAGAATTTTCAACAACAGCAAACTTGGTTCTGTTGTAATAGCAATAACAGTGCAAAACATTTGGCTTTGAATCCAAGATCCAGGGATATTAACAGCTTAATTAGTTAGGTCTCTTTCTTTTTCAAAATGTTTATTTACTGGAAAATATAGAGACAGGAGGCTGCCTCTTTGATTTGTAAGTGAAGGGCAATCAGCATATTAAAACGCTGATTCCAAGCAGCTTCATTCATGCAGAGGAAAAACTCAACCTGGTTGGCATTTGTTAGGTGGCTGCCAGAGTGTCAGCGTGTGCACAAAAGAGCTTCCAGCCCTCTGCCTTTACGAAATGAGTGAGAACTGCCTCTACCCTTCTGTATGGAGTATTTTTCCCTATCATCTGCACTCCAACACAAAAGACATACACAAGTGACAAGTAGAGTGTGTTCAGCAAACACTCGCGTGGGTCACATGCTAAGTGGTTCTACTTGTTCTTCCCCATCCACATCAGAGTGTGGGGCACCCACTTGGCTAAATTCTACCAAAACTGCTGATGTATAGAGCAGAGTCACTGGGAGAAAAGAAACCAGACACCTAGAGCACCAAGTTTCAAAATGATTTAACTTTCAGAAAATTCTTAAGGCAAACTTTATCCTTTGAAGTGGGGCTTCAAAGAAGGGCTGGTGAAAGTGACTGAGTAGCCAGGGAAAAATCCTGCAGGCTCACGAAAGGAGCTGCTGGCTCCCCTACAGTGAGGTTCAGCAGTGGAAATGTCTGCAGCAGCTACCCAGGGCCGGGCATCATCCCACTGTCTAATACAGTGAAGAGCCCAGTAGAATAGCTGCAGCCTAATACAGCAGCTGAGCCAGTGCTCCACGCAGTTCAGGTGTAAACAAAAGGGAAAGCCTGGGAGATGCCAAGTGAGAAGCCAGGCTGCCAGATATCCATTTGCTTTCTTCCTTTCTTTACCGCCATATATTTTGAAAGCAACTTTCAGCATCTGGGCTTCAACTCCAGAAATCCTTTAACTTAGCCAGCTAGGATATAAAAGGCAATAAAACAGCAGGGAATTCTTACTGTGAACTTCATAGCATTCAAGTTTAAGGTGACCAGATGGTTTATCACCCAAACTGGGACACTTTCAAGAGTGAAAGGCAGGCTGGGTGCAGTGGCTCATGTCTGTAATCCCAGCACTTTAGGAGGCTGGGGTGGGAGTATCCCTTGAGCTCAGGAGTTGAAGAACAGTCTGAGCAACATAATGAGACCTCCTTTCTACAAAAAAGTTAAAAAATAAGCCAGGTATGGTGGCATACGCGTGTGGTCCCAGCTATTCAGGAGGCTGAGGCGGGAGGATTGCCTGAACCCAGGAGGTCGAGGCTGCAATGAGCCATGATTACATCAATGCATTCCAGCCTGGGTGACAGAGACAGACCCTGTCTCAACAACAACAACAACAACAACAACAAAAGAGTTGAAGGGGATATTAATAACCACAACACCACAACAGGCATAAGCCAGGACTGTCTCAGGTAAACTCAGTAGGATCCTCAACCAACCCAAGCTATCTGTGACTTAAGTGCAGTCAGGGGAGGAGGTGATGACTTCAATATGTGCTAAGAGACTGGTGCCAGAAGACCCACAGGAGGTTGGCATGAACCCTGAGGCTGATCTCCAGGCTCCTGGGACTGTGTAGAGCAACAGTTCCTATGTCTCTAACCGGAGAAAGAAACCACAGAGCATGTGACTTCCTTCACAGTTAATTTGAACGTTATGTGCAAAGTTCCGAGGGCTTGGGTGTAGCAGAGTAGCCATGTGGTTTTCAACTGTCATTTTCACTGGCTCTTTGCTTTCAAGCTATGCACATGGGCTTGTTAACAGCCCCAAACACACTCAGTCTTTTAAGCACTGTAACATTGTTAGGGATTGCCTAGAGTGTCGGCTTTGAAGGAACAGCATCTTCATCCTTTTCTAGAGAAATAAAATCTCTACTGGGCAATGGTAGAAATCAGCTCCCAGGTGCATAGGGATGATTTCAGGGCACTTGCAACCTTCTCCCTGCGTGGCCCTTGCATGCTGTCTTTCTATGCACCAAACATCTTACACACTAGCCTTGCTGGTCGACTCCAGCTATACTTGGCAGCAAAGGACCAGCTCCCTGCAAGATCAACAATTTTTTTTTGAAACAGGCAAAAACCCAAACCCAGTTCCAGGCATGTGAAACCACATATATGAAAACTGATACTGGAACCCTAATGCTGACCAGACAACGACATACACATTTGTGCCTGAACTGGAATGCCACACGCCACACCGATGGCCGCGCTCAGAGAAGTGAAAGAGGAAAGGAGGAAAAACTTACACTACTATCATCCATTCTCTCGCGCCTTTTAGATTTGTGTGTCTCATAGTCTTCCATGAGGGTCTGCATCAGATTCTTGGGCCGCTGGGTTCCGGCAGCCTCTTCAGGGGCTAAGTCAGGCTGCAAGCTGGGGCCTTCAGTGGTGGGGGATGGAGGAGGTTTGACTTTCTCTATTTTCCCTGAAACAACACGAAGAAAATACCCTTTCTAAGCTTGTCTGCTCATGACTGCTTTTAGAAAGAAAACTGGCAAATAAAAGAGCAACAACCTCTGACACAGAGAGTGGTACCAGAATGATGGTTAAGTGTAGGCCATTTTATTATATTACAGGGATCAAAGCACTTAAGGTTAATGCACAAACCCATCCAAAGATCTCAAGGACACCAAGTTCCAAAAAGTCAGTTAGATCAAACAGGCACAGCACGCATTTTGCAAATATATGTTGGACAGACCGACAGTGGCTCCAGTTGTTTTGAGATATGTATTCTATCACAGATCACAGAATTAGACTGTCAGAGGTGGTGGCACCTTGGAGACTCACAGACCCACTTCTTAACAGATGAAAGCGCTTGAGGCTCTGCCAAGGGAAGGCTGTACTCAAGTCATAGGGAGCCAGTGATGGTACCCAGGCCTCCTGCTTTCCTCACCAGGGTCTATCCTCTATAGCAGAGGAAGTCAATTGTCTGCTGACCTGCCCAGGCTTTTTGTGCAGACAGCCCAGTGTTATAAAACCTTTGAATAAGGATGAAGTTTGTTCTTCTCAGTTTGCCCCGGTCTTACACTGGCCAGCTTTATTCATTTACCTCACCTGCTGGGGTCCTGAAACATTGGGGTTTGAGGCCTCCCAGACCTTAAGAAGTGTACACCAACAAAGGCAATGGAAAAGGTGCACACCAGCCTTGGGAATGAGGAGATTTTAGCTCTCGCAATGTCCTCCAAGAATCCTCAGGATGGAGAGATGAGGTCAGTGATTAATTCAACAGTGGTGTGGTGACTCTACGCACCCTCACCAAGACCATTTCCATCCCTCCCTCCCAAGAAATGCCTGGCCCTGGCTTCTGGCCCTTCATGGGGTGGGTTTATTGACACAGAGCCCCAAATGCACTTCTGAGAAGTATCTTCAAGTATAACAATTATGATTTTTCCAATTATGCCCTTTGTGGTTGATGCGGCTAAAACCTGTGAACAAGGAATGTGGATAAAACACACAAGATAAATGGGGCTTGCATGGCTCCGTTTGGGAGGGGAAAGGGCCATTTGACCTCTTCCAGTTCCAAGCCGAAGGGGACTCACCTTTCTTCATCTTACATCCCAGGCTTCTAACTTGGCAACTGCCTGATGTAGCAGGAATCACAAGTGAAGCCTGGTGTCCACATTTCCATATGGGCTGCTTAGCCCTTTACTGGCACAACCTCCTTCTGATGAGAGATACAAAGGCCTGGAGTCCAGGAAACCCAGGTTTTTAACTCCTGCTCTTCCAGTACTTGGCTACGTGACTGACTATAGATCATCGTTTCATATTCCCATTTCAATCGTGGGCTGATCACTTAAATTCTCCTAGCTTTAACTGCCATAGCGGTTAAATGGGAATTTTGGAAGAAGTTATCTTTGTGGTCTCTTCTAACTCAAACGTTTTGCTATTCTATCAAATATGTTTGGCAGGATACACCCTTCTTGATTTTTTTTAAGGTATTTAGCTGTTACACTTGGGGATTAGGTGGAAAATAGGTTTTAATATACAGAAAAGGGCACTGCATTTCATGGCCACATTACATTAATAACAGTGAAATTTGTTGCTTTGATCTAAATTACCCAGATAACTGAAAAGTCTTTTGATATTAACAGTACAATAATAAGTATTTCAAAATCTCCAAGTTCACTAGAAACAGTTCCTATTTTTTATTACGGAAATTAGGGAATGCTATAATGACCCCTATAAACATTATAAACATCACCCAGAGTAAACATTTATCAAGATTTTAGCATAATTGGCTCTTCCTTCCTTCCTTAGACTTGCTGAATTATTTTAAACCAATCCCAGACCTCAGGTCACCTCACTCCTGCACACTTAGTATGTATCTCTGAAAATTCCGATTGACTTTTTAATTGAAGGCTTAAGAAACAATATAGCACAGTGGTGAGCGTGTAAGCTCTGGAGCCAGCCGGTTTGGGCTTGAATCCATGACTTGGCAGCCAAATCACTTTGGGCAAGTTACTTACTCTTTTGATATCTTAGTTTCCTCATCAGTAAAATGGGTATGATGATAAGGGTACCTACCCTCAGATAGTTATTATGAGGACAAAGTTAATATTTATAAGGTTAATATTCAGAACAGAAAGCATCTAATGATTCTAGCTACCACTTAATTGGAATCTCAAAGAATAATGTGACTATAGGGTGAGATGAACAATTTCATGCATATTCTGCATAAAATTTTTGCATCTCTTCTGGGACCAGAAATAGACACCAATTACCAGGTTAATTTTCATCATTTTCCAGTTGACCTCTCAAGTGTCCAGATCACTTCCCACCAGCCACTCTTCCAGAGTTAAACACCTAGAAAGCACAGCCTATATTCATTGCTTCTAGCTTCTCCCTTTCACACACAGCACAGTGGAACTCCTGTTTATATTTCTGTGAAGGCCATTTTCACATACTGACTTAAATCTTATCTGGCTATTGAAGCTTTTGTCTTCTCAATTAAGCTATAATGTCATCCTGAGGACAGGGGGGTATGTTTCACCTGTCTATGAATCCCCTTAATTCATTTGAATGCAAACTCCATTAGGGTAGAGCCTTGCCTGTCTGATCATTGCCAGATCCCAGCAGTAGCTGTGGTACATGGCACGAGGTAGGCAATTCATGTTTGTTGAGTAATCAGTAAGTCCATTATGAAATATATATAACAACCACAAGTAAATGCTTATGGATTGGGACAGAATCTCCCATAGAGAATCAGAGGAAAGGGCTTAAATGCCTTCACCAAAATATATGAATTAAAACATTTTAGGCTTACAGAATCACAGACTCAATGGCTTTGGAGTAACAAGCGGATTTATATACCACTTCTTTTGTAGGCTTCATGTCATTTGAGCCTTGCAACAACCCTGGAATGTAGTTAGGGTGGATGTCGTGACACCTGGATGTCATGACCACAGAGGCTCAGATGCCAACTCCAGCCCAAGTTACATAAGACAGTGACAGTCACAGTCTGGAGCCCAAACCCAGTGTTGATGATGGCTGAATTAAATGATGGGATGTATGCAGAAAGAATGTTGTAAAGAGGGTGAAGGATTACTATAGAGAAGTGGACAGCCATTTAACATCAAAGACATTTCCTGCTTATTGATGATTTCATCCCTTGAGCAAGTTTTTCCAGTTCTAGCCACTAGAGGTCAGAGAAGTAGCAGGAAAGAAAGGCTGGCTTAGCAGTTCTGGAGCAGGGGCTTCCAGGAACAAGGGGGCTGAGAATGGTCGCTTTGGATAACTGAGCCCATGTTCTGGTTCTATCTACCCCCTTAGGAGAGGCTATCACAGGTCCCCAGAGAGAGAAGACACTATGCCTCATCCCCAGACTTCCGGCCATCATTCTGGTCAGTATCAAGGGAAGCTAGCTCAGCCAGGCTCCTCTGCTGGGCCCTGTGATCTCTGATGATCCTCCCCAAGTATGGTTCAAACCAGGCACCAGAATTCTGGGTGCCATCTTAGGAATCACACAGGCTGCCAAAAGGCTGGAGAGAAACCTGTTCCACACCTGACAACTTCCTCAGAGGTCCAGAGTTTGCAGCCAGAGGTCCTCTCCATTAGGACGGTGACAGCACTCCGGATGCTCTTCCCCCAATAGTGGACACTGCAGACAGCACCACTGTTTGGGTCTTGAAGATCATTAAATGAATGTGATGCAAATAGTCTGTGCCACAGGCCTGGGAGCTCAATCACATTCTTTTTCATGACCCCATAAGGCCCCTTGAAGTCCCTTGGCCAAGAGGACATGCCCCATTAGACTCCCCAAACCATGATGGTTATCTTTGGTGCTTCTTTTTCACTGATCCAGTGTGCATCTCACCCAGAACTTCCCCAGTAACCCCAGGTCCAGCTTTGCTTACTCCCTCAAACTTTGCTCTGCTATTGGTTTATTCACCTGTAATGATTCAATAGCTTGTGATGCCTGAAATCTGCCCCATTTTCAATGAGAACATCCTGCCATCCAGTTCCTCACCTGCACTGAACACTCTATAGAACACTTTTTTTTCTTTCATTTTTTTGAAATGGAGTCTTGCTCTGTTGCCCAGGCTGGAGTGCAGTGATCTGGGTTCATTGCAACCTCTGCCTCCCAGGTTCAAGCGATTCTCCTGCCTCAGCCTCCTGAGTAGCTGGGATTACAGGCACCCACCACTATGCCTGGCTAATTTTTGTATTTTTACTAGAGACAGGGTTTTACCATGTTGGCCAGGCTGGTCTCGAACTCCTGACCTCAAGTGATCAGTCTGTCTCAGCCACCCAAAGTGCTGGGATTACAGGCATGAGCCACTGTGCCCGGCCAGAACGGCTCTCTTGAAGGACATCGGTCACTATCCTTAAACAACAACATGAACACACAGTGCCATGTAGACCTCAGGGCAGGTCCGTATTGGTCTTGGCTGATGGCCAGCCCTGACATTTACAGAGCAGGGAACAGGTATAATGTGACCTCTATAAGGAACGTAAGGAACCACTACAACAATGTTAGACTGAAATTCCGAGTGGAGGATAGGAAACGTTTAAGTTTATTTCATAAACGTGATCATATTCAAACTATTCCATCTGGAGTAATTTTAGACTTAAGCCTTTGAAGGAGTTTGAGGGTAAGTGGCTTCACTTGGTTGACTCCAAAGATGTGTTTCTAACATTGTGTCCTGTGACCTTAGCTTTGTAGGATAGTTACTTGATGCCTCAAAGAAAAAAATCTTTGGTCAAATTAAGCTTGGGAAACTCTGGGTTAAAGAAAACAAGGAGGGAGAGAGGGATTTGTTTACCAGAGGACTTCTGGTTTTAGTGCTAATATGATTGTGAAGCTCTAATTCAGGAATGGGAGTGCAGCATTTCTTAAGTTTAGTTAACCAGAAAACCTCACTTCATAGAATCTATTAAGTGCCTCAAGAAAAAAAGCCAGGTGCAGAGGCTCATGCCTGTAATCCCAGCACTTCAGGAGGCTGAGGTCAGAGGATCACTTGAGCTCAGGAGTTTGAGACCAGCCTGGTTAACATAGTGAGACCTCATTTTAAAAGTAAGTAAATGAATACAGAAGGGGAAAAAAATTTTAAAGTAAGTAAATGAATACAGAAGGGGAAAAAAGAAGAAAAACAGTTTAGGAAATACTGTTGTCTAATGTACAGTAGTTAACCAGCTTCCAGGGAACTTTTCTGGCCCAAGTTCATTTAATAAGTAAGTATGGGCACACAGCTCATGTACAAGAACGTTCAGCACTGTGTTTTTTTTAACTACACCAAGATATCTTCCTATTGAAGAATGGTTAAGTTAGCTATGGCTCATTTAGGCAATGAAGTATTAGTTAGCCATTATAAATGATGTTTTAGACTCTCAAACTTAGAGGAATGGTTAAGGTCATGAGAAAATATTCAAACTATATTAAGAGAAAAAGCAGACTGCAGAAGTAGATATATTGCAGGAGTTCAAGAGTGCAGGCGGGAGAGCCAGACTGCCTGGGTTCAAATCCTAGTTCACCACTTCTTAACTGTGTGAAAGAAAGCAAAAGTGCATAGCACATGGCAGACACTCAATCAGCATAAGATGAACACTATATGTTGCCTCCTGTGGTGGGCAGAACAATGGCCTCACCAACAATGTCCAAGTCCTAATCCCCAAAACCTGTAATACGTTGCTTTAGAGGTAAAAAGAACTTTGCAGTTGTGATTAAGTTTAGGTACTTGAGATGGGAAAGCTATCCTGAAATATCCAGTTGGGTCTGATGTAATTGTAGGAGGGAACTAGGAGGGTCAGCGAGAGAGAGAGAGAGATCTGAAGATGCTGCACTGCTGGCCTTGAAGATGGAGGAAGGGGCCATGAGCCAAGGAATGTAGGCAGCATACAGAACGAAAGAGGGAAGAAAGTGAACTCTTCCCCAGAGCCACTAGAAGGAACACTACCCACTGACACCTTGATTTTAGCCCAGTCTTAGGTTTGTTTGAGCTGCCATAAAATACCATAGACTGGATGGTTTGAACAACACGCACTTATTTTCTCACAACTTTAGAGTCTGGAAGTCCAAGATCGAGGTGCCAGAATGGTCGGTTTCTGCTGAAGGCTCTCTCCCTGGATTGCAGACAGCTGCCCTCTTGCTGTGTCCACACATGGTGGGGAGAGAAGCTGTCTGATATCTCTTCTTACAAGGGCATTGATCCTGTCATGAGGGCTCCACTCTGTGACTTCATGTAAACCTAATTATATCCCAAAGGGCCCACCTCCAAACACCACCACACTGAGGGTTAAGACTTCAGTATACGAATTTGCGGGACAGGGGTCTCAATTGAGACCAGGCTGGTCTCAATCCTCCTTTTGGATTTCAGGTCTAACTTTTAAAAAGCCAAGAATGGGGATTCCAAAAGTTCTGAAAATTATTTTGGTCAGATAGTCATCCATAGCAGATGAATTTCAGACTTCTGCCTTCTAAAGCTGTAAGATAATGCATGTGTATTTTTAAAAATTATTATTATTAGAGACAAGGTCTCACTATGTTGCCCAGGGCTTGAACTCCTGGGCTCAAGAGATTCTCTAGCCTCAGCTTCCCAAAGTGCTGGCATTACAGGCATGAGCCACTGTGCCTGGCTAAATGCATATTTTTTAAGCTACTATATTTGTGGTAATTTGTCATAGCAGCAATAGAAACGAATGCAAGTATCAACCCAATATTGGCTTCCATGAACCTATGGGCATGGAGAAAATCTAGAAAGGTGGTTATTCCTGGGGGAGTAGGATTATGAATCACTTTTGATTCTTTTTACATTTTTTTCTACAATCAGCACAAATTAATTTTAAAATATAAAACAAACCAGAAAAGTTTTCTTGTAAATATTATTAGCCCACGCTGAGAAAAGCAGGTAAACCTGCTTGCTTTAACTTTTATGGACTAGGCAGATCCACAAGCCCTTCCATCATCCCAGGCGGTGCATACCCAGAGGAGCTCAGAAGGAAAAAAACTGTTCATCTCTGCAATGGTGGTGCTCACAAGACTGTAGCATTGCAAGGTAGACTAAGCAGCAAGGAAGCCCAAAGAGTTTCACTCCAAACTAGCTAGTTTAGTCCCATCATGAGTGGGAAAGCATAAATTGGTGTTTCCTGTTTATTTATCATAAATAGTTATACCACTCTGTGGTCCAGAGAAAGCAAGCCATGCCTTGGCTGTGCTTCTGGATTTTCCAGGCCGGATGGATTTCCCTTGGGCATCTGTGGCGAGCCGTGCTGACAGGAGGCAGAGAAAAGAATCTGCAATTCCTCCCACCCAAAGAACCCGAGAAAAGGCTGCATGCACTCAGAATACAGCTATTGTCATCCCTGACTGTCCAAATCTTCCTTCTGGATTTCAGGTCTAACTTTTAAAAAGCCAGGAATGGGGATTCCAAAAGTCCTGAAAATTTTGGTCAGATATTATGATTTGGGTGATTATTACTCTCTCTATGCATGAAGTCTGAGGTCTTAAATCAAAGAGCCTTTGTTTCCACATTTCTCAAAATAAAAGAAAAAGCCTTCACCCACTCGTATTTAAAAACCAAACTGAACCGAACAAAATCACTCACCAGAGGACATGCCTAAGCCAGGGCCTCCTTCAATGACCTCCTTTCTTCACACAGCATTGGGATAAGGTTGCAAACATCTGAAGCGACCCACAAGTCACCAGAAAGAAATGAGCTCAGACTTGCATTTTCAATTTCGTTTCCTCTCAGTACAAGGGAACATCCTGCTTGTCAGCCCCAGAGTGCACGGACTTGTGCGGTTCCAGCTGTGACCCGCACACCAAGAGCTGGTCCCTTCTTCTTTCATCTCCTCCTTTGAAGGCCCCAGGGGTGGGAGAATGTGATGATATGAATCTTCAGATTATAAACTTAGCTCAGAAATGAGAAATACCACTGCTTGGCAAACAAGTCTGAGAAACTGTCAAATATTATTGCTTAAAGGTAAGTCAAGTTGTTGGATGAGTTGCTGATATTGGGTTTATACCTATGAACACAACTGGAAGATGATGAAAACTCTAGAAGGAAAGAAAGAACTCTGCTCTTACAGGGCAAGCAGAGTTTAAGGCCAAAAAGGAAAAAAGTTAATTAAAACAGTAAGAATGAAAATTATGGTGAATAGTAATTCTCCACCAAGATCCTCTCTTCAAATACATTTCTACTAGCATGGTGGGCTTGGCTGTGTGAAGATTACCTCCCCCCAGAAGGAAAACATTTTTATGGTAATACATGTAATTTTATTCACTCAGTACATTTAATGATGGACTTTTTACTCTTTAGTTTTTCGAATCATAGTGGACTACTGAAAACTCATTATTCCTGACCTCAAGTTTCTAAGAGAAATGTTAATTCTAAGGAAGTAACTGAAAAAAATCCCAGCTAGGAATAGAAAGCAATTTTATCATGTGTGTTCGGTTATTTATTTCAGGCTCACAACTGCTGCAAAAGAGCAACTCACAAATAATTCTACTAAGGCTTTCTGGCCTTTTCTTTCTTTTTAGAGACAGGGTCTTGCTTTGTCACTCAGACTGGAGTTCAGCGGCATGACCATAGCTCACAGCAGCGTTGAACTCAAGCTCAAGCAATCCTCCCACCTCGCCTCCTGAGTAGCTAGGACTAAAGGTACACACCACTAAATTCAGCTATTTTTTCCCCCCGTAGAAACAGGGTCTCACTATATTGCCCAGGTTGGTCTTGAACTTCTGGTCTCAAGCGATCAGCCTCTAAGCTTTTTCTTAAAACAAAAGAGCAACTGTAATGTTGTAATGTTGTAATGACAACAACAATAATAACTCTTACTGGGAGCTTTTTATGTACCAGGCCCTGTCTCAACATTTTTATGAGGTTGGTATAACTTTATTCCTATTTTACTGAGGTTTACAGAGGTGAAGTAAGTTGGTCACAAAGCTAGCAAGTGGTAGTCAGGAATGAAGCTTGAGATATGAATCCAGAGAAGTGACTGTCATATTTTAGCATATATTCTCCCTGACCATCACACATAATTTTTTTTTTTTTTTTTTTGAGACAGAGTCTTGCTTTGTTGCCCAGGTTGGAGTGCAGTAGGGATTGTAGCTCACTACAACCTCCGCCTCCCAGGTTCAGGCGATTCTCCTGCCTCAGCCTCCCGAGTAGCTGGGATTACAGGCATGTGACACCACGCCTGGCTCATTTTTATATTTTTGGTAGACATGGGGTTTCACTGTGTTGACCAGGCTGGTCTCGAACTCCTGACCTCAAGTGATCTGCTGACCTCAGCCTCCCAAAGTGCTGGGATTACAGGCATGAGCCACCTCGCACATAGATTTATACTTGAGTAATGGGAAATAAAAGAGAGACTGGTAATACTTGTGAGTTAGATACACACACATTTTGGGAACCCTTTTAAGTTTACCTTCAAGGCCATGAGAAAGAAAATCTCGTTACAAGAACTACACATATATTCTTTGGTGCTCTAATTGTCTGCCCCATACACTCTCTCCCTGCCCCACCTCACCTCCTAGCCTTCCACCCCATAAGTATGTAGCACACAAAGATCAAATAGATCTGAAATGCCAGTCTCCTTAGGGAAGTACACAGCAAGTAACTATGGCTGGTAAAAGACACAGTCATATTCTGCCCTGAACCCCAGCAGTCACAGAGGACATCCTGCTCCCAAGCCTGGTTTTGATTAGTTCCTATTTCTTACCAAGGAACTTGCAAGAATTAGGTTCTTTGATTCACCTCCTCTCTGTCACCTGAAAACTATGCATCTGTTTTTGTGCATGGCTGAGTCTGATTCCTCATAAGATGCTCCCCTAACTAACTTGCAGCATGGAGAGGCCATGCAGAAGTAGGCAATGAGGACATCACATGGTGGCCCAGCACCAGCAGGAGCCAACCCAGACACACGGATCTATCTGAAGACCCAGCACAATCAGCAGGAACAGCAGAACCTGCTTGTACCAGGGAATTCAGCTGGTGGGGAACGTTCTGCTTTTTCCAAAGTTCTGCTGCCCAGAAGCTGTAACTGCAGGCTTGTCACAGAATAAAGACTTCTGGGCCCATAGGATCTCAAGAGTGAGGCTGGGCTGCACGCGGTGGCTCACGCCTGTAATCCCAAATCCCAGCACTTTGGGAGGCCGAGGCAGGTGGATAACAAGGTCAGGAGATTGAGACCATCCTGGCTAACACGGTGAAACCCCATCTCTACTAAAAATACAAAAAATTAGCTGGACGCGGTGGTGGGCACCTGTAGTCCCAGCTACTCGGGAGGCTGAGGCAGGAGAATGGCGTGAACCTGGGAGGCAGAGCTTGCAGTGAGCCGAGATAGCGCCACTGCACTCCAGACTGGGCGACAGAACGAGACTCCATCTCAAAAAAAAAAAAAAAAAAAAAAAAAGAAGAGTGAGGCTGACAGGCAGGTTTAACCATGGCAGTTGTCTTTTCCAAGCCTTTAAGGGTAATATCTAAAGAGAATGTGGAATTCTATACTTTGAAAAGTCCTGATTTCATTGCACACCTTCACCCCTTGCCAAACATAGCTTCAACATAGTCTTTTCTTACCAATTCCTTTCCAAATGGCATGCATTTTTCAAGAAAACATACTTGCTGGATTTAGATAAAGAGAACACAGGGAAGTCTGGGCCAAGGCAGAAAGATCAATTTTTAAAAGGCAAGGAGAACAGTACGTAGTCATGGTGCTCAATGATCACCAGTCAACTAACTTAGTTGACTTTGACCCTAGTACACCAAAAATGTTCATGTTTAGTTAACAGAATAATGAACACTTATCCCTGCTCATCCTCAAATTTAAAAATTTCTTCCTTGCTTGAGTACCCAGTTCTTTCGAAGTTTTCAAGGAATGAACCTGTTTCTGGAGTAAATGGCAGAGCTTCTTCCTGGGAAATAACTTTCAAAAAGAACTCACAAGAGCAGCTAGGCTAGATGGCTGATGTGGACTAAGTTAGTCCCTTGGCTATCCGCTCAGATCTTTGGACAGCCCGAGTGCTTTTGCCTACTGTAATTTGGGGCATTGGAATTGAGTTCTGAAAGCAGAAAGGAATCATCCTGGGTCACTAGGGAAGCACTGTTTCATGGCCCCTGAGAGTCAAATTTATACACCCAGGCCACCGCAAAAGAAGGATTGCAGAGCCACAGTGGCTCCTAAAAGGAGGATCAAGAAGGACCCAGGAAAATGCAGGGGTTGGGCATAAGATTGGGAAAGGGTAGAGGGAACCTGAGCTACAGGTTGGAGAGAGAAGCTATTACTGTATACCTCATAGAGCAGGCTCAACAAATGGGAAGGAGAAGGTAGGGGAAAGAAGATGGATTTTGGAGACAAATGAGAGCCTGAGTTTGAAACCAGGCTCTCCCATTTTCAAGCTGAGTGACCTTGGGCAACTTAATCTCTCTGGGCTCTAGTAGTAATTCTTTGAAAAAGAATATTATTACAGGTCCACAACTCTTCATATATAATTCCCAAATCCAAAAAACTCTGAAAAGAAAGATTTTTCATAACTTATTTGGCAGCAAAACCTGACATGAGCTGACATGAAGGTCTCCTAGTCTTTACCCACTTAATGTAACTAATTCTTCTTCTCAAGTTTTAGAGTAGAAATTTAATTTGATCACAGGGTGTTGACCCAGAACCTGCCAGTTGTGTTAAATAATAGTATGTTCATTGTATTACTTTTCTAAATAATAGTATATACTTTATAAATTCTCTAAAATCAGAAAAAGTCTGAATCTAGAAATATATCCGGCCTCAAGAGTTGAGGTAATTTGTATCTTAGAGGGCTGTTGGGAGGATTCAGTGAGAAAATAAGAAATGACAAGTGTGAAATAACTAGTATTATATGCAGCTTTAAGGCCTTGATAAATTGTAACTACCATGATTAGACTTTTGTAACCAGAGAATGTTCTAGAAATATGGTGGTGGACAATAACCATCTGTGGACACTCCACAATAAGCTTTAGCTAGCTTCACACAGCCAGAAGGGCTCCTACAAGCTGCACAGTTGGTGCCTGCCTTGCAGGAAAGAGAGGCACTGTGTACTACTGATGGAGAGCTCTCTCATCATCAATCCTTCTGTCAGATGCTGACACAGGGACTTCCCCCATGGAGCAATGAGGGCACCTCAAATGAAACTGTGCCTCATGTGGCTCTAATTTAGCATGGCACACTCCACCAAGCTCTGCTTCATGAAGAATGTGTGGACAGTCGCAAACATATTTTTCCTAAGACTTTCCTTTGTGATATTTGCAGATAATGAAGGGGAAAGAACAGAGACCCAGTTAAGAATCTTTATAATAATGTAATGATCACCTCATGTCTAATCTTATCTAAACAGACAGCAGCAGAAGTCAACACTTCCTGTACAGCTTACAAAAGTAACATTTATAACTATCACATCTTTCCACAAATTAGAAGACATGAACAGATACCCCAAGTTATGGAACTTAATAGCAAACTACACCTTCTCTTTTGCCACTCTCCATAATGTAGGTCTCACGGGGTGAATGATCTGACTTGGTAAATAAATTCAACATCTGGCATGAAAACAGAAACTCTCAAAAAACCAAACAAATCATCACCTAACTGGGTTTCTCTGGCATACTTAGAACTTGGAAGTGAAACCAGGATATCTAATAATAGACACAGATACTAAAGTGAGAACTGTTGGCAACCCCAATATGAAAAGACATTTGAAAAGGTCTTGAACTGCAACTTCAATACAATGTTTGGATATCCCACCCCCTAATTCTTTCCTCAAGGGTGTTTTACAGCACTGTGTGAGTTACCCCTTCAAATCAGGCTCATGTACCTGCAAAGGTGCTTCCTTTATTCTCTCTCTCTCCTTTTTTTTTTTTTTTTTTTTTGGCACTTTGCTGCCCAGCCTGGAGTACAATGGTTCGATCACAGCTCACTGCAGCCTTGAACACCTGGGCTCAAGCAAACTTCTTGCCTCAGCTTCCCAAGTAGCTGGGACAACAGGCATGTGTCACCACACTCAGGTAATTTTTCTTTTTTTTTTTTTTTTTAAGAGATGGGGACTTGCTATGTTGCCCAGGCTTGTCTCAAACTTAAGCAATCCTCTTGCCTCCACCTCCAAAAGTGCTGGGATTACAGGCATGCACCACCACCCCTGGCCTTCTTCCTTTTAGTCTCTAATTCTAAGTGCCATCAGCAGAGGGCACACATGCACACACTATTGGGAGCATGGCCCCTCACATAACATACAGGGTGTTCACCAAGATGGCGCCTGCCTTCGGAAGTGCTCATAAGCAGGAAGAGCTCAATCCAAGCCTATGAAATGGATGCATTACAATAGGAAGACATTTAGTCCATCAACTCACAGTGAAGGCAGGACAGCTTGGGGTTGTGTTCAGATAATTACTCCTTTAAAAACTCTCACTGGCTTCTCACTGACCATAGGGTAAACTCTAAAGTCTACAACCCTTAACATGATTGATAGAGCTCTTGGTTGTCTGGCTCCAAATCTATTTCTGTTTTGTTTTAAATCTCTTCCATTAACTTACTCTTAAATATCTCAAATGTGCCAAGTTCTCTATTCCTTTTGAGCCTCTCTTAGGTGCCCTTCCTTCTCCCCTACACCCTGAGCCCAACTTTACCCCTTCAGTTCTCAGCTTAGACAGTAATTTCCTAAGGAAGGAAGACTTTCTTTATCCTCCAAATGATATGGTCTTCCTTGTTTGTGCTCCTACAGGTCTCTGTGCTTCTCTGTCATAAAATTGCCTCATTTGTTTAATGTTGTTTCTCTTACTGAACCATTAAGTTCCCTGAGAGCAGGGACTATACATTTTTATTCACCTCTGTATAAACAAATGTCACTCAAATTCTATTTAAGTGGAGCTTCTTCCTTTAAAAGTCAAATAAGGGCCAGGTGCAGTGGCTCATGCCTGTAATCCTAGCACTTTGGGAGGCCAAGGCGGGCGGATCACCTGAGGCGGATCAGGAGTTGGAGACCAGCCTGGCCAACATGATGAAACTCTGTCTCTACTAAAAATACAAAAAACAAACAAACAAAAAATTTAGCTGGGCATGGTGATGGACACCTGTAATCCCAGCTATTCAGGAGGCTGAGGCAGGAGAATCACTTGAACCTGGGAGGTGGAGGTTGCAGTGAGCCGAGTTTGCCCCATTGCACTCCAGCCTGGGAGACAGAGCAAGACTCTGCCTCAAAAAAAAAAAAAAAAAAAAAGTAAAATAAGAACCAACAAGATAATTTCTAGATACCCGGTCATTAACAATGACTATATCCTTTTCAAAACAGAACTTCTATCATTCATTGTCCATCTTTTAAAAGCAAAAGCACTAAAAGCAAAAACAAATAGCATTTCCACACCAGGGGGATGGGGTTTCTGTCTAGATAACTTTTGTATGGAAAGAATTAGAAGATTTCTCCTTCCTTACCACATCTTGGCTCTCAGTGGATTTTATTTGCTTTAAGGTTTTAGGATTCCAGCATGCCACCAGCATGATTTCTACCAGAGAAGTTAAAAATTATATTTTTCATCACCTAGTATCCAATCATCAATCTGAGTCACACAACAAACTAGTGGAGTCACTTCTTCTGGCATGAAATATGAAATGTGCCGCAGGAACTTGGTAACACCTCCATTCACAAAACCACTGAAGCCAGGAGTTCTGACCCTAGCCATGAATTGTCTAGTTTGGCTGCTCAGAGTCACGTGTCAGCCTTCTCCCCGATCATGAACTTGGAGGTTGGCCAGCCAAGCAATACTCCAAAGATTTCCAGGCATGAACAGGAAGAAAATTGTATTTTACATTCCGTTTCTTTCAACTCATGTTGTAATTCTGGGAAGCCCGGGTGCCTGCTTTAAATGTTCTAGAGATAAACATGAAGGAATGACATGTATGCATATCATTATCATGATTGTACTCAATACGACATCAAGATTGGAACAGACTTGCACGGATGAATTACCATCCCCTTGTAGGGACCAGAAATCAATCCTATGGGGGTGGGATATGGGAGAAGAGATCAGCATTAGCATAGAGGGAAGTACTGGGGAGATTGATACTGGGTTGCTGGGATGCCAGTGGCAAGCCTTAGGATGCTGACTTGTTTAAGGCAACCTCGGTCCTGGTGGGGAAGCCTGATGGACAACAGCCGGTGGGGGAATCAGGAGAAAGCATTGAAATGTCTTTATATTAGACAGTTGTTTATGTGCTAGAAATAAAGTTGGAGGTAATATGGTGAGGGGTTCGATTAAGAGATAGAGACAGAGAAGCCTGAAAATACTCATGCTACGGTCTGAATGTTTGTGCCCGCCCCCCCATTATTCATTTGTTGAAACTTTATCACCAATTTGATGGCATATATTAAGAAAGTCACTGCACTCTTCCTCTTCTTCCTCCCTTTCCTTTCCTTCCCAAACAACTCAGTCCAAAAGTCACTAGGCCAGGCTGAATAAGATGGTACCTGCTGTAGTGTTGGAGCCCAGGGAGGGTAAGGAGGGTGTTGGTGAAGGGTCGTGGCAGTGGCCACCTGGAAAATGATGTCGGAGCCCAAGTTTGGTGAGGAAAACAGGAGACTGGTTATACTGGAGTGTGGGGGAAGGAGGGCTAGTTAAATAATAAACATATTACAGATAATAAAAACTAAGTATCTTTTGTCAAGAAGGTGGTCACAAATATGGAAAGGGAGAAAGTATGAATGAACTTTTTATTAAATAAGAATTAAAAAGCATCAGGGCAAACTCATGGTTTTCAAGAGAGATGTGTGTAATTTCTAATTCTGTCCACTGAGAGTGCCTGGGGCTAGTGACAATGCAATAACAATGAGCACAGCTAGCACTCAGATCTTTGTTTCTAAATACCATTCTCCATCATCAGAAACTAGTGCTCTTCAGAGAGACGACCGATTTCAGGGTTGGGAAAGTATAAGATGAAACTGGAATATCTTGCGATGCCAGAAATTGAGGAAGCATTCAAAGGAAAACGGGGACATCTCCAAAGGACATACAAGTTAGCCAGAAAGGGCTCCCGTGAGCTGTAACTGAACAAGTTGCGGATAAAAATAATAAAAGAAATGGATTATAATCCATTGAATATCACAGGAATCCATTGAATATCACAGGAATCCATGAGATCATACCGACATAAATAAATGAAGTTTGATAAGAAATGGGGTGAAAATTGCAGAATACCACAGTATTGCCCTACAAAATGTATATTAATTACAAAAGAAAAAAGTAACTACTGTGCAGAAGGCTGGCAGACACTCCCTCAATGGAGTGATCATAATCAATATTAAGTGATCAGAGTTGACACCTGTCACCATAATGGGACAAACTAATACCACGTGCTACCTGTTTGGATACAGTGAGAACACAGCATCAATTTGGTGGTATTCCTACCAAAGATGCACAACCTGAAAATCATCATATGAAAACATCAGAGACCCACATTAGGGAGCAGTCTACAAAATTGGGGGTGATGGGGCATCATGTTGGCAATTTACTCTCAAATGATTCAAAACAGAAAGACATTTGTACTGTACTTGGGAACTTTTCTTTAGGTTGGAGATTCTTTCCAATTTTAAAAAGTTAATGAGAAGAGTGACCTTGAGTCATTGTAGGTTTGATGGAAGCCAAGTGTCAAGATAAGATTAAGATATGGATGGACCAAGATAAGTGTCAACAATTATCCTTTAGGGTAACGATTCTTAAATTTTCTCTGGTGAAGCATCAGTTTTTCCCCACCAGTCCATTATGAAGCAATAGTTTTGTAAAATACAAAAATCCCACGCTTGGATTTCAGGACAATATCACATTGCAATAGGAGTTTTCAAATGCTTACTCTCGATGTCTGAACTTAGAATGAACCAGTAGCAAATGATTCCTGGACTAGCTTGGACCACGCTTTGAGCAGCGTTTTCCATAGCTGAAGATCTGTGGATCCCTGATTGCTATCACATTCACATGGAAAATAAAAACAACTGGTCACACTGTTATCCATATGGTAGCAATAATAATTAGCACTCTAATTAACATCAACCATCTATACAAAGTATTCAAAAAAGGGACCACCCAGGCAATATGAAGGGATTAAAGACCTGCCTTTGTGAAGAGTAATTCAACTTTTCCAAATGGGTCACATGACAAGAACAGATGCGTCCACTCCTGATTCCAAAGTAGTTGCTTTGTGGTGACTTAAGAAGAAAAACCCAGTTACACGGAAGATGAACAAAAGCATTTTGCATGGACCAGTCTGCAATGCCATGCCATGACTATCATTGCTGGGAAGGAAACCAGCATTCAGAAGGGGTTAGTTAGTAGAGGACAACTCCCAAATCAGATGGGTTTAACTAGATACTGAGGGTCAAGCTACTGATTCCAACATAGTCCACACATGGGTCCACTCTGGTTCTATGCCACAAACAGCCTCTCCTTCAGACAAGAGGCAGGCTTTCAAGTAAAAGAGAACAATTCTTTATAATAAACCAAGGCCAAAGCAGAACAACAAAGAAGGAGCTATTGCATCCTCTGGAAAGTGGCAAACTCCATGCAAGCTCAGGGTTCTTCTAGAGGACACTCTTGACACTTTTGTTGCATGTCCCTGTATGCTGGAATTCTCATGCCAGTGTCCCCCCAACACTTATTCCAGACACACACAGAGGAGGCTCCACATAGAAACCCATGAGCTGGAATCAACAACAACAGACTGCTGTGGCATCTGTCTCTCATGTGAGGCACCTCACTTACCTGGAGCAGTTTTGTAGCATGTTCTGGAGGGCAGTGATGGGGCATTCTTTGTCCTGGGGCTCTGCGTACTCTGCAAGACTTGTCTCTGCCTCTTCAGCTCCTCTTCCCTTTCCTGAGCTGCTCGGATCTCTTCCTCAATCATGGACAAAGTCCGCTGTTTCCTGGACCTCAGCTTGAAAGGCCCAACCATCACGTCAGATTCTTGAGTGGCCAGGAGGGAGGCTGTGCTTCTCAGCTCAGCTGCCTCCGAGTACTTGCTGAAATAGCTTCCTTCGGGCCTGGTCTCCTCCATGTTAATCGGGCCACTGGGCTGCACAGCTGGCAGTGGCTGGGGGGGCCCCCTTTCCCTGAGCGCCCTGTCTTCAGCAGGCAGAATCTTTGGTAATACATCCCTTTTCTCTTGAACAGGAGAAGACACCTGAGGTGGCTCAAACATGCTCTGAGGCTTTTCTGAGCCGAAAGCCGCAGCTTCAGCTTCCTCTACAGTCGCTTCAGGTCCCTGTTGCTCTGCTCCATCCCTGCTGGTTTTGGACACAGCTTTATCCACCTGCTCGGCTATGGCTTGTTGAATGGCATTCTGCACCAGGAGGCCAGCCTGATACTCCAAGGGGTCATCAACCAACGGAGAGTCCCCCAGCGTGGAGGAAGGGGAATAGAAACCATGATCACTAAATGACTTGGAGACGCCTTCTCCTCGGCCCTCTGAGGGGTTGTCAGTTTGTGGTGTCTGGGGCAGAGAAAAATCAGCCAGTGAATTTTCCTGGAGGGCATTGGTTGTCTCATTGGATGCCCCGCTGTCACTGATGTTGTCCATGCTGAAATCATTGGATAGGGTCTCCAGGACTGTGGTATCCTGAGACCTCACCGACAATTCGTCCAGACCAGAGTCAAGCTCCTCTTGGGTCAAGGAGACATTGACAGATCTTGAGAACTGATCCAAAATCCCATGGTCATCATCCTTGACCACAGTGAGGACAGCCCGGGCGCTCGTAAATTCTCCATCCTCAGCCCACAGTTTAGATAAGGGCCCACGTTTAGAAGGCTCGCTGTAGGGCCCTTCCTTCCCCTGAGAGGCTGTGTTGCCCTGGCTTCCTGCTGCCGATGGGGTCTCCAGGGCACCGGGGGATTTCTGTCCCTTGGCGGCTGAGGCACCACTGTCTTCTGGAGGTCCCCCGACAGAAGGTGGTCTCGGATTAGTCAGTGGCTTGTCTGAGTTGACTGACCCCAGAGGCCTGTAGAAAGGCTTGATGGAGAACAGCCTGGGTGTACTCTGGCCCTTGGCCACCGCTTGCCTGGAATTCTCCATCAGCTGAAATTGTTTGCGAGCAGCAGAGAAATCTATCTGCTCTGTGACAATGTCCTCCTTTGCTTTGTCAATCATGCTTGCGCGTTCATGAGAAGAGGCAGGGGCTGTGCAGAGCTGCGATGGGGGCTGCTGCTGCTGCTGCTGTAACTGCTTCTGCAGCAGCAACTGTTCCTGCTGTGCCCTTCTCTCTTTGCGCTCCTTGTACTTTTTGTGCGACTCCAGATGTTCCTCGTCCAGCTGCTCCTCGATGGTTTTTTCCTGCGGGGGATTCCACCATTTTGCTGCAATGCCAGGATTCTTCTTGACGGCCTGGCTGCGGATGAGCTCTCTCCTCTCCTTTTCCAGCTCCAGCATCTCCTCTGAAGGCCTCACTTTTCTAATGCAGTATTGTTCTTTCTCATGCTCGTCATCCTCAAAGAGCTTGGAGGGCTTCTTGTCCTCATGGAAGGCACGCAGCTCAAACTTGGCCTCCTTTTTCAGTGTGGTGAGAGTGAACTCTCCATCTCGGGAAGAACACCGTGAGCTGGTTGTGGAGCTGGGGCTGACAGGCACCTGCAGGCTGTCCCCCAGCGCATCTCTAGGCTGGCTGGGGGAATGGCCATTTGTTCTTTCTGCCTCTGCCATGGGGTCAGGGCTGCTATTACTGAGCTCGATGTGAGGAGGTGCCTGCCGGCTAGCTGTTCTTTCAGTGGGTTCTGGCTGGGTCGCCTCGTGGACAGGGGGGCTTAGGCCGCCCACCAGAACCACTGCACCAGGCTCTGGGGAGGATGTTCCATTGTACGTTCCATCCACAGCAGAATCACAGCAGTTGGCCTCTAGCACCTCATCTAGATAGCGGATCTCTCTGGCAACATCATTATCCAGGGATTCGTGGTGATCAGTAAGGAGGCCATTATGCGGGGGTGAATAGAAAGCGGAGGGATGGTCCATGGGATGTGGGGTAGAGGTGATTCCAGGAACACTTTTACATTCTGCAACAGACACCTCAATTTCCATGTTTTTGTGATCTGGGGAAAGAGAGCTGGCAGCAGGCTCCAGGAGGGTGGCACTATAGTTGTCTCCCTCGCTTTTTAGCCAGATATCATCCTCAGAAAGCTGGGGAGGCTTCTGGAATAAAGAGTAAACAAAAGTCAGGGTTAAATACTGCATCTCTTATGGATGTGAATGCTGACAAACTGACTCATAATTAAGAGGAAGGAAAATGGAAACCACAGTGACAAATTCTTTTGAATAGATATTTTCTAATAATCCCTTAAATGTTCATTTTCTTGTAGTAACAGGTGCCCAATCCTCTCTAATTTATGGATTCCATTTTGTTTACATGCTAGTGCCATTTTTAAATTTTATCTACTAAGGTGGAAGAGATTACATCATTATTGTACCAGAGTCTTCCCAAGTATTTTGCGGCAAATGATTGCAGGCTGTGCAATACGACTATTAATAGGATTGCAAAAAGAAGGTCCTTTTGTATGAACAGATCTTTAAAACATATGACTCTCTGCCAGATGTAATGCAGTTATTCTGGAGACAAGAAACTTTTTGGAAAATCTTTGCAGAATAAAATACTGGAAAACAGTAGATCCCTTTAATGGCAGCACACAGGCTACAGTGCCTCACTGCCATGGCTGTAATTGACCATGTGCCTTATGAACACCATCACCAAAGCCACTGACTGCACAGCTCTGTTTTCTGGGATTGCATCAAAATAATACTCTTTAGTTAAGAAGTCAGCACTGCTTTGAAAAACTAATGGCCAATGGTACCTCTCCTCCAGTTTTTTAACTGCTTTATATGTGATATCTTCAGTTTGTGATTCAATAAGAAAACCCTATCTTCTTAATGTTTTAAAACCCATCATATTTTTCTTTTTTTTTTTTTTTTAAGGAAGGAGGTTTTTTGTCTTGAGGGCTTTTTTTTTTTTTTTTTTTTTTTTTGAGATGGGATTTTGCTCTGTGGCCCAGGCTGGAGTGCAGTGTGCCATCTCGGCTCATTGCAACCTCTACCTCCTGGGACTACCGGTGTGTGCCATCACCCCTGGCTGATTTATATATATATATATATTTATATATTTTTTTTTTTTTGTAGAGACAGAGTTCCTCCATGTCTCCCAGGCTGGTCTTGAACTCCTGTACTCAAGTAATCTGCCCGCCTCAGCCTCCCGAAGTGCTGGGATTACAGACATGAGCCACCACACCCAACCCATCCATCTTATTTTTCTACCAGTTATCTAGCCTATGTAATTTTGTTATTTGGCATTAGAAACATTAATTTTCAAATTATAAGATGATTTTCTTTTTCATATCAAAGGACTCTGGCTTATCTCAAAGAATTCCAGTAAAGTATAAACTTAATTTGAGTTACCATCAAGGACCTTACAACACCTAGGTTGGCTTTGTTTCCCTGTCTCAAGTTTATAATGTGCCTGGTATTATTGACATAGGACAATGCAAAATTGCAAGAGAGTGTAATTTTCATTTATCTAAGGTTTCAACAATTTTAAATGCTTAGAATATTAAAACACCACCTTAGGACGATTCTCAGGAAATTAATTTCAAAATCCTTCCCAAAAAAGTGGATAATTATGGATTTGTTCTTGAGACCTAAGAAAACACTGGAGTTCATCGTAAGTGCTCTACACTGCTGTCAGAATGTTGAAAAACTCTCTGAGTTATCCATGAACTGGGGGGTTTCCTTCACTCTTCACTTTCCACATTTCCTTTCAGACTTAAATTATTCAAGTAATGTATATGTCTTCTCCATTAACAGGCACAAATAATGAGTGTTCCTCTTTTGTCAACATCTTCCATTCTCTGATTTTCTTCCAGTCTAGGTCTGGTCTTTGTTAAGGAGTGATACTTAACACAATTAATATTTATAATTGCTAATATCTTTATTTTTTATTTTTGACCATCATTAAATAGTAGTTTTTGCCACCACCTTCCTTTTTTTTTTTAAGAGACAGGCTCTTGCTCTGTTGCCCAGGCTGGAGCACAGTGATGTGATCATAGCTCACTGCAACCTTGAACTCCTGAGCTCATGGGATCCTCCTGCCTCAGTCTCCCTTAGGACTACAGGTGGGCATTACCATGCCTGGCTAATTTTTAAAATTTTTTGTAGAGATAGAGTCTCGCTATGTTGCCCAGGCTGGTCTCAAACTCCTGGACTCAAGCAGTCCAGCCTTGGCCTCCCAGAGTGCTGGGATTACAGGCATGAGCCACCCTGCATGGCCAGCCCTTTTAAAACTATTAACTAAACTTTTTGTTGGATGAGACATTGTCAGTAACTTCTACTCATATATCATTAAGCATTACACAAAATTTGAATGCTGAAACTTACTGGCTGCCATTCAATTTCAAGTAAACCTAGGCCAAAATTAGCCCACTCCATGGAAAATTATTATTGAAATAAGAAGACAAACAAAGAGAGATTCACGGTACTGCTAAGATGAGTCAGATTACCTATGGCACCCTCACCCCTGGCTTCTTTTGGCCAATGACTCACTGCTAATATTCTGCATGGGAACAACAGAGCTCTCCTTCTATCCTTTTTGGCTTGGGGGCCGGGGTGGGCGGAGGGTAGTGGGAAATCAGTAGGAAGCTGGTAGGACTGAAATATGGTTAGAAAACACTGCTCTCCTGAAACACAAGATGCTTTAGAATACCTGAGGAGAGGAAGAAGGGCAACGTAATAGTAAAGGAAACTAAAAGGCAAATAATTAGTTCTATAGTTTAATTAATTAATCCGTTCATTAAACATGAGGGGAGGTTATTCTGCAGGGTCATAATGAAATTAGCAGCAACAATAAGCTCCAGAAGACAACACCCTTTAAAAAAAAAATGAGTTCTCTGTACTTCCAAGAAAGCCCTAAGTCTATATTAGAGTTTTCTTAGTCTGAATCAGGCAAGTGAAGAAATTGCTTCTCTTTGTCTCTTGTTGCTAATCACAGAGGAAGGAGTGATGGGGCTTATCTCCAAAGCCATTTCCCAAGAACACTTTTCCGCTCCTCACATCAGCATTATCCCTTTCTGTTGAATGTTTCACACTTCAAGTGCTCGATGATGAATGAGCAGATGACTTTCCACGTTTTCTTTTTAGGATTCAAAAATTGTATCAGCTCTTTCCAAGGCACCCTTTTTGAACTAGAAATAGTTGTTTTGGTACCAAATATTTAAAATCTAAGACAACAATTTGACAATATACTTTTGCAATTGTTTGAAAAAAAATACAAAACTGCCATTATCTTTGAATCAGAAATTATTTTACAAGTAGTTATGTCTTCTGTGATCGGTCAAACTGAGATTTTAAAATATGCTAGTTAGTTGGCAGGGTGCAATAATAGCTCATGCCTGTAATCCCAGCACTTTGAGAGGCCAAGGTGGGTGGATCACTTGAGGTCAGGAGTTTGAGAACAGCCTGATCAACATGGTGAAACCTCCTCTCCACTAAACATACAAAAGTTAGCCAGGCATGGTGGTTGGTGTACACCTGTAATCCCAGCTACTTGGCATGAGAATCGCTTCAACCTGGAGAGCGGAGGTTGCTGTGAGCCAAGATAGTGCCACTGCATTCCAGTCTGGGTGAGGAAGTGAGACTGTCTCAAAAAAGGCTGGGTGTGGTGGCTCACGCCTGTAATCCCAACATTTTGGGAGGCCAATGTGGGTGGATCACTTGAGGTCAGGAGTTTGAGACCAGCCTGACCAACATGGTGAAACCCTGTCTCCACTAAAAATACAAAAGTTGGCCAGGCATGGTGGTGTACACCTGTAATCCTAGCTATTTGGCAAGAGAATCTCTTGAACCCGGAGAGCAGAAGTTGGAGCATTCCAGCCTGGGTGAGGAAGTGAGGCTTGGTATCAAAAAGAAAAAAAAAAAAGAAGCCCGCACGGTGGCTCACCCCTGTAATCCCAGCACTTTGGGAGGCTAAGGCAGGCAGATCACCTGAGGTGAGGTCAGGAGTTCGACACCAGCCTGGCCAACATGGTGAAACCCCATCTCTACTGAAAATACAAAAAATTAGCCAGGCGTGGTGGCAGGTGCCTCTGTAATCCCAGCTGCTTGAGAGGCCGAGGCAGGAGAATTGCTTGAACCTGGGAGGAGGAAGTTGCAGTGAGCCGAGATCATGCCACGGCACTCCAGCCTGGTCAATAAGAGTGAAACTCCATCACACACACACACACACACACACACACACACACACACACGCTAGTTACTTGTTAAAAGTCAAAGTTTGGGGGTTCCAGTGTAATTTGGGATGATTCCTTTCCGATACATTTTTTTAAACCTCTAGACACTGGAGGGTGTAAACAGGAAAGAGGCCCTCCTTCTTGTGAGCTATATGGCATCCAGTCCCCCTTTCCCCATAAATTCAGAAAATTCTTCATGACACTCAATTCCATCTACTCAGGAAGCAGCAGGTTTAACCTCTAATTGGCATGGAAGTATTTAAAGAGATAAACAACTCTGAATTACTGATTCACAATCATGCACCAGAGGTCCTGAGGTTTTGTAAAGTTAGACAACAATGATAACAAAAGAGCGAATTCCTGAGTTCCACTGTCAGCAGTAAGAATTTGCCTTCATGCATGATGGCCTGATAGAATCAAAGCCACTGGCAACTACACCAGGTAAATGGAAATGGGCTGGAAATCTAACCTATCCGGATTAGGCAGGAATCTGGGCTTGGTATCATCAGATGATGTCTTGTTTAAACCAACAAATGCTTATTGCTCTCTTTGAAGATAAGAAGGTCCAGAATTTTCTCCATGCTTCAAATTAGGCGAACGTGATTCCAGATTCAGATAAGATGCACATTCATTCAATCACCAGGAAAGTCCTTTTTGAAATGAACTATGCCCCAATGCAAAAACAGGAGGATATGAAAGAATCATCAAACTGGGTTTTCTAAGGTCAGAGAAAAACTAAGGTGCAAAGGGGCTGTGGGAGCTTTTTAGATCGGCCCAGTTCACCCTCCAGGTAGAGCCCTAATACCACGACACAGAAACCTGCCCTTCCCACTAAATTCTAGAATAGTTAACAGCTGGTTAGGATGCCTACCATTTACTTTCACATACTTGATCGGGGCAATTTAATACAGCTGTGTGCTTCTGGAATTAGTTTAAATTACATTCCAGGGTCTGACAACCATCCTAAATGGGAATATAAACTCAAGGGATGGTCATCTAGGATCCAATGAGAGATCCCACGCCCCACAGGTGGCTTCCTCCAGTACTTAGCTCCCTTTAACTCCCAAGAACCCCTGAAGCTTTGCTAATTGGCATAATTAAGGTGAGAAATAGGTTTTCATTAGTGAAATTAGTGGCCTGTCAATTAGCATAATGAATGTTAGAAATCCGTGAAATTGGTGGTGTTCAAATTTGTGGATTAGAGATCTTCCTCACCCTTTCATAAAGGGGATATGCCAATAGAGCGAACCCTTTGGTTTATACACCCTTAGGGATGGTGTTTGAGGTTTGAAAACTAAACGATCTTGTTTCTAGCCTTTGGCTCAGGGGACTTCGGTTGCTTACCACCCACTAAAATGGTAACAGAATCCTGTCTTCATAAAGTTGCCACATCTGTCTTCAGGCAAGGTGGGGTTGGAGCATCTAGAAATTTAGGGAGCTGAGATTTCCTCATAGCATTTTTTATAAATGTTTATTCAACTCAAGTCTGTATGAGTGCCAGAATTTGGTCCCAGAGACCTGTGTTTAACATAACCTGGTAGCCAGGCTGCAACTAAAGTCGCCTTTATTTACCAAAAAGTGTTTAATAGTTTTGCAAAGCAAATTAGCGTGGCTTAATTTACAACACAGGTGCCTATGTCTCCACCTAAAGAATGCAGGAAATGTGGTAATTCAGAGTTTAGCGTCCAAAGACCAGAGTCTGGGGTCATTTCTTGGCTCTACCTATAAAAGTCCTACCAGACTTTTTGTAATTATGGAATTCTGCTGAGAACAGAACTCCTTCATAAGCAGGACTAATAATATCTCCCAAATCTGTTTTGAGAATTAAGTTAGAAAATGTACTTAAAAGTACTATGTAAACTGTAAAACGGTTAATGCAAATGTTCACTATTATTAAGCCATTTTACACTGAGGTTTAAATGACAGGTATTATATTCTTTCTGGCAGCAGACTGATTTTCTTTTGGGAAAAGAGCAGGAGATTTTTAGAAGAAAAGAAATCAAGAAGAAAAGATGAAAGAAAAAAGGCCCGGGAAAGACTCAAAGTCAGAATCTATGGCAGCTCTAATCTCCCTAATCTTTCCCCAACCCCAGATCCTTACATGTGAATTTTAGTTGAAGCTGAACACGACTAGGAAGATACAGTTGTGCTGCAACAGAGGGAGTAATTTCACAAAATGTCCTTAAAAGTTAAGTCCTGAAATGCAGTAAGTAGAATGAGCAGTCAAGAACCACCCAGACCTGGGGCTCCAGTCACATGGGAAGCAGAGGAGGGGTCACACATTGGTTAAAACAGAACCTGGTCCATCTCCACAACTCAACTAGCCAAGTAAATGTACAAGTGAATGAGACAGCCCTGACAAGCCTGTCCTGTGGGCATGCTGTAAGTGTGGCATCCCCATTTTCTGGTTGACACATGTCTAATAGCTTATCATTTCACAGTACATGCACATACATATGTCAGCTGATGCTTGAAAAATGGCCCTCTGTTAAGTGGGAAAGGCATGAATTTTATTTCAGTCTTAAAACTTCAGAATAAGAGGTATAGAGAAATAGAGGGACGTTTCCCAAGATCACCTGCCTAGTAAGTGCCCTAGCCAGGATTTGAAGGTGGGTTCTTCTCATTCTATCCTGATACATCAAAATGGAGTCTCAATATTAGGAGGCTTTTAAAATGACATGGGAAATGGTAAGAAGAGTGGATGGATCAAAACAGAGTTAGCTTGGCTTTTTGGTTGATCTTTTGCTTGCTTGAATCTCTACAGATGATGTGAGACTCACAATTTAGCTTTAAAAGTCGATGATCCCTTTACCTTCTTTATTCAGTCTTGGTCAGAAATAGATGAACTCCCTGGAGAGTTAACTCTCTGGAGACGTATCTGTTGCTCTACGTGTCAGCTAGAAATGTGACTTCTTGCACGGTCTGGGGATTTCACCCTCTGGGCTGGTCTCTGAAGGGGTTCTGTTTCCTCTGGCCACTTGCCAGAGGTAAAATATTAAGATCCCATGTCCATGTCATTATGATGGACACTGTGGGAAAAGGCTGCAACTCTTCACCAACACCACAAGTGAGATTCTAGAAGCCTGTTTACATTTGCACAGAAAACACAACAGCAGGGCCCTGATCCCTGCCCCACTGGGCATAGACACCCATGTGTTCTTTCTGCCCAGGGTACCTAGGCCTACAGCTAGGCATGTCATGGACAGAAATAACTTTAAGGAAGTGCATTTTCCTTAGCAGGTCTGCCTGAGCCCAGGCGGAGAGCAGAAAGGTGTCCTTCACCACAAGGACAATGTTCACTGTGTTCACAGCCTCCCCTCTGCCCCACCATCCTCAGGCTGTTAAAGCTCGACAGTGTGCCTAACCCATCTCGACCTCCTAGGCTCCTAGCCTAAATGCACAGTGTGAACCAAATTACTCAAACATCAGGCTGTACAACCAGGTTTCTCTGCTTTGAATAACCCAGATTACTTCCTACTAAAGCCATGACATTTAAATTAGAAATGCTTTTCTCCAGATAATAGGTGACCCGATCCTTTAATCCAGTTATTTATAAGTTCCACCAAAAATATAAACTCACTCTTGGCCTAGGAACAGAGGCATGGCTATAAAACAAAACTTCCTCATAGCTGTGAAATCAGAGAGTATCTCCGTTTTCCCTTCTCATCCTGCCTCTCTTTTGTAAGTCACGTTTTCAGTGCGCAGGACGCAATGACAATCATGATGAAGAACTGGTTCCACGAGCTATGTGTGGCTATCTTTAGAGAGGTTCTTCCTAAATTTTTAACTTTCTGGCTAAGTCAGGATGTCTCCAGCATGAAGGCAAATGCAGAAGGGGTGAGGGTGGGATGGAAGGAAGTGCACCTGGCTGGTGGATGATGCCCAGAAACCTAAAAGATGCCCACATCAGCTGAACCTCATCAGCTTTGGACAAACCAGGCAAAGCTGCAGTCAGGAGGTCTGGGGGAGGCTAACTCCCCAAACCGAGGGAACCCGAAGCATAAGGAAGGGAACAGAAGTTGAACAGGTCAACACTACCTTGGATCCATAAGCATATCCTGGGACCCTGCAGAGCTATATGCTCTCAGCCTGGGCCGTGCGAGGTCCTCAGAGCTCCAAGGTGATCCGCCATCCCCAGCAAGACGCTCACAGACTTGGAGGGAGTGAGTACCAGTTCCCATAAGAAGAACGAACAGCACTAGGAGAAGGAAGTGCTGCAGCAATAGCTGGAAATAAACTTCCAGCCCTCTTCAACGGCGCAAACTGTGCCGGGCAAAAAGAATTGAAGAAAGCGCGGTGCACCAAAGTTTCTAAGCAGGCTGGCTGCACCTCCTCTGGCCCTCCCTGCTAACGACGACAGGAAGGAGAAGGAGCTGGGACTCCGAGTGGGCCGTTCCACCCTCCCCTGAAGGCACTGACAGCAGGAAAGTCTGGGAACTGCTTGCTGCGAGGGTTAGACTTGGGCCTCTAAGCCGAGCCTATAAGCGGGAAGTGGAGGAGAGGAGAGGCCCCGGGTGATAACCTGGGCCACATTCCAGTCCTGTGCAGGCTTTCCTCTTCCATCCCCCGAGCAGAGCTTCTTCCGGCCTGTGGAACTAGGGGCCCGTGTTGATTGTGGGAAACTGGGAACTAAGCCACTCCCTAAAGAGGCTAGAGCCTCCCCTCCTGGCTGATGGAAGACAGCCGGCCAGACTCCAGACCTCAAGCACTCCTGGGGCAAACGCAGGCTAAATTTGGACCCGGCAGGCTCGGGTCAATGCTGTGGGCCTTAAAAGGGGCAGATACTAAAAACACTTCTTGGTTTGCCTCCATGGATCTCCTGCCATGAAGCCATTACAGCTCAATGTGACTAGGGCAGTTCTAAAAAGAAAACTCAACCCTTTGGAGGCCAGGAGTCCTGTTCCTGCTCCTGCAGGTCCAGCCTTTTTTTCTGAGAGCTTCTACGGTATTGGTCAAAAGAGTAATCACTGTTCTGCTATTCTCTCTGTCTTATGCCTCAGGTACAGGTCTGAAGACGGGATGAAAATACTTCTGGAACTCCCCACCCCTTCACTGGAAACAAGGCTTCCCTGTGTCTTGACCCACATTCCTAGTGAAGGAGACTGGTCAATTTCTCATAGAACGGAGTCTCCCCCAGCACCATAGCTTAGCCTATGAACAATCCTCCTCTTAGCCCTGCTGAAAAGTCAGTGGCTCCAATCACATCTGGAAAATGTTAAGGTGTTATTTGATGAATATATTTACAGCTTGGGCTTTCTGTGAAAGAAACTGAAGACAGTGTGTGTGGTGGGGGTCAGCAGCGGGGAGGGGAGGAAAGGAAGGAAGCTGCTGTTGCCTTTTCTGCAGCAGCTGATGAAAGGGTTGTTTCTTTCCGTTACTTGGAGACCCACTTCTTACAGGAGTGACTGAGAGGCTTCCGGGTTTCCCGTGAATAAGGAGAGATGTGAGTTTCATGTTTTCCTCAATGAGGGATACTGAGCGCCCTATCAAGGAGCCCTCGGAGGCTCTTCTCACCAAAGGCCCTTTTCACTGGAGATTATTTTGCAAGGTAGTCCCTACCCCAGAATAAACCAAGCTCAAGGCCACAGAGGGAACTCTGGCTCCTGCAAGGTGAGATTTCTAGGGTAACCGATTCTGCTAAAGACAAAAGCAAGCCTAGTTTTTCAGTTCTTTATAAATTTGCTGTGTCCCTCTTGGTTTAAAAATAGTTCCAGATCTTGGGTTCACGCCTGGTGAGCAGGTCATGGCAGAGATCAAAAGCCAAACACCACTGTGGACCAGCAGAATCCACTATATTGAGGCAGAGCCCCAAGAAAAGAGAAAACAGTGCCAGATGCATTTGTGGTTAACCCTCTGTCTACAGATGATTCTGTGCCTATGAACAAAGCTGGCGAGGGTCTCCTTCCATACCCATGGGACCTCCAAGAGACAAGCACCACACATTCCCCCCAAAACCATATTCCCCCAGGCCACCCTGTGAATGTGGTGAGTTCCACAGCATGGAAACAGAAGGCTAGCTGTAGACCACAAGACTGAGTCTCTTGAACAAATGCTAGATGGCTAAGAAACGAGGCGACAGAATCACCGAGTCACTTGGTTTTGTTCTGGAAAAGGGCACACAGATTCTCACAGACACACTTGCACCATCTTCAAAGCGTGATCTGCCACAGACGACTCATATAGCTTTGCACTATATGTGCAGGACTGAGCGTCCTCTTTGCCTCTTAGCACAAAAGCTGAGAGTTTTACAAGATTTGCAAAAAAAAAAAAAAGAGAGAGAGAAGCAAGACACCAGTCTGAGCTCGGCTGCCTACTCTCCAGCAAGAAAGGACTCCACAGCACATGACACACTCAGAAAACCTCCTCCATAAAGACACTGGCCTCAAAAAAAGACCCCTGTCCTTTCAAATTAGAAAGAAAAGGACACGAAGATAAGTCAGCAGACTTGGCTTACCCTGCCCAGAGCGCGCGCCTCAAACCTCCTCAGTGAGAACTGCCTTTTTCCAGACAGATTCCTGCGTGCACCCTGGCTCAAGCTGGACAAATTCCTCCTGAGCCTCCTGACGGAAGACTGTGATGTCACCGTGGGCCCTCCCTCTGCTCCCTAAAAGGCCATTCACACAAAGAAGGACTTTAACCTCCTTCGGAGAGGCCTGGCCCCTCCCTGGCTGGCCGGAGCTGGAGGGCAGCGGCATTCCCAGCCAGAGCAGGCCCGGCCTGCTCCTGTCACGCTCAAGGCTGAGCAGGGAGGCAGGAGCTGGCGGCGTTGAGGTGAATCAGTTAGCATTGATGTGAATCAGCTACCACTGTCTTCTCGGCAATTCAGAGGTGGGCCCTGGGACAAGCAGGGAATTGATATCCCAGGGGTATTGAGGCAGCAAAAAATCTGAAAGACCCTGGAGAAATCTCCAGTTAGACAGACTTTTCAGGACAGCCTGTGGTGTGTGCTTGTGCGTGTGTACATGCATGTGGTATGTGCATGTGTGCGTGTGTCTGTGTGTGATAACAAATGCTCACCACAGAACATTTAGAAAATAAAAAATATTCATTACCCCTCCAATCAGAAAAAAAGTTAATATTTTATTTCATTCCATTGTCATCTTCTCAGAAATACATATTTAATATCATTGAGACCAGACAGTAAATGCAATTCTGTGCCAACTTTTTTTTTACTCATATCATTTCACAAGCACTTTTTATGTTATTTAATGGCCCTTGTAAGATATGTTTTAAGTGGCTACATTATAGTCCATGCCAAAGTGGACAGATGCATCTGAAGTCTGAGATGAGTGCTCTAATTTCAAGGAATATCTGGAGGAAGTGGCTGCACCATCCCATGGCTAACAACAGTCCTCTGCCATCAAGAAAACAGATGTGCATTTGCCTTGAGTAGAGACATCAGTGTCACCTCAGAATAGGGCCCCCAGCACTACACTAAGTCTAACAGGGAGTTGGCGTGTTTATCAGTGCCCCCTGCCTGATAACACCCACTGGCTCAACTCTGCCTCCAGATTCCGTCCACCTCGTTCCCTGGAACTCTACATTGACCTGGAAAATTTAGGGCATAACTTACGGGCAGAACTAGAAAGTCAGTCAGAATTCCAGGTCAGTTCAGTACCATGAAGTACTCACTTTTTCAGTAAGATTTTAGAGGTCAAAGAGAACTGAGATTTACAGTAAACTGGGGGAAAGATGACAAACGCTACACATGGTTCTGTGGGGCCAGCTCATTTGGGGTCAGTTTTAGAGCAGTTTGTCCTGGTGAGCAGCTGAAAGATGCAACAGGGTTCACCTGTGGTCTGCACACCAGCCAGCATAGCAGTCCTCCTGGGACCCTCCCAAGCACACGAGTCAAGGAAGGGATAATCAGAGTAGATGGAGCCCAGGAAGGCTCTTTTGAAAAGGAGGCTAAAAGTAGACTTTACAACTATTTACAGCATCTAAACAACATTTTCCATATGCTAAAAACATTTTCCAAATTTATTTAGAAATATTGGGGAGTTCCTCAATGACTGACTTGGTGGTATCAAGTCACCAGGGAGCTCCAAGGGAACTCCGAATTTATGCTGCCCTGTGGAATAATTGGAATGTTCTGTTGTGTAGCCAAAGGCACTTCAAGATGCTACTTAGTCATCTGAAGTAAAATGAGGCAGAAATCACATGCCAATGGCATTGCTCTGCTTGAGAATGAAGAACCAGGGAAGGACTTTCCATTATGAAGTGCCCTCGACCAGCGATGCAAGAGGGGCACCCGGGACCCACTCCATTACCACACCTGCCCCTCCACACCCATGGGAAGATTTGTTTTAGAAAAAGGTTTTAAATCTGCCCTATTCACAAGAGACAACTGTATGTGCTCTTAAAGTACTATTTTCCAAGGAGTAGGTTTGCAAATGACCTGGTGTCTCAGAGACGCCAGAGTCCACTACACACACAAACACACATATGCTCCACCCACACACAGGCACACTGTTGTGTGTTGACTTGAGTCATCTCCACAAGTTCTTATGTTGAACTCCTAACACCAAGGACCTCAGAATGTGACCTTATTTGGAGATCAGTCTTTACAGAGGTAATCACATTTAAGTGAGGTCACCAGGGTGGGCCCTAATCCAGTATGACTAGGGTCTTTAGAATAAGAGGAAATGTAGACACAGAGATGTGCATAGAGGGAACACAACTACTTATAAGCCAAGGAGAGGGGCCTGGAACAGATCCTTCCCTCACAGCCCTCCAAAGGAACCAACTCTGCTGAGGATTTTGTGCTTCTAGCCTCCCAACTGTAAGACTATAAATTTCTGTTGTTTAAGCCTCCCCCCACCAATGTGTGATACCTTGTCATGGCAACCCTAACAAACTAATCTATATACTCACACATACACACCCATGCATTTGTATTTGTGCATGCACACAAAAACACACACATTCACACAGTTGCCTGAGTCTCCCCTCAACCCAAGCTGCAAAAATAGGGTTGAGGTTAGATAAATACTCTATGGCAAAGTCACAGTTAGGTACTCCAGAAAAGTGGATTATACTCAGAGGCAGAGGGAGACATGAAAAACCAGCAAGCTAGGCTGAGGCTGCAAAAGCATAAACAGAGCCATCCCACACTTGATGACAGTGGAGTCTCTGGAGAGAAATGACCAGAGTAGAATCCAGCAGGTAACGTCTAGCTGCAGCTCACACCTCTACACCCTTTAAGTGTAGACTCTGAGCTTGGGGTGGGTTTTCTGAAAATAAATTTGCACTGTTTTGCCGTAACCTGATTTCGTTAGTTTCTGAGGGTGCCTTGCCCTGGGGGAAAAGAAGCCATTTTGAAACTTGGTCCTGGTTGACTGGGAAGTAAACTTCAATTTATGAAAGTCTAGCCACTGGGGTTTAAAGACAATTGATACCATTATGATCATCACGCAGCCAATATCTATGGTGCTCCTACTGTGTGCCTTGTCTGTGCCACATACCCTTCTATACCTTCTATTTAATCCTCCCATTAATGGCAAAGTGGGGATTATCATGCACTCTGCAGAGGGGCAGACCCCAGCCAATGGCAGCCACCTACCCCCTAGGGTCATCCCGCTGGTTAGGAACAGAGCTCTGGCTAGAAGCCATGAATCCCCAAAATGCAGCAGTGCTCATAGAAGCCGCACCAGGCAGCTCAGGAAGGAGCAGACCCAAGAAGCGTTTGGGCTAATGCAAATAAAAGAAAAAAATCTGAAGGCCAGGACCAGTGGCTCACACCTGTAAAATCCCAGTGCTGGGAGGCTGAAGCGGGAGAATCGATCACTTGGGTCCAGGAGTTTGAGACCAGCCTGGGCAACGTAGTGAGACCTTGTCTCTACAAAATTTGAAAAGTAGCCAGGTTCGGTGGCATGCACCTATAGTACAGCTACTTGGGAGGCTGAGGCAGGAGGAACTTGAGCCTGGGAGGTCAAGGCTACAGTGAGCCATGATCAAAAAAGAAAAAACCTTAAGAAGTGTCTGTAATGTAAGGCAGCAAGAGACGACTTTGAAAGCGTAGGCCAGCTGCTAGGAGCTTTGGGAAGGCCTCATTTCTCTTCTAGGTCTTAGTTTTCTGGTCGGTAAAATGAGATCCCAGGTACATAAACCCTCACAATTCACTTCTCCTAATCTCTGTAAGTTCTGTGCTTTTAGCATGAACTTTGGGCAAAGGTGAACTCATTTTGAGTGGGCAGAGTCTCAAGAAAGCCTGTGAGAGGATAGGAGCAGCAGCTGCCTTGGAAACCAGGTGATACTTTTGCTGAGAGGGATTTTAAGAGTTCCTAGAAGGAGGCGCAGCTTGTAGACAATCCCCTTGTCAGAACTTTATCTCTTTAACGGAAGGATTTTATTCTGCTAAATGTAACTTTCCCATTTGTGACAGTCACCAGTCACCTTAGTGTGACAGAAAGTTCCAAAAACAGGTTTGAAGGGGTCAGGAAGGAATGAGGTCCTCAGGGTAGAGAGGCTGGCTTCAAACACAGTTAAGAGCCAGCCCATTGCCTGGAATTGCAAAGTAGCAGGTGCAGGGGAAAGGGTGGCACTAGGAAGGTTCCCCTCCCTGCTTCCTGGTGCTTAGCGAAGCTGGGGCAGCTTTTCAAGCTGCTCCAAGGCCCAATTCAAGGCACACAGAGAAGGAAGCCTGGGCCTCACAACCGCCCTTCCTCCTCACATGCCCAGTCTTGTCCTCTCCCTCCTTACCTTTCAGGTAGGTTCCTCCTCCAAGCCCCGTCACCAAAAGACCCTACATCTCAGCATGGAGCCAGGTCTTTAAAACAATTTGCCCTTACATGTGAATCAGATGGGAATACTTACAATTTAAGACAGGAGTTTGTTTACCCAAAGGAATCCCTGATTGGAGTAAAGTGTGGGAAACTAAGACACACTTAGCCCTTAATTTATTAAGGGGAAAATGATGAGAAAAGGCAAACAGAAACAGCAACTCTCTTTAGAAAGGCTTAAAGAACACCCAGACCTGGTAATGCTTCTCTGGTGCTCAGGGCATAGAAAGCTACAGAGCAGAGGGTTGAGAAGAATCCACAAGAACATACAAACATATGGACCCCTCAGCTATGTCATGCACTATGATCTCATTTATTCCTGTTAGAAATATTATTTGAAATACTATTTTATAAAAAAAAAAATAGTTGTCAACTCCCGGCCTTCGCCCTCCCCACTGCATCCTGCAGTCTTTCAGTGTTTCCTACAACTGTCTCCAATATTGCTGATCAAAAAGCAGGCTTTTGGCCCGGGCGCAGTGGCTTATGCCTGTAATCCCGGCACTTTGGGAGGCCAAGCCAGGCAAATCACCTGAGGTCAGGAGTTCAAGACCAGCCTGGCCAACATGGTGAAACCTTGTCTCTACTCAAAAATACAAAAATTAGCCGGGTGTAGTGGCACATGCCTGTAATCCCAGCTACTCGGGAGGCTGAGGGCAGGAGAATCACTTGAATCCAGGAGGCAGAGGTTGCAGTGAGCCGAGATCGCACCACTGCACTCCAGCCTGGGCAACAGAGCAAGACTCTGTCTCAAAAACAAAGGGCAGGCTTTCAGAGAGAAGAGGGTCTGAAGCCCTAATGTGTGTTGTATTTCATTCCAGAACCAGGTGAAGCTACTGGTGACATTTAAGGGAAAGGCACTGAGAAGTCTAGCAGGCCAATAAAATGTCCCCATCCCCTGACATGCACCCCATTTCTACCCCGAATCTGTTGAGTTCCCTTGTCAAGGATCTTAGACTCAAAAGATGACTCTGCTGTCTGCCTCAGGCATGGTATCTCATCTCCTGCAGGAGCAATGGCACCATCTTGTTGCATTGGGGAGGACAGAGTTTTAGAAGAAATGTATCACAATCTTATTTATAACAGTGAAAACCTATAGGTGATGAAAATGTGTAGTCTAAGTATCAGCATCTGAAAATTTTGATTTGTATAACTAATAGAATGCTATGCAACCTGTGAAAAGGATATTTATCATAATTGCATGACAACCTGAAATGATGCTATATAAATAGGTATGTGCAAAAGGGGTGTAGAGTTCAAGTTAAGAATCAACTTTGGCATCCGACAGACCTGGGGCCCTTCTCTGTAAAATGGCATAATACCACTGCTAACTTAGGGAGCAGTTGTAAAACATGACATGCTCACCACAGGGCTTGCCATACGGTAAAATGATTCAACCAATGGTGGCTCAAATAGAAATAAACTAGGAAAATATTCACAACTCACGTTATTATAATGGCTTGATGGTGTTAAAATATAAAGGACCCTTGCAATCGATAAAAAAGGTCAACAACCCAAACATAAAACTAGACAAAAGATATGGATAGACGGTTCACAAAAAGAAATATAAACTATTCTTAGACATACAGAATGACTCTCAATCCCATTTATAAAAAAGAAACACAAAAACTACAAGTTTTCCACCTATATATTAGTTATCAGCATGTAATGAGAGAGGTACCCTCATCCAACTCCATAAAGTTGGATGGCAATTTGGCAACGTGGACCCCACTTTAAAATACACAATGCTTTTGACCCAGTGGTTATACTTCCAAGAATTTATACTACAACCATAGAAGCACACGTAGAAAATGATCTATACACAAGGATCTCCAATGCCGCAATCTTTGCAATAATAAAAGACTAGAAATAACCTAAATTAATAGGGAACTGTTATCTTCTTTTTCTTTTCTTTTTTTTTTTTTTTTTTTGAGATGGAGTCTCGCTCTGTCACCAGGCTGGAGTGCAGTGGCATGATCTTGACTCACTGCAACCTCTGCCTCCCGGGTTCAAGCAAATCTCCTGCTTCAGCCTCCCGAGCAGCTGGGCCTACAGGCGCCCACCACCACACCCAGCTAATTTTTGTATTTTTAGTAGAGACGGATTTTTACCATGTTGGCCAGGATGGTCTCGATCTCTTGACCTCATGATTTGCCCACTTCGGCCTCCCAAAGTGCTGGGATTACAGGCGTGAACCACTGTGCCTGGCCTGATGTTTTCATTAAATGGAATATCATACAACTTTAAAAGAACAGAAGAACTCCCAGCTCTATGATAATTTATATGTAGCAATCTTCAAAATCTACTAATAAATGCTATGGAACATTTTATAAAGAGCACGTTACCTTTGATGTTAACAAACATGAATATGAATAATCTTATATGTACATATTTTTATTTGTATATATGTAGGTATGTGTGTATCTATATTTGCATATTCATAAGCTATCCCTGGAAGGACACATAAGAAACCGATCACAGAGATTTTCTCTGGAATGGGGAAGGGAGTCACTGGACATCAGGTGTAGGTAAGCTTCTATTCACTGTGTTCTTTTCTACACCTTTCCAATGTTAGAATATGTGCATATATTAACTTCTGAAAAAAGGAAGTAAGCATTTAAAAAATACAGAGAGACAGGTGGGAAAGCACTAAAAGGAAATATGGCACTCCTGATGGGTGATTAGGCACCTGGAGGAGATAAATTCACTCTCTACAAGTCAAGAAGGCTGGGAGCAGTGGCTGATACCTGTAATCCCAGCACTTTGGGAGGCCGAGGCGAGCAGATCACTTAAGGACAGGAGCTTGAGACCAGCCTGGCCAACGTTGCGAAATCCTGTCTCTACTAAAAATACAAAAAATTAGCCGGGCGTGGTGGTGGGCTCCTGTAGTCCCAGCTACTTAGGAGGCAGAGGCAGGAGAATCACTTGAACCTGGGAGGTAGAGGTTGCAGTGAGCCGAGATTGTGCTACTGCACTCCAGCCTGGGTGATAGGCAAGACTCCATCTCAAAAACCAAAATTAAATTAAATAATAAAATAAGGATATAATTTGTGTGTGTGTGTGTATATTTCTGTATATATACATGGAATATATATATATAATATATATTCCATTTTATAAAAAGATCAGTTCCCTATTAATTTAGGTTATTTCTAGTCTTTTATTGTTGCAAACATTGTGGCATTGGAGATCCTTGAATATAGATCATTTTCTACATGTGCCTCCATGGCTGTAGTAGAAATTCTTGGAAGTAGAACTACATACACACACACACACACACACACACACACACACACACAAAACGACATATATATATATATGTATCTTACACTATATATATACACTTTATTCTATATACATAGTTTGCCCTCTCTCTATAGTTCTCTCTCTCTCTCTCTCTATATATATATAGCTTATCTGTGGCTGCTGTGGTTTCAATGTGTCTCCCAAAAATTCATGTGTTGGAAACTTAATCCCAAATACAACAGTGTTGAGAGATGGGACCTTGAAGAGGCGATAAGGTCATGAGGGCTCTGACCTCACGAATGGTCAACCCAGGAATGGATTCATTATCAAAGTAAGACTGGCTCTCTCTTGTCTCTCACAGGCTGTATGCTCTTTTGCCCTCTGACCTTCTTCTATGGGATGAGACAGCCTCCAGAAATGTAAGAACCAAATCTCTATTCTTTATAAATTACTCAGACTCAGGTATACTCTTTCAGCAGCAGAAATTAGACAAAGACAGTGGTTAACCCTGGAGAATAGGAATGGGGAAACTCAGTGCTAAAGGGGTGATGAAAAGCTGAAGTGGAGTCCATGGTTTTTATTTCATAGAGATGTGGATTATTGGCAGGGTACAGTGGCTCGTGTCTGTAATCCCAGCACTTGGGGAGGCTGAGGTGGGAAGATAACTTGAGCCCAGGAGTTCGAGACCAGCCTGGGCAACATAGTGGGACCCCATCTCTACAAAAAATAATTTTAAAAAATGAACCGGGCATGGTGGCATGAACCTATAGTCCCAGCTACTTGGGAGGCTGAGGCCGGAGGAACACATGAGCCTGGGAGGTTGAGGCTGCAGTGAGCTGTGATCACATCACTGCACTCCAGTCTGGGCAACAGAATGAGACCCTGTCTCAAAAGGCAAACAAACAAGAAACAAAAACAAAACAAAAACAAACAAAGATGCATATGACTGAGCATGTATTAGTATTGTAATTGGAAAAGCAAGGATTGAGAGTATCATACATAAATTAAAAAGTTACAAATTCAAGCTTTAAATACATTTAGACTTTTAAACGGCCAGGGCTCATCTACTTGTTAGGTTTTACAGCACCTCTGATCTCCATTTTCCATCCACATATTAAAAAGTGAGGTCTTTCATAGAGCCACAGTGAACAAATGTGTACCAAAACTTGGCCATCTCTTGAGGAGGTTTTGCTTTCTGGCTGTAATTTATTATCTGTTTAGGAGTACTCTCACTCTACACAGCTGTATGACAATATCACCTTCCGTTTTCACTGAAGATGAGTTATTGGCTCACTGCTATACATAGACATTTTCCTTCCAAGAGCTGCCTGTTCCCAGAAAAGTTGTGAAACACGCTGTGAGTAACCAGATTCCCCCTTGGGAATCAAATGTCGTAGAATTTCATGAACTATGTCACAGACAGAATATGTCATAGGAAAATCCCATTGAAGAATTTCCCAAGGACTGATCAGTCAAGTAGAGAACAAAAAATAGGAGGCCGGCTTATCCATTATTCTAAGCAATAGTCATTTTTTTTTGTTCCATTTAACTTAAATGTACAGGAGAGTCAATCTAGTAATCTCCTCACCTACCTACAAGGTGCGCGTGCACGCGCACACGCACACGCACACACATGCGCACACACACACACGCACACACACACGCACACACGGGCTCATTAAATTTGAGTCCCATTTTTTCTTTTAGTATTTTAAAATTTTGAGTAGTTTTAAAAATAATATTTTGGGTTTGTTCAATCTAGTCTTCCATAGGCAAAAAGCACCATATCTCTTATTAATGTTTAAAGTGAATGCTGGGGCTTGGAACAGAATGTAACTCTGCACTTAGGCAATCCCAAATTCCATACTGATTATGTATGGGATTCCTACCCTTCTGTTACTCAATTCCTATCCATCCGGTGGAGCCTGAGGGTCTAAGGTCAGTGGTGGACTCTATGGGAGCTGAGTCCAGGGAACAGAACAGGTCTCTCTCGTAGATTTACCCACCATGTTCTTCCCTGCTCAAAGGCAGGTGTTACATGGCAAACCTTCACTTCTCCAAGACAATGTTCACAATGCCAGAGGAGAAAGAAAAACCATCAGAGATGCTTTTTCGATGAAATCATTGGTGAGTTCTAAGAACACTTAACAAAAGGACCTACCACTTTCCAACAGGAAAATGGTTTGATCTGATGGAATCAGCTACCTATTGATTGCAGGGAAACTGGTGGAAGGTTCTAAAAGGTTTAGAGATCCCTGCACAGAACCACCCCCACGATCGTGGATATCAGCATCACTGTGAATTGCCACCCACTCTGGGAACTCATGAATAGTCTTGTCTCAAGTTTCTTCAAAAGCACAAAGCCTCATGTGAAGCCAGGCTGTGCAGCAAACAGAACTCTAATCCAATTCACTCTGACACACTCTGGCAGGAAAAGAGAACTCGAGGAAAGTCCAGATGGTCAGTCTGAGAGTCCTGCTCCACTAGGGTTAAGTGGTAATTCTGGATCAGGACAGGCACTGGGGACACTGGCCTGATGAGAAATAGGACACGGCAGGCAGCCAAGGGGCAATGAAGACTCGAGCCAGGGCCGCTAATTTTTCTCCCATCTCATGCAGCAAACGGATGCCACTCTCTACAAGGGATTCTGAGCATGGTACCAGAGGTGCACTTGTGGTTTAAAGAAAAAGATATTTGCCCTTGACACTGACGACCTGACCCTGGTTCTGACTGTGATTCTGCCCCAGCCCTGGCCTTTACCCAGAACCAGGGGGACCACATGGATTCACACCTCTCTTGCCTATAGCTCTGCTCTCCCAAGCCCACCCTGGACCAGCACTGCTGGACCATCCTCTGGGAAAAGTTTAGGCAGCCAGACTCTGGGAGCAGCTGAGGGCTGGTCAGCTGTTTCCGTCCACTGCTTTTACGGCTCTGAATGCCAGGAAGGAACCTCTGCAGGAGAAGGAAAGCATGGAATTTCTCCATTCACCACTGGGATGCATGATAAGCATAAGCCAGCAGGGATACGGGGAGCAGTGGGGAGTCGTGGGAGGGTATTTTACTTTGTGCAAAGAAATGTGCTCCTTCTCTTAATGCAAACGAAACCGACTACTACCTTCTCTCATTTATGAAGAATCTCTCTGCCCGACTGTGGAATCCCAGGAGCACAGCCGGATGGTTGAGAGCCAATAAGTAATACTGATTATGGAAACAGGATGAAGTCTGAGAACCAGAAACAAGGAAGGGATCGCCATTTGCTTGCAAAGCCTCTGCTTCATCCTGTTTACCCTCCAGAGACCCTCTTTGATCCCAGGGCTGCCTGCTGTTGACCGTTTTGCTGCCATAGGTTTTAGACTCTTTGTTCTACGTTTGTTTATATGTGGTAAAGTGATACGGTGGGAAGTACACAAATCTAGAGAAAAGCAGGTCAGGGTTTGTGAATCCTTGGGTATCATAAACTGATTGTGTGATGCTTATGCAAGGGATTTTCTCCTCCCTGAGACTCTGGGTCATCATCTGTTAAATGGGTATAATAAGTACTGAAGTGAGTCAAATAGTGCCCCGCCCCAAAATTCATGTCCACCCGGAACCTCAGAATGTAACACTTGGAAATAGGATCTTTGCGGATATAATTTGTTAAGATGAGATCATACTGGGTGAGAGTGGGCCCCAAATCCAGTGACTGGTGTCTTTATAAGGGAAAGAGAGGGCATGCAGATATACACACAGAGGAAACTCCATGTGAATCTGGAGGCAGAATTTGGAATGATTCATTTACAAGTCAAGAAATGTTACACATTGCTAGCAACCACGAGAAGCTAGGAGAAAGGCATGGAACGGATTCTCCCTCAAAGCCTCCAGAAGGAACCAACCCTGCCATCTGTAATTTCAGACTTCAGGACTCCTGAACTGTGAGAGAACAAATTGCTATTGTTTTCAACCACGTAATTTGTGAGAATTTGTTATAGCTGCCCTAGGAAATCAATACACCTACCTTCTGAGGCTGTTATGAGGATTTCCAAGAGGACAGAATGTGAAGGCAGCTGGCCCCACAATGGGAACATGGTAGGACTTCAATGCCAGGTAGTTCACTGTTGCCCTCTACTCTGGCCACAGGCTAATTATAGCATTTTTCGAGCCTTCTCAGAGGTGGGTTGCCCCAACATATTCATGCTTTTTAAAACTTGTAGACAGGGCCGGGTATGGTGGCTCACGTCTGTAATCCCAGCACTTTGGGAGGCCGAGGCAGGTGGATCACCTGAGGTCAGAAGTTCGAGACCAGCCTGGCCAACATGATGAAAACCCATCTCTACTAAAAATACAAAAAATTAGCCTGTTGTGGTGGCAGGCGCCTGTAATCCCATACTCCCAGCTACTTGGGAGGCTGAGGCAGGAGAATTGCTTGAATCCGGGAGGCAGAAGTTGCAGTGAGCCGAGATTGTGCCACTACACTCCAGCCTGGGCAACAAGAGCAAAACTCTGTCTAAAAAAAAAAAAAGTCCAGGTGCAGTGGCTCACTTTGGGAGGCCAAGTTGGGCAGATCACAAGGTCCACAAGGTCAAGAAATCGAGACCATCCTGGTCAACATGGTGAAACCCCATCTCTACTAAAATTACAAAAATTAGCTGGGCATGGTGGTGCACGCCTGTAGTTCCAGCTACCCGGGAGGCTGAATCAGGAGAATCTCTTGAACCTGGGAGGTGGAGGTTGCAGTGAGCTGAGATCGCACCACTGCACTCCAGCCTGGTGACAGAGTGAGATTCCATCTCAAAAAAAAAAAAAAGAAAAAAACAAAAACAAAAACAAAAAGACAAACAACAACAACAAAAATAAAAACCTGTAGATAAAACAGAAACAGCAAAGAATACCTGTGGAATAAGGGCATATCAACCAGCAAAGGCTGCAGGCTTATCGACTGCCCAGCTGGAGCAGAAGCATACATGTATGCTGTTGTACACAGAAGCCAGGTTACAAAGCCTGTCACAGAGCTGGCAATGGTAATGTACCCTGTCAAACTGGAGAAGGAACAAAGAGCCCGAGAGTCCTCAAAGGCATTAGCAACTTTAGTTGATGATGAGGTGCTCATAACCTTTGTTGAGCATTTATGATATGCTGGGCATTAGACCATGCGATTTTTATGCATAATTACATTTATTCCTCAAAACAAGCGTAGGAGGTCAGTACTCTTGATAGCTGTAGTTTACATATCAGGAAACCAAGGTTCAGAGAGTTTTAAGTGACTTGCCCAAGGGCTCCAGCCATAAGTGCTAAAGCTGGGATTGAACTGGAGGAAAATCTGTCTCAGGGCCTTTAACCACTATCTTGCCTCTTGTAGATACAAAGGTGGAAACTGGGACAATCTCGACTAGAAACTTAACAAGGAAGACCGGCTTCAAGATTCTTTTTCTACTTTATCATATACTCTAAATGGGTCCTAGAACTATTTGCATGTGCTTGCTGGCTTAGCTGGTATGCCAGTTTCCTTGACAGGAAATATAGATGATATGGATGATGATGGTAACAATTATTAATTGAATACCTACAATGTGTAGACATTTACATACATTATCTCAATAAATCCTCATGGCAACTCTGTGAAATAGGGCTAATCCGTATTTTGTGGATGAACACATTGAAGCTCAGAGCTTAAGTAATTTGCCCAAAGACACAAAACAAGGAGGGGCACAGTTGAGAGCCAAGCCCTGGCCTGTCCAGCTCTCCAAAGCCCACTATAAAGAAGCACATCTTGACATCCTTTTTGCTCTTCCAAAACACATGATGTGTCATGGCTCACTGAATCTAAGAATTCACTTTGAGCTCTTAGCTGTATCTCGGATGGTAATCTTCAAGGGCTGTGTCTCCCACCTGTACCTGCTTAAAGATGCCTGGAGTTCTCTAAATACTCCAGGTGAGTGACTTTCTCTTCAGCTGAGTGGTTGGAATTCTCTAGATAATGTCTGGCCACTCCCAAGAATGACTGTTTGTCTTATATACAGGTTCGAGCACAACAGCAGGGATCCTACAATAGCAGAGAGCTGCCATTCCGTTCTGGCCATGGACCCCTCCCCAACATGCAGGGCAGAAGGTGGGGATCTGAAAACAGGAAATGACAGGGGCTGGGTGTGGGAGTGGGGGCTTCAATGCTGCAGGAACACAAGCAACAAACATCTCAAGCTGTGCAATGCTAGAAGGCAGCTGGAACCAAAACGTTGACTGGAGGATGATGCAGCTTTGTTGTATTTTAAAATGTTCATCCTTCCATTTTTTTTCCTTTAGTTTTTCTGAGCACGCTGGATGCAAAATAAAAATAAAAATAAAAATAAAAATAAACATGTAGCCCTGAACCATACTCTCCACATTGGTGATCACTTGCAAAACCTCAGAATTGGTGCAGATGGTGCAAAATTCCTTTTTCTCATCTTAGCAATTCATTTTGCCGTTAGGGGATGGGAAAGCAAGGCAAAGACTTTATCTGCAAAGGCTGTGGTGGTGGCAAGGGGTTTGCCAGCTCCCAACTTAGTCAAGTCCCCTCAATTTCACTATGCAATGCTGCAATGCACCATTCAGCATGTCATCATTTCAGTAACATGGCTCAACTTCTTATGAAAAATATTATTTAAAAATTACTTCTTGAGGCCAGGTGTAGTGGCTTATGCCTATATTTCCAGCACTTTGGGAGGCCAAAGCAGGAGGATTACTTGAGGCCAGGAGCTCAAGACCAGCCTAGGCAACGTAATGAGACCCCATCTCTACAAATAATTAAAAGAAATACCCGGGTTTGGTGGTGCATGCCTGTGACCCCAGCTATTCACGAGGCTGAGGTCAGAGGATCACTGGAGCCTGAGCCATTGAGACTGCAGTGAGCCGTAATCTTGCCACTGTACTCCAGCCTGGGTGACAGAGCAAGACTCCGTCTCAAAAAAAAAAAAAAAAAAAAAAAGAAGAAAGAAAGAAAAGAAAAAAGGAAAAAAAAATGCTTCTTGATTTCACTCTGTAATTCAGGCTTAATAAATTTCTATAAGGCTAATGAATTTCAGAATTGGGATATGAACAAAAACAATATCCTGAGAGAAGAGCTGTTTAAAACATTTAGCCTAATTAGATTCATAGATCTAACTCTCCTTCCTCTCTTGTAAGCCTGGATCGCATCATTTGGAGTATTTAAGAATTCAGGAGCATAGGCCAGGCATGGTGGCTCACGCCTGTAATCCCAGCACTTTGGGAGGCTGGGGCAGGTGGATCATTTGAGGGCGGGAGTTTGAGACTAGCCTTGCCAACATTGTGAAACCCTGACTCTACTAAAAATACAAAAATTAGCCAGGGATGGTGGCAGGTGCCTGTAATCCCAGCTACTCAGGAGGCTGAGGCAGGAGAATCGCTTGAACCCGGGAGGCAGAGGTTGCAGTGAGCCAAGATCGTACCACTGCACTCCAGGTTGGATGATAGTGAGACTCCATCTCAAAAAAAAAAAAAAAAAAAAAAAAGAGTTCAGAAACATGAATGCACCATAAACACCACGTCCACATCTAGGACTCCAGAGGTCTCAGGGGTAAAGAAAGTTAGGAGTGTGGTCCAGTCTGTAATCTGACCCCCAGCCACCCTAAAGGGTGCTCTAGATCAGCAGTGCCACTGTGGTTTGCTCTGGGTCTTCCTTCCCCCATCAAAGCTAAGAACAGACTTTTTCTGGGGATCTGAAACTCACCAAGCCCTGACTAGGGCACCATTTAGAAACCAAAAGAAGCCTAAGATGCTGCCCAACAACTAGGCCCTCAATAAATGTCCCTCGGACTATTTATTTATTCTGATTAAGAAAAAAGAAGTGTATACATTTATGGTATGCAACTTGATATTTTGAAATACATATGCTTTGTGGAATGACTAAATCAAGCTAATTACTATATGTTACCTCACATATGTGTGAGGAGAACACTTAAAATCTACCCTCTTAGCAACTTTCAAGTACAATATATAATACATCATTATTAACTATAGTCACCATGTTGTACAATAGAGCTCTTGAATTTAGTCCTGCTGCATAATTGAAATTTTATATCCATTGACCAATATCTCCCCAATCCCCCTCCCCTCCAGCCAGTCCCTCTCTCCAACATACTGATCTCATTTCCTTTGGATCTATACCCAGAAGTGGGATTGCTAGGTCATATGGTACTTCTATTTTTAGTTTTTTGAGACTGAACTTTTTTTTTAAAAGAAACTCCTAAACCTGGAATTAAGGGGCCTGGCACCCTTTTCCTGTATCTGTCCCCTTGCTGGTACCTCCACATAGGCATGCCCTTTCCTCTCTCACTCCCAGGCAAATTCATCTATTTTCAGCAAGGATTCAGGTTAAACCTGCTCCCCCTTGAAGTTTCCTGGTGACTGCCCATACCGCGGCAGAATTAGCTGCTCTGCGACCCCTTGCACGTAGTTCTAGAAGACATGTCAAGCTATGGCAGAGCTCCCTGAGGGCAGGGTTTGCCTTCAAGAACTATTCATCAGTACTTGTCAGTTGTGGGCTGTCATTACTGCCCTTCCTAGGGGCTAAGAATGTCACCAGGGAGGCTTTTGTGTTTCCGGGAGGGCTCCAAATACCGCACCCTGAAACATGACCTCCGAAACATGACCTCTGAACCTCAGAAGGCTTCTGAAGTTTTTCTTTTTTTTTTTTTTAAATGTTTCTTTCTTTCTGGTTTTTTTTTTTTTTTTTTGGAGACAAAGATTCCCTCTTGTTGCCCAGGCTGGAGTACAATGGCGAGATCTCGGCTCACCGCAACCTCCACTTCCCGGGTTCAAGCAATTCTCCTGCCTCAGCCTTCTGACTAGCTGGGATTACAGGTATGTGCCACCATGCCCAGCTAATTTTCTATTTTCAGTAGAGACAGGGTTTCTCCATGTCGGTAAGGTTGGTCTCGAACTCCTGACCTCAGGTGATCCACCTGCCTCGGCCTCCCAAAGTGCTGGGATTACAGGCATGAGCCACCGCGCCGGACCGGTTTCTGAAGTTTTAACAACGTACCACCCTGCTGCTTTGAATTACAAGCTTATTATTGCTAATATTCAATAGTATTGAAAAGTTTTGGGTTTTGAGCCCCATGGAGAATAACTCCACCCTAAAATTTTCTCCTAGCACCACAGACTCTGAAATCTGTCAATCCTTTACTTCCCCCTACCAAAAAAAAATTTTTTTTTAAATGCAGGGGCATAATTTTGATACACTTTCTTTTATTGTCGTGCAATATATAACTTAAATTTTGCCATTTTAACCATTTTAAGTGTACAATGCAGTGGCATTAATTATATTCACAATGTTGTGTAACCATTACCACTATTTTGAAGATTTTTTCATCACCCCTTAGACAGAAACTCTGTACTCATTAAGCTATATGGGTCACGATTTTTGAAACATTCTATGAGGCTAATTAGGAAACAGAATCTAGGTAAATGGATTGCACCCCTGTAGCAAACAGGAGAAAAAAGAGTGGTAGGCAGTACAATAGTTATTGATTATATTAGGGTAGTAGAATAACTACCCTATTCCATTTTCTAAATTTTTGGCAATTAATTTTATTATATCTTCTTTTTGGTCTCATCAGCGTACTAGAAAAACAAAAGGCAGCCAGGCGGGGTGGCTCACGCCTGTAATCCCAGCACTTTGGGAGACCGAGGCAGGTGGATCACCTGAGGTCAGGAGTTCAGGACCAGCCTGGCCAACATGGTGAAAACCTGTCTCTACTAAAAAATACAAAAATTAGCTGGGCGTGGTGGCAGGCACCTTAATCCCAGCTACTCAGGAGGATGAGACAGAATCACTTGAACCCGGGAGGCAGAGGTTGCAGTGAGCCAAGATTGCGCCATTGCACTCCAGCCTGGGAGACAAGAGCAAAACTCCATCTCAAAAAAAAAAAAAAGAAAAAAAGAAAAACAAAAGGCACAAAGCAAAAAAAAAAAATAACAGCAAAATAGCTTAATGTATGCAATTGATATTTTCCTGAAAAGTTGTAGGTAAATTAACACTCATCTGCCACTACTTGGAGTTTAAAAAATAAACTTATTTCACTTGTAAAACTCAAGCACAGAATTACAAATTTGCCTCATGTGCACTGTGCTTACATTCACAATATTGTTCATATCAACTTACTCTTATAAAAATAGAGGTTCTGGTAGGGCATGGTGGCTCATGCTTGTAATCCTTAGCACTTTGGGAGGCCGAGGCAAGCAGATTGCCTGAGGCCAGGAGTTCAAGACCAGCCTGGCTAACATGGTGAAACCTCGTCTCTACTAAAAATACAAAAATTAGCTGGGCATGGTGGCAGACACCTGCAGTCCCAGCTACTCGGGAGGCTGAGGCAGGAGAATCGCTTGAACCCGGGAGGAGGAAGTTGCAGTGAGCTGAGATGGCACAACTGCACTCCTGCCTGGGCAACAGAGTGAGACACTGTCTCCCCACTCTAAAAAAAAATTAGAGGTTCTCCTTACTTTTTATTTCATAAATTAGCAATGTAATCATATTATGACCAACAATTCTTAAAGAAAGTAAAAGATACTTGTTTAGAAAGAAAACTATTATCATCTCCACCCCGACTCAATTGATCTAAGATCCTATTTCTAAACTCACATTTTTTCTTTTCTCTTATTTCTAAAATTTACTTATTATATATTACTTGTACATATTTATGGGGTACATAGTGATGTTTCCGTACATACAATGCATACTGATCAGATCAGGGCAATTAACATATTCATCATCTTGAACATTTGCCATTTCTTTGTGTGGGGAACATTCAGTGCCCATCTTCCAGCTATTTGAAACTGTATATTATTGTTAACTACAGTTATTCTATGGTGCTATAGGACACTAAAACTCATTTTTTAAAAAAACCAAACAACTAGAATATTTTTGCATCTTTGTTACCTTCTGCCTGGGTGGAGAGTAAGTCTCCCATAAGAATATATCCCCAATAGATAATGTCAATCAGTGATTAACAGCTCAGTGATAATCCCTTCCCTGAAAAGTCTGTTTTCAGCTTAACCTTCCATCGGGCTAATTGATGACTTATCTTCCATTAGGAGTGCCTTGCACATCAAAGCATTGTTTGGGAACAGAGCAAAAACAGACTGGAGAGAGGGAGACCTCTTTCACCCTGGGGCTAATTGCTGGAATTGAATATTTCCTAATGGAGATAGGGGCTTTTAGTTTAATAAACAAGCCATTTGTTTGGGAACTGAAATGGCAATCCAATTTCTGGACTGTTGACGGATTTAAATGCACATATCCCCTTGTGCACCCATACAAAGCAACATTGCCTTTGTCCTTCAGACCTCTCAAATCCACTCATGGCTGGCTGGCATTCTCTGCTTTTCCTAACCTCCCACCTTACTGCACATGGGTCCTCTCAAGGTACCTGCAATCATGGAGCTGCACTGGGACAATGTAAGCATCAAGCTAAGCACCCATCACCACCCTCTTCTCATCATACTCCTTTGTGCACACCCACAAGGGAGTCCTCTCTTCCCTCTACCTAAAAGGGAAGGTTGTAGCCTTACACATCCCCCCCAGCAACAATGATAAGACCAGCTTGAGGTGGTTAAGAGTATGGCCCTTCCCCTCTAGGCCAGCACTCATTTCACATATTTAGACGCTGCTCTTCTGAGGTTAAAATATTAATAGAATCTTCTTTCTGCCAGCTACCTCTGGACCCAACTCTCTGATTTCTTGTCTCCTGCATAGTCAGCTCTCCCAGGCTATAGTCACAAGTTCTCATTGTGTGGGAGTTGAAGCTGTGACCATCCTGGGTGGTCCCACTTGAGTCTCCATCTCAGAAAAGGCTAACCTGATGGGCCCAAGGTTTTCCTCTCCAAAAATACAAAATCATGTTCGCTAAAGAAGCCAACTCTTACCAATGCAAAATTATGCAGATGTAGCCACTTACTAATTTCTAAAACAACACAGCCTCTTAATGAGTAAGGATATCTGTATTTATATTATGCAAAGTCAGAGTAGTGAATTTGGCTCTAACAGAAAGAATATGAAAAAGAAAATAGGAGCACTACATTAGACAGGATAAAGTGCGTATATATATATAAAACAGCCTAGACTGCCTTGCTTTATTGGTCAGACGCTTCTTTTCTTACAACATTACATTTAATTCCAAAAGACATTAGAATGAAAATCACATAGACTTAAACGCAAAATTAACTAGCTGAGGGAGCTTGCAAGTCTAAAAGGATACTTGTAATAAAGTCAGTTTTCTGTGGATATGCCTGCTGATAAATTTTATGTCCACTCACATTAAAAAGAAAAAGAGAGACCTACTTCCCTACAGTAAAGAGCAATGAAAAATAGTGGTACTTAGGCATCTCATTAGCTCTGTGGGTTAAGCACCAATGAACAGCAGGATATAATTAATAGGGTCAAATATCAGGGGTTTTAAATGGATTAATTTGTAGCCACCAAATGGACCTTATTGAAAATTAACTCCTAATTATTTCTAATGACATATATACAGTATGCGTGCACATGTTGGATAAGTAATGGGAGTCCTTTAAAATCATCACCACCTAATGTCAGTGACAAAACCTGCCCAAAACTTTACAGAAAGATGCAGCTTCTATCAAGTTCACTGAAGTTAATTCAATTCCCAAGTAGGATCTACAAAGCAACCAAGTTTTAAGTAGCAATAATATAAACAACTCTATGTTACCAGGAAACTATAACGTGGGAGCTTCAAGGAATGTATTATGTCACAAGTTCACTCTGCATGCTCTTTTCTGGCAAAAAGTAACCCAAGGGCTTTCTTGCAAGCCAGTCTAAAAAGAAGACAGAGAACATATGCGTTTGAGCTTCTGATTTATTTGGCCTCTAGGTAAAACTCTTTAGAAAACTAACCATTAAAACATATACAGAGCTCTGCCTGAATTAACAGTCTAGAAAGGGGTTCTAGCCTCGTCCTCTGGCCAACTTTGTTTCTCCTGTAAAATGGGGTTACTCTGTAGGATGACACTATATAATCTAAGAAATAATACCACTTAACCTGAGTCAATTTATCAATCTATTAACTAATATCTCAAGTCTGGAGCTTGAGTTCTAGAGAGAAAAGTTCGAGGTAGTCTCTGGATGCATATGACACACCTGTTACCATTTTGTGTTTCTGTAACTCCAGGAAGATAGAATGAATGCTTTGAAGACTTCAGCAGCTTTATGAGATAGCTTGGAGCTATCATCATTACGTTTCACAGATAATTACACAAAGTAGAATTCAAGGTTTGAAACATTCTTACCAGGTGCAAACATCTCAAGTGAGTCCAGGTTTTAAAACACATTCCAACTGAGCGAAGAATCAGGTTTTGAAACTGGTTTCATTCCACATCTGTGAGCTTTGGCAGCCCTCTATCTTGAGTCTGCCTTCTTGGAATTCCTAAGCTTGGCCCATTCTGCTGATCCCAAATATTCAGGTCTGAGGGGTTTCTAGGCCAGTGAAGCTGATAAACTAAGGGTTTATACTAGCTATAAAAACCATCCTTCAGAACTTGATAAGACGAGGTCTCCAGGGTGCTAATGCTTATTTTTCAAGTCACTGGAACACAAGCGAATTAACTGTTAACTGTTTTTACCATGAGTATGTATTGGGAATGCAGAGATTCAAGAACTGCCCTTACAGTAGCTTCCAGTAAGGTACGATTTGTGCTGTGGGAGAAATCTTAAGCATGACCTCATCTGGACCAGTTTCAATTTAACTTTCAATTTGTTTGGGGCTAAACATCTGAAATCCCAACAAAAATCTGGACAGAATCCAGTTTGCGACCAGATTGAACTCAAAATACGATACCTTACCCCCCCGCCCCCCCAAAAAAAAGCAGAAATCTTGTAAGTTTCCTAGGCTGTTCAGTTGCAGACAAAGAGGAAAAAGTAGAACTGTGTGGCCAAGTGACAAACAAACCAGCATATGGGGAACTCCCTGGGGGGCACTCAATAGATTCCACTGTTCCTGGAGGCAAACCCTTGACTGGTCCTAAAGAAGATGTGGCTGACACTCAAACCTGAAATGTTCCAGGGATCACAGCATAGGCCAGAAGACGGGGCAGGTGGATCCACGTTCACGTGGCCAAAAGAGAAGTCTGAACAAGAAAGAAAGACAGATAGATATGAAGGATCTTTTGCCAACATAGCAAAGAATTTCTCTCTGTTCAAAGAGGCTCTGGGAACAAAGGCCCATCTAATTCTGGAGGTCTTGGCCTCAGATAGCATCTCAAATCTCAAACACAAATAAACCTGGTAGGGCAATGTATGTGTGCCACATGGATTCAAAAAAGGACAAAAATTCAGGATAAAAATTCCAGGTAAAGTAGAAAAATCAGCCAGAGGAAAAACTGCAAAGAAGATTTGTAGCAGCAGCCATACTCTACGTTTTAATTCCTAAGTAGAATACACATGAGGTCAAAGATGAAGGATTTATCAAGCTGAATCTTTGGAATTCCCCTCTTCTCTCCTCAAAGAGTCCTCCACAGGCTATTAACACTAAGAATGGCCTAAAAGTGTGGAAACTTGAAGTGAGAGGTGACATGCTCTCCTTGTAAATTTAACACCACCACTAAGAAATGTAAGCTGTTCACTTGCTTAGTGTCTCACTTGCTGCAAGGTTAGCACAAGCTATGCAGTGACTATGAGCTTGAGATCTGAGTACTGTGCTTGGCTTGGCTTTATTCATTCATTCACCAAGGCAACTGAATACCTACTGTGCTTCAGGCACTGTGCTGGGCATCGGGGACACAGGGTGGAGACTAGGCATAGAGCTGCCCTCTCAAAATTTATTGTTGTGAAAAAACAAAACAGAATTACGAACAAACGTAAAATTGCATCTATGAGAAGCGCTCTGAGAGTGCCTACAATAGGAGAGTTTGGGCTACTCAGGGAGGTCAGGGGAGGTTTCCATGAGGAAGGGAAAGCTGAGCTGCCCTCTGAAATCTGGGAAGTGAACTAAGTCACAAAGGGTGGGTAGAAGGCTGTTCCAGGCAGGAGAACCAGCATGCAGAAACCCTGAGATGGGAGTGAAAGAAGTGAGGACAAGAGAGGACAATTAGCAATTGAAGCTGAAAATGCAGAGCACACACAAAACTGTCCTGCAGAGGCAGAAAGAGGCTGGGATGTGGCATCACTGGCTTCGGTGGCTAGGATGGGGTAAGGGGCTCGAGGAGGAAGAAGAGTCTGAAAAGGCAGATGGGGCCAGATCATGTAGGTTTGGGTCTTAAATTTTAAGTGTCATTGAAAGAAAGCATAAGGGATTGGGCTGGGGAATGACGTGGTCTTGTTTTTCTGTCCTAATAGTGACTTGCTGGTCTACCTAAGCCTCCACAAGTCTAGGAGTTGAGCATCTGTTTCACTTGTACTGGGCCCTGGCAGTGCCCAATGGGGAGGGGAGGGGAGGGGAGGAGTGGAGAGGAGGAGAGGTCCAAGCAAGGACTTTGGGATAACAACTCCATGGCCCCAGAAAAGCCAGGCCTAAACTAATTTATTTACTTTTGAATGTCTCATCTTTTTTTCTTGGCTTAATCTTTCAAAATCCAGCTCTGGAGGTAACACAAACAAAAAACATACAAGGTCAACAACACTGGAGGACAAATATATTCTCTGCTTGATAAAGTTTATACTCTAATATTTAATACATATTCATAAATCCCTGTATTATTTCTGAACACATTACATCTAACAGCTCAGTAAATATTGTCTAGAATACAGAAGTAAGCCTAATCCCATTAAGCACTATTCCATTAATAAGGATATTCCTGCTTTAGATGGTGTCAGATTAGCAATGGAGGCTGAAAATGCAGAGGAGACACAAAGCCGTCCTACAGAGGTAGAAAGAGGCTGGGATGTGGCATCAAGATCAAACCAAGATCAAAAACTGGTTTCAAATCTTGGTTTTGCACCTGTTCACTGTTAAGACAAGCTGCTGGACCTCTTGGAGCCTCAGCTTCCTTATCCGAAAATGAGACAAGAGTGTGGTCCTTGGAGTGTCACAGTGCTAAATGAGATCACATATGCAACATGCACAGTGCAGTGCCCATCAGCAGCAGCTCTCATGGTGGTAGACGCATTGGTGGTGGCAGGAGTAATCTGGGAAGACATCCACAGCTCCTTGGGGACCAGTGATCCAACAGGCTGCCTCGTAAGTGGGTCATATGTTATATCCAAAAGGAAAGGGAACAGTGAAAAGGAAAATGTTTCATACAGAGGATTTCCCAGATTAACCTCAGCTGAAATTCCCTTACTTACATTTGAAAGCATGCAAGCAGCTGCAGATGGTTTCAGGCTGGCCCACAGAAGCCAGCTGTGTTTCCCCTCCAGAGAGGCCGTGGGAAATGACAGCAACAGCTGCCCAATGATGTCCAGTGAAAAAAGGCGGCCGCTGTTTGCACCTGAAAGCACGTGGCTTTCTTTGTCTGCCTTGGCCTGGGTTATCCATGGAGATGCGCTGATACATTTCCCTAACCTCTACTTGTCTTTCAGCCCCTGAAAGCGTGTGACTACCTTTGTCTGCCTTGACCTGGGCCATCCATGGAGACTTACTGATATTAATATATTTCCCTAACCTCTATTTGTCTTTCAAGCAGATCAGAAAGTAATGAGGGAGAGAGATTAACTCCCAGCAAAGGTTCTGGCTACACTGATGGGAGTAGGTGGCTAAATTTCTGGACATCCACCCTTGGACACTCAGGAGTGGAGTGGAGGGTGCAGGACCCCAAACACACACAGCAAACCTCCCAGGAGCAGCCCCACATCCTGCGTGTCTTTTTAAAATTTCTGTTTTGGCAAGTTTTGATCCCTAACAGGAGAGAAAAGGCTGAAGCGGGGATAAGACCTGGTAAAAAGACACACACTTGTGCAACGGACCCCAGATGCATTGCAGAGGCTTGGTCTCAAGACCAAGAGCTTCAAATCCTAGAAGCTCTCAAGGGCTTCAAATCCTAGAAGATGTTCACTCTAATCTCTATTCACATTTATCCTATTCTAGATTTCCAGAAAAAATCTGAACATCACTTTGATACCAGGAGGCATCCCATCTTGGCTCTGGGAACATTCTCCTCCAGGCACTCACCTCCCCGGAAGCCACCCTTGGCTCACTCAGCAGAGGCCTCAGACTCTTGCTGAATCCACAGACCAGAATCTTCAAGTCAGCTGGGGGAATCCACCCCTTTTCCAAGTTGAGGGGGGTTTGGGCCAATGTCACATGTCTTTGTCATGTGCCCACTGTAAGAATATCCCAGGAATTGTAGTAGTTATCCAGAAGGATCTCTACAAAGACAGTTGACACAAATTCTAAACACAATCCCCCTGATGCAAAAGAGCCCAGCTGGCCTTCAAGGGGTCGGAGAATAATTTGGGGTTGTTACATATCAGAAGCCAGGTGACATGGTTTCCTGCCTTTCTTAGATACAAGGAGCTTTCCATCTGGGACATAGCAGAGGACTGGCCGTTAAGCCTTCCATTTCCAGTGGCCTTTCTCAGACCCCTACCTCACCCCATGTACACAAAGGCCTTTGTGGGGGAAGGGAATCACCATCTTATAGGAACCAAAACCTGAGCCCATTTTTCATTAAAGGCTTTTGCATTGCTATGATAAGCCACCTCTGTTGCTTCCCCTATGTGACCAAGAAAAGACTAGGTTCAGAGACAAACGCTGAAACATGTAGACAGATATCAGCTTCCTTCTAGAAGTGCAGGGGGTTGCTGCACGTGTTGTTACCACTGTCTCAATCTTCCAGGACGGCAGCAAGGCAGCCTTCACCTTTTCCTAAGCCCAATAATACCCATGCTGCCTTTTTAAACCTTTGCTTGGGTTAAGGTTGAATTTCTTACCCTTCATAAATCAGATGTATAATAGGCTTGAGGTTGTTTGCTGAAAGAAATCTATTCTCCCATTCTCAACTTGATAAAATATTTATGTTTCTATATATATATATATATATATATATATATAGACACACATACATATGCATATATGTTTAAGACACACACACACATATATATATGCATGTTATATGTGTGAATTGAATAATTTTCCTCTGACCACCCCCTCCCCCTCCAGCTCTCGGCTCTCAGAGCTCAATTATATGCCCCAGATGCTACAGTCCTAGAAAATGAGAAAGGAGGGAACAAAGCTAAAAGGTACTTACAACTGGCTTTGTTCCTACTCACAAGAAATACAAATCAATTGAAAGCCCTCTCCATCATAAAAGCGCAAACTGACTATGATTATTACCTGCCATGTCCAAGCAGTTACAGGGCAAGCTATGTGGCCACTTTTCATTTTTCAAATTTTGTTTTCTCGGGACTCCTAAACTGATTCATGCAAAGCAAATGAGATTTCATAATAGACTTTGCTACAATTCCACCCCCTGGGGGCAACCTATTCATTAAATGTCAGTGAGGTAATGCCACCCATCTGCTAGGAAAAGCCTGTGCTGTCTGGGCTGCTGAAAGAAAACGTGCTTCAAGTTCATCTTAGGGAAATGGATGGGCTGGCAGCTTGTACCTTCTTATGTATCCTTCCAAAAGATAGTTGCTCAGACCGCCCAGAAAAACACCTCATTCATAGCTGCCTGGAAACTTGAGTCATTTTTTCCTGATAGCAATTTCACTGGTTCAGGGAAAGCCTTTTCCCTTATCCTAAGTACCAGATGTCAGTAGAAGGAAGAAATCCCAGAAGAAAGCATGTGGCAGAGAACACACAGCAAGCTGCCAGGAGCAGAAGGCTGCAGGGTAACTCTGGATGCACCATGGTTTCTATTTCTACAGAAATTGATTCCGTAGGAAAAACAGCATTACATTTCTAAGGCATTCCTCTCTTCTTATATAGCCTAGATCTTTAGACATGGCTGTGAAATCTCAAGAATGAGTAAGATTTTCTTCCCCATGAAGACAAAATTTGTTATTAGTTTTTGGTAGTGGTGGTGAGCAGAAAAATCTTTAAAGACTGTCCCTGTCTTGCAATAAGAAGTGAACATTTTTAAATGCCAAAAACAGGGGAATTGAAAGTAATCACTTAACTGAAAAAATCTAACTGAAAAATATGTGTTTTATATCCAGAGCTGGGGGAAAGAGGAAGGATGGGGTGGAAATGTTGGCCTGCTTTTCATATAGTGAATTTATATAGGTTATTTGTGATATATTTGTCTGAAGTCTTCGAAAATGTGGAGGTGCGTGGAAATGAGAATACCTGCAGAGAGAGGTGGTGAAGTAGAATGCCAAGGTCCTTAGGTCACGTCACGATTCTTTCTTAAGTTAAACTTTGGTTCTATACCAGGACAGAAAGTGACTTTAGTTTCCAATCTGGATTGCGATCTTCATTTGGATCCCTGACAGTTTGCAAAGAGCTTGGCTGATGTGTCAGAGGACTTGAGTTCTAGAACTATCTCTGCCATTCACTCACCTTGAGCAAGTCACCTGCTCTAGGCCTCAGTTTAAAAGAGCTGTGTCCAGCACATAATAGGTAATCAATTAATTTTTTTAAAACAGCTTCATTGAGATATACTTAATTTACATACCATTGAATTCACCCTTTTAAAGTATACAATACATTAGTTTTCAGTATTTTCACAGGCTTGTGCAACCATCACAGTATGTAGTTTTTGTTGAATAAATGAATGAATGGATTGGAAGTTTAAAGGTAACATGGCTTTAAGTATCACGCACTTTTTATAAGTGAATTCATGTAATCTCACATCTCCTGCAAATCTATGAAACTGGTACTATTATTATCCCATTTTACAGAAAAGTCAACTGACATTTGAGCTCAGGCAGTCTGGCTGCAGAGCCAGCATGCTAAACCAGTTTGAAAATTCTGTGATTCCCTCTCCCCTCTCCCCTCTCCCCTCTTTCCACTGTCTCCCTCTGATGCCGAGCCGAAGCTGGACTGTACTGCTGCCATCTCGGCTCACTGCAACCTCCCTGCCTGATTCTCCTGCCTCAGCCTGCCGAGTGCCTGCGATTGCAGGCACGCGCCGCCACGCCTGACTGGTTTTCGTATTTTTTGGGTGGAGACGGGGTTTCGCTGTGTTGGCCGGGCTGGTCTCCAGCTCCTTACCACGAGTGATCCGCCAGCCTTGGCCTCCCGAGGTGCCGGGATTGCAGACGGAGTCTCCTTCACTCAGTGCTCAATGGTGCCCAGGCTGGAGTGCAGTGGCATGATCTCAGCTCGCTACAACATCCACCTCCCAGCAGCCTGCCTTGGCCTCCCAAAGTGCCGAGATTGCAGCCTCTGCCCGGCCGCCACCCCGTCTGGGAAGTGAGGAGCGTCTCTGCCTGGCCGCCCATCGTCTGGGATGTGAGGAGCCCCTCTGCCTGGCTGCCCAGTCTGGAAAGTGAGGAGCATCTCTGCCCAGCCGCCATCCCATCTAGGAAGTGAGGAGCGCCTCTTCCCGGCCGCCATCCCATCTAGGAAGTGAGGAGCGTCTCTGCCCGGCCACCCATCGCCTGAGATGTGGGGAGCGCCTCTGCCCTGTCGCCCCGTCCGGGATGTGAGGAGCGTCTCTGCCCGGCCACCACCCCGTCTGGGAGGTGTACCCAACAGCTCATTGAGAACGGGCCATGATGACAATGGCAGTTTTGTGGAATAGAAAGGGGGGAAAGGTGGGGAAAAGATTGAGAAATCGGATGGTTGCCATGTCTGTGTAGAAAGAGGTAGACATGGGAGACTTTTCATTTTGTTCTGTACTAAGAAAAATTCTTCTGCCTTGGGATCCTGTTGATCTGTGACCTTACCCCCAACCCTGTGCTCTCTGAAACATGTGCTGTGTCCACTCAGGGTTAAATGGATTAAGGGCGGTGCAAGATGTGCTTTGTTAAACAGACGCTTGAAGGCAGCATGCTGGTTAAGAGTCATCACCACTCCCTAATCTCAAGTACCCAGGGACACAAACACTGCGGAAGGCCGCAGGGTCCTCTGCCTAGGAAAACCAGAGACCTTTGTTCACTTGTTTATCTGCTGACCTTCCCTCCACTATTGTCCTGTGACCCTGCCAAATCCCCCTCTGCGAGAAACACCCAAGAATGATCAATAAAAAAAATAATAAATAAATAAATAAATAAATAAATAAATAAAAAGAAAATTCTGTGATTCTGTTAAAAGAGGCTGACATCGTGACTCATTTATTACATCATTCATGCTATGAATAAAAATATCAATAGCCTTCCCATTTGCATTTATGATGAACTTGCTGTCCTGGACTCACCCCCCCCCAACCCCCCACAAAAAGTCTCTTTCCCAGAAAAAAGCAGGAAGAGCAGAAAGACCACTAGACTGTACACCTCTAGGTGCGGGGATGCATCTCCTCATTTTGGACACATCTTACACACAGTGGAATCACAACAGAAGACTGGCTAGTATGAAAAGAACATTACCTGCCATGTACCACATATGGGTCACCCCAACGTCCCCACCAAGGGGACAGAAGAAAGAGCCAAGGCCAGGCGTGATGGCTCATGCCTGTCATCCCAACATTTTGGGAGGCTGAGGTGGGAAGATCACTTGAGCCTAGGAGTTTAAGACCAGCCTGGGAAACATGGGAAGACCCCCATCTTAATAAATAAATAAATAAATAAATTCAGGCATAATGGTGCATTCCTGTAGTCCCAGCTACTTGGGAGGCTGAGATGGAAGGATCGCTTGAGCCCAGGAGGTTGAAGCTACAGTGACATATGAACCTGCTACTGTACTCCAACCTGGGCAACAGAGCAAGACCCTGTCTTATAAAGACAAAAATCAAAACAAACAAAAAACAGCAAAAAAAGAGAAAGAGCTAGGTGCCTTTGGCAGGTTATTAAACAGAATCTAGATCCAAATCACATTAGCCATCACCAGAGCCAGAGGCCTTTGGACCTGATTCTGACATTAATCATGCAGTTTCCTTTTTGGAACAGTAATAATAAATTGGTCAGGGTAAACCAAGGAGAAACACCTCACCCTCCATACATAGAAAAGGGTATCATGGAACTGCCCAGCTCACTTCACTCAGACACATGCATGCGCTTGTAGATATCACAGGGCTGATGATTCAGTGACTTGATTGAACAATGTTGCACAATTAAGCTGGCAGGGAGGAGGGGAAGACTTAGAGATGGGCTACTTCAACATCATACCAGTCCCAGCCCCAAAAGAGGACAAGAAGCGGCCTGGCCAAGATGGTCCCACTCTAGGAACTCAATACTCCTTCCAAGACCCCTAACAGCTATCACTTTTCCTCTGCTATGGCCAAATGTGATTCAGCCTAGAAAAAAGCAAAAGTCCTAGTACCAGAATATAGCACAAGATGGGGAGGAGGCAATGGAAGGGAAGAATTAATGCAATATATTTTCCTGCTTAGAACGGTCTTCTTCCCCGTCTCCTACTTGCTTTGTGCAATTCCCCAAGAACAAAAAGGCAATTCTTATGCTTGACAGCAGGCCATATGTGATCTGTTTTCATAGCTGAGGGTCCAC